>NC_000012.12:58710128-59960128 GCF_000001405.40 Homo sapiens
CAGACTAGCAGTGTGAAAGGCTCCATGGGCATGGGACCTGCTGAGCCAGGCATGGGATATAATCTCCTGGTGTGCCATTTGCTAAGACTGTTGGAAAACTGCAGTGTTTAGGTGGCAGTGTCCCGATTTTCCCGGTACAGTCTGTCATGGCTTCCCTTGGCTAGGAAAGGGAAATCCCCCAACCCCTTGCACTTTCCAGGTGAGGCAATGCCCCGCCCTGCTTTGGCTCACCCTCCATGGGCTGCACCCACCTTCCGACCAGTCTCAATGAGATGAACCATGTACCTCAGTTGGAAATGCAGAAATCAACTGTCTTCTGCATCTATCAAGCTTGGAGCTACAGACCGGAACTGTTCCTATTTGGCCATCTTGGGAAAGCAATCAATACAGCAGTATATTCATGTCAAATGTAAAACTATGGTTCTATTATATATGCATGGCAGGTTCAATGTATCTTTAATAAATCTAATATAATTAAATTACCATAAAGTGTTATATCCCATCACTACATACAGTTTGAAAAAATTTAGAGATTCTGAAATCAGTTTGATGATTTCATGTAAAACAATAGGCTGAAATATAACTTTTCCTCTACTTTCTCTCTTCTGGTTTGCTACCTATCATGTGCTTGAAACTTAACTCTGTTTTCATTTATTTCTTTTGTCTGTGGTTCCTGCTTTTGTTTGTTAGTTTTATTTGGTTATTTGTTTAGAAAACTGTAGTTTTTCTATGGCAAAGGAATCTATATAATTTTATCAAAATGTGTGAAATATTCATGGATGTGACTGAACTTTCTGCAGAATAATATCTGATACTACTGGAACAATTTGTACTGGAGCCTTAGAAAACATGGATGCACTGCAGACTATGTATGGTTAAAAAAATATTTTTACTTGGTACAGAGTGTCAGTGTTAGGGTAGTCATTTCACCACTGTTCTTTATGGCCCTTGGAATCATAAAACTGATTTGTCAGACATTCTGGATATCTTCAGACAATATGAGATAATGGAAGAAACTCTTGGCTCAAAGACAGAAGATAAGGCTTTTATCCTACTTCTGCCATGTTAGTTAGTTATTTGTAAGCAAACCAAGAATAGGAGGAGTTGATTACCTTTAAAAATAGTGCACTTATTAAGAAAAAAGAAAACAGAAGAAGTGCTGCTCTTATTAGAATCATATTTAATTTTCACTAGCCATTGGCAAGATGGATGATGGTAAAATGCACTTTTTAATTGCAAAAAGATAATATCTAATATTAAAACAATATTTGAATGCTGACTATAAGCTCTCCTCTGAGCACCATCTGAATTTCTTTATGTAGTACTTACCACAAGACATGGTAGAAACTTCATTTGTTAACTCATTCAATCATTAACACATTCTCTCATTTAATTTAAAGTCCTTACATTGGCCTATGAGGTTACACATGACCTGTCCCTTATCTCTTCTGCTTCTCTCTCCCTTGTTCACTCTGATCCAGGCCCAGGAGGTTATTTGCTGTCACTCAGATGTGCCAGGCACACTCCTGACTTACTTCTTTTGTGCTAGTTGTTTTCTCTTCCTGGGGTTTTTCTCCCCCAGGTGTCTTTTAGGCTGACTTCCTTACCTTCTTTGAGTCCTTGCTCAAATGTCACCTTCTCAAGGACACCTATTCTGGCACCTCAATTAATACTGCTGATTTCCTTCTTTCATCACCCACCTTCTTGATTTTCCCTATTTTCCCTTACCCTGCTCTACTTTTATCCCCTGTAGCATATCAGCCTTTAGCACACTGTGCAGTTTATTTCATTATTATGTTTAGATTGTCTTTCCCTCTCTCTTCCAAACTTCGTGGAACATGGAGATTTTTGTCTATTTTCTTCCTTGATACAAGCGCCTAGGATAATGTCTGATCCATAGAAGACACTCACATATTTGTAAAATGATTCAATTTAGCAAATAGGTATTAAGTGTCTGCTCTGTTTCAGGATTTGTGCTTACTACTGGGAATAAAATGAAGAACAAGACACAATCTCTAACCCACAAAAGTTTATGTGGTATAATTCCCAGGACACTCACCACAGATTCTGATTCATTTGATCTTGGATGGAATCTAGTCGTTTGCAACTCTGCCAGACACACCAGAGGTTTCAGATGTACCCTGTCCTCACCACGTCCTCCCAGCAAGCAGGGGAGCTGTCTTGTCATGGGATCTTTGACACTTAATACGAAGCCTGAAACATACTGGGCATTGAATAAATAAAATGGATTGAAGGTACTTTCTATCTTCCAGAAACACATAAAAACATTGACCAAATTTGTACCAGACAATTATTTATTTATTTTTCTAAAAGCACTTCTAACATAATAGAAATGAATTTTCTATACATAGAACAGTTAACTGAGAAAAGAAAGACATGTGCATATGGAGATTCAGAGGAGGGAACAAACCTCCAAAATATTCCACTAAGATTTCCACTGCTCTGATCTTGAAAGCTATATCTTGAGAGTAATATCAATGTTATCTTTAGGTATTACTTAAAATTCAATAAATGTAATGATTAGTACACGTGGAAAAAAGGATGGCTTTTTTGGTAGCATTTCACATTTATGAGGGGGCTGGGGCAGTGCTGGTGATACTGGATTTGCAAGTGATCAATGGGCAGTGCTGGTGATACTGGATTTGCAAGTGGTCAATGGGCAGGCTATTGTTATGAAATTCACAGAATACATACGTGTCACGACCAGATTCACATCTCTCCAAGATAAATCTGCATATGAAACTCACATGGATTGACTGACAGTGAATGCTTAAATTATCAAAAGCTGAGTACTCAAAATTTTCTCCTTGTCATTTGATACCTGGGCCAGGAATTGCATTGATTGGCTCCAAAGGGACTTGGACTATAGTTTGGAAAGGGAAAGGTTTCATGCATCACAATAAAGTTTGAGCATAACACAACTTGTCATAGGATGTAATTCAGAATAAAGCCTGTGTTTATTATTGGGAGTAGCAGAAAAGCCTTGTCATAGAGTGCAGAGTCTTTTATAATATGGTTGATAAACATAGTATGCTGCCTGCTAAAGGCCAAGATTCCAGAAGAATGATATTATAAGCCAGACTCTGAGACATATAACCATTCTCAAATAGAGAGTTGAAATAAGTAAAGCTTATTTTTTTGGACCCGACTCTTTTCTTTTTCTATATATATCCTCCTCTATTTATTCTTTTCATACCTCAGCCATCCAGTACTCTCATTTCACTCTCCTTTCACTCTCCTTTTCTTTTAATAAATCCTTATTTTCTGGAAAGAGGTTTATATCAATAAATTATGCCTGAGAATAAGTTTGTTAATGGTTGCTTATCCCAAGCATAATCTACCTCAAGTGCATTTGACTTGTACTTATCTCTAATTGTGAAATCAGTGTTTTCAAACAAAAATTTCAAGATCAGGGGTTGAGAATGTTGTGTTTTGAAGAGTATGGAAGAGTCGATTATTTAATACCTATCATGTGTCAGGCCTTGTGCTAGATATTTGGTCTTCATTATCCAATTTAATTATCTTGAAGAATTCTATGAGGTGGGTAGGGTAATATGCTTTTTTCTTTTTTTTTTTTTTTTAACAGATGAGGAAACTGAGAGTTAAGGAGGTCAATGTACTTACCAAAGTTCATGGGTTTTAACCCATGAACTGATTTCAGAGACTTCTGAGCTCCTGCCTTTCTATATTCCACACCGCTACAGAGACACAAATATGTGGGTAGCATATATTGATAAGACTTGGAAAAGAAAGCAAGAATTAAAGAGGAAAGTAAACACAAGGAAAGGTGTTACTCAACTGTACCCATCTTTAGCTAAAGTTATGAAGTCAGTTTTTAGATCATTTGAAAACATTTACTCTCCATAACACAGTCAAAAGGGTGTCTAGAATTTATGGTGGGAAAATAAATATTTATCATGTATTAAGTGCCAACTCTAAATATTTACCATGTATTAAGTATATGATAGAGCCTGAGTTGGCCCTATAATATACTATCTCTAATCCTGATAACAAGAATTACATTATTATCTCCATTTTGTCTTTCCAACTCACTGATTCCTTCTTCAGCTATATCCATCTTAGTCTTTACCCCACCTATTGTGGACTTTATTTCAACCATTATATGTGGGATAACTAACATTTCCTCTTTGTTCATTTTTATAGTCACTTGTTTTTCTCATATCGCTAATACTTTCTTTTATTTCTTTCAATACACTTGTTTTTGTTGTTTTAAAGTTTTGGTTGGTTTGTTCCAATACTTGTGTTTCAGATAGTATATGCTATTGAGCTGTTGGATTTCTTTCAGGTAATTTTCTGCCTTAGGTGTCATTTACTTTAGTTTATTCCTTAGGTTTTTCTGCTTCAGCTGTTGAGTTATTATTTAATTCCTTAGGCAAAAATGCATAAAAATACCTGAGGTTCTCAGTTATTGTAGCAGGTAAGGTGTATTAGGGAAGGGCCAAGATTAAGTTCCAAGTTAAGAGTCTCAGTCACTTTTGGTAACTCATATGTACAGTGATAGTTGTTATAGAAAAACTTTTGATTAAAACAAAAGCTACCACTACAAAGATATAGTTCCTAAAATTAAAACACAAAGCAAAACAAAAATATGACAATACCAAGTGCTGGTAAAAATGCAGAGAATAGGAAATTTTCATAGATTCCTGGATGAAATAAAAGTGGGATAGCCACTTTGTAAAATAGTTTGGCAGTATCTTATCGAGTTAAACATACACTTAACATATGACCTAACAATCTTACTTTTAGGAATTTACCCAAGAGAACTGAAAATGTATTTCACACAAAAATCTGTGTGCAAGTAGTTATAGGAGCTTTCTTAATAATTTTCACCAAGCTAGAAATAACCCAGATAACTTTCAACTAGAAAATGGATAAACAAACTGTGTATGTGAATACAAGGGAATGCTACTAAACAGTACAAAGGAATATACTACTGACACAACATGGACAAACCACAAATAAATTATACCATGTGAAAGAAGCTATACACAAAAGCTACATACTATGTCATTGCATGTATATTTCATTTTTTTTTAAAAAAAGGTTAAAGTATGGTGGTTTCCAGGGGTTGAAGGAGGGAGAAGTGGTGGACTACAAAGGTCAACCTGAGAGAGACGCCAGGTTGATGAAACTGCTCTGGATCTTATCTGTGTTGATAAATACATGAATCTTTGCATTTTTAAGTTTGTAGAAATATATATCAAAAAGAGTGAATTTTTCTGTATATAAGTTAAAAATATAATTTCTTAAAAAAGTAAAATCTAACCTTTTTGATTCTTTTTTATGCTCACTTTTGAGACAAAAAGTGTGGTTTAAAAATATCTTGAAATAGTTTGTGTTTTAAATTTAAGAAACAGTCTTGTGGTTCAGTCACAAAGTCACACCTGAACTAGTTTCCTTTTTTTTTAAAATTATACTTTAAGTTTACGGTACAAGTGCACAACGTGCAGGTTTGTTACATATATATACATGTGCCATGTTGGTGTGCTGCACCCATCAACTTGTCATTTACATTAGGTATATCTCCTAATGCTATCCCTCCCCCATGCCCCCCACCCCACAACAGGACCTGAACTATTTTCATTAGATTTATTTAAAATATTTAATAAGCAGTGGAGTTTGAAGAAAAATGTTTCCAGCTTTATTATTTTTATGTTGTGCCAAACTTTGCTTCCACCTGGGTGTGTATATGTGTTTTAAGATCACTTTGTTTTCTTAACAAGGTCTTTTGGAGGAGAAAAATTTTTAGTTCCATTAATGGATTGCCCCCTTCTCTTAGCTTATTAAACTTGATGAAGATAAATGATTTCAAATGCAGGTGGCCACCCAAAAAAAAAGAAAAAAAAACACCCCACTAAATTGTGAGGTCAATTCCCACCCAGGGTTGACAGGCCCTTTATTCTAAATTATAAGTGGAAAATGCTAAGGTGATCTCATGCTCATAAAGTTGGACCAGTGTTCCCTAACAGGTGTTAAAAAAGAATTGAGACTATTGGAGAACTGTTTAGTATGCACAGATGTTTGAAACTATATTGAGACTCTCAGGCCTCCTTTGCAATAACTTGCTTGAAATGATGGATGTACAAACCAGATTTAGAATTTTGAGTTCTAATAAACATGTTGGAGTGGCCACTCAAATGCACAAAGCTGATCCCTCCCTCATCTCTGTTGTCCTGGTACTTGCATAGCTGTTGATAATTATTAGGTGTCAGTAAATAACTGAGAAGCAAATAAAGCTCTTTGGGTCTAATAAATATGTGACTTTTCATGACTTTTTTGTGCATCTGCTGTAGTATAGATATAATACCTTACATTCCTGTTATATCACAGAACATTGAGAGTAAAAAATAAATTAGTTGTCAATATAAAAATGCAATGAAACAATATGGAAGTTTTATAATACTGAATCTGTAGTGAGAACTCTAACATTATAACTGACTCAGTTCTGGGTTGTCTCATTCTCTGAGTCTTCCATTTTACTTAAATGTATTTTCATAGGTTTGCATAAAGGTGTCCTTACTTTGGATTTCAATGCATCCCACAGGAAAATTGTACAGGATCTGTTTGCAGAGCCATATTGTTTTTCAAAGAAAATGAAATAAAGCATCATCAGATTCGGGGCGCTTTATTTCATAATACTCAAACTTTGCTTGGCAATAGAATCCTTATTTCAACTTGGGTGGGAGGTAAAGAGAGAGAAAACTGTTAAACTTAGGAGAATAATTATTTAGAAATGTCTAAGTCAAAGCATTTCTCCTTGTGGTGACTATTTCTCAACATCCTGATCCACCCAGTGTCTATCCACTATTTGATTTTTCCTTTTGAGGGTAAATTAGCTTATTGCTTCAAATATCCCTAATGCTACAGGCTTAAAAATAAAAATTAAAACAGCAACCAGGGTGTACCTTTGGATGAATCCACTTCAGAGCAAGATGGCTGCCATGCCCACAAGACGTGGTTTGTCATGACTTTGTCCTAGGCTAGTATAGATTGTTGGGTGGCAGTGATGGAAGGAGCTGCTACTTATTATTTACAACCTTCATTAGTCATTAGTAAATGCTGTTGCAGTTCTCTTGTTTGCATAATCTTACCTGGAAAATTAGAAAACCAAGAATTTCTAGATTCAGCTGGGAATAATTGGGACTGGCAATTGGAATATTGTCCTTCTTGAAGGTGATGACAATGACAAAGATGATGATGAAGATGATAGTAATAATTGTCATAGCTTTCTTGAATACTTATTATATGCCAGGCATTTGCTATTGTAATCTATACACTAGATAATTTACATCCCAAATCTGTGCGAGTCAGGTATTAGAATAATTCTCTCCAAACTCCGTAATGCTAGCTTTAGCCAGATCACAGTCACCATCACCATGGCAGCTATAGGCATTTTTCTCCCCAACTCCACTGCACCCATCCAACCTATCCAAATTTAATGTGACAAGGAACCTATAGCCTCAAAAACTGAAGCAAACTGGCACAGGAGCCTTCTTTGGAGAGTCATTCATGCTACAGAGACCATGGAAGTATCCAGGTGGTGCTTAGACACTATAGTTATCTAAAATAATTCTGAAAGATTTGCCAAATAAACCACCTGAACCCCTCTATGCTTCACTCCTCCTGATTCCTCCAGCTCTCTCCTTCCAGACAGGGGAAGTTCTGGAAAGGAGCCTGATGGAGCCACAGGTTTGTCATTCAATACATACGCTATGTTCTACTTCCTCCGTGTCCTCACTAGGTACACATCAGCAGTGGGGGTACTTATTATTATACAAGGCAGGTGCTGACCCTCATGTCAGATCTCTCTAACCCCATAGCAGCCTGTTTTTTCAATCCCCTCTTTTGATGTGAAGCCTAAAGAGACTAAAAGAATACCCAGAATAGGAGAAGGGTTAGGAACTTAGGAAAGAAAAACAGTGATCATGTTCAAAGTCATTATATTTCTTTAAAACAGTGTTCTCTAAAGTAGGAATTCTTACTCTTTTTTATTCTTAGTGTCCAATGAACAGTAAGGACCTTATTACGTGTTTGTTGAATAAAAGGTGCCAGCTCTAAATTAATGGGCCAATTCTGAAGGTTGTGGGTTTTCTGGATATTGACTTTTTTAAGTTGCCAACTTATAGTTATTGTTCCATTATTTAGTGTCGCTCATTGAGTCAAAAAAAAAAAAGTATGAATCCAGCTGGTTTAGGAAATTAATAAAAAATATATTTTCCTACATTATTTGTCTACTTTGTATTTTGAGGGAAAGAATACACAAATAATTCAGAATTTTTGCTTCGAGTTTCCATTTTCAGAAATACTACCTTATGTTTGGTCCAAAAAACATGTTTTTAAGTCAGTGCTTAATGTCATGGTCTGGCAAACAAAGATGAATAAGCCATGGTTCCACCTTCTGTAGGGGTAACTAATCTGATATTTAGTGGGCACCAGTTTGACAGCCGTTTCTGCCCATCTGCCATATTTATACATTTCCTATTCCCTCTTTTAACAAGATGAAAACATGTTGGCCAGGCTGGTTTTGAACTCCTGGCCTCATGATCCGCCCCCATCAGCCTCCCAAAGTGCTGGGATTACAGGCATGAGCCATCACACCTGGCCCCAAATTGGGATTATTAACTGGCCTTTCTACCTTTAATTTTGAAGCCAGAGTAATTTTTCTAAAGCAAAAAATAATTTTATTTTGTCTTAGTTAAAACTTTTCAAGTCTTAACTACCATCCTTCAAATCTCTAAGCCTTCAGGGTAAATGTTCTAATAGATTCTCTCTAGTCCCTTAAGGAACCTCTGTCTTGGCATCTACCGAAATTTATTATTTATTTGTTTGCCTTTCTGTGCAGATAATACCTTATTGAAGGAAGGAATTACACTTTTTATCTTTGTATTCTCAGCACCTTACTGGCATTTAGAAAGTATTTAATATATGTTTGTTGAATGAGAGATGGAATTAATTAAAAAAAAAACATAACATTGTGGACTATGAAAAGTCAGCCAAAGTAGAATACTATTGATATGAGCAGACAATATTGATATATATAAGTGGTAATAGATAAGTCCAGAGTATTTTTGTTTTGACAAGCTTTTCGGAAAATATTTGCTAGGATGTAGGATAGTTTGTGAAGACTGTCTTACACACTGAGTTGAAATATCAGTCATCAGGGAATAGACAAATAGTCTGTGGTTAGACTGAGTATATTCATAGGCTATTCAAAATGCATTGTAAGGCACATGTTGTGCTTATTTTCCTTGAAATAAATTCTAGCATTTTTGAGGCAAGAGTATTGATGGCAAGAGTATTGCTGGCAAATCCTAAGTAGGTTATATCAATTGTGTGGAAAGTTTTAGCTCATAAACTATTTTACCAAATTTTAAATATATCTTTAAAATAGAACGTATTTTTAAAATTTTTCAATTGTTTTAAAACTAATGAACAAATCAAGAGAATAGAATGTTACATAAATAGTATGACTTAGTAGTTGCTTAAATTGTGACTTTTCAAATGTTTGATTTTATAAAAATTTACTTATCTGTTACTAGACAATATTCACACAACTATTATTATTTCAATGTAATCAAAAGCTCAAAGTTCAAATTTAAAAGGATACAAAGAATGTTGAATAAACATTTATTTATTTATTTATTTTTTAGTCTTGCAGAAACTTGGTGAAAATCTGTAGTTGTTTGCAAGGTAGTTGTAAAACCAGCAGCTGGTTCAAAGTTATTTTGAATTTTTTAAAGAGGCTTGGATTAGGGTACTTTTACCATTGAAAAACAACATCAATATACTAAAGCTTACAAAACAAAAAAATCTAATGAAAAGAGTCATGTTTCAATGCCCAATTTGTGTCACTAAGAATCAGACACTGGTTCTAAAGTAATGGGTCAAATCATGTCAGTTTGCTATATTTCAACCATTTTCTCTGATTTATCCAAATGAAATACTCCAGAAGATTTTACTAACTGTAACATAAATTTATGGAGAATTTTCTGGTGAAGATATTTAGTGGAATTTTTCAACTCTGGAAACATTCAAAAGCTGCTAAAAGAAACACAGTATCAAAGTTTCTGAAATTTATAGTGAATCAGAATTTTTATGAATCCCTGCCAAATTTATTATTTCCCATCCATCACTGTCCATTGGTCTCTCTTATCAGTTCAGATCCAATCTTCCCAGAAATAAAAAAGAAGCCCAAGAAAGATTCTTTTATTTTAACTTTATCATCTTCAATATTGACATAACTTTTTATTTTGCACATTTGTTCAGTGTGAAACATTCAGAATGTTACTAGGAGGAAGGAATTTCAGAAGCTGGCTTGAATTGGAAGAAGGCATGCCTCCTGGGGCAAGAAAAAAAGACAAGTCTATGGTCCTCCTCACTTGGACCTCACTTGGTAAATAAGCTAATGATATTCACTAGGAAAAAGAGTTCCTATCAGCAGGATGTCTCTGGCTAAAAGATGACTTATGATAAATAAACCCCATGTGGATTTAATCCATGAGGCATGACTCCCTAGAGAATTTCACCTAAGCTATATAACACATTCTGGGGTATAACATGGAAATATTTTATAAGTTAAATGGTCTTTGCAGTGTGAGGAATCCTACCAAACCTCTTGGGGACCTCATCTGTTGTGCTTGTGTCCATTGTGGAAAAGCCGGACCCATGGAGACCATAAGAGGTTGCGCCCCTCTCTTCTCCAACTGAGCCTCTTGATTGTCTGTATCCTTAAGGCTGTAAAGGTCGATGCTGAGTAAGATCTCTGACTCTTGAGAGTAGAATTTGAAAATTCAATCCCATGCATAAGCTGAGCTGTCAAATAATTCCAACATATTTTGCTTTTTAAATATCCATTACTATTTTTTCTTTGATGTCATTTTTCCGGAAAATGAGTTTTGGAGATAAATATGCAATTAATTCCCCTTCAAAAGGAATAACATATTAAATTTTAACAAACTGTTCCTTCAGAATTGGGTTACAATTTGAGAGTGATTCCAGCAACTCCAAAAATTTTCTGTGTTTGTTGATGGCATATTCTCTCTGTGACCACAGAAGAAAAGGTTTCATGTAACTAAAAACATAATTATGTCAAAAAGATGATGTAAAATGTCTCCCCATTTTCCCGCTCTTTATTCATTTCCACATGCTACATTTTATCAACAATTTTTATTGGAGTTTTAGTACCATTGCTGATGTCTTCCATTTTTCTAAGTAGGAAAAATGTTCAGATGTCTCATGTTCAGAGATTTGAGGATTTAATTTTCACTATGTTTTAAAGCTAGTTATAAAGCTGGCCGTTTCACTTTTTGTCTCATTATCTGCAAATGGTCTGCAGCAGAAAGCAAAGCAAACACGTTTTTGATTTTGAAGAAAGCAATTTCTTAACTTTTTGTCTCCTTTTATTTTTGGTAAAGACTTATAAAACCACAACGTTGTCACATGTTGACTATCTCCTCTGCTATATTTTTCCTTCTCATTGAACTGTAGTGTAGAAAGGTTCACCTTTAATCTGAAGAGGTTTATATCTTCTCTTAATCCAATTAACTCTCAAATCATCTGGAACCAGTACTGGCCATGAAGCAATATCAGAATAAATGAAAAATAACATTGTCTCTTCTGCTTCAAATTCTTGGTCTCAGTCTTTATTATTCCTGTCTATCTATCTATCTATCTACCTACCTATCAATCAATCTATCCTCATTATCTATCATTATCTATCTTCATCATTATCATCTGTCTATCATCTATCTATCCTGTTAATGTTGATTTTTACCAGCATTTTCTTTCTCTTCATTACTGTCAGTGCTTATAGATGATGTTTCAACATTTTCTTTCACTCCTGTGCTATCTGAATTTTGTGTTGTTTCTAGTATAGGTACTTGCATTTTTTCTAGTATAGATACCCATACACATTTGCATTTCTAAAGAATGGTTGTTTACTATACTGTATTAGTCAGGGTTCTGCAGAGGGACAGAACTAATAGGATAGATGTATATGTGAAAGAGTTTATTAAGGAGAACTGACTCCCATGATCACAAGGTGAAGTCCCATGATAGGCTGTCTGCAAGCTGAGGAGCAAGGAAGCCAATGTGGCTTAGTCTGAGTCCTGAAATCTCAAAAGTAGGGAAGCCAATAGCACAGTCTTCAGTCTATGGCCAAAGGCCCGAATGCCCCTGATAAATCACTGGTGTTAAGTCCAAGAGTCCGAAAGCAGAAGAACCTGGAGTCCGATGTTAACCGGCAAGAAGCATCTAGCATGGGAGAAAGATGAAGGCTGGAAGACTCAGCAAGGCAGCTTATTCCACACTCATCCACCTGCTTTTTCTAGCCATGCTGGCAGCTGATTGGATGGTGCCCACCCAGACTGAAGGTGGGTCTGCCTCTCCCAGTCCACTGACTCAAATGTTAATATCCTTTGGCAACACCCTCACAGTCACATCCAGAAACAATACTTTGCAACCTTCAATCCAATCATGTTGACACTTAATATTAACCATCACATATACACAATGTTGAAGGATATAATTATGTTGCAACTACGGTCAGAAGTCTCATTGGCTTTTAGAAAAATAATAAACAATTCCAAGTTCTTATTTTATTTTATAAATAATCATTCTCTAAATCTCTTCAGAAGTCATTCTACTGGAAACATTTCTTCAGGTGTATCATTTTTTAGAACTTTAAGGAAAAATTATTTATTCTTTTTAGGCTCACCTCATTCACCGGAAAATGCTGCAGAATGAAGACATAAGAGTGGAAAGACTTTCCCAGACAAGCTAAAATGCTCATCAGAGAGCTGTGCATGCAGTACAGACACATTTTAAAAGTTAATACCAACTTTGGAAATACTGTGTGATCTAATAGGAAATATGGATTCAAAAAGATCAGCTTATGTATTACTCTCTGATGAATAGGATTTTTCTTTTCTGAGTCCTCTTTTTTATTGTTTGAAATTTTAGATGAAGTTAATCAATCACAAACATCCAGGATCAGACTTGGACAATACACAATGAAATGCCAAGCTTTAGCGTGATTTCTTAAAGATCAGCACCTGGACATTGGGAAGTCAACGATGCAATAAGCAAATGTAAGAAAATGAATGTTTAAATAGAAAAATGAAATCAAATGTGAAAAACAATGCCAGGAAGAATGACAAAAGAGAATGGTCTTTCTTTGTCAGAAGAAATCAAAAGAGCAGCATTTGAATGCCTCAATTGTTTTCACTAAGAATTGGACACTCATTTCTAAAGCAATAATCACATAATGTGAATGTTCATATCTTTTAACTATTTTCTCTAGTTTTTACAGAAAAAAATTGTGGAAATAAAACTTCAGAAGATTTTACTAAATATCGTAGAAATTTATGACAAATGTGGTCATGAAGATAATTAGCAGGAATTTTTTGAGTGTGGAGATATTTGAAAGCTGGTAGGTAGAACTGAAACTTCTGAAGTATACAGTGAAATGGGATTTTTATGGATTGATGCCAAAGTTATCACTACGCTTCAGGCTTTTCCTGAGTCTTAATTGGAAATAAATTTTTAAATTTTGGAATTAATAAAAAGTCTTCTTTGACCACCTATGAGCAAAGAAAGATTGGCAAATCTGGCTATGCTTTCTATTAAAAATGAAAATATGATGAGAACTAATGTTGATGAAGTTCTTAACAAATGTGCAGAAATCAAGTCTCTAAAACACAAAAAAAGAAAACATAACATTCCTATAATGGACCAATATTGAGACATAAGATTCCCCCCCCCCATTTAAAAGAAATCTATCAGTGTAGTTAAGGAGTATTAATCCATTACTTTTCTGTTTCTTGCAATGTTATTTTTACTTTGTGTTTTTTATTTTATTTCACTAGCATAATAATATATATGAAATTCAACAAAATAAAATTTTCACTATCTGCCTTTTCTGGCCATTAGTTTTCTTTATTTTATTTCATGATTGATTATTATTACTAAAGTTAGGTTTATCAAGTAGAGAGTTAAATAATGTTAAAATAGAATCTGTTCCAAATATCAAATACACTAAGTACGACACTGATTTTTAGTTCTTGATCTATTTGAAATTAGACGACACTGTGTGAAGGAAGTGTTGAGATAAGGGTAAGTAAATTTCATCTGATACGAACATAAAGAAAAAAATAATAAACTCCCCAAAGTGAAGAACTTTGTTGTTGCTGAGTTTTTTCTCCCTTGTATCCCCACGGTCTATACCAATTTCAGACATGATTTGTAAGTATTTGTTGAATGAAGAAACATGCTAGAGTATAGTAAATAATTTTAGAGAGAAGTAGCCCAGCTAAAATAGATAATCATGAGATTTTATGCCATGGTGAAAAGTTTGGGATTTGTTCAGAATATTATTGTGCATGAGAGTGTATATACTGTAAGCTTATAAAATCAGACGATATCAAATTTGCATTTTAGGGAGCTCACTCTGGTCATGATGTGGTGAAGGAAGTCGATATTAGAGGCAGGTTGCCCAATTAGTAGACCACTAAAATAGCCAGGTAGTAGAGGGTATATATAAAAGAAGGGAGGGAATGGATCTGAGAAATATAGGGGAGCCAGACTCAACGGAACTTAGATGTGGAAAATGAAGGAAGGATCTCTGACAACTCCTACTTCTGACTTGGATGCCCGAATGAATCTTAGACTCATTGTTTTAATTGGGTACTGAGTATGCAAGAAAGTCAAAGGAGCTACTTGGCCTGTGAGGCTTTTCAGTGGAGTAGTACTCTAGGCAGATAGACCTAAAGTCCTGGAACTTAGGAGAGAGGACCAGGGTATTGTTCTGGATAGTGGATCATTGTTGAAAAGAGGTATCTGAAGCTATAAAAATGTATGAATTATTGAGCAGTGAGAAGAACTGGGACATGTGTGAGACCTGAGGAAGGACAACATTTATGGGCTGAGAGGAGTAAGCCATGCAAATAAAGAAGATGTTGAATCAAACACCAAAGGAGGAAGTGATCAAAACTGATCAGGTGTCATAGGCAGGACAGAGAAGGTCACTGGGAAAGTAAATGGGAGATGAGGAAGTAGGGACATAAAGTGGTCACCACTCTTTCAAGAGCTTAGCTTCAAAAAGAGAGAATAATAATTAGGAAGAAACAGAGATTTGGTCAAGGGTAGGTTTGAATTTTTTTAATAAAAATAACTTTATCCTATTTATTTACTGATTATAAAAGAAAATGTTTATTTTAAGTAATCCCAAAGTGCCTACATTAAAATGTGAAAGCCACGGATCAACACCTAGTAAAAAATGTTACAAGGACTATAAACCACATGTGTCCTCTTAGTTTTCGTTTCTAGTAGCTCTTTGAGATAGCTAGGGTAGCTTAATAAGGAGGCAGAAACAAATTTGTTCAAGAGAAGACTTTAACATGGCATCTGTTATATCAGATCTCACGCAGCCTGACTCAAGAGAGGAGAACTTTACAAAGCTTTGCATGCCACTTCTCCATAACTGCTTCCTTCTATCACCCTAAAATTAATAAGTGGGGCAATAGAAAACATTGTCCAGCAGTCTGGTCTCACCCTTTGGATATTCAAAACTTAAGTATGGATTTGTATTGGAATTTGTTTCTACTTGAAAGATGTAAGAAATTATAATAGAAACCTCAAAACCTCTTTTGTTAGGGCAAAAAGCACACGAAGCCAACGAACAGAAACTAAGGGAACTTCCAATGCAACACAACCTGAATTTAATTATGAGGAAACATCAAACCCATATTGAGAAACATTCTACAAAATAACTGAGCAGTACCCTTCAAAAATGTCCATGTCAGCAAAGATTCTGGAACTGTTTAAAATAAAAGAGGCTAAAGGTACATGCCATCTAACTCATAGTGCCATGCAAGATTTTCTTAGGTGTTAAAGAACATGACTGGGACAAATAGGGACATCTGGTTTGTAGATTAAACAATAAATAGCGTACCAATGTTCGTTTTCTGATTTTGATAATTATACTGTGTTTATGTAGGAGGTTCTATTTATGGTTTGCTGTGACCACTCTGCAGGTGCAAAATGTACCCTCACCTAGAATTTGGTTCCCATGTTGAGATTTATGATGCCACACACACCTGAAGAGGGTATGAAAATATGTATTGCTTACATAATTGATGCATCTTGGGTAATCCCAGTACATATATTACCGGGATGTCTATTATAACATTGCTTATAGTAGCAAGGGAAAAATGAAAAAGCATAGACATAATCTAAATGTCCTTACAAGAGAAATATAATGAGTTTCTCTGTCTGCATATGAGCTACTAGAAAGTAGGGATTGCAATTAAAATACGTGTACATTTTTAGAATACAGCATGAACTGAGGTGCTCAGTACCTACTTTAGAGGAAGTGAACTGTCTCTCTCTCACACACACATGCACACGCTTACTTTTTAGAGCACATTCGTCCAATACAATGGTACCTTAAGAAGAACATCTATCTGTTTTCTTTCCTAGATCACTGAGGAGCTTTTCATTTTGACTTAAAAAAAAAAAACAGACTGGGTCATCATTTTTCCTTTGATTTTGTGAGATACCCCATGCTATTTAATAATTCATGTATTTATGTTTTTATTTCTGCTTAGTCACTGTCCATTCCTGTGGATTGCAAACAAAGAAAGCTAACTGGCACAGATAACAAATGAGTGAATGAATGAGAACAAACACACCAAAGAGGGGCACAGCTAAATGATTAAAAAGTATGTGATATATTCCAATGTAGTCATAGAGGCAAGCTAAAAGACTAGATAGAGAAAAAAGTGAATTCAGAAATAATAATTTCTAGCCGATAACATTTTTTTCCCCAATCTCTTGACTTGATGAAGTGCTTTTAAAGTTCTTTGGGTTTTATGGAGTTAGAATGAGATTTTTCTGGCAGAAGCTCATTTGCCAATTTAATTAGTAATTAGTGAATCCCAAAGGTTAATGTAGAGTTCCTATCAATTTTATTTTAAGCTTAATACTCTTATCTAAAGGACAAAGCCAATGAATATATTCAGAGAGCAACCATTAGCTTAATATTCTGGCCAAGTGAAATATTAAATAACTATAGCATTTTAAAACTTGAAATAATATTTAGATTCTCACATTTATATTATTCTATTCATATTTTATTTCCTCTAAGCAATATGAAATACCCATTTTAAAGATGACTAAATTTCCTGTAGTCACTAGATTTCCACAAGTGCAATTAAAGCACAATATTTGATGTTCAGAGGAAGAATTGCAAAAACCAAGCAATTGCAATTGAGGTCCACTCTCATCAATGGGACTTCTTTTGCACACTGCGAGTGGCCTATTTTCCTATTTTTTTAATGGTTTGAGGGTAGAGAATCTTCATTGAAAGACTTACATTATATCCTGGTTTACATTAGAATCACAACTTTAAAGAATGTCAGAGCAAAGCGTTTAGAGATAAAATGTATAGGCCAAACACATTCGTGGTGAGCAAATTACTAGTTGGATGTGTGGGCAGAGTAATGGTATCTAACATGCAACATCCTCTAATTATTACGTAATTCCTGGTTGAAAGTGTATGGGAAAAGAGGTCCAGATTCAATTGAAGAGACTTGTCATGAGCTGTAATGAGTGATGAAGGAAAAGACCAGTGTGGCACACTGTCCTGTGGGCACCTTCCGAAAATGAATAGCAACTTGTTCTTGTCTTCTCTTCGTGGCATGTCAGCAGAGGAGTCTACGTTTTCACAGTCATTTTTTACTACACTGGCTGCATTTCAACAAGCCCTAGAAAAACAATCCAAGAGTCAAATATCTTGCCTCTTGTAGCTTTGGGCTTCCACTGAGAATTTTCCTAGGAACAAAGTCATTTATTCAGAAGATCAAAATATATTTTGGTGACTACATTCTGCTACCTAATATATTTCAGTTATCACAAAAGCCCAAACTCTTGACTGAAAAAGAATATATACATTTTCTTATTGCTTTGGAATAAGTAAACTTAGTTTTTCAGTCTCAAATGATCTTGGATGGCCATATTTATAGTGTGAGCTATGAGGTAGATTTTGAAGAAGGCATTGTCAATGTAATGTGGAAAAAGGCTTTTGTAAGTTCAATTTTAAAAGGTGACTTTCTTGTATTTGGCCTCATTAGTTCTGGTCATAATTTAATTCTTATCAGCCATGGTAAGTGTCTATCTGTTTACCAGATGATTGTGTGAGTGGTGCATGCATGTAATACCATAAGCAGAATACAGATTGGAGAAATTGCCTGATTTTCATTAAAAATACCTATGGCTATAATTTATTGAATCTTGCTGAGAATATGCTATCTAATTTGATACTCATTTGATATTTACTTTCGTCCTGCCCTCTGAGACTTGAGACTGGCACATTTGAGATTCCATGGATTTGTTCTATGATTAGAAAGCTCTATGACTCACTCCAAATATGCTGCTGTCTCTCTATAGACTCCTGACTATCCCTCATAGTCATGATTCTTTGAGTGTAACATTAAGGGATGAAGAAAAAAATCTTAGCAGTATACCAACCCCTTCAAAATTCATCTGGCTGGGATTTTCAAAGTTCTGTTCATATTTTCCTATATTCCAAGAAGTTAAGGAGAAATTATGACTCCCATAAACTTGTAGTTTTTTAAAAAAATTAAATAAAAAATTAGCACCTTCTCATACTACTAATCTATATATCTTTTAATTAACTGCCTGTATTCACCAATGCCATCTTAACACTTACCTATATATATTCACTATTCATTTTCATCTCATATCATTTATTCTTGCATTGAACAAATATTTACTGAGTGCCTACTATGTTTCTAGCACTGCTCTGGATGGAGGGAATTTTTCAGTGAAAAACCAACAGGTGAAAAATGATTGTCTTTATGTAGTTTTCAAGTGTTGCTTGCCACTTAGATGAAGAATGCCTAGAAAAGTAAATTTTAATTAAGACCATTCTTAAAGATGTAGTTGGTCTGCAAGTGATAAACAAGTCATTAAGTATATTATGAAAGTTTATCTTTAGATGATAATCAGAATTCATTTTCCCACAAGTGATATTCCCAGATGCATGCCTACACAAACATGTACATACACAATGTAAAATAATAAAAGATGATTCTATTACAATATAATCTATTAAATTGGAAATGGTAAGAAAATTTAATAAGAAAATGTATTTTTCATATACGCATATATTGGATGAAGACATTCACAAAGTAGGTAAAAAGAGTTACCATCAGGCTGGGAGTGGTGGCTCACACTTGTAATCCCAGTGCTTTGGGAGGATGAGGTGGGAGGATTGCTTGACCCAGGAGTTTGAGACCAGCCTGAGCAATATAGTGAGACTACATCTCTACAAAAAATGAAATAACTAGCCAGGTGTGGTGGCATGTGCCTGTAGTCTTAGCTACTTGGGAGGCTATGGAGAGAGGATCACTTGAGCCCAGGAAGTCAAGGCTGCAGTGAGCCATGTTCATAGCACTGCCCTCCAACAGAGTGAGACCTTGTCTCAAACGACAACAAAAAAGAGCTACCATCTCATCCCTGTCAGAATGGCTATTTATTAAAAAGTCAAAAAATATCAGATATTGGCAAGGATGTGGAGAAATGGGAACACTTATACAGTGTTGGTGGGAATGTAAAGTAATACAACCTTTATAGAAAACAGTATGGAGATTTCTGAAGGAACTAAAAATAGAACTACCATTCAATCCAGCAATCCCACTACTGGGTATATAACCAAAGGAAAATGACACCTGCACTTGTATATTTAAGGCAGCATTATTCACAATAAGAAAGATATAGAACCAACTTAAATGTCCATCAACAGAGGATGAAATACAGAAAATACACACACACACACACACATATATATACACACACATACCTATATATAAACATACACCTATATATATATACACACACCTATATATAAATGTATCTATATATTATATATATTATACAGATGAAAGATATAGATGCACACATCCACACACACCATGAAATACTACTCAGCCATGAAAAATAAAATCATGTCTTTTGCAGCAACATGGATGGAACTGGAGGCCATTATTGTAAGTTAAATAACTCAGCAATAGAAAGTCAAAGATCACATATCCTCACTTATAAGTGGGAGCTAAATAATGGGTACACATGGGCATACAGAGTGGAATAATAGACATTTGACAGTACAAAAGTTGGGAGGGTGGGAGACAAGTGAGGGTTGAAAAATTTCCTACTGGGGGCAATGTTCACTATTTGGGTGATGGGTACACTAAAAGCCCAGATTTCACTGCCACATGATATATGTATGTAAGAAATCTACACATATATTCCCTAAATATATAAAAATTTTAAAAAAATTAGAAGTGAGTTAAAGGAATCAAAAGGCAGATGACAGTATTTTAATGATTTGAACAAGACTTAGATGCTTATAAGCATGAAAGGCCAAGGAAGCTGGTTTTTCATCATATCCAAGTTCAGTTTAAAACATATGTCTCTCTCTTCTTTAGTACTTAAATTGGTTAAGTGACTTTTATCTCACTTCTGGAAAGAGAGAAAGACAAATGAAGGTGGGAAGTAATAAATCATGATAGATAAAAAACCGATTGGGAGAGGAGATGAAGAAATGCATACATAATGATCCAGAGGGAATGGAAAATGAGATGATTCATTAAGTTTTGCACAACACCAGCGAAAGGTAAGCATTATTGGCCAAAAACCCAGGGGCAGGTTATTGTAGTGGGACAGGATTAAGCAGCCTAGAACAGTACCTGAAACATAGTGGGTCCTCGATAAATATTTGTTGAATATGCAAATGAATGAATTAATTTTTCACTTATTTATTTATTAAATATTTATTGAACACCTAGTATGTGCCAAACACCCTTCTAGACACTAGAGGTATTGAACAAAACAAACAAAAATTCCTGACTTCACAGGGCTTACATCTAGTAAAGAGAAATAGACAATAAAATTTAATCTTAAAGGATATTAGATGGTTATAAGTTAAGGAAGTTTTATGGGGAGGGTTTGCAATTTTAAGAAGGTCAAGAAAGGTTCATCAGAAAAACTTCAAGGAAGCCAGAGTGGCTAAAGCTGAGTGAATCATAGCAAGAGATGAAGTGGGAGATGAAGTTGGAGAGAAACCAGATCATGGGGCCCTTAAGCCATTAAATTGACTTTTACTGAGTGAGCTAGGATGCCATGGGGGGGTCTGAGCATGAATCTTACACTTATGTGTAACAGGATTATTCTGATTGCTGCATTGGGAATAAACACAAAGGGCTAGAAAAGGTGGAAGTAAGAACAGCAGCAATAAGGAGGCTTGTCAGAGTGATAGCAGAAGAGGTAGTAAGAAGGTGTTAAGTCCTGGTTATATTTTTGAAGCAGAGATCAGAGTATTTGCTGACCTATTGAATATGAAATATGAGAAAAGAATAACTCCAGATTTTTGGTCTGTAAGAATAGGGATGAGTTGCCATTTACTGAATAGGTTTGGTTGGTTAGAAATCGGGGGTTTTGTTCTGGGCATCATAGGTTGAAGATGCTCGTTAGACATCTAAGTGGAAATGAACAGTAGGCGGTTGGATATAAATAACTGGGGTTTTGAGGAGAGGTTTGGGCTGAAATTACACATTTGTGAGTCTTTAGTAGCATGTAAAGCCACAAGACACTGATTGAGATCCTCAAAGACTTGAGTATTAATAGGAGAGAAGAGATCTAAGTAAGGACTGAGTCTTGGGACATTTGAAACAAGAAATCTGGATGATGAAGTGGAATGAGCAAAGGCGAAAGAGAAGGGACAGCCAATGAGGTAGGAAAAACCCCGAGAGACTGTGGTGTCCTGAATGCCAAGTAAAACTCTGTGATTTTTATTCACTCGTTGGGTGTTTGTAGGAATTGTAAACTTGGAATTTATTCATTCCTCCAACAAACAATTATAAGTAGTTATTTTGGCCAGGCACTGTGCTCGGCACTGGGGATACAGAAAAAATAAGACTTGATCCCCGGTCCCCAGTCAATGAGGAAAAATAAAAATCAACAGTTACAGTGTATGTAAAAAGTCCTGTGCTAGAAAAATGCATAGACTGTTTTCGGAAATTAGAGGAGGGAAATCTAAATCATATGGGGTGGAACTGAGGCCTTGACTCAAGAGAAAATATCAGGTGAATGAACAAAGTAGAAACAGAAGTTTCTAAACTAAGCACCCCCACTCCCATTATCTTTCTCTCATTTGTTTCTCACTTGAATATACGTTATTTTACTGGGATTATTTTCTTTTCTTTAATTTGTGATGATTTTCTTCTCCAAAATTTAATGTTTGGCTTTTATTTTGATTATTCTGTTCAAACTTCTTACGCCATTTTTTTTATTTCATAACTATGACACGTTCTTTATTTTCACCAAGTTTTATACCTAAAAAATATTTTTGTGTTCTCTTTCCAAACTCACTTTTTTGAATTACTTCTTCCTCAGAAGCTCCCTTATAATGTACTCCATTTCAATGGCACAAATAAAAGATAATTCTAAGGTTAAAACTTTTAGGTAATCCCAAGAAATGTGAATATGTTAAGGAACCAAATTATAAAACTTTGGAAATAAAAGCAATGCCAGTGGAGAAAATATCAAATATAGCAGTGTTCTCTTGTCATATTTATTTTCTTAAAATCAACCAGAATCCACTTGCTAGATCTGTAGTGCAGATAAATGAATCAGTTCTATATTTGGTGACTATGTCTCACTCAATCCTAAATTGCTCCGTGATTTTGTTTATTTGTTTTTGCTTTTTTAAATATACACTTTGCAAAGAAACCTCCCACAAATAGGTGGCATTTGTGTTCTAGAAAAAAACAAATACAACTTGACCCAGGAAACAGTACGCTGAGTCTTTGAATTTCCACATTTTAATGGAAACTGCCAAGACATTATCTAATATATGACTGTTGCTGCTACTGTTTTTCTTATCAGTCTGGTATGCATTAACATATTTTGCAACAAGAATAAAAAAGGATGCGGTAAATATTGTTTTATCAGCTCCTTCTACTAATAACTAACTTATTCACAATCCTTTTCTAAACAATGTCATTCTCAACAGGTAGCTGGAAAAGAATGACCTAACATTTAGAATTAAAAATTTAAAAAAAAGCTATTTGAATATGATCTAGGGTGAAGCAATTGAGATTGAAGAGATCTTCTACTCAACTATAAAAAAGAATAGAGCACTCTAAAAAGCCTAAAGTTATTGTATGACCAATTTTGCTCATATATTGAAATTCTCGCCAAAAATAGATAATAACTTTTTTGTGAAGTTATCTGTGTTTTATCAGTATTAAAGAAAAATAATGGTATTACAGAGAGTTACAACACTGGTATTTAGAAATGACTGGGATAACTAAAGAAGATAAATGCAACTGAGAGTGGCAGTTCATATGGGTATAAATTAGGTTAGTAAATCAATACTGCACTAGTGTTCTTTAAGCAATGCAACCATAAAAATATAAATTTACTCACTATAACATTTTGCAGGGGACAACAAAATAGTAATGGTTAGCCAATCGAACTGTTTCTTCGATTTGTTTTTGTTTGTTTAACAGAAATATTTTACTGCTTGGAAAAGACCGTTGATTTATTGTAAAATTATTGAATAAATTGAGGAGTAGATTTTAAGCAACCTCCTTCCACACACTAACATGTTGCTCTGAGTTAATTTACCAACATCCATGTAAACTAAGTGTTTGGAGATGCTTTTGGGGTGACAAATCATCTCTGGCCTTTGACAGGAGAGATTCCAATTCATTTCGCTTTTCCTGTGGGGAAGGCTGGTCACAAAAAGACTTAACTATATTACCTTTTTATATTGTATTATTATCATTACTGAATGTAATATACTGTTTCATAGTTTACAGACTGTTATAAAACATTAATAGTTGGAGGTAGAATTCACTAATAGAACAGGCAACCTTGACATGAGTTTAGATCAGTTTGTGTCCCCAGAATATAACTCTTCCGTATTAGCGAGGCCTCCTTTGGTTGCCTATAATGAAGATAACTCTAGGTCATTTAATTCAAAGAAAAATTGATTAGAATCAGCACTTATCTGAACTCTACATGCCATACAAATATGGATATGTCTGTTTTATTTTCTAATTAAGCTTTCAGTCCACCTGCTTTTCATGTTAATAGGAAATCCAATCTCTCCTTGAAAGAGTTCTCTACTTCATGAATTGGGCTTCCTCCATCCGAAGGGATCAGACCTGTTTCCAAATCCACCACCATCTATCATAAAGGTCCTAGTTATCTTAAACCTGAAAAGGGAAGAGATTGTAATCAACCTCTCTCTCATGAGGTGCCTTGCCCCTCAGCCTGCTTCTAGATAGCACTTACCTCTGCATATTAGGATATTAGGAGACAGCCTCCAGGAGGGACAGCATTAATTGGACCACAGGATGCTCTGTACCCTTCTCTAGGGCCTTGGGTGTCTTGTCAATTTTATATTTTCATAACTTAGAAGCAGTACTCAAGTGTTTTGAAAAAAATCAGAAAAAAACTGCTCCTGAGTGACTTTCTGTGTCTACTAGACAAAGGAGTGGTGGCTGGCAGTTTTTCTTATTTAAAAACAAAAAAGTGTATGTGTTTGCACACATGTGCACGTGTGTGTATGTCTATCTGTTTCTCCAGGTACCCCTCTACCAATGAATGGAAGGTTGGCCTATGAGACCCAGAGTCAGAGATGCAGCCAGGCCCCCAGTATGGCCTGGAACTAGGCACTAGGATGACATCAGACTCTTCACATTTTCCCCACACTCTGCTGTGCAGGCTTTTTTGTTTCCTCTTTTTATTCATTCTGTGAAACATGGTAACTGACATCTGGTTTTTAATGTTTCTGGTTCACCTACCCCAAAAGAAAATTCTGTCTTGGTCCTAACGTTACATTTCTATGTGAGGGGCTGTGATTAGCCTGCCTCAGGTCAGTTGCCCATCTGAGTTCCAATCAATTTTGTTCAAGTGGGCAAGAACACATTATATAAAATTTTTCCCTGTTGTTTGCAACTTTTAATTAAGGGGCAGATTCCAATTCATAGAGCCGTTATGTTCAATCGTATAGGTTGCGCACTACACCAGAAAGTCACATCAGATCACTGTTCACATCACAGATATCTTCTTCATACTGTAACATGTCAGTATTTTTACTATACCTGTTGACTTCAAAGGTGAACTATTTACAATTTATGTTGACAATTTTCTGATAGTGAGGGAGTCTTATTCTAGAAAAATGAACATATTATGGGAATTTTCTGACTAATGGTGGTAAAGTATGTTATCTAAGACACATATTATATATATATATACATATATATACACACATGCGCACACACACGCATAAAATTCCATACCACATTAACTTATGAAAGAGGAGCAAGTTTGATAATTGAGAAACCTTGTTGATCTGATCATATCTAAAATACACTTTGCCTCCAAATAAGATGCTGTTTTTATGGCTGATATACTTAGTGATTAGTAAATATTTATGGTTTTAATTTCATATTAATATTAGTACATGGGTAAATTAGACATTCTATATTTTAGTTCATTTCATCTGCCATTTGTTTACTGTACTGAATAGTATTTCTGAATTATTAATTTAAGTGTACAAATATTTTATTATGATATGAATCACTATGCAAAAACCAATATCTATAAGTCATTGCTAATCTCCAAAGTACTGCATACATATAAATTATAGATTATCATGTAATAATCCACAAATTAAATAACTATTGTTTATTTGTTGTTACAAAAAGATTGCCAATTGTTAATACAAAAGTTAATTTCTAATAAAATTTAGCAATATATTACATGAATATATTTAAATTTGTTTTAAATGATAAAATACTAAACAAGTTAAAGATATCAAAAAAGGTTTTTTTCAATTGGTTGCTGTCAGAAAACAATTTTAAAAGAAAATACAGCTCTTGTAATCACTGAATAAAGTTTCAGAGAAAATAGATACAAAGTTAGAAAAAATTAGAAGTACTTTGGACATCCAAGCACAGGTAGAATGTAATCACAGTTACAGTTCAGATGAAGCATGGGTAAATTAACTGTAAATCTACATGAAAACCACTATTATAGAATTAAAAAAAAAGAAACAAGAAAATCACAAAGGACTTATATCAAGCATATTGTCTGCTGATTTAAGTACATAGCCTGGATAAGTAAAAAAATTTAGTTTTTCAAATGACAATACTAATATAAAATTTTCAGAAATTTATTTAACATAAATTATTCAAAATAATGAATAATTATAAACCCATTATATACTGGTCAGTTTATTTTCTCCAGTGCTTTTGTACTTTTTTATTTTGCAAACTCTTGAGGGATTAAAAATCAACTGAAGATGGAAAGTGAGTGTACAAATGGAAGCAGTTATAGCATTTTAGCAAAAAGAACAAAGTGAAATACTCATTAACAGTAGTATTGTTTATAAACTAAAAAATTTTATAGATGTAATTAGAAATGTTAAAACATTATACAATAGTGATAAAAATATTGACATACTGTTTTTGAACTTATAATACGTGATTCAGCTTTTGGCAAGTTGAAGTCTACCATCCAGAAAGTCATCCAAGAAGCTTTATGTCTGTGATAATGGACATTTAGAAGAAAACCAAAGCCAAATTTGAGAGCACTGTGGCAGAACTTGTATGAAAAATACAAACATTGAAAATAAGTAATATTGCAATACTGCACATTATTTAGGGAATGAAATGCAAAGCAAAATCCTGAGGAAGGATTATGTATATATTGGTTGGTTTATAAAACTATATATAAATAACAAATCTATACCAAAAAAAGTTTTGAAGCCTGGAATCCCAAGGTATCCGAATTTGAAAACATGGAAAACATAATGATTGCTACAAAAGATTCTTGAAAAATATTTGAAGGCATTCTAAATTTCTTGTTCTATATATTCTTTAAACTTGGTACCAAAAAATGAAGCATAAATCTCTTCTACTATCAGTTTTTCTTTTCTGAAATTATTGAAATGCTATATAATTACTACTCATTGGCTTCAATGAAATATTGAAATGTTTTGAAAACATATTTACTAAATGCAAATTTGAACCATTACAGAATACACAATGAGAAAGTCCAGTCATTGCCATTATGCCATTAAAACTCAATTAGATGCAGTGTGTGCTCCTATAGAAACTGTTTGTGATATTAATAAAGATGAAAATTACAGAATACAAGCCAAAAGTATTTCAAAGCTGTATTTATTGAAATGTATTTTCTAAGTTCTAATGGGCCTCAATGTTTTAAGTGAAATGATGTGTTAATCAAAATTCTCTACAGATAATGTCCTTGAAAGCAGCAAAATAATTCAGAATATTAAAAAGATAGACATGATAATATTTATGAAGTCTATATCGTTGATGCCAAAAATCTTGTATTTTTACAATTATGTGAATTTCTCCAACATAGAAAATGTTAGAAAAGGGAAGACATTTTGACATCAAACCCCATTATTTACAATTTAAAACTAAATTTTAAAATAATTTTTTTGTACACAACAATATCATCTTAAATAAACAGGTGTATGATCATAAAAAATGTGTGGCCTTTTTAATATCCTTGATGACATTTAATTTAAGAATTATGATTAAACTCTACCAGTAAAACATAATGACTTGGAGACTGAACAAGTGCTTTGCCATGGTTTCTGTCTAAGAGGACAGAGAAAATCTGATTTAACTCAGAGAGGGCAGGTCTGCAGGAAGATGTGTTTGGATTAACTGTTAAAGAATAACTCCAAACTTAGAAATTACTTTAAAACATTGAGGGTTTATTTATGCAGAAGAAAACACAAAGACAAGGGTAGAACTCACAAGAGCAAAACTCAGAAATTTTCACAAGGAAAAATGATTGGTTGGTTAAACGAAATCTTTACATGTGAGTTCAGAATTGGTTGGTTTTAGTGGAGCTTCATGAAGGCCAATTATTGAACCCCAAATCTCTTTGTATGTTTTGCAAGAAGAATGCCATGAAAGAAGACCTTTAAATGAAATATTTTTTACTGTACATAAAGAGCACAAGTCAACATTGAAGCAGTCATAAAGAATTTTGTTTATTCTTTATGAAAGAATATGAAAGTGAGAGTTATAACTATTTTATCATATATCTTGTAATTCTGAGTTCCTAATTATTGTGACTAAAATTTTCATTATGTGAAAATTTTGTGATTTTATGTTTACTATTTTGATTTGTATAATTTGAAAATTTACAAAAATGATTTTATATTTATTTTACTTCTTATAGATATATTAAAAATATACTAACTTTAAAAACTCTTAAGTTTGAGAAAGCCTTCTCCAATTCACATTTAAAGCTTATTTGGGCCTGATGCTATATCCTCCATAGAAAACAGACTGCATATTTAAAATAGCCAAACTTATCCTCAGAGAGTAAAACGGTGTTGGCCAGGGGCAGGGCAAGTGGGAAATGGGAAGTAGCTGTTCAATGGGAGTTTCAATTATGTCTTAATGGAATAAAGGATAAAAATCAAACAATTATCTCAAAAGATGCAAAAAATGCATTTGGCAAAACTCAACACCCTTTCAATACAGACAAGTTACATATAGAAGGAACTTATTTCAACACAATAAAGGCTGTATTTAAAAAGCCCACAGTTAACAAGTGAATTGTGTTAATTGTGTTAATTTAGTGAAAATCTAAAATCTTTTCCTCTAAGATCTGGAACAAGGTAAGGATGTTCACTTTTGACACTTCTGTTAAATATTGTACTGGAAGTCCTAGCTAGAGCAATTAAGAAAGAAGAAATAAATAAATGTCATCTAAATAAAAACAGAAGAATAAAATTATCTCTGTTTGCAGATGACATGATCTCATATATAGAAAACCCTAAATATTTTACAAAAAAAGGTTAGAAATAATAAACAAATTCAGTAAAGTTGCAGGATACAAAATCAACATACAAAAATCAGTTACATTTCTAGACACAGCACACTATCCAAAAAGGAAATTAAGAAACTTTACCTTTTACAATAGCATCAAAAATCATAAAAATCTTAGGAATAAGCTTACTCAGTGAGGTGCACTGAAAACTTGTACATTGAAAGCTATACAGTACTGATGAAAGAAATTAAAGCAGATACAAATAAATGGAAATAAATCAATGTTCATAGATTAGAAGAATTAATGTTGTTAAAATGTTTATATTACCCAACGTGATTTGCAGATTCAGTGCAATCCCTATTAAAAGTTGAATGGCATTTTTAAAAATTTATATTTTTTATTAATTTTAATTTGAAGTTCCAGAGTATATGTGCAGGATGTGCAGGTTTGTTACATAGGTAAACATGTGCCGTGGTGGTTTGCTCCACCTATCAACCTATCACCTAGGTATTGAGCCCAGCATGCATTAGCTATTTTTCCCAATGCTCTCCCTCCCCCGACCCCACTCTCCAAGAGGTCCCAGTGTATGTTGTTCCCCTCCCTGTGCCGTCTACGTGTTCTCATTGTTCAGCTCCCACTTGTAAGTGAGAACACGTGGTGTTTGGTTTTCTGTTCCTGCATTAGCTTGCTGAGGATAATTGCTTCCAGCTCTATCCATGTGCCTGCAAAGGACATGATCTCCTTTTTATGGCTGCATAGTATTCCATGGTGTATATGTACATTTTCTTTTTTCAGTCTACCATTGATGAGCATTTGGGTTGATTCCATTTCTTTGCTATTGTGAATAGTGTGCTGCAATGAACAGATGTGTGCATGAATCTTTGTAGTAGAATTATTTATATTCCTTAGGGTATATACTCTAAGGTATATAATGATGAGGTATATACCCTAAGGTATATAATAATGAGATTGCTGGGTCAAATGGTACTTCTGGTTCTAGATCTTTGAGGAATTGCCACACTGTCTTCCACAATGGTTGAACTAATTTACATTCCCACCCACCAACAGTGTAAAAGCGTTCCTATTTCTACTCAACCTCACCAGCATCTGCTGTTTCTTGACTTTTTAATAATCGCCATTCTGACTGACATGAGATGGTATCTCATTGTGGTTTTGATTTGCATTTCTCTAATGTTCAGTGATGTTGAGCTTCTTTTCATGTTTGTTGGCCACATGAACATCTTTTGAGAAGTGTCTGTTCTTATCTTTTGCCCACTTTTTAATGAGGTTGCATGTTTTTATCTTGTAAATTTGTTTAAGTTCCTTGTAGATTCTGGATATTACACCTTTGTCAGATAGGTAGATTGCAAAAATTTTCTTCTGTTCTGTAGGTTGCCTGTTCATTCTGATGATAGTTTCTTTTGCTGCGCAGAAGCTCCTCAGTTTAATTAGATACCATTTGTCAATTTTTATTTTTGTTGCAATTGCTTTTGGCAATTTCATCATGAAATCTTTGTCTGTGCCTGTGTCGTGAATGGTATCACCTAGATTTTCTTCCAGGGTTTTTATAGCTTTGAGTTTTACCTTTAAATCTTTAATCTGTCTTGAGTTAATTTTTGTACAAGGTGTAAGGAAGGGGTCCAGTTTCAATTTTCTGCATATGGCTAGCCAGTTCTCCCAGCACCATTTATTATATGGGAATCTAAAATTTATGTGGAACCACAAAAGACCCTGAATCACCAAAGCAATTTTGAGCAAGAAGAAATCTGGAGGCCAGGCTCCATGTCTCAGGCCTATAATCCCAGCAATTTTTGAGGCTGAGATGGTATAATTGCTTGAGTCCAGGAGTTCACAACCAGCCTGGGCAAAATAATGAGGTCCTGTCTCTACAAAAATAAAACATAAAAAATGTGCTGGGTGTGGTGGTACACACCTATAGTCCCAGCTGAGGTGGGAGGATCACTTGAGCTCACTGGTGGAGGCTGCAGTGAGCTAAGATCATGCCACTCTACTCCAGCCTGGGTGACAGAGCAGGACTCTGTTTCTAAAAGAAAAAAAATCTGGAGACAGTATGTTTGCTTATATAAAAATACGTTACAAAGCTAGACTAATCAAAACAGTATGTGATACGGTTTGGTTGTGTCCCAACCCAAATCTCATCTTGAATTGTTCCCATAATCCCCATATATCACGGGAGAGACCTGGTGGGAGGTAACTTAATCATGGGTGCAGTTACCCTTATGCTGTTCTCATGATAGTGAGTGAGTTATCATGAGATCTGATGGTTTTATAAGGGACATTCCCCCCGCTTCTTCTGCACTTCTCTTTGCTGCCACCATGTGAATAAGGACATATTTGCATCCCCTTCTGCTATGATTTTAAGTTTGCTGAGGCCTTCCAGCCCTGCAGAACTGTGAGTCAATTAAACATCTTTCCTTTATAAATTATGCAGTCTTGGGTATTTCTTCACAGCAGCATGAGAACAGACTAATACAGTGAATTGCTACCACAGAGAGTGGGGCACTGCCATAAAGCTACCCAAAAATATGGAAGGGACTTTGGAACTGGGTAACAGGCAGAGGCTGGAACAGTTTGGAGAGCTCAGAAGAATACAGGAAAATGTGGGAAAGTTTGGAACATCCTAGATACCTGTTGAATTGCTTTGGCCAAAATGCTGATAGTGATATGGACAATAAAGTCTAGGCTGAGGTGATATCAGATGGAGATGAGGAACTTGTTGGAAACTGGAATAAAGGTGATTCTTGCTATGTTTTAGCAAAGAGGGGCAGCATTTTGTCCCTGCCCTAGAGATCTGTGGAACTTTGAACTTGAGAGAGATGATTTAGCATATCTGGTGGAAGAAATTTCTAAGTGGCAAAGCATTCAAGAGGGAGAAAACATGAAAGTTTGGAAAATTTGCAGACTGATGATGTGATAAAGAAAACCTGGTTTTCTGGGAAGAAATTCAAGCCGGCTACAAAAATTTGCATAAGTAACAAGGAGCCAAATGCTAATCATTAAGACAATGGGAAAAATGTTCCCAGGGTATGTCAGAGACCTTCATGGCAGCCCCTCCCATCACAGACCCGGAGGCCTAGGAGAGAAAAATGGTTTCATGGGCTGGGCTCAGGTCTCCCTGCTCTGTGCAGCCTTGGGACATGGTGCCCTGTGTCCCTGCTGTGGCTAAAAGGGGTCAATGTACAGCTCAGCCTGTTGCTTCAGAGGGTGCAAGCCACAAGCCTTGGTGGCTTACATGTGGTGTTGAGCTTGTAGGTGCACAGAAGTCAAGAACTGAGGTTTGGGAACCTCTCCCTAGATTTCAGAGGATGTATGGAAATGCCTGGACATCCGGGCAGAAGTTGCTGCAGGGGGCAGAGTCCTGATGGAGAACCTCTTCTAGGGTAGCATGGAAGGGAAATGTGGGGTCAGAGCCCCCACACAAAGACCCCACTGGGGGACTGCCTAGTAGAGCTGTGAGAAGAGGGCCACTGTCCTCCAGACCCCAGAAAGGTAGATCCACTGACAGCTTGCACCATGTGCCTGGAAAAGTTGCTGACATTCAACACTAGCCTGTGAAAGAAGCCAGGAGCAGGGCTGTACCCTGCAAGCCACAGGGACAGAGCTGCCCAAGGCCAGGGGAGCCTGCCTCTTGCATCAGTGTGCCCTGCATATGAGACACAGAGTCAAAGGAGATAATTTTGGAACTTTAAAATTTAATGACTGCCCTATTAAATTTTAGACGTGCATAGGCCCTGTAGTCCCATTGTTTTGGCCAGTTTCTGTCATTCGGAACAAGTGTGTTACCCAATGCCTGTACCCCCATTGTATCTAGGAAGTAACTAACTTGCTTTTGATTTTACAGGCTCATAGGCAGAAGGGACTTGCTTTGTCTTGGATGAGGCTTTGGACTTGGACTTTTGAGTTAATACTGAAATGAGTTAAGACTTTGGAGGACTGTTGGAAGGGCGTAATTGTGTTTTGAAATGTAAGGACAACAAGATTTGGGAGGGGCTGGGTCAGAAGGATATGGTTTTGCTGTGACCCCACCCAAATCTCATCTTGAATTATAGTTCCCATAATCCCCACATGTTGTGGGAGAGACCTGGTGGGAGACAGTTTAATCATGGGTGTGGTTGCCCTCATGCTGTTCTCGTGATAGTGAGTAAGTTATCATGAGATCTAATCATTTTATAAGGGGCTTTTCTCCCTCTTCACTCTGCCCTTCTTCTTTCTGCTGCCATGTGAAGAAGGATGTGTTTGCTTCCCCTTCTGCCATGAATGTAAGTTTTCTGAGGCCTCCCCAGTCCCACAGAACTATGAGTTAATTAAACTCTTTCCTTTACAAATTACCCTGTCTTGGGTATTTCTTCATAGCAGCATGAGAATGGATTAATACAGTATGGTACTGGCATAAAAACAGACATATAGACCAATGAAACAGAATAAAGAGCCCAGGAATAAATCCATTCATATATAATCAAACCTTGTATATTGTTGGTGGGTGTGTAAGTTTGTGCAGCTCTTATGGAGGGCAGTATGGAACTTCCTCAAAAAATTAAAAGTGAAACTGCAATATGATCCAGGCATCCCATTTTTAGGTGTATATCCAAAGGCATCAAAATCAGAATCTCAAAGAGATATCTGCACTTCCATGTTCACCTTCATGTATCATCTTCATTCATCTGCACCTTCATGCAGCATTATTCATAATAATGAAAGCATAGTAGCAATGTAAATATTCATCAGTGGATGAAATGATAAAGAAAACATGGTGTATACATACAATGAAATATTATTCAGTCTTAAGAAAAGGGAAATTCTGCCATTTGCTACAACATGGTGCACCTGGAAGAATTATACTAACTAAAATAAGCCAGATACAGAAGGACAAATACCACATGATACCACTTATATCAAGAATCAAAAATAGACAAACTCATAGAAGCAGAGAGCAGGATGGTGATTACCAAGGCTTGAGAGAAGATGAAATGGGGGGATTAGTCAAAGTGTGCAAGATTTCAGTTATGCAAGTCCTAGAGATCTCCTGCCCAGCATAGTGCCTATAGTTAACAATGCTGTATTGTACACATAAAAATTTGCTAAGAGGGTAGATCTTAAGTGTGCACACACATGAATAATAATAATAATTAACAAAAAGGGTGGGAGGAAAATTTTGGAGGTTAGGGATATGTTTATGGCATATATCGTTGGGATAATGTCATGGGTGTATATGTATCTGCAAACTCATCAAGTTGTGTACATTAACTATGTACACGTTTCTGAATGTTAATCATGCCTAAAGTGGTTTAAGAAAAAGAAGTTCATAAGAGCAAGTTTACAATAAAACATTTTAACTCTTAAATTTTATTTCGCTTAAAAATAGTGCATTAAACGAGTCGCAATAGCATTTTAAACATCTTGACGTGAATAATAATAGATACTATGAAATTAATTTCCAATTGCTTTTAATCCTAAGACACTACTGTTGCCTTAATTACTGTGGTGGTCATAAAGATGAGAAGAGAAAAAAATGCCAAAGGCCCATGGATTGTCATAGAGAGAAGTCTTGGTCCCTTTCATGTGTGTGTTCTATTAGGCTTATTGCCTACAAAGCTCATTCGAATGTCTTTTCACAGTGCTTTGAGTTGTATTGGAATTATTTTCTCTACCCTTTTTGTTAAAGAAAAACAAAACAAAAATATAAATGATTTTGGTCAAAGTCTGACTGCATGTCTTCCTAATATTGTAGCAAATCATCTAGCAACTAACAGCCTTGTGCCTAGCACAGGGTAGGTACTCAATAAATATTTGTTGCATAAATTCAACAATAAAATTTTATTCATGGAGCGAGATCAGTATTTACTGTGACATCCTTAAGTTTCAAAGGTTAGACCAAGAACATTGTTGCTTGAAACAAAAAATATTCGTTTCATGTTTGCAAATATTTTGATGATACTTTTCTGCTTTGTTGGAAGATGCAATTGAGTCCTTGAGATTAACTTGCCTCGTGTCCAAAAGATAAAACCTAGTGTCTGAAAATGTCAGTTACTCAATGTCATTTACGTCTTCATTCAAACATTTTGTGACATTAGAAACTTTTTTTCATCTGTGAGGATAAAATCTGAAAAATCAGGTGGAATGAAAAGTCATTCCAAAGTTTTAATGAGACATATCAAGGGTGAATTATTTCATTTCTTCTATTCACTTTTATTCCTGTTAACATGCAAGTAATTTTGCAGGTATTCTGTGTTTTCTTTGATGCAAGTTGGGACTGAGTTTGCATCTGGGGTGGTAGCCCTAGAATGCTGGGGTGCATTCTGGGAACAGCTGCGTTAAGCACAGGTACGTGGGGACAGTTCTGGTTCTACTTCCCTGCTGGGCTATGTCACCTGTGACAAACGCTCCTGTGGGCAAGTCTTCTTTGCTACTTGTCCCTGCAACTGCCCCAACAAAGGGCTGCTCTCCATCTCCCATCCCTCCTCTGCCAGATGTGGCTGCTTCAGCCCTTTGCCAACCCAGGGCTTCTTTTAGCCCTAATCAGAGTACCTGGAGTTCACAGCTTCTGATTTGGAGGAGATCTCATGTGACACTAATCATTGCTGAAACCACCATGTCTGCTTCCAATACTTTATTCTTCAAAAGCAAAGTGAGAGAGAAAAAAAGAGAAAAGGAAAGGGAGGGAGATGAAAGAAAGGAAGAAGGAGAAGAAAGAGTGAGATTCGTCTCTTCACTTTCTAGCTAAAGCAGAGAAACAGCATAAGCTCCATCAAACCTAGTGAAAAACAACAGGAGTGACTCACTAAATCTCAGTGTGCTTAACTTTTGTACAGGGAGAATTCATCATGGGGGAAGGATTACTCTAGGTCTTTGTGATTGCTATGGCTCTAACACAATGGTTCCCACATAGCAATTGTCAAATATTTGTGGATTAGCCAGCAGGCAGGTAGAGCAGCTCTCCTCCAAATCAGCATTCATAAGAATTGCAGTTCCATTTGCACTTCTCATGTTTACTAAATACACATTTCAATAGAGTATTGTACTCATAGCTGATTTTATAGTGTGGTTTTCAGACAATTTTAATCTTTTTTGATTCAGGATACTAAAATGCATACCCAGAAAGCAATGTTGGAAAATATGGGAGATAAATTCGTGAGTATGAAGTGAGAGGAGGGGAAGGTGGGTGCACCTGGAAAATACTGTTGGATCTCATTGCAAGAAGAAGTCTAATTCTAGCTGTCAGTGTCATGTTCATGTTCACCCATCACCAATTTCAATAGCTTAGAAAAATTAAGCCTCTTTAAATGAGCAGTCTGAAAAAATCACTTTGAAAGGAAATGGCAAAAATTTTTGATAAACTTTTTTTGTCATATGAAAGTTTGATTCTCCTATGTAAATTCTCAAAGGCAGGTGGTAGTTTATCAAAATGCAGGAGTTAATTTATATTGTCCAAGATAATCTGCTTTATCATTTCTTTATCTAAAGGAAAGGATAGTGATTTAAGTTTTGCTTTTAAGTCATCAGTGTTGGCAAAAGCCTTGTAAGATACAGATCTAACCCCTTTTCTCCTTGCTTCCACCCCACACACATATCCCCAGGTTCTGCCAAATTCTTTTGGCAGAAGCAGTCTGGAAACTCTATCTAGAAATTCAATTCTAAGGTCTAAAGCATTCCAACTAACTAGAACACACACACACACACACACACACACACACACACACACACACAGAGTCTAAATTAGAGGTCTGCATTTGTATCTAAAGTGTTTTAAGTGTTAGAAAAATGGAAAAATACTGCTCTTTCTACATCTCTGAAGTTATCAAAGAATTAATTCTTGCAGTTTCCTTGATTACTTGAGAACACTGTCCCTGCCTTAGGGTTCTGTTCGATAGTGACTCATTCATTCATTCACTCATTCATTGCCTTGGTCTTTTCTCTCAGTTCTTCCAGAAAGCAGAGACCAAGATAAGAATTTATGTGCAGAAATGTTGTTTGGAAAGTCAGTTCAGGAAACAGAACAGGAAGACCAGGAAGGAGGCAAAGCCAATACGAGAGTGTCTTCTCAGACGTTTCACCACTGTGGGAAACTGGACTCAATCCCACAGGGTCCTTCTGATGAGCCACATAGAGTGCACCCCAGAATTGTCCACTGGAGAAAGGGATCACTTATTTACCAGCTCCGTCTTTCATTGGTCCAGGGCTGTCCTTTTGAGTACTGACTGTCCTGTGCTTTCATATTGTTCATAAGTGAATAGAAGACAGAGTCCTGCATCACAGTATTATAGAAGCCCAGAGGCTGATATCAAGAGACACATGATATAACAGAAGCAAGTTGCTGCCAGGTTATACCTGTGCAAAAATGGCTGCCACAGAAATGGCCAGAGTAAATGGTGAGCTGACAGATGTGCAATACATTCATTTAGTATCTATTGAGAGTGACACTACAAAGAAACTATGGGGAAACTAAACACAAGTAGATCATTCCAATGATAAGTAATGTGTTAGGGACACAACAGGGATAAGAGAGGAAACAACCTTCGGCATACGATTGTGTCTGCCATGTATGCTCTTGGACCTTGGCTGTAAATTACCAGGGTAATGATGGAATGGAATTAGAGAGGAACACAAACTAGTGGGAAGAATGTTTGCTGACAGCAAATAGAGTACCCAGTGGAGAAGCCTGGAATAGATCTGCAAAGAGGGATGGTGAGACCACAGCAGCAGGGCTGGGTTTGAATCACTGATGGGAGTCAGGAGAGGAAATTAGAAGCAGTCCACATTTATAGGAGATATTAAAGAAAAACATGGGGAAAAGGGATTTTAAGAGATTCTGCTGTATATGAATTGAAATCACATTTGGTGTTTTCAAGAAACCATGGTAGAGATACCATTTGGGTTTTTTTTTTCAATTTTAATTTCACAACTTTTTTTGGAGTGATTTTTTTATTATACTTTAAGTTCTGGGGTTCATGTGCACAACGTGCAGGTTTGTTACATAGGCATACATGTGCCATGTTGGTTTGCTGCACCCATCAACTCGTCGTTTACATTAAGTATTTATCCTAATGCTATCCCTCCCCCAGCCCCCACCCCCTGACAGGCCCCTCCCTGTGTCCATGTGTTCTCATTGTTCAACTCCCACTTATGAGTGAGAACATGCAGTGTTTGGTTTTCTGTTCCTGTGTATGTTTGCTGAGAATGATGGTTTCCAGCTTCATCCATGTCCCTGCAAAGGACATGAACTCATCCTTTTTTATGGCTCAGAGTATTCCATGGTGTATATGTGCCATATTTTCTTTATCCAGTCTATTATTGGTGGGCATTTGGGTTGGTTCCAAGTCTTTGCTGTTGTGAATAGTGCCACAATAAACATACATGTGCAAGTGTCTTTATAGTAGCATGATTTATAATCCTCTGGGTATATACACAGTAATGGGATTGCTGGGTCAAATGGTATTTCTAGTTCTAGATTCTTGAGGAATCGCCACACTGTCTTCCACAATGGTTGAACTAATTTACACTCCCACCAACCGTGTAAAAGCGTTCCTATTTCTCCATATCCTCTCCAGCATGTTTCCTGACTTTTTAAGGATCGCCATTCTAACTGGTGTGAGATGGTATCTCATTGTAGTTTTGATTTGCATTTCTCTAATGACCAGTGATGATGAGCATTTTTTCTATGCCTGTTGGCTGCATAAATGTCTTCTTTTGAGAAGTGTCTGTTCATATTCTTTGCCCACTTTTTGATGGGGTTGTTTGTTTTTTTCTTGTAAATTTGTTTAAGTTCTTTGTAGATTCTGGATATTAGCCCTTTGTCAGATGGGTAGATTGCAAAAATTTTCTCCCATTCCATAGGTTGCCTGTTTACTCTGCTGATAGTTTCTTTTGCTCTGCAGAAGCTTTTTTGTATAAATTTCTTTTTCCTATAATAACGCTGTACAAGGAAGAGTCTTGAATTAAGGATAGAAAGAATGGGTGTGAAATAATTAGACTAGACCTTAAGTCACCATTGTCATATTCTACATTTGTCTCCTTTAAAAGTATTGTATTGACAACTGCAGTGGATGCTGTGCTGTGCTGTCCAAATCCTCCTCTAGAAATGGAGCTTTTATTCCCCTAGGTGCCTGGATTGCTGTCAGAAGGTGGACCTCAGCTCTCAGCTCCTTCTAGGGACTGGCTTGGCTCAGGGAGCCACCTCACACAGTCACACATCATGGTCACAATGGCCTACATCCAGTGATTTTCAATGTGGGGTATAAAGTCCCAGGCCCATCACCCAACTAGGAACAATTCTCAAGGGTCATCCAGCTTCCAAACTCTGTAGGATTGGCTGAGTCCTCAGAGGAGATGGCATCACAACTCAACTTCTTCCACTGTTCATAACATCATAATTTGCTATTTGTCATACTAATGCATAAAATACATATTAATTTTACCTTAAAAATATTTTTTGATATTCTGCCTCAATGTGCTAAAATAAATGTTCATTTTTCGTAAAAGAAATAAAACTTTCTTCCTGTCTATCTTCCTTTCTATTTAGAATCACTTCATAGCTGAATGGATCTTCATTTGCTTTCAAAAGGAGGCCCTACTTCAACCAGTCTTCCACCTCACTGCCTCACATGCAGGCCACGCTCACCGCTGCTTTCAAACTCTTGTCCACTCAGTGTCTTTCCTTCAACCCAAATTTCATTCTCAGTTTATTGAAATTCTGTTCATTCTTTATGGCTCACTTCATTTTCATCCCCCTTTGTAATTCCTTTTCTGACATCTATTTTCTTTGCTCTTTCTCTTCTCTGAAATTATAAGTAGCCATTTCCTATGGTGTGCAATAACACTTCCTCAACGTGTTTTTGGATTTTACTTTCTTATGTGTATATCGGCCTATTCAAATAGATGGCAAAGTCTTAGAGCAGAAGCCAAGGTGGGTTCTTCTTTGTACTCACTATGGTATGCCACCATAGTACTGGGTAGTAACTATCATCTATCATTTATTAAGCATTTAGTTTTTGCCAGATACAGTGCTTAGCACTTTCCACATATTAACCCATTTAATTTTTACAAATACCTAGTGAGACTTATGCTACTATTATCCTTGTTTGGCAGTTGAGAAAACTGAGTCTTAGAGAGATAAAGAAATTGTTTAAGATGACAGAGATGGAAATGGCAGAGATTGGTCTATCTCACTGCCAAGCCATAGTTCTGAATTACTCTACCACATGCTCCCTATGCATTCAACAAGGTGTCATGAATCAACTGATCTAAACCTAAATCACAAAGCATGGGATTTGTTTGTGAGGGTCTAAAGAATAAGATAAACCTTTAGTCCCATGGGGTATATCATTTATTTTTTCAATGTTTAGTAGCACCAGTGAGAAATCAGCTGTGAACAGCATAATAGACTTCTTGCTATTGCTTCTTTGTACTAAAGTTGGCATCAAGTCATTCATTTACTCCCCAGATGTAATTTGGCATCACTACGTAGAGTTTAGTCATCATGGAGACATCAAAATATTAGTCATGTCCCCCAAGAAGCTCACATTATAAATAAAGACACGATGGAGCTCACAGACATCTGTGCGCTGCAGAGCTAAGATTTCCTAGGAGAGACATGATACTGAAATCATGACTCATGCATTTAGAAATCACAAATGTAATTACATTCATCAGCACTCTTTCACATTTGCTGTTTTTGAGTATCAAACAGAGCTTACCAGAGAAGAAAATACAACAATCTGAAAAGAGAATTCAGAAACACATCATGCTCAAATTATCATACTTCAGTGGATCACATGTGATCATGGGATTTGTGTCACTTCAGCCTATAAAACAGATCTTGCCCAGCTCTAAAATATAGCTTAAAGTAGCCATGGCCAGAAAAGATCGAGACCTCCATTTTACCATAAACATTTATGTGAATTTGGTTCTCTCTGCATATTTTATTTTTAAAAAATTTAAATTATTACCAAAACCAAATAAATAGTCCCTAAAGTGAAATCATGCTCATGTCATTGTCTAATGGGTAATTTATTGTACTAAAGGTTTGGAGGGGAAAAACAGCGACAACGACAACTAAAGAATTGAAGACAGCTCATGTAGCTTATCAGGTTCAATGTCCATGCAAATATTCTCTTACCATGATGTCACAATATTTTTAAATACATATAGATATAAGTAGCAACATGCTTTCTGGTTTCTAAAACAATTTTTCTTCTTGTTATCCTAGGGTTTCACAAATAAGTGGTAAGATACAATACATAGGACTACTCTGTGGAACTTTTGAAAATTGTGTCTGTTTGCTAGAAGGTCACATGTCTTGTCCAAATCAAGAATTGAAAGAATATCTGGTCTACTGATCCATCTTTTGCTATATCGGGGAAATATTCTTTAAATAACTACTTTAGTGAAGAAAGATGTCTGATATTTTTGTCCTTCATTTTAACTCTAACACTGTAATTTTCATCACAAGTAAATGAATTGAGAATTTCAAATAACTTATAGCTTCCACAATCAAGTCTTTTCAACTGACTCACTTGTATCATTTACCTCACCATGATCCTTTCATTACTGTGAAAACATTTTCAATTTTGCCTTCCAGTTGTTGATTGAGAGTGTTACTTCTTGGGGGAAAAATGCCACATAATACAACTTTGTGAACTAATCTTTATCATTAGCATAAGCAATATATTCACACATCCAGATTTTTGGCCCTTTTCTTGTTGTCATATCATGGAGAAGACTAGGATAGTTCTCTCAGCTAATGTAGTAAACATCTCTACTCTGGAGTAAACTTCCAAAATCATTTCTGTTTTAGTTTACATTTATCACAGGAGATATAGACAACTGTTTGATTGTTTTATGTTACCTTCTTCCCATTAATTTACCATTTACCAACCTATTTAATGCAAGAGCTCAGACTTGGCTGATGCAAATCAATGACTTTTTAAAAACTTTGTCCCTCTGGTGTTTTGTGTGTAATGGAGTAGGGGTATTAGGATACTTCCATATTGCAGAATCAAAAACTATATTACCTTTCTAATCAAATAAAAGAAAAGTGTACTTTTAGAATAAAAAATAGTTAACTTTTTTTAAAGAACGAAAGAAAAAATGCATACTGGCACCCTATTTAATGTTTATCCCCAACAGAATTGCCTTCACAGACAGGTATTTTGATGCTTCGAGACAGTCTTGTTACTGGAAGCTGACTCTACCAAAAAGGCATGTATTTGACATTATGGAAGACTCACCCAGATTAAAAAGACTAAAGAATCAGATTTGGAGAAGTTCCAAAAGGCCTTGATAGCAGCAATTGATAAACTGATTAGCACTCTCAGACACTGCAGTGAATTAGCTCTAACCATTTTTTGGTTGTGTTATCACCATGCATGCTTCAGAGAGGGAGAGTCTAATTGGTTTATCTTAGGTTAACTTGCGTTCACCCCCTTGATGAGGCAGAGGGTAAAAACTTTCCCCAAACTTGTATTTTGTCTTTCTTCCTTTCTAAAACAGAACTCCAGAGATTTAGCTGTATACAGGCTCTGCACCTAGAGACTTTATTTCCTTTGCAACCAGGTGTGAGCATGTGACTTAGTTCTAGTCAATAGGATGTGAACAAAAAAATGTTCACAACTGTCAGGTTCTCATAAAGATAAAGTCACCTTCCCAGGCCTTGTTTTTCTCTGTCCCACATACAGAAACATGAACATGTGGAACAGGTTAGCGGTGTCCAGTGTTGTTACAGTAAGCGAAACAGTAGCCTGGGGATGGCGGAGCAACAATATGGAAGGATCAGGATCCTAGAATGACTTTCTGTAGCAAAGCTGATCTGCCAACTTGAAATGGCAAGTATTATGAGAGAGAGAAATGAACTCCTACCTCATTTACTTTGAAGTTTCTTTGTTATATCTGGTTACCTTAACTACTATACCCCACATAAGGAGGATAAGGACACCAGATTTGCTGACTGTTCTTAAAAGGAGACAATCATTTCTTCAAAAGAATTAGAAACCAAGAACCACTCCCTAAAATGGAATTCATTTTGGGCAACTGAAACAATGAATCCAGTACAGCTTTCACAATATATAATAAATATATTGTGCAGCTTTCATAGAAATAGGCAAGTCAAACCGATTACTGTGTTTGCCTGAAGATTATTTTGAGGACTTTATCCATGACATCACTCACTTTTCCCTAAAGTGACCCTTACAACATTTTGTTTACAATGAAATGCTCAGAGAAGTTTTTATTCCCCTGAGAAAGTGATCTGATTTTGATTTTGACCAAAAAACTACGTGCATGAAAATGTTTCCCTGTTCATTCTGTACCAAGAAATTTAGAGTTGAATTTACAGTTCAGGTACCTCTTATACTGCTTCTTATGGTATGCAAAGTAGTGTCCTTTTTAAGTTTTAGCCTTGGATTCTTAACCTAAGTTTTATTATTCTGGATTTTGACTTTTAAACTTTTATATTTTAGCATTTTATTTTATATGCTTTTATTGCCCCCAGATTCAACTACTAAAAAAGATTGGTGGACTATAAATAAATGAGAAAATAATTCAAAAAACAGAATATTCATAATTTTAAAAGATATACATTCAACTTTTTCTAATTTTTCAGGGAACTTATGTATATTTTATTAATCACTACCAAGTTCCCATTCTCTTTCCGAAGTTTCTATATGTTTTCTTGATTCTCTTCTCCCTCAATCTTTAATTACAGTCATTTAGCCTTATGTTAGGAGCAAAGTGGGATCCAGGTTTTGTGGGGCCTAAAGCTTATACAACGTTGGAGACTCTACTAAATGCACAACTAGGACTAAGTGAATATTTATGTAGAACGAGATATGAAATAATAACCACAAATAAGTTAAAAAGAAATTAAAAAGAAACCGCAGCCACAAGCACAATGAAATCTGCAGAAAATATTATTAAACTGCCTACACTATGTTCATGCAAGTATATTTTCAAACTGTTGATAGCTGTAAACAATATTGTGCTTGTTTTTTTCTCATTTAATACTCCATCATTATTTTCCTATGACATTTAGGATTTATTTTTAAGTAGAAATAATTTACTCTTAAAAGATTTGAAATAAAAACCCCCAAAACAAAACAGATGCTTGCAAGGATAAGGGGAAAAGAAAACGCTTGTACATTGTTGGTGGGAATGTAAATCAGTATGACCTCTATGGAAAACGGTATGAAAAGCTTTCAAAGAACTAAAAATAGAGCTATCATAGGATGCAGCAATCCCACTACTGGGTATCTATTCAAAGAAAAAGAAATCAATATATCAAAGGAATACCTGCATTCACATGTTTATTGCAGCATTATTCACAATAGCAAAGATATGGAATTAAGTGCCCAGCAACAGACTAATAGATAAAGAAAATGTGGTACATATACAAAATGGAATACTATTTGGTCATAAAAAAGAATAAAATCATGTTATTTGCAGCAATGTGGATGAAACTGGAAGCCATTATGTTAAGTGAAATAAGCCAGCCACAGAAAGACAAATACCTCATGTTCTCATAAGTGGGAGCGAAAAAACTTGATCTCAGGGACATAAAGAAAGAACAATAGATAACAAAGACTGAGAAGCATGGATGCATGGGAGTGGGAACTGAAAAGATGCTGGTCATGGGTACAAACATACAGTTAAATAGAAGAAATAAGTTCTAATGTTTGATATCAGACTAGGGCACCTATAGTTAGCAACAATATTATGTATATTTCTCAAAGCAACTAAAAAAGAGCACTTTGAAATGATGCCAACATATAAAAATGATAAATACTCAAGTTGATGGATGCCCCAATTACCCAATTACATGCAAGGAATGTGTGATTGACTATCAGACACTCACATGCATTCCATAAATATGTAAATTCTTATATGCCAATAAAAGAAAAAAGATTCAAAAATAAAATATAATTTTTATGTGTTTAAAAATGAAATTCAATTTAAAAACTCGTTAAAATTGAAAACAAACTGAAATGAATACATCTGTGGATCAAATTTGTGATATAACTACACGCTAAAGACAAGTAGAGCTATTGCAATCCCTACTAAATGGAACCAGAATTCCTTGAGAAAATGGCTAATTCTAGTTCTGGGGCAGAAAACATACAACATGAGTCTAGGATGTGCCTCAAAAGAGAAAAGTTTCAAGGACTGATGGAGTTGTATCAATTGGTCATGGAAGCAAACATAAAGGATCTCCATTGATCAACGATGAGAAAAATTGAATAAAAATTAATGGAAGTAATTGAAAGCAATTAAATAAAGCAAATTTTCTATGTTCATAATGACGGAGAGAGGAAGAGAGAGATGGAGAGGGAGAAAGGTCAAAATTTAAAACTCAGTAAACATCATTGGAAATAACTAGAGTACCAAGTACTAGTTACAGAATGGATAATTTAACATAAAGAACTGAATATTTATTTTGCCATGAATATAAACTATATTTCAAGAAAAATAGTCATAGTTGATGAAAGAATGATATTCTTTATAAAGTAATTCCATCTAAAAAAATTTAAGAAGCATAATAGAATTAGAAAATTACCCCCAATGAAGAAATTAAATCAGGAAACTATCATAAAGGACTGTAGACATCATATCAAAGATTGATACAAAATATTAAAATAGAAGGACCAGATTGTCACCACCTGAAATCACTGATCAATCTCAGCATCACTAAATTGGGAACAACCAAATATTTCAGGCCTTTGATGTGATACCAGTTGAAGCATACAACACCACCTCTAAACATTCTTGGCAAAAATGTTGAGCCTAAATCTAATAAAAACTCTGGAAGTAATTTCCATTTTGAGAAAATATGGGAGGTGGAGGCACATGTTAACTCCATGAGGAATCAAGCAGACAAATTCAGAGTGTGGAACATTCTACAGGGCAACTATTTTGTTTCTGTAACAAGTAAATTGTACAAAAGAGGAAAAAAGAGATGAGTGGAAAGTGGGCTAAATTTAAGTTGGTGTAAGGGCTGCGTCAAATGTAATATGTGATCTTATTTGGATACTGTTTCAAGCAAACTAACTGTTAAAAAGGCACTTTTTATAATTGAGAAAATTTACTTACGGACATTATATTACCTCAAATAATTATTTTTACTTTCCTATTTTACTTTCCTATAAATGATCATTGCATTGTCATTGTATAAAAATGCAATGTTTTTTACTTGTATAATGGAGGATGTAGGGATAAAAGAACATGATGTATAGAATTCACTTTTAAATACTTCAGTAGAGAAGAAAAGGAGACTAGATGAAGCAAATTAATTGTTAAATTTGTTGATAAGTATATGAAAGTTCATTGATTATATATGAAAAATTTATATTTTATAAGTCTGGCTTAAAATGCCATGAGACCAAATGTTTTAAAATAAATGGTTATTTTGGTATTCAAACAATACATTTTTACTGTATATAATATTAAAGTAAAAATAAAATTAAAATCATCTGAAATCTGTTCGTGGAGAAATTACTATTGTTGACAACTGGATTTCATATTTACATAAATAAAATATTACAAAATAAAAATAAAATGAAGTTTTTAACTTGCTAGTATCCATTAAATCAATACCATCGTATATATACAATATGAAATTATCACCCCATAAAGAACTATTAAGAAAAAGCTTATTTAAAATGCTGAATTACCATTACATATACATTATGTTATGATAATTTCTATTGTTATGGTTTCTTTCTAATTGGTCTTGAGGCCTAGAGAGGCCTAAAGCCAAGATAAACATTTGCTAGGAGAGCCCTGATAGGGGAAAGTTAAGTTCAAGTGTGTGTTTCAGGTGACACACAATGAAGAAGTAAAACCAAAATGCATGAAACAGATCAAATTTATTACTCACTGGCCCCAGAGTGATTCAGTGTGCCAACAAGAGGCTGACTGGGAGATGTGGAGGTGGCAGGGAGCTGGAGCTGTGGAGTAGAGGAAGACATGTTGAGAGAGAGAGAGAGACCTGGAAACTATGCCTTTATTAAGGTCCAGGGTGTTATCCCTTAGGCTTTCCCATGGGAATTGCGGATTGGCTAGTTTAAGGAAAATATTTATTTATTTATTTTAGAGATAGCATCTCGCTCTGTCACCCAGGCTGGAGTGCAGTGGCGCGACCTCAGTTCACTGAAACCTCCGTCTCCCGAGTTCAAGCAATTATCCTACCTCAACCTCCCGAGTAGCTGGGATTACAAGCACGTGCCACCTCACCCCGCTAATTTTTGTATTTTTAGTAGAGTCAGGGTTTCACCATGTTGGCCAGGCTGGTCTTGAAGTCCTGACCTCAGATGATCCGCCTGCCTCAGCTTCCCAAAGTGTTGGGATCACAGACGTGAGCCACTGCGTGTGGCCGGGGAGAACTTACTGGCATGACTCTAGAGTTGACCATTAGGTTTTCTCGTGGTCGGGAGCTGTGAAATATTTTCGGCTTTGGATCACTGAGATGAGGAACAATGGGCTATATCACAAACAGCTGCACAGGAAGGAAGAAATTTTAACTAAGCCAAAGGCGACAGGGCACAACTGGGTTCAAACAACTTAGGTCAGCCCTAAAAATAGATACTGAGGCAGCAAGTATAGGAAACACCAAATCTATGACACATCACTTAGTGGTTAATAGAATAAACCTCTCTGCAATGTCTGTTTTTGAATTTATCTTTAGCATATACTTTAGTTTGCCTTACTCATATGTCCTTGATTATTTTTCTTTTGTAACTTTTGATAGAAATGGCTTTCAAATAAAAATGAATTCAATAAACATTTATTGAACGCTTACTGTGTGCCAGGTATGAGGGTGGCAGGATGCACTGATAAATTAGATATGGTTGCAGTCCACAAGGAGTGAGAGTCTATTAAAGCATGTGGATATAATGAATTTAAACTCTACGATAAAATATGACATGAGCTCTAGCAGATGTTTACCGAAGGTGATACAGGGCATAGAAGAGGGAGCAATTGACTTTCCCTGGCAAAGTAAAACAAAAACAAAATCCTTCAATTTGTAGGGATGTCTTATGCTGAATTTTAAAAGATGATTGAGGTTTGGGGTGGGGATCATAGTGAACGTTGCCCGAATCAAAGTGAAGACGGTAGAGGCAACAAAGGCAGGTTGACATAAAGTCAAGTTGCAAGGTAAGCACAGCGCCAGGCAGTTCATGATGACAGTAGGGTAGTGAAGGGAATGAGGGGAGTGGGCATGGAAAAGGAGGTTATGGGACATTCATAGAGGCAAGACTAGCAGATAGGCACAGCCAGATCTAGAGTAGAACACAAAGGTTAGACTAAAACTTTTTATTGTTACAAATTTACACATGATAGAAAGACACAAAAAGGCTAACTAGGAAGTATTTTCTCAGGCTCTTCATGTATATTTTATTTTTTCCCATCTTTAAAATTTAGACACTAGAGGATTTTACTTTCAATCCTCAGTAAGAAGGCAGTAATAGATTTAAAAAGACATTCAAGTAAAGGGAGTCAATTTGGACAACCCAGTAAATGCATGCATGAGATTGCCTGTATGAACATGTAATGAGAGTTCTGGAGGCTTTCAGGGCTGTGTCTGTTGGCAGCAACTAAGGAAATGGCAGCACTGTTACAGGCAAAGCAAGCTTGAAGGAACTCACTTCTAAGTCTCATGACGGTTTTGGACATGTTGATTTTGATATAAAACTGAACAGTTTTATTACTTTTTCAAAATATTTTTAAGTTCAGGGGTACATGTGGAGGTTTGCTATATAGGTAAATTTCAGGTCATGGGTAAATTGCATGTCATGTTTAGTGTACAGATTATTTTGTCACCCAGGTAATAAGCATAATATCTGACAGGCAGTTTTTCCATCCTCCCCCTCCCCCCACCTGCCACCCTCAATTAGGCCCCAGTGTCTGTTTTTCCCTTCTTTATGTCCGTGTGTACCCATTGTGTAGCTCCCACTTATAAGAGAGAACAAGCAATATTTGATATTCTTTTTCTGCATAATTTCACTTGGGATAGTGGCCCTCAGCTCCATCCATGGTGCTACAAAGAATATAATTTTATTTTTTTTATGGCTGGCTGCTTAGTATTCTGTGGACAGACACACGCACACACACGCCATGGAATATATATGTGTGTGTGTGTGTATATATATATATATATATATATATATATATATATACACACACACATATATTCTAATTGGTCTTGAGGTGTCTCTATTGAAGACTAAAGCCAAGATAAACATACACACACACACACACACACAAACACACACACCACAGAATACTAAGCAGCCGTAATATGTGGCTTTATTTTCTTTATCCAACCAATTGTTGATGGCCACTAGGTTGTTTCTATGACTTTGTTATTATGAATAACGCTGCCCTAAACATACTAGTGCAGATGTCTTTTTGATAGAATAATCTCTATTTTTAGTGGGGGTAAATACCCAGTAGTGAGGCTGCTGGGGTGAAGGGTAGTTCTATTTTTAGTTCTTTGAGAAATCTCCATACTGTTTTCCATGCGGTTTGAACTAATTTATATTCCCACCAACACTGTATAAGCATTCCCTTTTCTCTGCCACCTTGCTAGCATCTGTATATTTTGACTTTTTAATAATAGCCATTCTGACTGGTGGGAGTTGGTATCTCATTGTGGTTTTTATTTGCATTTCTCTAATGATCAGTGATGTTGAGCTTTTTTGCATATGCTTGTTGACCATGTGTATGTCTTCGAGAAGTGTCTGTTCATGTCCTTTGCCCACTTTTTAATGGGGTTGTTTGCTTTTGCTTGTAAATTTGTTTAAACTCCTTATAGATTCTGGATGTTAGACCTTTGTCAGATGCATAGTTTGCAAATATTTGCTCCCATTCTGTAGGTTGTCTATTTACTCTGTTGATAGTTTCTTTTGCTGTGCAGAAGCTCTTTAGCTTAATTAGGTCCCAATTGTCAATTTTTGTTTTTGTAAAACTGTTACTCTAACAGTCTAAAATCAGTTATTTGAAGAAAGAATTAGAGTACATCAAAAGGTATAATTCACTTGACAGGTCCAAAATTACAAAATGTTTGCCTTTTATTTTATTGTTTATTGTTTCTACACTGTTTTCTTCTTTGAAAAGTGAGATGGTCTATGTTAACTTGGTAAAGCATTCCAAAGGCTCAAAGATGCACACTGGGCATAGATCAACTTCAGTTTCTCTTTATGTTTCTAAAAGGTCAATTTCTTAGTCTCATAACAAATCACCTCAGTGAATCCTGGCATTTTCTCTACGTCCGTTTTTGGAATTAGGGATGGTATGTTAAACTTGTAGAAGTTTTGTTTATTTAGCACGTAATTTTTTACAGTTTCAACTTTATAGAATATTTTCTCTCACTTTTTGAAAGAAGAAATATTTTTGTTCCAAGTTAATAAAATGTTAGCTCTAACTTTTTCCTTTGTTTCAGCTTATGAAAAATATCAAACAAATTTCATAGGTCATCCATTTTGATGACATATAGATGTCTCATTGCTAGGCCTCAAATACTTAGAAGTATAGCTTTACATTGGAACTGCTCCATGCTTTTAGATGGGTATGATTATGCTGTCACATAAACAATCCATATGGATTCTTTTGTACCAGCAATTGCAAAATAAATTGTCAAATATTTTCATATGCCCTCTTAATATGAAAAATAATCAGAGATCACGTATTTCTGAAATGGTAACATTGGAGAAGGTAAACTATGTGAAGGAAAACAAGTGGAAAAATATACTACAAATCAATTTTCATAGAGCAAAGTCTTCAACTATATCCAGTTATATATATGAGTGAAATTTGTCCCTTATAGAAGTTTCGTAGGAGTTTCCAAAGTTCTAGAACTTTAAGTATAGAAAATGCCTTTTTTAACCTTTAAAGACAGTTGAATCGGCAGGCAAGACAGTGAACATTATGGAAAAAACCAAGGACAATTGAGATTTTTACACTATCCTTTTGTGAACCCGGCACTCAGAAAATAGAGAAATTTGTCAAACTTTCAGCACACTATTTGAAGAGGCACCTATACAACAATTAGAAATAAACACAAGAATGAGTGGCAGCTGTGACAGACATTCTGAAACTTTGTCTCACAAAATATATCTCAAAGTCTGAGTACAGCATCTATCTGGAAAATCATAACATTTTAAATAAAGACAAAGATATTGATGCTGTGTCCTTTGTGACATGCCCATGTTCATGTGTACACATGCCTGTGTGCACACACACGTAAAGATGTTCTCCTTACCATTTGTCATGCTGCTTTTCTGTACCAGCCAAAGTGAGCTTGGCTCAACATTATGGGAAGCATTCCAAAGGAAAACTCTAAGAACTGATGCATGAAAAGGAAAACCCACCTGTTACTAGGATACCAAAGTCCTTTATCTTCTGACATTCAATAGTAAATTGGAGCAAGTCAAAGACTACTCATAATGCAAGAAAGCAGCCTGAAAGACAAGCTGCTTCCATAGACATTTTATTACACACTGGCTTAAAGAACACTGCCCACATTTAATGCATTGGTAGACCTTGCCATAGAGTAAGAGAGTCACTAAGACCTGGATTAGAAACAATAGAGAAATTTAATTTGAAAGAACTGCATAAGGATTGTGTCATACTGGCAAAGCAAAATAGATCTGTGCCTGCACTTTCACGGTGCAAGGCTTAAGCTGAGTTAAATGAGAAAAATATTTGAATATGTTCAAAAGCTTGGAAGTGATTTTCATACTTTACATGTGCACTGTTACTGTACCTATCAGGAGGAGACATACTATAGGAATATAGTTATTAAATTACCCTTCAGACTTGTCTTCCCTGTCCTAAATAATACTATTTCCTTTAACATTCCCACAGTTCTCATTCTCCCCCATTTCTGAACACTTTATTTTTATTTCCTAGACTTTTCCATCTTCTCTACCTCGACTTGCTGCATTGAAATAATTTGGTCAAATGGCTTTGTAACATAGCAATTGGTATTTAAATTTGTGGAAGTTGCACAGATCTGTCATACCAATTTTCATATAATGATGTATTGACATATACATAAATTTTAATATTTTCTACTGATGGTAGCATTTACGTGAGGCATCTAGGGAATTTCTACATGATTAATTAGAGCCTCAGTACAGTATTATTTGAGATTCATTGAGACTTAGATTTAGTCGTTGTCTTGTTACTGTAGTAAGGTGTTATAATGTGTAAGAGCAATTTAAATATACATTTTCTTCAATACTTCAAAGATAGTTATCACATGCACTGAAACTGAATCACTTAGTGTTCTTTTCTTTTCAGAGAAATAAGAAAATCCACTGTGGGTGATTTTAGCCATAAGAGTACATTCAGTTATCTTTGCACAGCAGTTTTCTCTGTTCCCAGCCTCATGCTCTAAGCAGTATAGTACCAACAGACTGACATTTAAAAGAACTCTTGAGACTAGGTCATTTATGCCGGCAGGGTATTTTGTGAAATTAATACATTGTGTTCATCAAAGGGCCATTGTAATAGAAATCTGTTCTTCTGCAGTTGACTCCAGAGACCACAGATCATTTGGCCTACCTGGATACATGTTTTTAAGAAAGAAGCCAAGAGATGATTTTAGGTTGTTAGGGGGGTGACATTGCTGACAGAGACAAGCTAAAATATATGAAACAGAACCATAGTCAAACTTACCTTACTTCTAAAATGTGACAGCTACAATCATTAAAAAGAGACTGTGATAAAAGGAATTTTTAAAAAAATCCTCTAAGATCTTGACTTTTTCATACTCTTTACCTTAGAACATTTTGAAAAATAAGCCATAGGACTTTGGATCTTACTGGAAGAATCTTTTGGTGCCTGGGGTCTCTTCCAGCAGCTATGATGCAGTGTTATGAAAAGAGCCCTTTTCCAGGAGACCTATGTTTGAGTCCAGCTGGGCCACTAGTTGACCTTGTAACCACTTGGCCACTTAATCATTACAGGTTTCAAGTTCTTTATTTGTAAAATGAAGGGATTAGACCAATATTTCCAACATACCATAAGAAATCTGTTTTGTTACATAATTTGCTGGTTTCTACTCATTATTGTTAGAATGTATTTAGATTAGTTCAAGAGAATAAAAAGGTACACATCTCACATCCTGTGAGACAAAATAGGGAGTTGCCCACGCATCTGAGAGATTCCCCATATCACAGGTCTTGTATAAACTTCATGAGCACCTTCCCAACCTGATTCAAGAATGTGACACCCTGGACTGTTAACAAGTGAGCAAGTGATCCTGCTTTATTTCCACAAACTCAGTTTGTAAAAACTCTAAAAATTAAATGTATTTTCCATTACTTGTAGAGGGAGAGGTAATATTTTGAGGCATATTTCATCAACAACCCTCTGTGAATTGGCCATTATTATGTCTGTATTTAGGAAAAATAAGCATATTTAACATATCAGGTAAAATATAGACAACATTATCAGGCAAGAGTAGACACTGCAATCTGCAATCTTATGAATTTACATCACTGAGTGATGGTCAGCTTAGGTGGATAAAAAGGAATTCAACTATGCTTTGCCCTCACACAATCTACACACAGCATTGCTTGTTCCCATTATTGCCAGTTATCAGACCTCGTAAGTGAAGGAATAATTGATGTTGTAATTTATAAGCAATATAGATTAATTATGAGAAGTCAATTGTTGTTATTAACTAATAATAATGTTAGGCTTACTCAAAAGTTGTCTATGAACAGCAGATAGTTTGAATTGGGTTGTGCAAAAAGGCACATGTGGATAATTTTGGAAGACTACAATTTGTCTCTTACAAAGGTAGCTTTTACGTAGGGCTTTACCCCCTTTATTCCTGTCTCTGCTTAATCATTATCCCAGGATAACAACCAAAGGACAATTGCCAGCTTATTTTAGTCTATTCACCTAGGCAGCTTAATCTATTTTTCTTACTATAAATTAGTATCTTATTTTTCTGATTATTAATACATTCCTATAAAACAGTCAAATAATGTAGAAATGAATAAAACATCAGTTGTAAGTCTCCATTAATTGGCAGAAAGGTTAGGATGAGTTGAAATTCAGGGATGTCTGTTGCATGCATATTACTTATACTACGTCCAACAAAAGAATGAAGCATTTTGTTAAAAAGAAAATTGAAACTAGGAGGAAGAGTTTGTACGGTGTCTATTTTCCATATATGGTCATTCAAACAGTAAAGAAGCATTTCTGAAATACAAAGACAACCATGAAAAGAATGAGCCATAGTACATCAAATATTTTGTGAATGATCCTAGTTTTCCATTTCATTTTGTAACAGAACACAATATTTAACCTGTCCTTTCGTGGTCAAAACAGTAGAATGCAACACAGCAAGACAGTCTGTCTAGTACTCTGAAACCAGATTTAATAATCAATAGAAGCAACAGAACATGAATCAAGCATGCATGTGAATAAAATGAAGACATAACAAAAGACTGATTTTTCTTTGGGAGGCAAAGGTGGGAGGATAGCCTGAGGCCAGGAGGTCAAGACCAGCCTGGTCAGTGTAGCAAGATCCTGTCTCTACAAAAGAAAAAAAAGATTAGCCAGGCATGGCACAGAACTGTAGTCTCAGGTACTCAGGAGGCTGAGGTGGAAGAGTCCCTTGAGCCCAGGAAGTTGAAGCTGCAGTGAACCATGATCACACCGCTGCACTCCAGCTTGGGTAACAGAGCGAGACCCTGTCACACACACACACAAAGACAGACTTTTTAGTACTTTTACATGAAAGAAGTGTGAATAATTGATGACAACAATGTCTTTTCTTTCTTCTAAAATAAATGATCTTATAAGCAGAGAATGAAAAGCTGAAGTAAATATCATAATTAACCACGAAACACTAGAGGCATTATTATTGCAATCTCTTAAATAATAAAACAAAGATTAGGCTGCAGAATTTGAAGTAAGGATATAAAGTAAACACTAAATTCATGTTAATCCTGGCTTCTTTTATCTTCATTCAGTAACAATCAACATTTAAGAAATATTTATTAGGCTCCATTGATGTGCCAGGAAATTGGTGAGGCCTTGAGAATTTTAGTGATGAGTAAGCACGGTTGTTATATTTAGGGAGTTCCTATTCTAGAGGGGATATAGATAAATAGACAAGCAAAATTAGATGGTTATGACACCTACGGTGATAAAGGTAAAGAACTGGTTGCTAGGGAACCATTTAAGAAGGGAACACACTGCAAGAAGGAGTGGCCTCTCTACTAAATCTTAACAAGCTAGTAGGAATCACACAGGAGAGTAGATTGAAGAGGAGGTGCAGCCTATAAATAAAAGGAGAGGGATATGTAAAACATTGGCATACAAGGCAGCACAATATATTTAAAGAACTGCAAATATTTAGGGTAATTTTCAAGAAAGTAATTTCAACAGTTCCTAATAAGTCAAGTTCCACTAACTTTTGGATTTTTATATATTTTGAAAATCAAAATATTATATTATTGAATCTCCTACAGATATGAGTTGGCATTAATTATTATTGCAGGAAAGCCTTTCTCTATCACTAATTTGACTTGATTCCTAATTGTAGGAGAGACTTCATATATGCCAATTCGTGAATTGTTCATTGCTTTTATAATTCATTTACTCAAACATCAACGTCTAATCTCTGAGTTTATATTTAATATCTGCCCCAAGAAAGTCCATAATATTCCCAGGTTTCTCAATACCATGGGACTAGCCACATAGGATTGTATTGGGAAACCTTAGACAATTCATTATTTGTAGAAGTACTTGTTTAGGTCATGACTGGAAGCCAGATAAGACTCACAGCAATCTGGAAATTATCTTCATAAAGTTGTACTTTTTTCCCACATTTTTACATCTTTCAAGTCTTTAAAACTCTTGGGAATTTTCTATGTGTTCTGCTGAGATGAAACCTTGTGTCTATAAATAAGTTCTCACATTTCATTTCGGAAAGATATCTTTGTTGACCTTTGAAATGAGCTTCATCTTTTGTTTGCAGTTTGAAATCCATTTTGAGTGAGAGTAGAGTTTCCATTGCAGCTGGAAAGCTTGCAATCTTTGTCTATTGACTTTAGCAACTAACCCCTGTAGCCTGGCAACTATGTCTAGGACACATTGAGCAGTCAATAAATACACACTGAGTAAATAAAGGAATGTTCATGGATCTGCATTCACACTACTGACTAGGTAGTCTTTAAGGGCCATTTTAGCTCTAAATTTTTAGGATTCTATAGAAAAAGAACAATATGTAAGGAAGAACATGTCTTCTTAGAAATGTTCAGAAGAGGAAGAAGAAGAAAGAGGAGGTGGCAGAGGCAGGGAAAGAGAAGATGGGCAGGTGGGGAGGACGAGAGAAAACATGCAGGTAGGAAATATAACACAGAGTGTGGAGTCTTTTCAGATGGTCTGGAGGGTCCATGTCATGCAGATTCAGTCAGCACTGTTCAAATCATCTGCTCCCTCAGGCAGGAATTCGATCCATAACAAGTAGAGTAATGTTAAAGTCTGTTTAATCCATTTGGAGTACACATCCCAGGGAATACAAGTATCTTGAGCAGCCAAAAAGAGGTTTTGAAAATTCCAAAGCTGCTTTATTTAGTTGAGCAACGGTACATACCATTGGAAGAAGCAGCTTGGGAAATTCATTAAAAGGTAAAGATTTCTTTTAATGAAATACAGTAGCTTGGCAGTTAAACAAAAATTGATATACGCCTTGGGAACTTTTACTTCCTTGGTATGCCCTTCATAGCACATGCACAGAGAATAGTGATGCTAGTTTTCCAAGAAACATCATAAAACTTAGATCATGCCTATATGTAAACACAGTTGCTATTGTTCCACTGAGGTTGTATTCAAAGTTTAGGTGGGTGACATAATGAAGGATGCAATAGTTAAAGCCCTAAATTGATAGACCCAGAGGAAATGTCTAATGGCATTATACTGGTGAGAGAAAGGCACTCATGGTTTCCAAATTAAGGTGGCTTTTTTTTGTCCTTAGGAACCAATTTGAAATGACTTACCCCTCTGAAAACATTGCATGATAAAACCATACTCTCCATATTACAGTAGAACAGAGGCAAAAAATAAGAACATCTAATTAATAAAATAATTCTTAGATTAGAGAAGGGAGGGGAGAGAGGAGAGGAAAAGAAAGAAGGAACAAGACAACTCCATTCATTCATTCATTCATGTCAAGTATTTGGGTGCTTACTATGTGCCAAGTGCTGTTCTAGGCCCTTAGAATAGAGCAGTGGGTGAGACAGACAAAATTTCCCTGCCCACTTTGATTTTACATTCTAGTAGAAGATAGTAAAAATAAGTAAAAAGACATATGAACCAAACAAACTGTCAGAACATGATAAATGTTATATGTAAATTAATCAGAAAAGAAAAGATTGGAATTGGAGAGTTGGAAGAAAAGGGCAGATGTTACAATTTTAAATGGCCAGGTTTGGAAAGGGCTCCCTGAGATTAATTTAAGCAAAATCTGAAGCAGGTGCAAGAAAGCAGCCATTAAGGATAACTGGGGAAGAAATGCTGGCAGATGAAGAACCTCTTTTCTATGTAACAAGAAATTGGCTTCAATATTTAATTTAGCATATTGAAGAAAAGCCAATGTTCCTTAGAAATATACATGGTGAGGACTCTCAGGCCTAAACTCTGAGCAGTTTCAGAAACAACTGGTTGAGAAAGACTACCATGAACTTAGAGGAGCGTGGAGCCCATGCATCATGCAGGCAGGTTCTTGTAAAAGGTGACGTGGAATGAATTCCTTTAGTTGCAGCTGGCTCAGAGCTCATCCTGCTTTTGTGGAGGGATTGTTAGTTAATATCAAAAAGACCTGCTAAAGAATTTGTAGTTGGGACTAATATTTACTGAATGTTCCTTATGTGTCATTCAATATACAACACACATTCCAAGCAGTTTCTCATGTAATCCTCACAATAATCTTAAATGATAGGTAGGATTATTATCCTTATTTTATAAACAAATAAAATTAAAGTTTAGAGTGGTTAAATAATTTGGCCACACAGCTAGTAAGTTGTGGAGCCAAAACTTGAATCCAGGCAATTTGTTTTCTAAGTTAACTAGATAAAAATGTATTTATGTTTAACTATATAAAAATAATACATGATTTTCATTCTTTCTGTTGCTTTTAATTACATATTTTTAAAAATTTTTTTAAATTTAAATGATTAAACAATTGTTTAAAGAAACACATGAAGAAAAATAATTTAAGGTGTCTTCAGACATTAGTACAAATATAGATAAACAGGGTGGAAGCCCCAACTATCATCTGCTATGAAGATAAACATCCTCCTCCCCATAGGAAGCTGTCCCTGAACACAGCATATTCTTGCATGTGCTTCCCAGTACATTTGAATGTGGATGCTTAACCCTGACTAAGAAAACTGAGTGAGGAAGGGGAAGCTGCGGGATGGCAACATACAAAGTAATTGCATATAAAACAAATAAGATTAATGACCTCTGAAGAAGGGGCAGTAGGCTTTGGTTAACTTACCGTGAATTTTCAGGAAGCAAGTTGCTCTTTTCTGTTTTCCATTTGCTTGGTCGATTTTTCTCCATCCCTTTATTTTGAGCCTACAAGCAGATGCTGCAATCCTAGTTTGTGACCAAACAGGCTTCAAATCAACAAAGATCCAAAAAGGCAAAAAAGGACATTACATAATAGTAAAGGGTTCAATTCAACAAGCAGAGAGAACTTTTCTAAATATATATGTACCCAACACTGTTGTACCCAGATTCATAAAGCAAGTTCTTACAGAGGTTGAAAGAAACTTAGACTCCCACACAATAATAGTGGGAGACTTTAACACTCCACTGACAATATTAGAAAGATCATCAAGTCAGAAAATTAACAAAGATATTCAGGACCTGAATTCAGCACTGGAGCAAATGGACCTGATAGATATCTACAGAACTCTCCACCCCAAAAAACAGAATGTACATTCTTATCGCTACACAGCACATATTCTAAAATCAATCATAAAATCAGAAGTAAAACACTCCTCAACAAATGCAAAAAACCTGAAATCAAACAAAGAGTCTCTTGAACCACAGCACAATCAAATTCGAAATCAAGACTAAAAAATTTACTCAAACCCTACAATTACATAAAAATGAAATAATCTGCTCCTGAATGTCTTGTGGGTAAATAATGAAATTGAGGCAGAAATCAAGACGTTCTTTGAAACTAATGAGAACAATGATATAACATACCAGAATCTCTGGAACACAGCTAAGGCAGTGTTAAGAGGGAAATTCATAGCACTAAATGCTCACATAAAAAAGTTAGAAAGATCTCAAGTTAGCAATCTAACATCACAACTAAAAGAACTAGAGAACCAAGAGCAAAGAAATCCCAAAGCTATCAGAAGACAAAAAAATAACCAAAATTGGAGCTGAATTGAAGGAAATTCACACACACACACACAAACACACACACACACAAATTCAAAAGATCAACGAAACCAGGAGCTGGTTTTTTTTTTTTTAATTAATAAAATAGATAGACCACTAGCTAGAGTAATAAAGAAGAAAAGAGAGAAGATTCAAGTAAACCCAAGTGGAAATGACAAACCACTGACCCCATAGAAATACAAACACTATTAAAGAATATTATGAACGCCTCTATGCAGATAAATAGAAAATCTAGAAGAAATGGATAAATTCCTGGACACATAAAACCTCTCAAGACCGAACAGGGAAGAAACTGAATTCCTGAACAGACCAATAATGAGCTCTGAAATTGAGGCAGTAATAGCCTACCAACCCAAAAAACCCCAGGACCAGACAGATTCACAGCTGAATTCTATGAGATGTACAAAGAAAAGCTGGTACCATTCCTACTGAAACTGTTCCAAAAAATTGAGGAGGAGGAATTCCTCCCTAACTGATTCTATCAAGCCAGCATAATCCTGATACCACAACCAGGCAGAGATATAACAAAAAAGAAAACTTTAGGCCAATATCCTTGATCAACATTAATGCAAAAATCTTCAACAAAATACTGGCAAACTGAATCCAGCAACATATCAAAAAGCTTATCCACTATGTCAAGTAGACTTTATCTCTGGGATGTAAGGTTGGTTTGACATATGTAAATCAATAAATGTGATTCATCACATAAACAGAACTAAAGACAAAACCAAAAGGCTTTCGATAAAATTCAACATCTATTTATGTTAAAAACTCTCAATAAACTAGATATTGAAGGAACATACCTCAAAATATAAGAGCTGTTTATGACAAACCCACAGCCAACATCATACTGAATGAGAAAAAGCTGGAAGCATTCCCCTTGAAGACTGACACAAGACAAGGATGCCCTCTCTCAGCACTTCTATTCAACACAGTATTTGAAGTCTTAGGGCAGTCATGCAAGAAAAAGAAAAAAGGGCATCCAAATAGGAAGAGAGGAAGTCAAACTATCCCTGTTTGCAGGTGACATGATCCTATATCTAGAAAACCCTACAGCCTCAGCCCAATAGCTTCTTAAACTGGTAATCCTCAGCAGTCTCAGGATACAAAATTAATGGGAAAAATCGTGACCATTTCTATACACCAAAAACAGTTAAGCAGAGGGCCAAATCAGAAGCAAACTCCCATTTGCAATTGCAACAATAACAAAAATACCTAGGAATACTAGGGAGGTGAAAGATCTCTACAAAGAGAACTACAAACCACTGCTCAAAGAAATAGAGATGACACAAACAAATGGAAAAACATTCCATGCTCATGGATAGGGAGAATGAATATTAAAATGGCCATACTGCTCAAAGCAGTTTGTTGAAATAATCTGTACAACAAACCCCCATGAAACAAACATTGAATAAATTCAATACTATTTCTGACCATTGGCATTCTTCACAGAATTAGAAAAAACTATTTTAAAATTCATATAGAACCAAAAAAAAGCCCAAATAGCCAAGACAATCCTCAGCAAAAAGAACAAAGCTGGAGGCATCACCTCACCAGACTTCAAACTATGCCACGGGGTACAGTAACCAAAATAGCATGGTACTGGCACAAAAACAGACACATAGACCAACAGAACAGAATAGAGAGCCCAGAAATAAGACCACACACCTACGACTATCTGGTTTTCAAGAGACCTGACAGAACAACTCCATTAAAAAGTGGACAAAGGACATGAACAGACACTTTTCGAAAGAAGGCATACATGTGGCCAACAATCATATGAAAAAAAATTCAAAATCACTGATTGTTAGAGAAACGCAAATCAAAACAACAATGGGTTACCAACTCACACCAGTCAAAATGACTATTATTAAAATTAAAAAGTCAAAAAATGATGCTGGTGAGGTTGCAGAGAAAAATGAACGCTTACACACTGTTGGTGGGGGTGTAAATTAGTTCAGCCATTGTGGAAGATGGTGTGGCAATTGCTCAAAGACCAAAAGACAGAATTACTATTCAACCCAGCAATCCCATTACAGGGTATATACCCAAAGGAATATAAATTGGTCTATTATAAAGACACATGAACATGTATGTTTATTGCAGCACTATTCACAATAGCAAAGACATATAATCATCAATCTAAATGCCCATCAGTGATAGACTGGATAAAGAAAATGTGATATCTATCTATCTAGCTATCATCTATCACCTATCTATATAAAGGAAACGTTCTATGCATACAGACACACACACACACCATGGAATACTATGCAGCTATAAAAAAGAACGAGATCATGTCCTTTGCAGGGACGTGAATGGAGCTGGAGGCCATTATCTTTACCAAACTAAAGCAGAAACAGCAAACCAAATACCACATGTTCTCACTTACAAGTGGAAGCTAAATGATGAGAACACATGGACACATAGAAAGGAACAACACACACTGGGGTCTTTTGGAGGGTTGAGGGTGGGAGGAAGGAGAGGATCAGGAAAAATAGCTAATGGGTATGAGGCTTAACACTTGGGTGATGAAATAATCTGTACAACAAACTCTCATGACACAAGTTTACCTATGTAACAAACCTGCACATGTACTCCTGTACTTAAAATAAAAGGTTTTTTTTTTTTTTAAAGAAAGAGCATGCAAACACGGCTATTTACCAGTGCCATACTACTTTAACAAGCTTCATCTGATTTTTCTTCCCACCTTTATCCTCTTTGATGCACCATTGTTTTCAGAAAAACATCTGAATAAAATCTGGAAACAAAGCTGAGACTTTGAAAGAATAAAAACAATTTTCTCATCTCACTGAAAGTCTAACAAAAGTGCTTTCTTTTCAAAAGAGATATAAATGGTAAAAATAACTTTTTTAGAAACTATTTTTAAAGTATTAATATAAGATCATTAGACTATTTGCTAGGAAAATCTTTATATAAAGGTCATTTTGTTATTAACAAAACAAATAATAAAATTAATGTCATTATTTTTGTCTTTGTATTTCTTCCAAAGCTGTCATAATGCACTTTTTAAACTAATTCACCATGTACATGTTTTCTCCTGAATTACCTTGTCAGTTGCCTCTAATTTTTATCTTAATCTACAAAATAAAGGTTTGGTACTTTAGTTACTTCAGTATGTACACATTTATTAAAGCTACTAATTGTTTGATTTTGTTTATTGTTTTTATACTTAATTAGTGAATCTTAGTTATTTAGGTCAACTAACTAGGTATTTTCTCATAGGCATAATATCTATATCTATATCTATGAATCTTAACTGGCAGTTGTCTCAGCAAAAATCATAGTTTTGAAATGGCTTTAATATTTCCATCCCTTACCATTTCCAGGAAGCTAACACTTCTGGGTAAGAGAATACCAAAGAGAAAAAGATCCAGCATTTTCAGGCTAAAGCTTACCTCTCTTTAGTGACAGAATAAAATCACTAAGGTACACAAATGCTATGATATGAATGTCCCCTTTAAAACTCATGTTGAAATTTAATTGCCATTGTAATAGTATTAAGAGCTGGCACCATTAAGAGGTGATTATGCCATGAAGGCTTTGCCTTTGTGAATGAATTAATGCAAAGTGAACTAGTTATCATGGGAGTGGACTCCTGATAGAAAGAATGAGTTTCACTCAATTTTCTTTCCTCGTCTTGTGTGCTCTCTTGCCATGTGATGCCTTCTGCCATGTTATAACACAGCAAGCAGGCCCTTACCAGATACAACCTTTTCGATCTTCCCAGCCTCCAGAACTCCAGGAAATAAATCTCTTTTATTAAGTTACTCAGTCTGTGGTATTCTGTTATAGCAGCAGAAAACAGACTAAAACAAGAACCTTCAATTCCTTACTCAAGTTGACTCTTTCAAATGACTCAAGTGTATCAACCTCTGGTTCTTCAGAATCATCACTGATTTTATGGAAAATAACATGAAAGCTGGTATATAAAAGGGTTATAAAGATGTCGCCTTATAGATGGAGCTCTGTCTTTTTTCAGAATGAGAAGCTACACGCAGTTGCCCTTCTTAACACACCATATTATGAGATTTCATTTTTGTACCATAATTATATAATTTAGACTGGTCCCTCTGATGAACTGTTTTAACAGCATATTTTTATGTTCCTGAGGCATGTGTCAATGGTTCTTTGTATTTACTGGAATACTGAGTGATGACCTAGTATTCAGTTTCTAAGTATATTTGTTTGCATAGCAGTTTTCCAGCTATAATATTCAGAAATTCAAACGTCCCAAGTTCACCATTACAATTATATTGTTAGTAATCTTTTCTTTTATGATGAAAAGGTGCATTTGACTGATGACAAAAGAGCTTATTAATTTTTCTGCATGTGAAAGCTTTGACTTCCTATTAGAAAGCTTAATATCGTGGCTCTTCCAAACTTGTTGGTAGTCATCATCCTTCTTTAGGCTTATTTTTGGAGTTGGATAAGATATGCTTCATTACAAACTGTAGCAGTGGTGTCTGCCTTTTAACTTCAAGAAAATTGCAACCAACATGATTCCAACAGTTAAAACCCAAACTTATCTTTTTGCTGTTTGTTTAACTTTGTTGTTGAAGGCAACATTTGCTCAAATTGGCAGGAATTCTGTTCAACTCATTTTTCTTGGCCAAATATGTCAGCAGTTCTCCATTTTGTCCTTCAATTATTCCCCATACTTGAAAGACATAAAGCCAACTGGCAGTTGTGTGTCTGGTTATTTTCCCATTGCAAGGCTTAGTAGTCTCTCACAAAAATAGAAACCCAGACAGCAACTTTTAACATCTCATTCATATGTCAGTATGGAAACTGAAGGTTTTACCTTAAACTCCCAGAAAGCAAGCACTATGGTTATATTTACAAATGTAATACTCAAACACCAAGTTGATTTTTGAAGATTTGATCAACTAGTCAGTTATTTAGTTCATACCCTGTCAGACAGATAACCATTACAAATGTTATTTATCCAACTAATTGAACTCTAAATTGACTACATAGACAGGTTCTTTTCATAATATAGATAGCCAGAATATTATATTAAACTGACAATAGAATACTACAATGTAAGAATAGTAAAGATAGGCTAACTGATATAAAAAACAATTCCAAAATCTCAGTGACTTAGCACAGTGAAAATATTTCACTCAGTCACATTTCAATGAGAGTGGATTGTTGGAGAAAGGCGAGTCACGTGTCACTCCATTCAGTTATTGGGGGACCTGGGCTCCTTTCCTCTTGGGCCCTCCCTTTTTCTGGATCCATGGAGCCCTCTCTCTTAAGCTAAAGATAGGAAAAAAGCTCAAGAGTTATAAAGGGGAGTATTTTTAGGTTCGGATCTGAATTGCATTACATCACTTTCACACACATTCTATTGTTCAGAATTCGGCCACATGGATCTCCTAATTGCCAGGCAAGCTGGAAACTGTGGTTTCAGCTATGTGCCCAAGAAGAATGGAAACTAGTTTGGTAAATGCTTAGCACTGTTTGCCACAAATGGCACCATACAAAGATGGGACTTTCTTACATATTATTTGTTTACATTGTTGGGATGGTGGTAGAAATAATGATTGTGAAAATGACCAGTGCCAAGAAAGTCTATCAGGTTGGAATATGAAGAAAATGATACCCACACTTCAGATTCACTGACAAACTATTGAGAAAAGTGTATTAAATAAATTAATTTATTTGGCTTATAATACATTCTCATCTGTCTGGAATCTTGTTCTCTAAGTTTTTAGCATAGTTGCTAGAAACCTTATTTCTCCTTCTCAGCTTTTAATGCATTTCTTTCCTTTGTAGCACAAACGAGTATTATCTACAATATATTATCTGCAATAATGCTTCATGTGTATATAGCACTTTAACCTTCACATTTTCTAAAATCTATATAAAATTTGGGAAATAGATATCATTATCCTTGTTTAAAGGAAGATTCAATCATAGATCAGCATCACAGAATCTAACAGAGTAGGAAGACAAGCTTGGAACTCACTAAGGTACAGTTTCTAGAATTCAGTTTGTCTTTTTTTTTTTTTAAATATGGCTCCTCTTATCAGCGTTTACACTGTAAGAACAGGGAAATAAAAGGAAGTAAACATCAAATTCACTAGTCCATTATACCTCTATTTTCTAGATCTAGTAAGTAAACATGAAGAATTTTTATTGGCTAAATTAAGATTGGAGGCTTATTTGTATTTTTTTCCTTCTATAAACAGTCTTATAGTGGTAGTGATACAGTGATTATAAGATGACACTGTTCCCCTCAAAATCTTCTTGTTCATATGCAAAAAGAAGGTAATTTTCCAGAAGCATCAAGGAAAAAATCATTTTAAATATTTTGTTCAATTCAGTCTTTAAGACCCCCAAAACCTAAGTAAATAGTTTGGATCAGCATTTACATTTAATATTCCACTTTACTCCTTTGAGGATCACCTATTTATGGTTTGGAAGAGAACACACAAGGAGCATTCAAATTTAATACTGCAAGAAACATTTTCTGAAAGTAAGTCTACTCACCAGATCTCTCACTGAAACGTAACATTTTTGTAGATGTAAAAGTATTTATCATTTTAATTTTGGGGGGAACACATTCTCATCTTGCAACAAAAGACTTGCAAATTGATTCTTACTTGGGTGGAAATAAAGATGCTTACCATCAATAGGGGAATTAGATTAAAAAGGATATAGGGAGAAATTGTCTTCAGGCCTACTCAATGTGAGATGGGTTTCAGCTGCACCCAACAGCAGTAGTCTAAAACAAACATGATAAGAAACAGAAAAAGGAAGGAAAACTTGGACTACATTACTGCCCACACACAGAACTGCAATGGAAAGAATCACCAGACTCATTGGCATCTGACAGCTGGGAATCAGCAAGTGCTTTCTTGTTCATGTTTTCTTTAAAGACTGTTTTTCTTATCCCACATTCTAAAATTATGAACATATTAATCAAAAGAATTTGTGTTATTTGCATTCATAAAGAGATAGTATGGAAAGAAATAAAAGCAGTAAATAAACATTAGAAGGAAGGTTACATTTCTTTTGTCATTGTTATTAAAAATTATGTACAGTATATTATAAAATAAAAGCTATAATGCAGGAAATCTTTTTTTATCAATTAGTAATATGTCATATATGTTTCTTCTTTAAGTAAAAAGGGAATCTGATATATTCACTTATCTGTAATAATAAATTTTATATGTTTAAATATTAGTGACTGATAACTATAGTGTTTAATAATGTAATGGAATTTTTTGTATTAAATTGCAAATATAGGTTTTTTCTGCTTTGTATTTCTCCCAGAAAATAGCATTGAACATTTCACATAGCAAAACTCAATACATAGTTGTTATAATCAATAATAATCAACATAAGAATAATAACAGTGACTGTGCCTTGGACAGTCATTCTCTTTTCAATCTAATGGTTTCAAGGCCAATTCATCATTTGGAGACTTGTATAGATCAAGATGTTATATCTAAAAGTTTTAAAACTCATTTGGATTCTATTAACATGTCAAAAGCTTTGTTTTTAGGAAGTTTTTAATTTCAACAAATATTTGTCTTAGAAAAAAATAAACAAATAAAAATACAATTTTATTATAAAAATATTTGTTATGTTAATATATACTACTGACTATAACTTGTTTCCGTCAAAAACCCCTGGAGAACAAGAAGAATGCCATCTCAAGAAATGCTGCTACATGTCATTGAGAATGGCAAAGTAAGGACATACAAAAACATCTCCTTCATAAAAGCAACAAGAACTCTGACAAAAACAGTTGAATTTTACTCTTTCAGAACTCTAGAAATTAACCAAAGGCTTCCAACAATCTCAAGATCATTTACTCAAGTAAAACAGCTAAATCTCAGTAAGAACAGTGAACTCTGTGGTGTGTATTTTGTCCTAGTCCCATCCCAGTTCCCCAGTCCTTTGAGAGCCTTAAAAACCAAGCCCCATGCAGTCATGGTGAAAGCCCGCAGCCTCGCAGACATGGGACAGTAAAAAAAAAAAAAAAAAAAAAAGGGCTGGAAGGTGTTCTTCTTCCCAGAAAACTGTCATTTCATCTATTGGTAGTCCCCTGAATAATCCCACTCAAAATCTTGTCTTTTTTTGTCCTTTTATATAATTAATGCACGAGCATGGAAATATTCAAAAGTCTTATCTTTATTTGACCCAACTCAGAACTCTACCAGTGTGAACAGCCTTTTTCCTACGGCATTTGTCAAAAACAATCAGTAGCAGTAGTTTAACATTATAACTGCTTGAAGTTTTGATAACACATGGTGCAAAACAAGTGGAACAAAACATCCAAAAAGAACTTGGGGAATGAAATGTCCATGGGAGGTTTTAAAAAGTTCTGAAATATTTCCCAGAATCCAGAGAGCCACTTATAAACTGGTTTATGTACATGCCCAGGAAAGACCTAAGAAGACCCTATGTTCTCACTTCTGGGTGAGTTTGAGGCCTTGTGTAATCAGGAAGTTGGAACTAAGAGAGTTGTAAACTGCCTGCCTGACATTGAAGGCAAGCCCCACCACACACACTGACTCCCTTAGCAAAGCCTAGGAGACTTATTGGTTTCAGGTATTTAAGTAAATCTCCATCTAATTATTAGCTGATCACTAATGAGTAAAGATTTTAGTGGCCACACATGACAAAGAATACAGATATTACAGAATTAGTTCAGAAATGAATTAAACAAATGAAACATAGAACAACAGCAACAGAAACGAACCCTAGGGATAGGAGAAATCTGATTTCCAGAGATTCCACATTGTACCAACTCAAATGTCCAGTTCTCAATAATTATTACAGGACATGCTGAGAAACAAGAAAATATAGGCTATATACAAGAGTGAAATGATAGGATAGAAACTCTATGTGAAGAATATCAGATGTTGGATATACTAGAAAAGATGTTGTCTATAAATAGCTATTTTAAATATTTTCAGAATGCTACCTGACATAAACAATGTCTCATCAAATAGAAATTATCAATACAGAGATAGGATTGTTTAAAAAGAAACAGAAGGTTCTGAGTTGGAAAGTACAATAACTGAAATGAAAACTTTAGTAGGGGGACTCAGTAGAAGGTTCAACTGGCAGAAGGATCAGTAAACTTGAAGGTAGATTAATCAAGATTATCCAGCCTGAAGAACAGGAAGAAAGAAGAGTGAAGAAAAATTAATAGAGCTTCAGAGTCCTATGGGACACTATCAAGTATATCAATATATGTACAATGAGAGTCAAAACAGAGAGGTGGTAGAGAAAAGACATAAATAAAATTTGAAAAATTAAGCCAAATCTTCCAAATCTGATGGCAAACATTAGTCTACACATCCAAGAAGCACACGTAAATCAAAGTAGAATAAACTCCAAGAGATCTATACTTAAAAATCTCAGAAGCAAACTGCGAAAAGCCAAAGCCAAAGCAATAACCATGAAAGCATCAAGAGAGAAGAAGCTCAACACATACAAAGAATCCTCAATAGTATTGCTATGATTTGAATATTTGCATCCCCTCCAAAATTCATGCTCAAACTTAATCTCCAGTGCAACAGTATTAAAAGGTGAAGTAAAAGCTGGAGTCTTTTAGGAGGTGATATTGGCCATTAAGGCTTTGTCCTCATTATGGAATTAGTGCCTTATGTAAAAACTGGAGGGAACTAGTTTGTCCTTTTTTGCCCTTTCATTTTTTTCACCATGTGAGGATGTGGCAACAAGGCCCTCACCAGACATCAAATGCCAGTACATTGATCTTGGACTTCTCAGCCTCCAGAGCTGTGAGAAATACATTTCTATTTTTTACAAATTATCCAATATCAGATATCTTGTTACAGCAGCATTAGCAGACTAAGCCAAGATAATTAAATGAGAAACTAAGTTAATTTCTGATTAAAAAAATCATGGAGGCCTAAAGGTATTGAAATGACATTCTCAAAGTGAATAAAGAAAAAACTGTCAACCAAGTATTCTCCATATGGTAATACTGTCCTTCAAAAAAAGAGGGAAGAATTAAGACATTCCCATATAATCAAACACTGAGAGACTTTGTCATTAGAAGACCTACCCTATAAGAGATACTAAAGGTAGTTCTTTTTTTTTGTTTTTATATACTTTAAGTTCTGAGGTACATGTGCAGAATGTGCAGTTTTGTTACATAGGTATACACATGCTATGGTGGTTTGCTGCACCCATCAACCCATCACCTACATTAGGAATTTCTCCTAATGCTATCCCTCCCCTAGCCCCCAAGCTTCCCACAGGCCCAGTGTGTGATGTTCCCCTCCCTGTGTCCATGTGTTCTCATTGTTCAACTCCCACTTGTGAGTGAGAACATATGGTGTTTGGTTTTCTGTTATTGTGTTAGTTTGCTGAGAATGATGGTTTCCAGCTTCATCTATGTCCCTGCAAAGGACATGAACTTATCCTTTTTTGTGGCTGCATAGTATTCCATGGTGTATGTGTGCCACATTTTCTTTATCCTGTCTATCAATGCTTTTACACTGTTGGTGGGAGTGTAAATTAGTTCAACCATTGTGGAAGACAGTGTGGCAATTCCTCAAGGATCTAGAATTAGAAATACCATTTGACCCAGCAACCCCATTACAGGGTATATATCCAAAGGAATATAAATAATTCTACTATAAAGACACATGCACATGTATGTTTATTGCAGCACTATTCACAATAGCAAAGACTTGGAACTAACCTAAAGGTAGTTCTTAAGGCTAAAATGAAATTATTCTAAACAGTAACTCATATCCATATGCAGAGATAAAGAGAACCAAACAGATTGCATAAGTAGATATAAAAGACAGTATAGATGAATTTTTTGTTTCTAATATTTTTCCTGTTTGATTTAAAAGACAATGGTATAAAAAAAGCAATAATTATAAATCCGTGCTGATGGGCATACTGTGTATAAAGATACAATTTGCACAGCAACAATAGATAAATAAAAGAAGAGGAAATGGGACTGTATAAGAGCAAAGTTTTTACAAAATATTGAGATTAAGTAGACATTAAACTAGGTTATTATAAATTTAGTATTAATAATCCTACAAAAATAGATAGCAAAAGAAACTACACAGGAATTAAAATAGTACATTAGAAAAATCCTATTTAACACAAAAGAAAGCAGTAATAGAGTAATGAACAGAAATTACATAAGACATATATAAAAAAATTAAAACATAGCAGCCATATATCCTACTTTATCAGTTATTACATTAAGTTTAAATAGATTAAACCTCTACTTAAAAGCAGAGACCATTAGAATGAATAGAAAACATAATTCAACTACATGCTGACTACAACAGACGTATTTTAAAATTCAAAGACAGAATTAGATTGAAAGTAAAAGGATAGAAAAAGATATATCATACAAGCAGTAACTAAAAGAGAACTGGAATAACATACTACTATCAGATAAAATAGACTTAAAACTATTATTTTAAAAAGGATTAATTAAATAATTATAATTTAACTTTAATAATTAAAAATTATTTACAAAAAGGATATTTTATGAAAAAAGGGTCAATCCATAAAGAAGATATGATTATTATAAATATGTATGCAATCATAATGATCAAGAGCCTCAAAATACATGAAGCAAAACTGATAGAACTGAAGGAGAAATATACAATTCAACAATAATAGGTGAAGACTCCAATACCTCACTTTCAATAATGAATAGAACAACTAGACACAATATTAACGAAACAGAAGACTTGAACAACACTATAAATCAGATGGACCTAAATTATATTTATAGAACACTCCACAGAACAACAGCAGAATATACATTCTTCACAAGTCCTTTGGACCAGGTTCACCATGAGCCATTTACTAATTCCAGAGGAGAACTCCTACTACATGGAGAATAACAAAGATCATCGCAATGCCAACCACCAGAACTAAAAGTTGAAACACTTCTGTACACTACATCTTGGGCTGTAATTTTTATCACTTGCAGAAGTCCAGTGAGACAGAACACTCATACAAATTAAGAAAAGCAATTCAGTTACTCACAGGTATGTAGCAAGGGACAGCAGAAGCTATGAATTACGGCAAGCCAGTCCCTACGTCTCGGAAAAGCTGCCCAGGGTGGTGAAAGCTGCCCAGGGTGGTGGACTGAGTCTCTGCAAGTGCCTCACATCTCACTGCAACTGAGGAACCCCAAAAACACTCTGCTCTGTTTTTTATACTACAGAGACAACTTAGATTACTGTGCTAAAACATTGTAGGACATCCTGTTCTAGGAGGAACAGAAATAGAGCCCAGATTGTTCCAAACAGTTTCTCCTTATCTCAGGATGCTGTGTTCTCGGCACATTCTATAGCTATTCCGAAAATTACAAGTGAGATGGCGGAAAGAGCTGGGCCAGCCAAGGTTAGCCAGAGCCCTGTCCTGCAAATCAACATGAGGCATTCTCCAGGACAGACTACATATTAGTCCACAAAACCAATCTCAATAACTTTAAAATAACTGAAATTAAACAAAGTATGTTTTATGACCACAATGGAATGAAATTAGAAATTAATAGTAGAAGGAAAGTGAGCAAATTCATTAATAAGCAAAAGTGAAACAACGTAATCCTAAACAACCAATTGATCAGAGAAGACACCACAAGGGAAATTAGAATGTACATTGAGATTAAAAACTAGTACAGACACAAAACACTAAAGTGTATGGAATGCAAACAAAGCAGTGTTTAGAAGGAAATTTATAGTTCTAGATCCTTGAGGAATTGCCACACTGTCTTCCACAATGGTTGAACTAGTTTACAGTCCCACCAACAGTGTAAAAGTGTTCCTATTTCTCCACATCCTCTCCAGCACCTGTTGTTTCCTGACTTTTTAATGATCGCCATTCTAACTGGTGTGAGATGGTATCTCATTGTGGTTTTGATTTGCATTTATCCGATGACCAGTGATGTAAGAACTTAAAGTATAATAAAAAAAGAAGGAAATTTATAGCTATAAACATATATTTTTAAAATATAAACCCCCAAATTAACAATCTATTAACATATGCAAGTCAATAAACGTGATACACTACATAAACAGAATTAAAAACAAAAAATCACATGATCATCTCAATAGACACAGAAAAAGCATTTGACAAAATCCAGGATCCCTTTATGATTAAAACCCTCAGCAAAATTGGCATAGAAGGTGTGATGGTTAATACTGAATGTCAACTTGATGGGATTGAAGGATGCAAAGTATTGTTCCTGGGTGTGTCTGTGAGAGTGTTGCCAAAGGAGATTAACATTTGAGTCAGTGGACTGGGAGAGACAGGTCTACCCACAACCTGGGTGGGCACCATCTAATCAGCTGCCAGCGCAGCTAGAATAAGGCAGGCAGAAGGATGTGGAAGGACTAGACTTGCTGAGTCTTCCAGTCTTCATCTTTCTCCCTTGCTGGATGCTCCCTGCCCTCAAACATAAGACTCCAAGTTCTTTGGCTTTTGGACTCATGGACTTACACCAGTGGCTGGCCAGGGACTCTCGGGCCTGTGGCCACAGACTGAAGGCTGAACTGTCAACTTCTCTACTTTTGACGTTTTGGGACTCGGACTGATCCACCACTAGCTTCCTTGCTCCTCATCTTGCAGATGGCCTATCGTGGGACTTCACCTTGTGATTGTGTGAGTCAATTCTCCTTAATAAACTCCCTTTCATATATACATATATCCTATTAGTTCTGTCCTTCCAGAGAAACCTGATTAATACAGAAGGGACATACCTTAATGAAATAAAAGCCATCTATGACAAACCAACAGCCAACATAATACCGAAAGGAAAAGAATTGAAAGCATTCCCCTTGAGAACTGGAACAAGACAAGGCTTCCCACTCTTACCACTCGTCTTCAACACGGTACTGGAAATTCTAGCCATAGCAATTTGACAAGAGAAAGAAATAAAGGACATTCAAATCGGTAAAGAAGAAGTCAAACCATCATTGTTTGCTGATGATATAATTGTACAACTAGAAAACCCTAAAAACTCCTCCAAAAAGCTCCTAGAACTGATAAATGAATTCAGCAAAGTTTCAGGATACAAAATTAATGTACACAAATCAGTAGCTCTGCTATACACCAACAGCGACCAAGCAGAGAATCAAATCAAGAACTCAAATCCTTTTACAATAGCTGCAAAAAAAATAAAATACTTAGGAATATACCCAACCAAGGATGTGAAAGACCTCTACAAGGAAAACTACAAAACACTGCTGAAAGAAATCATGGATGACACAAACAAATGGAAACAGATCCCATGCTCATGGATGGGTAGAATCAACATTGTGAAAATGGCCTTACTGCCAAGAGAAATCTACAAATTCAATGCCATTCTTATCAAAATACCACTATCATTCTTCACTAAACTAGAAAAAAAATCCTAAAATTCATACGGAACCAAAAAAGAGCCCTTATAGCCAAAGCGAGACTAAGCAAAGAGAACAAATCTGGAGGCATCACATTGTCTGATTTCAAGCTATACTATACGGCCATAGTCAGCAAAACAGCATTGTACTGGTACAAAAATAGGCACATAGACCAATGTAACAGAATAGAGAACCCAGAAATAAATCCAAATACTTACAGCCAACTGATCTTCAACAAAGCAAACAAAAACATAAAGTAGGAAAAGGACACTCTATTTAACAAATGGTGCTTGGATAATTGGCAAGCCACATGTAGAAAAATTAAACTGGATCCTCATCTCTCACCTTACACAAAAATCAACTCAAGATGGATCAAAGACTTAAATCTAAGACCTGAATCCATAAAAATTCTAGAAGATAACATCAGAAAAACCCTTCTAGACATTGGCTTAGGCAAAGACTTCATGACCAAGAACCCAAAAGCAAATGCAACAAAAACAAAGATAAATAGATGGGACTTAATTAAACTTAAAGGCTTCTGCACAGCAAAAGAAACAATCAGCAGAGTAAACAGACAACCCACAGAGTGGGAGGAAATCTTCACAATCTATACATCTGACAAACAACTTATATCTAGAATCTACAAGGAACTCAAACAAATTAGCAAGAAAAAACCGAACAATCCCATCAAAAAGTGGGCTAAGAACATGAACAGACAATTCTCAAAAGAAATACAAATGTCCAACAAACATATGAAACAATGCTCAACATCATTAATGATCAGGGAAATGCGAATCAAAACTATAATGAAATATCACCGTACTCCTGCAAAAATGGCCATAATAAAAAAAATCACAAAATAATAGATGTTGTCAGGGATGTGGTGAAAAGGAACACTTTTACACTGCTGGTGGGAATGTAAACTAGTACAACCACTATGGAAAAGTGTAAAGATTCCTTAAAGAACTAAAAGTAGAACTGCATCTGATCCAGCAATCCCACTATTTTCCAAGAGGAAAAGAAATCATTATATAAAAAAGATACTTGCGCATGCAAGTTTATAACAGCACAATTCGCAATTGCAAAAATATGGAAACAGCCCAAATGCCCATCAATCAACAAGTGGATAAATATAATTTCTTTATCCACCAGCGGGAAGGGAGGAAGGGGGACAAGGATTGGAAAACTACCTATTGAGTACCATGTTCACTACTTGAGGGATGTGTTTACTAGAAACTCAAATTCCAGCATTAAGCAATAGATCAATGTAATAAACATGCACATGTAAAAAAAAAACAACATAACCTTCCACCTTAAGAAAATGGAAAAAGAAAAACAAAGTAAACTCAAAGCAAGCAGAAAAAGATAAGAGCAGAAATGAATGAAATAAAGAATAGAAAGATAATAGAGAAGATCGAGAAAACGAGTTAGTTCTTTGAAAGTGAGAAGTCGGGGTAATAGCCAAAAACCTTTGTATCATTTTTGAAGGCAGACACCACAGGGAAAGGCTTTTACTGGCAGGCCTAAAGGGAGAAAGCTGCCCCCTTGCCTCCCCAGATTTTGTGCACAGTTGGTGCATTGCCATCTCTGATGAGAGTTACAGTCAAGAACTAAGACCTCGCTGACCTGTCATGCTCTTACATATGTCAGCATTCCTGGACTAGGCCCCCATTCAGAGGTCTCTTTATTTGGAGCCATAGCAGAGGCCTTCTTTGGGTACCTCTGCAGAGATTCCTTATTGGGGAAAGGAGGAAGGAAACACTAAAGATACTTTTTTTCACTCTGACTGAATACTCAATACTTTTCCACTCCAAGTCCTTTTCCCTTGCTTTCACCTGGCTCCTGGGTCCATAAAACTGAAAGAAGCTTTTGTTCCGGGTTCTCTCAATATTGAGATCATCTTGACATCTGTGCAGATCCATCTGACAACTGACCAGTGCCATTCAGTGGGAGGAAATAAACTGGGGCTGGGTAAGGGGGTCAGGAATCAGTGCTTTCTCTGGTTTAGTGTCTTGATCAATACTATTGCAGTAAGTGATTAAAGGCTTAACTATTAATATTACATTTATTTTGCTTAATGTCTTAACTGGCTACTCTAGCAGCTCACTTCTCCGCAGCTCATCTCAGTTCCTAAGAAAAAGCACATCAAAACTGAAAACCCTTTAGCTAGACTGACCAAGAAAAAAAAGAGAGTACTCAGTTTATTAAAATCAGGTATGAAAGAGGGAGCATTACTACTGACATTATAAAATTTTTTTAAAAAGGATTATAGGAGAATACAATCAATAATTGTATATCAACAAATTGGATAACCTAGGTGAAATGGACAAATTCCTGGAAAGGTACAAGCTACTAAAAATGACTCAAGAAGAAATTAAAAATATGAATAGAACTATAACAAATAAGACATTAAATCCACAATAAAAAAATTTCCCACAAAGAAAAGCCCAGAATCAGAAGGCTTCACCAGTGAACTCTACCTAATGTTTAAAGGACAATTAACAGCAATATTTCTCAAAATCTTCTAAAAAATGTAAGAGGAAAGAACACTTTCCAACTCCTTTCACAAGGCCCGTATTAAACTGATATCAAAAACAAAGACATCACAAGAAAAGCAAACTGCAGACAACATTCTTTATGGATATAGACGCAAACTCTCAACAAAATAATAGAAAACGAATCTACCAACACACGAAAAGGATTATGCAATATGACTAAGTAGGATTTATCCCAGGAATGCAAGTTTGGTTCAACATATGAAAATCAATCAATGTAATATACCAATTAGTAGATTGTTATAATCATAATATATACCTTAAAAAGCATTTGACAAAATTCAACTCCAATTTATAATAAAAAACACTCAACACACTAGAAACAGAAGGAAATTTTCTCAATCTGATAAAGAAATTGTATAAACCTATAGCAAAATGTCATATTTAATGGTGAAATACTGAATACTTTCTCCTAGGATTAAAAACAAGGCAAAGATATCCACTGTCACCACTTCCATTTAGTATTTTACTGGAAGTTTTAGCCAGGGTAATTAATCAAGAAAAAGGAAAGGAAGTCTCCCATAGTGGAAAGGAAGAAGTAAAAGTACAGATTGGGCATCTCTAAGGCAAAAATCCAAAATCCAAATGTACTAAAATCCAAAACTTTTTCAGTAGCAACATGATGCCACAAGTGGAAGTATTCACACCTCATCTCCTGTGATGGATCACAGTCAAAATGCAGGCACATAACACACAGTTTATTTAGCATCCCCAAGGGACGCTCCCAGCCCTCTTCCCTTGTAATATGTCTTTTACAGGCTTGTTCAGATTTCCTCATGCAAGCACACCCACAGAGGGTAATACGATAGCAGGAGTGTCGGTTAGAAGTACCAACAGTAGGTTCCTCATAATGGCCCGAGTGGAGCTAAAACCTACATACATTAATCACTGTGTTTCTGTTGTTGTTGTTTTGCTTATTCTCTGCTCTGTGGTGAAAAGATAATGCTGAAAATGTCAAAAAGGCCTGTCAATACCCATATGGGTAACAATAATAAGAAAAAGAGAAAGTCCCATTTGTCTATGTTTGTTTTTGTTGCATTTTCTTTTGAGGTCTTAGTCATAAATTATTTGCATAGGCCAATGTCCAAAAGTTTGTCCTAGGTTTTCTTCTAGGACTTTAATAGTTTCATGTCTTACATTTTAAGTCTGTAGTCCATTTTGAGTTAATTTTTGTATATGGTGAAACATGAGTCCAGTTTCATTCTTCTGCATATGGTTAGCTAGTTTTCCCAGCACCATTTAATTAAACTAAAGAGTTTCTGCATAGCAAAAGAAATAATCAACAGAGCAAAAAGACAAACCTATAGAAAGAGAGAAAGTATTTGCAAACTATGCATCTGACAAAGGTCTAATATCCAGAATCTATAAAGAACTTAAACAAATCAACAAGAAAAAAACAAAGAACCTCATTAAAATGTGGGCAAAGGACATAGGCACTCCTTAAAAGAAGACATAGAAGCAACCAACAAACATGAAAAAATGTTCAACATCACTAATTATCAGAGAAATGCAAATTAAAACCACAATTAAATACCATCTCACACCAGTCAGAAAGGCTATTACTAGAGTCAAAAAATAACAGATGTTGCCAAGGGAGAAAAGGGAATGCTTCCACACTGTTGGTGGAAATATTAAATTAGTTCAAACCCTATGGAAAACAGTATGAAGATTTCTCAAAGAACGAAAAATAGAACTACCATTCAACGTGGCAATTCCGCTACTGGGTACCTAGCCAAAGGAAAAGAAATCATTCTATCAAGAAGATACCTGCACTGGTATGTTCGCTCTGTCGCCCAGGTTGGAGTGCAGTGGCGTGATCTCGGCTCACTGCAAGCTCCGCCTCCTGGGTTCACGCCATTCTCCTGACTTAGCCTCCTGAGTAGCTGGGACTACAGGTGCCCACCACCACACCCGGCTAATTTTTTGTATTTTTAGTAGAGACAGGGTGCACTGGTATGTTTAAGGCAGAATTATTCACAATAGCAAAGTCATGGAATCAACCTAAATGTCAATCAACAGTTGACACTTAGGTTGATTCCATGGTACATATGAATATACCGCGTTTTTAATACAAACAACTGTTACGGATTTCATTCCATGGTATATGTGTGCATACATATTGGTATATGTTGATTGACACTTAGGTTGATTCCATGGTATATATACCTACCGCATTTTTAATCCAATCACCTGTTATGGACTGTATTTCATGCTATGTGCATTTATCATGGAACACTACACAGCCATAAAAAAGAATGAGATTATGTCCTTTGCAGCAACATGGATGGAGCTGGAGGGCAGTATCCTAAGTGACATTACTCACAGAAAAAAATCAAATATTGCTTGTTCTCACTTATACGTAAGAGCTACACAATGGATACACATGGACATAAACATGAAAATAGCTGCTGAAGATTCCAAATGTGGGGAGGGTGCAAGGGAGATGAGGGTTAAAAATTACCTATCAGATACAATGTTTACTATTTGGGTGATGGCTTCACTAGAAGCCCAAACCTCACCATTATGCAATATATCTGTCCAACAAACTTGCACATGTACTCCGTGAGTCTACAGTAAAATAAAATAACGAAAAAGGAAAAGTCCAAATCAGTGTATGTATTGATCTTAATGTTACAATAATAAGTCCCTATTGACTGATTTATATAAACTTGACTAGTAACATCCAGAAATTTTTTTTTTTAAAGAGAGCGAGAAAGCATTTTTGTATATAGCACAGAAAATCAGGCTATTGGTGAAACTGAGCAGTGGTGTAAATGTGAAATGCCTTATAGAAGTATGGTGTCACAATGACCACCATATATGACCTGAAGAAACAGAAGGATAAACTGTCAAAATTCTATGCTGAAAGGGATGAACAGAAGAAAAATAGGAAAACACTGCATAAAGCTAAAAATGAAGATTTCGTTTACGTACTGAAGGGGTGGATCTATCAGCATTTCAGTGAACACATGACACTCAATAGTATGTTGATGAGGAAACTAAGATCTATCACAATGAACTGAAAATTGAAGGGTATTGTAAATGTTCAACAGGCTAGTTGCAGAACATTAAGAAAAGTCACAGCATTAAATTTTTAAACTTTTATGGTGATAAAGCATCTGCTGATCATGAAGCAGCCAAGAAATTCAGTGACAAGTTTGCCAAGGTCATTGCTTGTGCAAATCTGATGCCAGAATAAATGACTTCAGAAAGACACTGATTACAATTTCCCATAAGTTTGGTATGTGGTGTGTCTATTTTTGTTTGTTTCTAAGAAATTTTTAAATTTCTCTTTATATTTCTTCTTTTAATCATTGGTTGTGCAGAAGTGTGTTATTTAATTTCCATGTACTTGTGAATTTCTCAATGTTCCTCCTGTTATAAATTTCTACTTTCATACCTTTATGATTGGAAAAATACTTGATATGATTTCAGTCTTCTCAAATTTGTTAAGATTTTTTTTGTGGCCTAACATATGATCTGTCCTGGAGAATGTTCCATTTGCACTGGAGAAGAATGTGTATTCTGCTGCTGGGTAGTATGTTCTGTGTATGCCTATTAGGTCTATATGGTCTATAGTTTTGTTTGAACCCACTATTTCCTTAAAGATTTTCTGTCTGTATCTCCATTATTGAGAGTGGAGCAATAAAGTTCCACCATTATTGCTATTTATTTCTCCTTTCAGTTCTGTTAGTATTTGCTCTATATGCTTAGATATTCATGTGTGGTATATAAATATTTACAATTGTTCTATCTTCTTGATTTATTGACCCCTTTATCATTAAATAATAACCTTCATTGTCTCTTGTGATTATTTTAGACTTAAAGTCTATTGTTCTAATATAAGTACAATCTACCAAGACTGAATTATGAAGAAATAAAAATCTGAACAGAAAAATATTCAGCAAGAAGATTGAATCAGTAATCAAAAACTTCCCAGCAAAGAAAAGCCCAGGTGCAGATGCCTTTACTGGTGACTTCTTTCAAATATTTAATGAATTAACACCAATCCTTCTCAAGTGTTTCAAAAAAATTGAAAAAGTGAGAACACTTGCTTCCAAATTTATTTTGTGAAGCCATCTTCACCCTGACACCAAAGCCAGATAAGAACACTCTGAGAAAAGAAAATTACAAGCCAATATCCCTGATGAACTTAGATACAAAATTTCTCAAAAAAATGCTAGCAAACCAAATTCAACAGCACATTAAAAGTATTATACATGATGATTCAGTAGGATATATCCTTAGGCTGCAAAGATGGTTCAATGTACACGAATCAATAAATGTCATACACTGCAGCAACAGAAAGAATGATAAAAATCATATGATCATCTCGATTAATGCAAAAAGTTGACAAAATCCAACATCATTTCATGATAAAAACTCTCAACAATGTGACTATAAAAGAAATGTACCTCAACATAATAAAGGCCTTATATTACAAGCCCAAAGCTAACACCATACTAAATGGTGAAAAGTTGAAAGCTTTTCTTCTTAAGATTAGGACAAGACAAGGATGTTTACTCTCAATGCTTCTCTTAAACATAGTACTGAAAATCTTGGCCAGGGTGATTAGGCATAAAAATAAATAATAGGCGCCAGAATTAGAAAGAAAGAAGCAAAATTGTTCCTGTTTGCAGACATGATGTTACATGTAGAAAACCCTAAAGACTCTACCATAAAACTGTTAGAATAAAGAAATTCATTAAAGTTGAAGGATACAAAAGCAACATACAAAATTCAATTTTGTTTCTCTACACTAATAATGAACTATCTGAAAAAGAAATCAAGAAAACAATTCCATTTACAATAGCATTAACAACAATAAAATACTTAGGAATGAAGTTAATCTAAAAGGGTAAAAAATCTGTATGCTAGAAAACGATACTGCATTAATGAAAAAAAATTGAAGACACGAAAAATGGAAAGATATCCTGTGTTCATGGACTGATATAATTAATATTGTTAAAATGTTCATACTACCCAAAGTGATCTATAGATTCAATGCAATCCCTATTAAAATCACAATGGCATCTCTAACACGAAAAAAAAATTCTTTAAATTAATCTCTAATAGCCAAAGCATCTTGTGGAAGAAGAAAGAAGCTGAAGGTATCACACTTCCTGATTTTAAACAATATTACAAAGTTATAATAATAAAAATAGTGTGGTATTAGCATGAAAACAGACACTAGACCAATTGAACAGAATAGAGAGTTCAGAAATAAAACCCATGCATATATAGCTGAATAATCTTTTACAAGGGCGTCAAGAATACACAATGAGGAAAGGTCTATGTAATAAATAGTGTTGGGCACATTGAATGTTCACATCTGCAGGAATAAAGCTAGACCCCTACCTTATACCGTGTACAAAAATTAACTCAAATAAATAAAACTGAGAGCTTAAATTATACAACTCTTAAAGGAAACATAGGCACAAATCTTTGTCTTACATATCACGTCAAAAGCATAATCAGTAAAAGAAAAATTAAAACTTTCTATTGAAATTTAAAACTTTTATGCTTGAAAGGGCACTATCAGGAAAGTGAAACGATAACCCACACAATGAGATAAATGTTTTCAAATAATATATCTGATAAGGGGCTTTTATCCAAAATATATAAAGTATTCTTACATTTTAATAATTTTAGAAAGCCCAAATAATCCAATTAAAAAATTTGAAGATATACAAATTGCCAATGAGCACATAAAAAGATGTTAAACATTATTGATAGTTAGGGAAATGTAAAATAAAATCACAATAAGGTATTCCTTCACATCTGTTAGGATGATTATAATTTAAAAGAAAAACAGAAAATAACAAGGATTTTCAAGGATGTGGAGAGATTGGGATCCTCCTACATTGCTAGTAGAAATGCAAAATGGTACAGAAACTGTGGAAAACAATTTGGTAGTTTCTCAAAAATGTAAACACAGAATTACCATGTGACCCAGCAATTTTACCCCTAGATATATATTCAAAAAAATTAAAAGGATATGTCCCACAAAAACTTGTACATGAATGTGCATAGTAACATTATTCACAATAGTCAAAAAGTAGAAACATTCTAAATGTTTATCAAATTATGAATGGATAAAACAACATATATCCATACAATGAAACAGTATTTGGCCATAAAAATGAATAAATTTCTATAACATGCTACAACATGCAGTAACCTTGAAATATTATGCTAAGTGCAAGAATACAGACATGCAAAGGTTATATATTATATGATTCTATTGAAGTGAAATGCTCATATAGGTAAAAGAGACAGAAAGTAGACAAGTGGCTACCAAAGGCTGAAGGAAGGGAGAAATGGGAAATGACAGCTTATAGGCATAGGGGTTATTTTGTGGATGATAAAAATGTTTTGAAATTAGATGATGGTAATGGTTGTACAATTTTGTGAGTATACTGAAAACCACTGAATTGTTCACTTTAAAAGGAAAAATTTTTTATGTGTAAATTATATCTCAATAAAAAAAGAATTAGTGCTGGTTTTTCATAATGTTGCCAGAGTGTATTTGAGATACAGCTAATGAATTCTTTATTTTATATAATTTGCATAGTAGTCATATTTCCCATGCTCTGTCTTTTGCTTTTTATAAGAAAACATACTTCATGTAATCATTGGCATCATTATTCTATAATTGTCTACATAAAAGAGATATAAGAAAACTACTGACTATCATAAACAGACAAAATTGATTTACAAGGTAAATAAAACAAGGTAGAATAGCTAATTGGAAATTCTCAAAGATATAAAGCAAAAACATTTACAGGTTTGGTAGTATTTTTGTGTAGGACTCTATATGTCTATATATTTATGTGTGTGCATGTGTCAGGGAATAGTAATAAGTAAAAGGTATGTTTCTCATTAATGTGAAAGCTGTATGCATCCAGAGATCTAAAGTGTCAGTAGCATGGTAACTGGTAGATTACTTACAAAGTGAAAGTGTGCTGATGGTGTTAAAAAAAAAAAAATCTACTGTGATCAATGAGTTTCCCATTATGTGCCACAGTCATAAAGAGTCCTGGGCTCGCCAAAAATGAAAGATAAAGAGTAATAACTGCTATAATTTTCTGTTGAATCACCTAGTTGTATAAGGGAAATATTTTTTTCATTTTGCTTGATGGATTTGTCTCCAGCAGTGCAGAATTAATATATTCATTTATTTCTATACCTTTCTACCCGTTTTTTAAAAATCAAGTAACTTTAGTTAAGATTTTTTCACTTTAATAATCACAGTTTTAATTTGAGCATTAAAACTTAAAGAAATAGGACTCATTCTTACAGTAATTTTATTTCTAAAATATTTATCAGTTAAAGTAAAATTTCAATGCTGTCACAAAGATTTCTGAATAATTTATTATTAAAAAATTTTAAACTTTTTTCCTATTAGACTCAAATTATATATTATGCTCCATTCTTAATTAAGTTATTTCTACATATTTATGTTAAAACTTTGGTAGTAAGTTTTTTGAGTTTCTAATTTGTGGAGATTTTTAAAATTGTTATATTCTTATACATGATTCAACCATGTGATTATTTCAGCTGTTGTCTCTTTTGAAAGCCATGTTTTTCTATTTCAATGCTCTGGGATGCCTACATTTGTTCTTCTTAAGAGTTTTCTGTTTAAAACTATTATAGTACATTATTTTTCTCAGAGAAGAAATGAACTGTAAGTTGCATAATTGACTTTAGTTATTGCCCATGTTACTATTTTTTTACTTTTTTTATTATATTATACTTGCCTTTGATTCCTACATTCTTTGTGATTAGGTATGATATTAATGAGAAATAAATGACCATTATTTGGAGACAGAAAAGCAGGGGAAAAGAAACAGTAGATAAGTTAGTTAAGGAGGTAAAAAGAGAAAGGGCAATTGAGAGTCTAACTAGGTTTTACTTACATTCATTTAAAAAAAAATAAAAAACTCTTAATCGTAGCTTTGTTTTAAAAATAAAAAATTTTACGCAGGACATGGAATATATTAATGTATTCTTATGATATTACCACACATCCCTGGTAGCTCAAAAGAATTCTCTCTGCCCAAGATTTTCACCAGAATATGTAAAGATGAGGCTGGGTCAGCATGGGTTGGTTGCATAAACTTTTTCAGGTTATTTGACCAAGATTTTGAGGTCTTGAATTATGGACATTTAACTTCATATTTTTATAATTGTACAACAGTTAAAGTCTTCAAAAGTAAAAGACAATTCACACTGAAAACAAATTTTTGCTGTAAGTTGTTTTTTAATAGAAAAACATACAAATCAACTGTGTCATTAATTAGCTCAATATTTACCCAATAGTCTATATATGCATGTCTGTTTTGCAATCTCTACAAAATCATAAAGTTGTTATAGATTGGCAGCGCCAAAGGCAAGTTTTTTCAAATATATGTTGGTTATCTTTTGCTGCATAACAAATTATCCCAAACTTAGCAAGTTAAAATGGCAAACAGCTTAGCTGGGTCAAAGTCTCTAATAAGGTAGCTGTCAAGCTGTCAGCTGGGGCTGTAGTCATCTCAAACCATAACTGGGCTGAAGAATTCACTTTCAACCTCACTCACATGGTTGTTGGCAGGGTGTGGTTCCTCACATGCCATCTGCAACTGAAACCTTTGGTTTCTTGGGATGTGAGCCTCTCTATGGGTTTTCTGAATGACCTCATGATATGGAAGCTTGCTTCTCTCGGTATACTTGGTGAGAGAAAGAGAACGCGCATGTACGAGAGAGTGCACACACCCGAGATGGAGGCCAGTCTTTTTAAAACTTAATCTGGAAGTGGTATCACATTACTTCTGTCACATTCCATTTGTTGCAAGTGAATCACTAAGTGTAATCTATGCTTAAGGGAAGAGGATTCACAATGAACATCAGGTGGCAGAATCACTGACGGCCATCTTAGAGGCTAGCTAACACTATATACCAAAGTTTCCCTCAGTTGCTAGAAAATCGGCCACACAGAACTGTACTCTTTTCTGTAGACAAAATAATGACTTCTGAATTTTCATTTTGGGCAACCAGGTAAATAGTAACACCATTTATTAAGAGAGCACTTGTGGAAGGCTGGGTTTGAGGAAGGAGGTCATGAGTTCAGGTACACACATATTAAATGTGTTAGGTTTGTAGTTTTTCTAAGATTTCCAGTTGGAGATTTTATGTAGGCAATTTGCTACTTGAGTCTGGAGCTCAGAGGAAAACTTTGGAATGAAGATACTCACTTGAAAGTATTCATAATATAGATGGTAATTAATAATATGGGCATGGATAAAATCATGAAGTTGAGAATACAGAGTAAGAAGAGGAAGAGACCAGTGACAAAACCTCTAAGAACTCAAGATCAAAAACCAGATAAAGGAAAGTGATCTAGCAAGAAAATCTGAGAATTAGTCCTAGAAGTAAATGAAAATGAGGGAATTTGGTGATAAGGAGGCTAGTGTTGAGATTGTGTCAAGAAGACATAGTACTCTACACTCTCGAATGATGCTGAGAGAGTCAAACAGCAGAAGTCTGTCTAGAAAAATGCTGACTGGCTTAGTTTGATTGTTGCAGGAACCATGTGCATGAAGCGGTGGGAGAGGGCCACAGCCTGGAGTGAGTTGAGGACTAAGTGGCTGGTTAGTGAATCGGTGAGCTTGGGTGACTTTCTCAAAGCTTTGTAAAAGAGAGAAAATATACAGTAACAGTAGGAAAGGGAAGTAGAGTCCAAAGATGGTATTTTCTTTAAAATATGAAAATGAATTGCATATGTTTAAATGATGGGAAGAGTGCAACAGAAAGAAGTTAAAAGAACAAGAAAGAAAGTTGTAATGAATAATGTGAGTTTCTGTGGAAAGTTGGGATGTGGGTCCTATAACACAGATGGAGGATTATCTCCAGAACTATAATAAGATGGAAAGAAAACAGAAGATGTGGGAAATAAGGATGCAGGCAGGTTTCTAGGTTTGATGGCAGAAAAGTGAAGGCATTTTTTTCTGATGGTTTCATTTTCTCTGTGAAGTAGGAGAAGAGGTCATGTGCATATTAATGCTGTTATTATTACCCATGCTGTATTTCTGCTAATTAAAGAAACTTTCTCTGAAATAATGGTATATAAGTAACCACCTATTAGGTGAGGAAACAATTTACTCATTCATTAAACAAATGCTTCCGAGTACCTGTCTGCCTGCCCAAACTCACAGTCAACTTGAGAGGGCAGGAATGCACATATTCACAACGCAATGTGCCAAGTGTGACACTAGAGATAAAAACAACATTCTGTGAGCGCATAGAGGAAGACAAACTAGGAGAATTATAGGAAACTTGACAAAGATGGAAAGCTGAAGATGGGTTTTGAAGAATGAGTAAGAGTTTGCTAGAAACAAAAGTTAGCAACAGTGTGGACATAGGACCCTTAATCAAGAAAAATTATACTTATACAATTTTAAATCCTCCAGGGTTTGGGGGACTTCAGGCTAGGAGTAAATACCTCATAAATATTGCTTCAGATCTAGAAATTGGACTGGTAGCCTGGGAAATGGTTGTGCAATGAAAGAAACTCATTTTAGCAGGAAATAATGGACAAATATGTTAGCTTGAAATTAAGTGCAGAGATATGGAAAGACACATGAAAATCCAGTTTTGACTTCATGAGTTACCAACAAGCAAAACAAAATTATTTCATACAAACGTGTTTATCACGGTAGAGTTATGAGGATAATACACGAGTACACATAAAGAACATCAAAGTCAGCTCTGGCAAAGGCTGTTTGATGCCCTCAGTCTCTCCTCTTCTATATAATAAAATTCTCAATTTTAGTTAAGTAGATTACCTGAATACAGACTATACATCTCAATTTTTTCTGCTACTAGTTGTGGTAAAATGACTAAGTTCTGATAATAAGTGTAGGAAAGTGGTGTGGAAATTTCTGAAATGTGTCCTTAAAGGGGAAGTGTATTTCCTTCTTATTTTTGCTTCTTGGATGCATATGAGATTGCTGAAGCTCTATCTGGAACTCTAAGGCCCCTGATAGCTCACTTTAAGGGTGGTGGAATGCAAAGCTGGAAACAGCCTGGGCTCCCAAGGATTGCAGTGCAACAGGGCCAATTCCTAATTGCCTATATCCACAAAATTAAATTATATTTTATTTTGTTGTATTACTTAAGCAACTGCTTTGTTAAAAAAATATATTGTCACCAAACCTCTTATACACTCGTAACCAGACACATCAACTAGCCAACAAAACTACTTCTTTTGCAAAGTTTTAGACCTGTCGTATGTTTCTCTGTTCTTATTTCTACTCAAAGGGGTATCTTTGTTAGCTGGTGGATTTTTTTCCCTTCTAAAGGACACAGTGGTAATTATTTTCTGAAAACAAATAAATAGAAAGAGAGCCTATTTGGAATCCACATGAAAAATTAAATATGTGTTTCCTACCAGGGACCTCTCAAAAAAGTGTAATGACTTCCCTGGCTATACTCACTCTGATCCTTCCAGTATGTGGGTTAAGTACTTCCCATGGATTAACACATTCAATCCTCCCAACACCCCTATGAAGTAGTTACTATTTTCAGCCCTATTTTCTTATCATATTTAACACTTTATTTTGTTTTATTTTTAATTTTTACTTTACATTAAGTTCTGGGACACATGTGTAGAATGTGGAGGTTTGTTACATAGGTATACATGTGCCATGGTGGTTTTCTGCACCTATCAACCCATCATCTAGGTTTTAAGCCCTGCATGCATTATATATTTGTCCTAATGCTCTGCCTACCTTTGTCCCCCAACCTGCAACAGGCCCAAGTGTGTGATGTTCCCTTCCCTGTGTCCATGCGTTCTCATTGTTCAGCTCCTACTTATGAATGAGAACATGTGGTGTTTGTTTTCTGTTCCTGTGTTAGTTTGCTGAGAAAGATGGCTTCCAGCTTCATCCATGTCCCTGCAGAGGACATGATCTCATTCTTTTTCATGGCTGCATAGTATTCTATGGTGCATATGTGCCACAATTTCTTTATCCAGTCTATCATTGATGGGCATTTGGGTTGATTCCAAGTCTTTGCTATTGTGAATAGTGCCACCATAAACATACATGTGCATGTGTCTTTATAGTAGATTGATTTATAATCCTTTGGGTATATACCCAGTAATGGGATTGCTGGGTCAAATGGTATTTCTGGTTCTAGATCCTGAGCAATCACCACACCATCTTCCACAAAATTTACACTCCCACCAACAGAGTAAAAGTGTTCCTATTTCTCCATAGCCTCACCAGCATCTATTGTTTCCTGACTTTTTAATAATCGCCATTCTAACTGACATGAGATGCTATCTCATTGTGGTTTTGATTTGCATTTCTCTAATGACCAGTGATGATGAGCTGTTTTTCATATGCTTTTTTTTTTTGGCTGCATAAATGTATTCTTTTGAGAAGTGTCTGTTCATATCTTTTGCCCACTTTTTGATGGGGGTGTTTGTTTTTTTCTTGTAAATTTGTTTAAGTTCCTTGTAGATTCTGGATATTAGACCATTGTCAGATGGGTAGATTGCAAAAATTTTCTCCCATTCTGTAGGTTGCCTGTTCACTCTGATGGTAGTTTCTTTTGCTGTACAGAAGCTCTTTAGTTTAATTAAATCCCATTTGTCAGTTTTGGCTTTTGTGGCAACCACTTTTGGTGTTCTAGTCATGAAGTCTTTGCCCATACCAATGTCCTGAATGGTATTGTCTAGGTTTTCTTCTAGAGTTTTTACAGTTTTGGGTTTTACATTTAAGTCTTTAATCCATCTTGAATTAATTTTTGTATAAGGTGTAAGGAAGGGGTCCAGCTCAGTTTTCTGCATATGATTAGCCAGTTTTCCCAGTATCATTTATTAAATAGGGAATCCTTTCCCCATTGCTTGTTTTTGTCAGATTTGTCAAAGATAAGATGATTGTAGATGAGTGGTGTTATTTCTGAGGTCTTTGTTCTGTTCCATTGGTCTATGTATCTGTTTTGGTAGCAGTACCATGCTGTTTTGGTTACTGTAGCCTTATAGTATAGTTTGAAGTCAGGTAGTGTGATGCTTCCAGCTTTGTTCTTTTTGCTTAGGATTGTCTTGGCTATATGGGGTCTTTTTGGTTCCATATGAAATTTAAAGTAGTTTTTTTTCTAATTCTGCAAAGAAACTCAGTGGTATCTTGATGGGAAGAACATTGAATCTATAAATTACTTTGGACAGTATGGCCATTTTCACAATATTCATTCTTCCTATCCATGAGGATGGAGTGTTTTTCCATTTGTTTGTGTCCTCTCTTGTTTCTTTGGGCAGTGGTTTATACCTCTCCTTGAAGAGGTCCTTCACATCCCTTGTAAGTTTTATACCTAGGTATTTTATTCTCTTTGTAGCAATTGTGAATGGGAGTTTATTCATGATTTGGCTGTCTGCTCATCCATTGTTGGTGTATAGAAATGCTTGTGATTTTTGCACATTGATTTTGTATCCTGAGACTTTGTTGAAGTTGCTTATCAGCTTAAGGAGTTTTTGGGCTGAGACTATGGGGTTTTCTAAATATAGAATCATGTCATCTGCAAAGAGACAATTTGACTTCCTGTCTTCCTAACTGAATACGTTTTATTTATTTCTCTTGCCTGATTGCCCTGGCCAGAACTTCTAACACTATAGGAGTGGTGAGAGAGGGCATCCTTGTCTTGTGCCAGTTTTCAAAGGGAATGCTTCCAGCTTTTGCTTATTCAGTATGATATTGACTGTGGGTTTGTCATAAATAGCTCTTATTATTTTGAGATATGTTCCATCAACCCTTGAATTTTTGAGAGTTTTTAACATGAAGGGATGTTGAATTTTATTGAAGACTTTTCTGCATCTATCTATTGAGATAACCATGTGGTTTTTGTCACAGGTTCTGTTGATGTGATGGAATACGTTTACTGATTTGTGTATGTTGAACCAGCCTTGCATCCCAGGGATGAAGCCAACTCGATCATGGTGGATAAACTTTTTGATGTGCTACTGGATTCGGTTTGCCAGTATTTTATTGGGGATTTTTGCTTCAATGTTCATCAGGGATATTGGCCTGAATTTTTCTTTTTTTGTTTTGTCTCTGCCAGGTTTTGGTATCAGGATGATGCTGGCCTCATAAAATGAGTCAGGGAAGAGTCCCTCTTTTTCTGATTGTTTGGAATAGTTTCAGAAGGAATGGTACCAGCTCCTCTTTGTACCTCTGGTGCAATTCTTGCAGCCCTATTTTACAGCTCACAGAAATTAATTAATTGAACAGTGCTTCTGATCTGGAAAGTGATGGACTCAGGCTTATAGCATAGGCAGCCTGACTCCACAGCTCAACTATTAAACACTACTCTCATCACCCCACAGGTATGGATAGGCTTTCTTGAAAATTGTTGACTAGGACTCGTCCATGGCCATATATATATACATATATGTGTATATGTATATGTGTATATATTATATATGTGTATATATTATTATATTATATATGTGTATATATTATACATGTTATATGTATTATACATATACATATAATACATACATATACATATACATAATACATATGATATATATATTACATATAATATACATATATCATATGTATATATTATAAATATATGTATATACATATGGCCATGGACAAGTCCTAGTTTATCATATACATATAATATATATGTGTATATATATGTAAGTAAATGACTTGGTATGAGACATTCTTGTTGATCCATCTTACTTGTTCCTAAGATACTTACCAACTGGTTTTCCATTTTGTCCTCAGGGCCTGAATTTTCTGCTCCTGAATTCAAAGTAAGTTTCCATAACCCTGATCTGCATAGTCAGGCATCTGGGACCTGAACATGGTTGGGACAATTTGCTGTCCATCATTATCTTTCTCTTTCAATTCTCCTTGAGCTGCTGTACCATTTTCAGTCCTAACTCCATATTTGTGTTCTCCCCAACACCCCCCACCCCCACCACTTTGGAAAAGCCAAATTTGAATCTTTGTTCAAATTCCATACTTAGCCTGCTGCCTTTTAGATATTATTCTTCTTGGCCTTATTTCCTACCTCAAGTTTTGAACATTTAGGACTGAGAGCATTGAATTCAGCGGATAGTTTGATTCTATAATAAAAGTATGATTAACTTTGGCATTGTTGGTCACAATCTAGACATCCATTGGATGGATTCATTCCCTCTTTTATTCTTCAAATATGTATTAAGCACCTGTCAGGTGCTAGGCATTGTGCTGTGTGCAGAGATAAGCCCATGAACAAGTTATTTCCTGCCCTTGCAGAATAGTTACAATAGTAAACAGTAGTTATAACAGTAAATAATAGATACAATAATAAACAAAAAGTTACAAAATGTACATTGAGGATTAAAACAGCGAAGTAACCAACAAGGCCAATGGAGCTTGAACAGAGTTTTGAAAGCTATATGGTTCATCATGTTGACTAGGAAGGCAGGATACTACAACCAAGGGAGTGGAATGTTGAAAGGTATATAACAGCATGGCCCAGCATAACCTAAAGCTTAGGATAGGACAAAGGGAATAGTCAGATGATGTAGGAGAGGGGTTTGGGGTTACATCAGGAAATGCTTCATATGCCATGCAAAGGAATTTGGGCTTTGAAGGGATTTAGGCCAGCCTATAAAATGATGAGATTTACCAGATTTACCCAGTCCTTTAAGCTTCTGCATGTCAACGTGCCACCAGGCTAGTGAACACACAGAAGTGATTAATGAGCTCTGTGACCACCCAGAAAACATTCCTGGCAGCTGCAAGCCCCAAGATACATCAGGAGTCTGCTTCTCTGGCAACATTTAGGTCAGAAATAAGTCTATTTTTGAGAGTTCTGCTGCTGCCTTAGTTGCTTGTCTCTTCATCTGCCCCACTACTGTAGTATATACAGGTGATTTTTTTTCCTATGGATTATTTTCAAGGGTTGATACAAACATTAACTGATTGAAAGAAGGTTTTTATTTACTCAGTTTTGAAGTAAGCTGAGATTAATTGTGCAAAAGCAAAAATAATTTGGTAGAACACACCAATTCTTACTAGCAAGAAGTATAGGAACTGATTATTCCCTGTGAAATAACAGTACTTTTGAAAATGGAAAGTGACAATATGTATTTGAGAAGGGCAGGCTGATAGCCTCCTCATTGCTTCAGCCCAGTCCTTACTTTATGATGATGCCAACAAGAGACATTTGTAGGGAGGTCCTGTAGTTACCCTCCCTGACTCCAAACCTCAGAAAGTTGACGGATAAAGTTGAACACACTCAATAAACCCAACAGCTCTGTTTCCATGAGTATTTAACTGTCATTTTGTATCTTCTGACAGCATTAAAATGTGTGGTATATCAGTACTGGGATTTATGAGGACAATGTGGTTAATTTAAATGCCTTTTGGAGCAAATAGGACGTATCTTATTCCAATTTTTTGAAGATAGAGAAAGTGCGTGGTCCTGAACACAACAGGTAATTGTCTAATATTCTGTTCATTTGGGGCTTTCTAACCTGGCCTATGGGAGCTGCTTCATATTTTCATGGTTTTTAACATGAGAACAACATTTTCCTCCAATTTTACAGTGATTGAAATTTCCAATACCTCACTTAGCCAAATAAAAAAAGTACAGGCAAGAAAATACTGTCCCAGGGATAGCATGCACATTTTTGTTTATGCAGTAATAGCAAGAATTGAGTATGAAGACAAGAGTCATTTGCCTGGATTTTTTTTTTCCTTTTTAATAAATGCAGAGGTGGTTACAAGAAGAAATAAAATGTTGGCTGGCAGAAGCAGCAGGGAAGATTTCATATTGAAGACTAACTAGTTCTGAGACGTTTTGGATGTCTTCTTGCAAACAAGTAATTGAAAATTAAATATTCTCTGTATAAAAAATAGGCACCTGCTTGCAAGCTTTGTGTTCTATTATTTCTGCTTTTCTCCCTTGGTGCCAGATTTCCATGTGCTTGGAATAATTCATGAGAATTACTTTAAAATTTCAGGAAAAGGCAGTGGATAGAAGCTTTCTACCTAGAAAAATACTATATAGTTGATATCTGAGTTTAAAAATAAATAGGAATCTTTCCCTTTGCACTATCTACCATAAACTTGGTGCCATAAAAAAGCAATAATTTTAGACCGAGGAGCCCAGGGCACAAGACCCCACTTCCATTGATAACTAACTGTATCCTTGGGCAAATGCATTCATCTTCTTGAAACCCAGTTATATGGTCTGTAAAGTGATGCAGGTGGGGGTGCAGGGTATGCTCAATAATCATTAAGGACTCTATAGCTTTAATGTTCTATCGTCATTTATTATATTTTAGGTTAAACACCAATGAATTGTGAAAAACAAAGGCAGAAATGTAGGGCACTGTCATTAATGCAATTGGGGGTAAATTGAGTTGCTCTTTTCTCACACCCTAGGCTGAAATAAACAAGCACACATTTAAAAGTGAAACTTGGGAATATAGCAAAGCAAATACATAGGATTGACCAAACCAAAGCTTTGCAGGCAGTGGAGGTTCTGATACGAGCTGTACCCTGCAGTTCATGCATATCACTTGAAGAGTGAGGTTATGACTCACAAGTGGGACTCTTGCCTCATCCCTCAAACCTCAGTTCTCACAAATATTCCAGATCAGTGGGAGTCTGCTTTGTCTGCCTTGGAGAGCCAAGTCATTTTGGGCTGGGAAGTAATAGGTATCTAAAATGAATGCTTGAGCAATGAGAGAAAAATAGATCCTCCAATGTCCTGGAACACAAACCTCCTTCGAGGTCCAAGGATAGAATCAGAGTTGTTCTAAATGAATTTTCTTTCATTTTGTTTTATCACACTAAAAACTATCTTTCGGACGATTTTTTCTGTCAAATGAATAACTTATTAAGGCAACTATACGGTAGCTTGAGGCATTTCTTTAGATAATTAAGTTATATATCCTTACCATTGTTGTCATGTTATGATGTCTAGAATAATTTTTCTTTGATAAACGTTAGGAATAATGTATTCCACCCTATGACTGTAAATATCTCATTAAAGATTGCTCATTTAAGGCACAGATTGAGTTAGCTTAAGCATCAAAAACAAATTATACCATGATACCAGATTCTCCCTTGGAACCTAAGGATTTAACTGGACTCCAGAAAGAAACTGCAACAAGAGAGATTAACACTAAACTCATTTTATTTTACTGGGCTCATTTCTGTCCATCTACTTCATTCCATTGTCTCTGCAAATCAACTTCCAACATTTTTCTGGTCTATGGACTATATAATAGAAAATACAGCCCCCAACAATTCCAGGTTTTTCATAATATGAATAAATTTAGCCACCCAGAAAGAACCTGATTTCTCTTACAGTACCAGCTTGAAAATTCCCAGGCAGGGATTTGATTAACTCAGCTTGGGGAAGGTGTGTACCCACAGTGGGATTAACTGTGTCCAGGGTTTGGGGAACAGTAGCTGTTCCTGCTGCCTCCAATGGATGAATGAGGTAATGCAAGTTCTTAGAAAGACATTGTCATTACCGGGTATTAATGTATAGAAATGTACAGTCCACCCTTGGTCCCCCAGTAAACATGTATATAACATTCTTTTCATACATGCAACTCCAAAACGTCCTGCTTAAAATTCCCCAACTTTCCCAGGTGAAACCCCAAACAGTAGTTTTCTGGCCTAAAATCATACTTGCCCTGCATTCTGTGATATAATGACCTAAGCAATATTTCTCTGTGACTAGGCTTTCTGAGGACTATCTATTCCTATTCCACTCAAGTTCAATAATATATTTATATGGTTCCTTACAATATGTAATACATCTAATAAACAATAATAGAGAAAAATCAATATAATTAAAATAAAACTTATTTTTTGTTAAAAAATGAAAAATGCTGTGGTATAATTTGGTCACTGGTTCAGAGAATATCCTGATTATTAAATTATAAGATGAAAAAACATCTTGGGCCTCCATTTGTTAACTCCCTTTGAAAGTGAAGTAAAGTTTTTGGTTAATGCATTTATTGATTGGGAGGGTTTCCTGTAATACGTGTTCTTCAGGAGCAACATTTGAGCCTGGGATTTTGGAGGATTTCTCTATAGGAGGCTAAGCCAACTTTGTAGTTCATTTCTTATCAGTGTCTGTATCAGTGTCTTGCCTTCCTGTGTTTTCTGGAGATACAACTGCTACAAAAGATTGGTCAGTTGTCTGTCAATTTCATTTGAGAAAATTCTATTTTTAAATAACCTGTGAAAGAAATACTGAGCTGTATTCTTTGAATCCCTATCCTGACCTGGGTCTTGTTGAATGTACTTTACGAAAGGGCCATTGTATGGGGTCATCAATGTGTCTACCCCCGCCGTATTGGTGCTTCAGAGGGGCACCTTAAGTTTCCTGGGACCCCACAGATATTCTCATTCTGATTTGTAAAATCCAATTTATATGTTCTAATTTCAGAATAGAATGCAACTGAAGAAATGGCTGGTGCAATTCAGCAAGGTAAAAGATTATCTTACCCCCAGCTGGTTAAAGGCAGAAGCTATGAATTTGTGCTATTGTCTGTGGGCTCCTTTCAGGTGAGCCATCTTGAACTGAAGATTATTCCTTTCATAAAAAACTCATAATGAAGCCTGAATAAATCAGTCAACATACTAAAATATTTTGACATTTTGCCACCAAGTCTCCTAAAAATCTTGGGTACTAGATGTAACAGAAGATAAATAACCAACTGTTCTGCTACCACAGGCATAATCCTCCTCCTGGTCCCAAATAAAGAATTCTTGCTGTCCTCACCCCACCTTCATTCAACTAGTGTGCAAATTCTGCATTCAAAATTCTTTCTAGGATAAACAAGTTGCATACATTCATACAATGGAATTTTACTCATCTATAAAAAGAAAGCAACTTAATGAGGTCTTGATTCAGTGATACAAAAATATGGATGTCAAAAACATGCTGAATCAAAGATGTAAGACATGAAAACACATATGGTATAATTTTGTTTATATTAAACAAAATCAGAAAAAAACTATTCTACAGTAATAGAAGTCAGAAGGTGATTGCCTCTGCGTCAGGGATTGGAGGACTGTCTGGAAAGGGACACAAGTAAATATCCTGGAGTAATGAAAGTGTTCAACCTCTTGCTTTGGGTAGTTGTTACATAGATGCTTAAAATTGTGAAAACATCAAATTGAACATTTAAGATTTGCGAATTTTGTGTTTAAATTATATCTTAATTAAACATACAACTATTTTTTATCACTAAAGATTACAGAAATCTTACTCAAATTAGCTTCAGAAAAAAAAAGCAATAGATTATGGGGATTTGAGATTATCTCATGGAAGGCAAGAGGGATGCATATGGGCCTAAGCAGTGAACTAGAGCCAGGGATTTGAATGTGTTTGGGACTCTCGTTCTCCCACTAAAGCTAATATTAGCATATCTGCTTTGTTTTCCTTGCCTCTCTATATCTTCCTTTACTTCTCAGTTCCAAATGATGGAAAACAAAGATAAAAAACAAAGATGATGACAGTTCCTGAGTATGGTATACTATAGGATTATTTGATTCTTCACCAATTCAGCAAATATTTGTTGGTATTAATTGCTGATTGCCACAGCATGCCAGGTATTCTTCCAGGTCTTGAGGCTATATCAGTGAACTAGTCAGGCAAATTAATTAGAAGGGCATATTCTAATTTAGGGAAAAGAGATAAGTAAACAAATACACCAAAATATGATTTTAGGTAATAATTAGGATGTTAGAAAAGGGAGAATGCCACATTGGGAGGCCAAGGCGGGTGGACCGCCAGAGGTCAGGAGTTCGAGACCAGCCTCACCAACATAGTGAAACCCTGTATCTACTAAAAATACAAAAAATTAGCCAGGCTTGGTGGCGGGGGCCTGTAATCCCAGCTATTCGGGAGGCTGAGGTAGGAGAATCGCTTGAACCTGGGAGGCAGAAGTTGCAGTGAGCCAAGATAGCGCCATTGCACCCTAGCCTGGGCAACAAGAGCAAAACTCCATCTCAAATAAATAAATAAATAAAAGGGAAAATTCAAATCAAAGGGACTTGAGGAGAGAGTACTTTAAATGAGGTCATGAAGGAAGGCTGCAACTTGGATGATGAGGAGGAGCCTGTCATAGGAAAATTAGAGGACATTAATTTTAATTTTTAGGAAGAGCAAATGTAAGGTCTTTGAGTCTGGAATGAGTTTGCCATATATAAAAAATAGGAATATTAGTGAGGCTGAATGAGGGGTAGAGTGATAAAAAGTAAAGTCAAAAAGGTAGGCAGAAGCTGTCCTGTAGTACAGTGCAGATATAGAGACAGAGTTGATCTTTATCTTAAGAATAATGGACAACCATTGTGTGATTTTAATCAGGGGAGAAATCAAATCTGATTTATATTTTTAAACCTAAGATATTAGACTCTTATCAGGTGGCTCTGATATTCCTTTCTTAACTTTAGCCTCTTAAAAAAAAGTTCTTAATAGTAGAACCAAATTCTCCAGAGAAAAGATGTATTTGTCCCATCTGGGTCAGGTGTCCAATGCTTAATTCAATGGCTGTGGCCACTGAATGGATCATTTTACAGAAACATGGTAGCTCCTATCCAACTATACATTTGGAAGAAAGATGAGTTTTCAGAAAATGTGAAATAGATAGACAAACCTGAAAATGCTCACTTGAAATTCAATGCAAAAACTGGTTTTCTGTGAATTTTTTTTACTGCACTGCCAAATAGAAGGTATGACACAAATTGGAGAGCCTTCAAGGATCCACATGCTTTAGAAATAGGAGAAGTGGTTTCTGGCTTGGTTTGTAGTTTGTGCCTCTGTCTACATCATCTACTCCAGAAATGCTGATATTCGCTTAATATTTTGAAGCAAGTCTTAGAGCAATTGGCAGATGTGCCATTTTCCTTCAGCATAAACTAGATGGAATTGCTGATATCTCCAAGTGCAGTTAGTTACAGTTACTAGCTTTCTTCCTTCACAGCTTGCTAGTGGGCATGGGACTAGGTCTATATTGTTTACTCCTGCATCTACAGTGAGTGAATAAGTAAATCATTATGCTATCAGAAATACCCTTATATTTTATGTCTGTTCTGGAAACTTTAAGAAAATTAGTATCTTCAGATTTTTAAGAAGAAAAACGTACTATATTTGATTGGAAGAAAAATTGGGACAAAAAATTGGGACATTATGGTTAGGTAGAGCATTTGAAGTGTTTGGCAGAACATCTGGGGTTTTTTTGTTGGCTGAAGATAGAAGCCATCATGGCTTATTGGCAGTTAATTATCTTTCCTGTTTCCTGCTGTATCCCTCACGCCTAATAAAGGTCCTGATATATAGTTGGTGCTTCATAAATATTTGCTAGATTAAGTATTATAAATACATCAGAATGTATTGAGATCAAAGACTTTTGCCAATTACCTTGAAATAAGTCTTGTCTACTGCTGTGAAATCATCACCTTCATGAAAAAGAGGGTTTCTTCAAAAAGTTTCTAAGAAATGGAAAGAGAATATAAGTTTCTTCTCCACTGTGTAGAAAAATCTTTTAGAAGATAAGTTGACTTTTGGAAGACAAGTTTCAAAGGCCTGGATTGAACCTGAGGAATAATCCCCTTTTCACTTTTATTGAGGGTTAAAGAAAGCCCATTCTGAGCAGTTTGACAAGGAGGGGCTCACTACCAGTCTGAATTGGTGAATAATTTTAGCCATGCTAATCAGGCAGCTTTCTGTTTCAATGTTCTGCAGTAACCAACAAGGTTTTACTGAAGGCCTGTAATCTCTTGGTGGAGCTGCTCCACTAAAAGAAGAAAACGGAGGCAGTGTGCTCTGTGAGCTATCTCACGGCAAAATAAATGCTTCTGTAAAGTGCATGTGCTGAAGCAACAACATAAACAGTGGCAAAATGTTCTGTACATGAGTCTTACACATTTCAGGGGAGGCCACCCACAGCTTTCAAAGGATTCTCAATGAGCCTTTGACTTCAGAATGTTAAGAACCACTGTTACCTCAACATTTAATTCACAGATGAAACCACACCGAGGTTAAAAAGCACTCTGATAGCTTCGGTTGATAGTGGTCATTTTTCTGTCATGTGAGAGGATTTAATGAGGTTAAAAGGTGAAGAAAAGTAGACAGGCCAGTCAGGTCCCCTTCTCGAACAGCTGATTCAGACTATACCCCAACCATCTGTCTTAAACTCCCATACTCCAGGCCACTCTGTACCAGCCCTAATCGTCCTGGGGCCAGGTACCAGACAACCTGGACAGGTTCCAGGAACAGACCTATTCCCTGACGCCTGAAAAGTTATTCTACAGCCAATCTATGGAAAGTCTGTGAAACCTAGCTAACCCTGTCGCACTTCCCATCCATGAGTTGGCCGCTACAGCTCCAGCTTGCTGTTATCTTGTCCCCAGCACAACTCCCTGTGCTCTCTTTGGGAGCAGAAAGTTAAATAGAGTTCTGCCTTTCACCTATCCAAATGTCACTGCATGTGTCCCACCATCAAAAGAATCTTTAAATCTTATAGCACATCTTTGTGGTAATTCCATGAAATAAACTGAATGATTGCAGATGAGGAAACTGAACCTCAAAGGGGTTAGTAAAGTGGCCGAAATTTAACAATCTGTTAATTGTAGAGCTGGTATTACAACCTACATCTATTAAATATGCACTGAGTACCAGTTTTAAGTTTATAAATTTAAGGAACTTTTAAATAGTATATATAATCCAATGACTGTCCTCAGTCTTTAAACACAAATGAGACACAGAGAAACATTACATAATATTTGGTTAAGATAAGTGACTGGGCCAGTCGTGTTGGCTCATGCCTGTAATCTCAGCACTTTGGGAGGCTGAGGTGGGTGGATCAGCTGAGGTCAGGAATTCAAGACCACCCTGGCCAACATGGCAAAACCCCATCTCTACTAAAAATACAAAAATTTGCTGGGCGTGGTGGCGGCACCTGTAATTCCAGCTACTCGGGAGGCTGAGGTGGGAGAATTGCTTGAACTTGGGAGGCAGAGGTTTCAGTGAGCTGAGATCGCACCACTGCACTCTAGCCTGGGTTACAGAGTGACACTCTGTCTAAAAAAAAAAAAAAAGATAAGTGACTGAAAAATATATAAATATTAATGATCATCACAGAAGTAATGACTGCTCACTAACAATGAAATAAGCTTCATTCATCCCTCCAGTATTTATTATTAGTAAATAATTTTTCATGCAATTTTCTATTTATGGAGTCAAAAACAGAGAAATAAAAAATATGACAAAGGTTTAGCTTCAAGAATATACACTCTAGCCATGTAGAAATATGCTGGAGACAACACTTACAAACTTGTAAGCTATTGTTTAACTTTTAGAAAATTTTCAAGCTGGTTGTTAAACATTTGGAAACTTAGAATTGGTCCTGGTGAAAATCCTTGCACCACAGAAATTATCAATATTATGGACTAGGGCTTTCTTTTTTAACCAGAGAGAAATATCAGCATATCACTGCTGCCATGTACATATTGGCAGAAAAAATATTAATACCTAAGAATTAGAAATTGCTTTAACAAAATAATATAAATAAAATATTTAATAAATTAAAGTACATTTATATAACAAAAATATTTTAACCTTAATATCATACTATAGGGAATATCAATATGGGGTAATGTATGATATATATACACACACACATATATGTAGCATATATATATATAGAGAGAGAGAGAGCTAATTTTAAGCTGTAGTTTGCAAAGTAGAAGTTCAATGTAGTCTCTTTTGGTGAAATAATAATAATAAAGATGCAAGGAAAAAAGACTGGGAGGATATATATGTAAATCTTAAAACTGGTTATATTTGGCTGATGGAATTATGGGTGAGTTTTGTTGTCTCTCTAGATTTTCTAGACTTTCTGCATTTGACATAAATTACTTTTGCGAAACTTCTTTCTGAACTTCTTTCTAAATGTAGGGTCTTGATGTGAACTTGATTGTTTTTGTCCTGTCAGTGATCTTGGATTGCCTTGCAGCTGTCAAACACATTTAGAGATGACAGGTGAAGAGAAATGTGTTGTCATGTAGCCATAGAACTCATAATAGACTGGAAACCAGAAGGCCTGGGTCTGAGTCCCAACATTGTTCATTGTTAGTTGGGTAACATTAGGCAAGACTTGAACTTCCCCGTAAAACCAGGAGGGTCATACTTCCCCTTATTACCCCTGCAGGCTCATTGTGAGGACAAAGTAACCTAATGGATGAGAAACATTATAAATACAAAAAAAAAAAGGCATTGTTATGAGGCATTTTAAAGAGTTCCTTATGTGATTATAGACTAATTCATCTCTTAGGTATCTGTTTTCCAATTTGAAAACATTACCTCCTCTGTCCTATCATCTTAATTGCTTAATTTCTCATCACTTATTTACTCTTTTTCAGCTTTCTGTTTTTCTCATGCATGAGAAAAATGCATTTCAGCTGAAAACAGTATTATGAAGGAGAAGTACTTCAAAATAAAACACTTTACTCAACCCAAAAGACTCACTATAAGGTGCATTAATTTATTGCTGTGATTACAATTCACATTTTAATTTGTAATTTCTCACTTAATGTCTAAGTTTCTTGCGATAGACTGTAAGCTTTCTGATATCAGGCAGCGAGTTTCCCCACAGCCTGTGTCACCTCATGCAGTGACACATTGTAGCCATTCAATAAATACCTCTTAACTGAAGGAAGGAATGCATACTCGACAGCTCAGAAAGGATTCATAGATATATAGAAATGAATAAATGTATAATGTCCCTCACAATAGTGAGCACATAACTGCTGTTTCCTTTCAAAGAGGGAAGGGATAAGGTTTGACCTGGAACAGGAGGGATTAATGGACATAGTACATGCCTGATTAACTTGGCAAATGTTTATTTATTGCAGTTCTCAAACAGTAGCTGCCACTTCTAGCTGGGAGAGAAATGAGAGCTCTGCTCATGGTGATCCAGTATCTCCAGAATCCATCACCACTGCTGACCTCCCACTCCATGTCTCCAAGTGCTCTGCTATACCTGCCACCAGCAGCTGCCACCTCCAGACTTTGGAAGGTTATAATAAAACCTCTGTTCTACGATCTGCCTTCTGCTTCAACATCCTCACTCCCCACAAACAATTCTAATAAACAGCAATTAATCTGAAAGTGTTTTTGCAATTTTAATGTATGAGATATGGTTTCTCTCAAAAGCTACACTGCTCTTGTGTCCTTACAAGGTATTTTCTTAGCAAGAATAATCTGTTTGCATGGGTGTTAATGACTAAATCCCTTTCTTGTAAAGTTATGCCCATCTGTCACACAAGAAGAATAGTACCCTTTAGAGAGCGCTGAAATGTAGGGAAATGTAGGGAAAATGAGCAGCTATTCAAAAAGGTAAAATGCTGCCACAGAGCCTGATAAGAGCAATTAATTAAACATTAAGTGTAGAATAGGGAATATATGGCATGGGATAAATTATAGTCACAATTCATGTTTCTTTTGTCTCCAGAAGTTCACACACAAAAACCCATGCCTTTACAAAACAATAAATTCAGCACTGTCAATGATGCTTGTTTCCTCATGAATGTTGCAGAGGTCTCTCCAAGTGACTCAGTTGCATGGAAAAAGTTGTGTCACAAAGAACCAAGGTGAGCTGAAGCAGAAAGTGGGAGAAATGAGGTGCAAGGGTGTAGAGGAATAGGATTTGGACAACTGAGAGTGAAGAAAGGAGGTTATACATTTAAAGCAACCTTGTCTTGCTTCTCTAAAGCACCTCAAAGTTTATCAGCAAAAACTATCTCTCTGCCTTCTCTTTCACATAGCAATTATAGCAATTTCTTAATCTCAGGAGGATGCTACTATCTTCTAAGGCAATAAAACCTGTTCTAGAATTATGTTACTAGCTTGCAAAATGCTTTTGCTAAGGCTTCCTAACAATGCCATCTAAAGAAGTTCCCTTTTTAGAGATGATATCATATCCCACATATTTGAAATATTTAAGGAGAGCAGAGATTTAAAGTACAATTTATTTCTGGTGAAGACAAAATGGAAAGTGTGTTACATACTGATTGAAAGGCAGCCACGAAAATAGGCTTATTTCAGTACTTTCTATTGTTATTAGAATCCATAAAGCTCTGAAAAAAAGATGTTTGATCTTAAATCTGAGTGTAATAGAACCAATCTGATGGTTTTCTCTAAGCAAGAGGTGAGGAGATGGCATAGAAACCTGTTTTGTGTGATGGCGGTGAGATAGATCATACCATTTTAATTGGTATCAAGATTGAAATGGTTGCACAAAATTATCCCTCTGGGATTGTTTTACTGCTGAGGTATTATAGATTTACACTCAGCTTGGTAAAACTTCTTAGAAAAGGTAATTTCTATCCTGAATACAAAGTCTAAACAGAGTTAGGAGAAAAAGAATACATGCAAACTTACAATTGTCAGTTTAAAAACCACATCTACAATTACAGAGTATAAAGTGGCCCTGGCTAATCAGATACAAATTCAGTAAATCTCTCATGCATGAATCCCATCTCAATTAACTACTAAAATGCAAGAGTATATTTAAAAACACACACACAGAGAAAAGAGATCTTAAAGGAATTGCATTCTCTCAGATAGTTTGATGAGTCTCTGAAGGTAAACCAGGTCTGTTGCTATGCAGAAGATCAGCAGAATCTAGGGAAGGAATGTGAAAGATCCATGACATTGTAATTCAGCATTACAGGGTTTGCCAACCACATTTCATTCTCACCCACTAAATTAGGAATGTAAGGCACTGCCAGCAAGCAACAAGACAATGCAAAAGGAGATAAAAGCCCAAGCAATGCTACTTGTTCACTAATCACCCAAAAAAGAAACCTGTCACTGCACAGCTCGATACAAACATTGGAATGAGATACTTTGCAAAAGAGCCCTAAAATGAGTTAGGACACAAAACATTTTTATGAAGCACTATTTCACATAGAAACTGCAGAGATGTTTTCTTTAATCATGTACAGAACAGCTACAACAGTCCAATCTGCATAGAAGTGTTCTTTCTACACAGAGAAACAGTTAATCACCAATTCTTTATCTCATTTCACCCCCACAGTAGCCTTCCGAGGTATGAATTATTTGCCCTCAACTAAAAGACGAGAACATGAAGTCTCCAAGAGTTAAATGACTTACACACAGTCCTCAGTCAGTTTGGTGGGGAGGTCGATCCCAAGTCCTCTTGAGGTCCAGGGTCCCTGTAACAGGTGCTCTAAAGCAGTGCTTCTCAGACTCTCTATGGTGAAGGACTTCTTAAAATTACAATTTGTCACTTTTGTAATGATGCTTAAAAAAGAAAGATTTACTCGCAAAATAAAATTTTAAAAAACAAGAAGAGATACTGACTCAGATATTTCAAGAATATGTTTGAAACATATAAAATTACACTTTGAAATTGCTATAAAAATAAATGCTTACCTTCAATTACCACCACAGACTGGTAACAAATGATTCCTGGGCAAACATCAGTTTATATTCCACACTTTGAGCAACTTTGTGTTGATCTACTGGTTCAATGAATATGTATTTGATGGTCCCCAAACCACACACACACAAATGAAAAACTCTTCCTGGCTTCAAAGTAAGCAGAATGACTAGCTGAGCCACTCTCGGTCACCCGGTCTTTCCCTGGACCATCCTCCAAAGAACATTTTCAGAAAACATCAACACTTGGCCCCTACATTTTTGGTGTAGAAGAATGATCTAAGTCTACCCTTGCTCTCCAGACAACTGTTCTGCCTATGTGTGGATTCCGTTCTTGCACTGGGGTGAAATGAAGCTTGACAAGGAGTGGGGAACAGAGGGCAGATGGGTTTGCATTGTTCTCCTTGGATCTTTCTCACCTTTATTTTTACCTAGGATGGCTCAAAGCTCTGTCTAGGGCTGCACGGCAGATCCTGTGTTAGAGCTGTGTTTGCACTGCAAACAATGGCTTTTACCCAGCTTATTCGTTAGAGATCAATAAAAGCAGTGGTTTTTCTGAAGCTGTTTTTACTTACTTACACTTTACATAAAATTATAAAAATTATCTGTATCAAAATTTTATATCCTCACTTTTAGTTAGGCTGGCTTGAGAGAACTGAGGGAGATGGGCTACAAGCGGTGGCTCACGCCTGTAATCCCAGCACTTTGGGAGGCCAAGGCGGGTGGATCACCTGAGGTTGGGAGTTTGAGACCAGCCTGACCAACATGGAGAAACCCCGTCTCTACTAAAATTAAAAAAAAAAAAAAAAAATTAGCCGGGTGTGGTGTGGTGGTGCATGCATGTAATTCCAGCTACTCGGGAGGCTGAGGTAGGAGAATGGCTTGAACCTGGGATGTGGAGGTTGCGGTGAGCTGAGATCACTCCATTGCACTCCATCCTGGGCAACAAGAGCAAAACTCCATCTCAAAAAAAAAAAAAAAAAGAGGAGAGAACTAAGGGAGATGACTAGGAGTGGAGTCTCTAAGTAAAAACATATGTTCCTTCAACTTTCTTCCTTTCCTTGCTACCATCCTGTTTACCGTTCCTCGTCAAAGTCACATTTTTTTGAAAGAAATACTTATACTGTGGAAGCACCATTACTATGATTCTTATTCCTACTATGGTTTTCTGTCGTACTTGAGATAGGCTGTTTTAATTACCTGGCTTTACTTAGGAAAGAAGAAATATTAAGGTTTAAAGTCTGTAATGATCAATGGCTCATAATTCATTAAATCTTTTCATACAAGGAAAATAACAACAAAAAAAGAAATACTGCCTATCACCTTCCATTACTCCCAAACTTACTAGATTTTCTGGTTTTTTTTTTTTTAAATAAAAATCATATTTCTGAAATGGCTATGGCTAAAATTGCCAATTACCTTCTTACAATAAATACAGTGGATACATCTTAGACATTCTCTTATTTAATATATCTGAAGTAGTTAACATTGTTGACCAGCATCACTTTAAAAAAAAATGTATGGAATAGAAAGAACTTGAATGAAAGCAAAAGCCTTGACCTACCTCCCATAAACCATTTCTCTCTTTAGTTCTTCTTATAGTTACCACCAAATCTAATTTACAAACACTTTTGAAGTGTTTATAAATGTAAGACAATGCTCTGAGTACTTTACAAATGTTAATTTATTTAGTGGCCTCAGTAACCTAATGACCTTATAAAGTAGGTACTATTATTAGAGTCATCTGCGGTTGAAGAAGTTGAGGCTGAAGGACAATTATTTTTTTCTATGGAAACTTTTTTTTTTTCCTAGCTCCAATCTAGACCGATTATCTAGACCTGCCAAGCAGCTTCCATCCCAGAATTCTCTACCCTGCTTTCCCATGTTGAATCTACTCTATACAGAATCTGGTGTTATCCTCTTTCTTGATTTTTTAAATCTCCTTTAACTGTTTTTTATATGATAGTGGTTTTATAGAAATAAAGTGGATAATACATAATGTTTCATCTAATTTCAGATAATTAGTTTATATTCACATTGAGAATAAAGTGACATTTGTTCTTACACAAAAAGTTTATTTTTTAACTTTTATTTTTAAATTCAGGGATACATGTGCAGATTTCTTACATAGGTAAACTGTGTCAAGGGGATTGGTGTAAAGCTTATTTAGTCCCCAGGTATCAAACCTAATGCCCACTAGTTAGTTATTTTTCCTGATCTTCTCAAGAAAGGGTGCATAGTATTATCGTCTGAATGTGCCTCCCCTAAAATTCATATGTTAAAATCCTAACCGACAAGATGATGGTATGAAAAGTTGGGGCCTTTAGCAGGTGATTATGTCATGATAGCACAGCCCTCATGAATGGGATGACTGCCTTTATAAAAGAGACTGCAGAGAGCTTGCTCTCCCCTTCTACCGTGTGAGCACATGGCAAGAAGGTGCCATCTATGAACCAGGAAAGGGTCCTCACCAGATACAAAACCTTCTAACACCTTCATCTTGGACTTTCCAGCTTCCAGAGCTGTGAGAAATAAATTTCTGTTGTTTATAAACCACCCATTTTATGCTATTTTATTATAGAAGCCCAAATGGACTAAGACACATGGGAAATAAAAGTTTTATGACTCCTTGCATATCTAAAAATACCTGCACTCTGCTCATGTACTTAAGTGATAATTTGGATAGAAATAGAATTCTGCATTGAAAAAAAGATTTACCTTGGAAAGTTAAAAGTATTGTTTTACTGTGTTCCAATAGCCATTGTTACTGGTGAAATAAGTCTAATACTAGTCAATTGTAATTACGTAGTATATGGAATGTGATATGCTGATATGATTTTTCTACTTTAGAATCTTTTTAACCCCTTGATGTTTTGAAATTTTGTATGTAAGCTCTAGCTGTAGGTGTGTGGTAGACAGAATTCTAAGATGTTTCCCAGGATTTTCCATTCCTCCAGTCTATCACATGTTATACACATTCCCAGGGTCTGTGAATGTGATAGGTTTTACTCCTAGGACTAGGTTATGGTTATGGCACAACTGACCTTAAAATAGGAAGATTATCAGTGAGTCTGAACTAGTTGCAAAAGCCCTTTAAAAAAACCAGTGTTTTTGGCTGGCTGCAGAAAAGGAAGTCAGACATTGGAAGCACAAAAATGATTTAACATGTCACTCCTGGCTTGAAGATGGACAGAGTCACATGGTAAGAAATGTAAGTGGCCCCTCAATGCTGAGATGAATCTCACTGGTGTAATTGCTGGCAGAGTAAAAGAGATTATTTTGAGCAGAGAGCTTTTCTTGAAAGGAACTCTCAAATATACTTTTCTTACTAGTCCTGGGAAAGAAGGGGCAAATGAGTATTTGACTTTTCGAGTACCTCTTTTTAGTGAACAAAAACAGAAAAAAATTAGGTTGAGCAGAAGGCTCAGATATCACCAAAAATCTCTAAATTATTAATCTAAGGATCTTGGACATGACCCTGGAATAAAAGAAGAGAAACATTTTTGTACCCTGATAGGTTTTGCATGTGTTTCAGCACCCGAGTACCCACTAGTTATTTTTCCTGATCCTCTCAAGAAAGGGTGCATGGTATTATGGTCTGAATGTGCCTCCCCTAAAAGTCATATGTTGAAATCCTGTAAAAGATAAATCCCAATTCGTCTAAAGAAGAAGTCACCAAACTATGGCCCATAGGCTGAATCTGTACTCCCAACTTTTGGAATAAAATGTAGTTGGAACACAGCCATGCTCATTTGTTTATGCACCATGGTATGTGGCTACTTTTGCACTACAACAGCAAAAGTGAGTCATTGTGACTGAGACAGTATGGCCAATAAAGCCTAACATTTACTACCTGGCTCCTAAAAGGGAAAGATTGCCTACCCATGGTCTAAGGCAAAAAGGGTAATCCCATTCCCCTTGTCAATAACTGGTTTAGGAAAGGGCATATTGATAGAGACAGGAGGCAGAGAAACTCTAGGCAGACAGAGGCAGGTCCCTGATGAAGCCCCACCTTCAAGCCGAAAAGCCTGAAACCCATGGTTCAAAGTGAGAACTTCTATCCCTATTTGCCCACTCTCTCCCAATTGGTTCTTTCTAAATAATGTCTTTTTACCAATTGAATATTGCCTTTTCCAAAACTGCCTATGGTCTACCCCAACCCCAGCCTGTGCCTATAAAGACCCCAGACTCAGCTGGTAGAAGGGAGAAGTGGCTGGACACTGAGGAGAGGCGACTTGACTTCAGAGACAATGGCTGGACAGCAGAGAGAGGCAGAGGCGCGACTTGACTTCAAGGGAAAGTGACCTGCCTTTCTCATCCTCTTTCCAGCTTCTCTCTCAGCCAACAGCCACTTTCATCGCTCAATAAAATTCTCTGCATCCACTATCTTTCAATTCATCCACGTGACCTCATTCTTCTGGGACATTGAACAAGAATTCAGGACCCACCAAGTGCAGGTACACAAAAATGCTGTCACACTGGCCCTTTGCCCTCACTGGTAGAGGACAGCCACCCCACGTGATGAGGCAAAGGGCCCACTGAGCTGATAACACACTGCTGTCTGCGGATGGCAGAGTTAAGAGAGCATTGTAACATGCCTTCTGGGGCCTTGAGGTCAGGCACCCCCACCTGGAGGCTGCCGCAGGGCCTGCACGGAGTTTGCTTCTACGGGTGCCAAAGCAGCCGGCTGGTTCCTACACTAGCTCGCTTACATACTCCCTCCCACGAGGGATTGAGCATTGTGGGCTAAGTAAACAGGGCACCCCTGTCACAGTCCCATGAAGGGGTCAAGAAAATACCCTTCATCAGTAGGATTCATAATTGCCTGTGACATATGAAAGGAAGATAGCTGTGGAGCTTTGGAGAAAGGTTTCCACACTTTTAAGGAAACATGCTATTTTTCTTCTGCTGTGTGTTGGGTCTGGAGGTGAGAATGACAGAAAGGAAGTATGGAAAGGGCCTGCTTCCTAGACAGTGTGTTTGAGCATTAAATTAATCCAATGTAGGAGCTGCTTTTCCTCAGAACTTCTAATGTTGTGAGATAATAAATGCCCATTGTTATTTAAATCATTTTGAGATGAGTTTTTCTTGTATACTGCTGAAAGTTTCCTACTTGTAACACAACCCCGCTTCTAACACAAAGCTCTTCAGGAGAAGAGGTAATAAAAACTAGGCCTCTGTTTTCATTTTCTGCCACACTGTCTTGAGGACTGTGCTGCCCTGGTTACAGCTCAACCTCTTAAGGAAGGAGGCCAATTCTGTGAATCAAATGTTCCTTTGAACTGAAAAATCATGTTTATTCCAACTTCTGTTTGGGGCCTTCTGTCTGCTGGAGGCTTCTAGAACATTTGTGTCATGGAGGAAAATTCTCATTTTAGAAGTAAAAAATTTGTCTGTCTGGATTTTTTTTAAAGGTGCATCTAAATTGCTTTCTTTACTTGAAGATTTTTTAAAGACAGTATTTAAATGTGAATATCAAATTTATTAGATTTTCAAACTTCCATAAATTTTTAACACAGTTAGATTTCAATTCATATATATATATATGTATCTTCACAGGTTTTAAATATTTTACTTTTTTCTCCAGGTGATGGTATGAAATCATGATAGTTTCTAGAAGCATAAAGTGATTATTTCATTTTGTCTTACTAATAAATACTTTCTGAGTAAAGCATTTTATGTGATATCCCAAAGTAGTACCTTAAATTGAATTTAGTAAATCCAGTAACTTAAACTCCTTTGATTTCATCACCTAATCTACATAAGTCAAGGTTCCTCAGAGAACTAATTGAAGCTATTTTCCCATTTGTAGTTGAAACAAGTATTTTTGCAATGCAGCCCCATTTCATAATAAAATTCTCGCTGGCAAATTCTGTTCTAGTATGTAATTGTGATAGTCCTAAAGGCACTTTTAATTCTGTTAGAGGCAAATTGTTCATGCTACTAGGTGCAAACCTATAAAATAAAGGGGAAATTCCCAATATACACAGAAAAAGTTGGATCTCATTATTTATATCTCCGTATTTTGTCTGTTTAATCTTTTATAAAGTTTCTTTTTGCTTCAAGGGAAAAAACAGTGACACACTTTTAAGAGAGGATTTTGAAGCACATAGTAAATGCAAGTTAATAAGCATTTTTAGAAATATGTTCTTACTTGAAAATATTCTTTTTTGCATCATTTCACTTAATACTAATTTTATCTATTCCTCAGTCTGATTTTGGCACTAAAAAGTAAGTTACAATAATACGATATTATAATCTCTCCCTGAGATTAAATACATAAGTTCATTTAAACTTGATAATAAGACATTACATTATATCACTATTATCTTGCAGGAAAAGACACTGTAGAGTAAGTTGACCAAGGTAACCCACTTCGTAAGAGGTAGAATTATCCTACAAAGTCTGGTCTGGTTGATCAGAGAGCTACCCTGAAATATTCACAAATCATTCAAGTTAAACAAACAAACAAAATCATTGATAAAAATGTGTTGTCAGGAAGAATTGTTGTAATAAGCAATAATTTTGTCATAAATATGTCTATAAAATGTGTAGATAAGTCAGTCTCAAGAGAGACTGTAGTTACTGGTTGACAGAGTTCCCACCCAATCCTCTTGTTTTTTAATTAAAAATAAGAATAATAGTGAAACAATGGCATATATTTATTTAGACCATCATAATAAACTCAGCTCTTTGACCTCCATAAACTCAGCTTCTCCAGAAGGGATTCCTAGATATTCCCCATCAAGACAGTCTGTGCTCTCCATCTCATGGAAACGAGTACGGTGACAAATCCAGAAACATAAGCTATTAGTGTGATGGGAAAAAAACTCTCTCTTTTCTTCCCCTTAATACTCCCAGTAAGAATGGCTTTAATTGGTTCATTAAATCTCCATTAATCTAAACTATTTCTTTTTTTTCTTCTCTTTTTTTTTTTTTTGAGACAGAGTCTCGCTCTGTCACCAGTTGGAGTGCAGTGGTCAGATCTCAGCTCACTGCAATCTCTGCCTCCCAGGTTCAAACGATTCTCCTGCCTCAGCCTCCCAAGTAGCTGGGACTACAGGTGCGCACCATCACGCCCAGCTAATTTTTGTATATTTAGTAGATACAGGGTTTCACCATGTTGACCAGGATGGTCTTGATCTCTTGACCTCATGATTCACTCACCTCGGCCTCCCAAACTGCTGGGATTACAGGCATGGGTCACCGCGCCCAGCCTAAACTATTTCTTATCTCTATGGTATACAAACCATTCTCCCCAAATCTACCCTTCTACTCCTGAGCCCACATATACTTTTATACTTTTTATGCTTTTTTCCTTCCTAATCTAAACTGCACAGTACAGCCAAGGGATTATTTTAACATATAAGCTGGACTTTCTCACTGTCCAGCGTGAAACTACTTGATGCTTTGCATTGCTCTTATGATCAAGACAAAAATCCCCAGCAAGACCAATGAGGCCTGCATCGCTTGATTTATGCCTTCATTCAGCCTTGCCTCAAGTCACTTTCTCTTACTCTAGGTTCTCCAGTTGCAATGACCTTCTTCAGTTTCCTCAAAAATTATGAAGCTCTTTCCTGCATTTATAGATGCATATTTCAGCACACTTGTAGATGTTCTACCTTTGCCTGTAATTTTTTATGAACTTTTCCTACCCCAGCCCCATGGTCTAATTTCTACTCACCTTTCAGGCTTCACATCAATATCACTATGAAGACTCATTTTCTGACCCAATTACACTAGAGCTGGTCTCATTGCTATATCCTCACTTAACACTGTACATTTTTATACCATGTATGATAACTTAAATCATTATTTCATTCATATGTGTTGTACCTACTGGTTTGTAAGTTGTATTAAGATAAATATCTATTCTTTTTAAAGTGATTTTCCCAATTCAAAACAGGTAATCTATATGTGTTGGATAAATGGATAGATCGATAGATAGATGAATAGACGGATGGATGGATGGATCCATGAATAAAAGAGAAAAATTAGGCCAGGCATGGTGGCTCAAGCCTGTAATCCCAGCCCTTTGGGAGGAGAGGTGGGCAGATCACGAGCTCAGGAGTTTGAGACCAATGTGGCCAACATGGTGAAACCCTGTCTCTACTAAAAATACAAAAATTAGCCAGGCACCTGTAATCCCAGCTACTCGGGAGGCTGAGACAGGAGAATCGCTTGAGCCCGGGAGGTGGAGGTTGCAGTGAGCCGAGATCACGCCATCGCACTCCAGCCTGGGGGATAAGAGCAAGACTTCATTTCAAAAAAAGAAAGAAAAATTAATAGAATGACCAAGTCAGACTCATCCCCAGGAAGAGAAACAGGCCACATATAAAGGAAATCAGGCTATAGGGAAATATAGAATTATTCAAAAAATTAAAAACATGACCCATTTTACAGTTCTCCTCATGCTATAAATACACATTGCCTCCTCATACCTCTGTCATATGCAAAGATCAAGCCAAGTTGAACCACTTAGGGCTAGGCACATTAAAAAAAAACCCTTTTTTAAAGGTAGGAATTACACAAGTTAAACTAACTCCAGTATATAATAAGAATAAATCAGGTATAAGATATTAAGTAAAGTTACTATACCTGGTATATTTTTTATCATTCAGTTTAATTTCACTGGAGTTTAAAGATGACACGATTCTTAATCTTGTAATGTGAATGTGGCATATGTAATTTATATAGAGATGCTTTACTTACCACTCATTCATTCTTTCATCTTTCCTGGAAAATAAAATAATGAGAGCATTATTTGGTTACTTCTTCCTTGCTAAAACTTTCATGATTCTCTTTCTCTCTCTCACACACACACATACACACACACACACACACACACAGAGAGAGAGAGAGAGAGAGAGAGAGTCAGCTTTCCTGAGCAGCGATTCAGAAAAAAAGGATGTTTCTGATGAACAAGTTTAAGAATAGCATTTTAATTCTTCAGCCATTTTTTGTTGAAGTGTTACACATACATAAAAGTGTGCAAATCATAAGTACACAGTTCAGTGAAATTTCACTATGTGAATATCTCTGTAATCAGTACCTTCTATTTAGTGCTATTCAATATAGCCAGATGTGACTATTTAAATTTTAATTAATTGAAATTAAATACAGTTAAAAATTCCACGTTTTATTTTCAGACGAGATGAAGTAACAGGCACCAGATTTATTATTTTAATGGGAACAACTAAAAAACTATAAAAATGTATGAAATAAATGGTTTTAGTGATACTGAACCTCAGGCAACAAAAGAGAAAAACCAATAAGGTGAGCTGTACTATTGCCTTAGCTTACTGCTTGGAGGAGATGTTTAGGAAGCAACAAGCAAAGTGAGAGGAAACTCAAGCAGAGCCTGTCTCCTTGAGTTGATGAGATGGACGTGGGTTTTCTCAGAATTCAAGGCTGAGTAGAGTTCACAGGGCAAAATATCAGAGAAGAGAGATCTGCGCAGAGAAAGAACCCTGGAAATTTACAGAGGGTCTTTCTCAGAGTATTCTGTTGAGTATTTATCCATACTTATGTGTGAGAAAATTACCTAAGGCCAGAGAAAGAACCACTTGAAAGAATTAGAGGGAAACATGGTCAACACTCTCCTAGGAATAGTGCTGGCCTTTAACAGCTAGACTAGAAACACTATATCTGATAGGGAATGGGTTAGAGTAGTAAGAAATGTACTGATTCAATATTGGGAAAAAATTGTCTGTACTTAAAAGAGAATGTCACCAAATGATAATGCAAGCAAAAATGTAAAAGCAGTCCTTCAAGCAGAAGAAAAATGATTTCAGATAGACACTCGAACCTCCACAGAGGAATAAAGAGTGTCATAAGTAATAACTACATAGGTTAATATAATGTATTTTATTCTTATTATTTAAACCTATATAAAAGATAGTCAACTGTTTAAAAAAATAGTAACAGTGTAATGTGGGGTTATACCATATGTAGCAGCAAAATGAATGAATAACACAAGGTTAGGAAGCAGAGAAATGGAAGTTTCTATTGTATGCTACACATGAAGTAAAGACTTACTTGAAGGGAGACTGGTAAGTCAAAAATACATATTATAAACTCCAAAGCAACCACTGAAGTAACATAACAAAGTGTTATAACTAATAATCCAACAATAAAGATAAAATGGGATCATAAAAAAGAAAAAGAAGAAAAATAACATAAACAAATGTGACAACGAGAAAATAAAGAAAAAGATGGCAGGTTTAAACACAACCATATACATATTCACCTTAAATGATAATGGTCTAAATACCTAAAAAGTAGAATTTTTAACATTGAATAAGAAAGGAAGGCCCTACAACATGCCACTTACAAGGAACTCACCTTAAGTATAAAGATATATATAGGTTAAAATAAAATGATGTTTAAAATGAAACTCACCTTAAGTATAAAGATACAAATAGGTTAAAAGTAAAATGATGTTAAAATATACTATTGACAGTAAACAGAAGATAGCTAGAATGGGTTTATTAATATCAAAAAAAGTAAATTTCAGACAAGTAAATTACCGGGGGAAGAAAGGTAATTTCCTAATAATAAACTGGTTCATTCATCAAGAGAGCATAACAGTTCTCAATGTTTTGCACCATATAAATGAGTTCAAAAATATATGAAGCAAAACCAACAGAAATGAAAAGAGATATAAACAAACACAAAAGTATATTTGGAGATTTCAACACTCTTTCCCAGTTATTGGTAGAACAAGTAACAAAATATAGAAGACCTGAACAATACAAATTATCACCTTGATCTAATAGACAAGTATAAAACATTCCACCCCAAAACATGAGAACATACATCTTTTTAAGTGCCCACACTGCATTTTCAAGTGAGACCATATTCTGACCCAGAAAACTAGTCTCAAATAGAAAACCTGAACAGACCAATATCAAGTAATGAGGTTAAATCAATAATAAAAAGTCTCCCAAAAAAGAAAAGCCCAGAATTAGATGGCTTTACTGACAAATTCCACCAGATTTACAAAGAAGATCTCACATCAATTCTCCTCAACCTATTCCAAAAAATTGAAGAGGATGGAATTTTCCCTAACTCATCCTATGAGGCAAGCATTACCATGATACCAAAACCAGGCAAGATGAAACAAATAAACAAGCAAAAACTGCAGAACAATATCCCTGCTAAACATAGATGCAAACATCCTCAACAAAATAGTAGAAAACTGGGTCCAACAACACATCCAAAGGATAACACACCATAATCAAGGGAGATATATCCAAAGCAGCAAGGATGTTCAACATATGCAAATCAATAAACGTGATATCTTACATTAACCCAATGCAGGAAAAACTACAATTATCTCAATAGATGCAGAAAAAACATTTGATAAAATTCAGCACCCCTTCATAATAAAAACTCTCAACATAGTGGGCATAGAGGGAACATACCTCAACATTATAATGGCTATATATGACAAACCCACAGCTAACACCATACTAAATGAGAAAAACCTGAAAGCCTTTGCTCTGAAAACTAAAACAAGACACGAGGAACTCCACTTTTACCACTCCTATTCATCATAGTACTTGAAGTGCTAGCCAGAGCAATCAGGAAAGAGAAAGAAATAAAAGGCATTGAAATTGGAAAAGAGGAAGTCAAAATGGCCCTTTTTGAATATAATCTTATATCTAGAAAAATGTAAACACTTTACCAAAAACTCTTAGATCTAATAAATAAATTTAGTAAAGTTTCAGAATACAAAATCCCATTTGTAATAGCCACAAAAAGTACCTAGTAATAAATGTAACCAAGGAGGTGAAAGACCTCTGCAAGGAAAACTACAAGGCACTGATGAAAGAAATTGAAGACAACACAAAAAAATGGAAGGACATTCCATGCTCATGAACCAAAATAATTAATATTGTTAAAATGACCATACTCCCCAAGGCAATTTACAGATTCAATGCAATCCCTGTCAAAATACCAATGTCATTTTTTTACAGAAATGGAAAAACAATCCTAAAACTTACATGAAACCAAAAAAGAGCCTGACTAACCAAAGCAATCCTAGCCAAAACGAGAAAGCTGGAGGCATCACACTACCTGACTTCAAAATATATTGCAAGTCTAGAGCAACCAAACAGCAAGGTATTGGTATAATAACAGAAATATAGACCAAAGGGACAGGATAGAAACGCAGAAATAAATCCAACTGTTTACAGCCAATTGATTTTCAACAAAGTTGACAGGAACATACATTGGGGAAAGGACACCTTCTTCGATAAATGGTGCTGGGAAAACTGGATGTCAATATGCAGAAGACTGAAACTGGATCCCTATCTCAGCAAATACAAAAAATCAACTCAAGATGGATTAAAGACTTAACAGTAAGAGCAAAAACTATAAAACTACTAGAATAAAACATAAACACTTCAGAACATTGGTCTAGGCAAAGATTTTATGGCCGAGACTTCAAATGCACAGGCAAAGTCAAACAATGATAAATAAATGGGACTGTAGCAAACTATAAACCTTCTGCATAGTGGAGAAGACAATCAACAGAGTGAAGAGACAACCTGTTAAATGGGATAAAATATTTGTAAACTAATTATCTGGCATTGGACTGATCTCAAATATTTAAGGGAGTCAATTCAATAGTAATAATAATAATTAATAATAACAATAATAATAATAATAATCTGATTTAAAACTGGGCAAAGGACATGAATAGACATTCCCCAAAAGAAGACATACAAATGGCCAATGGGTATATGAAAAATGCTCAATATCACCAGTCATCAGGGGAATGCAAATAAAAACCACAATAAGATGTCATTTTACCAATGTTAAAATGATTACTATTAAAAGGACAAAAAATGAGATTCTGATGAAGATATGGAGAAAAGGGAACTCTCATACACTTATGGTGAGAATGGTAACCAGTACAGCCAGTATGGAAAACAGTATGGGGATTTGTCAAAAAACTAAGAACAGAAATACCACATGATTCTGCAATCCCATTACTGGATATTTATCCAAAGGAAATGAATCATTATATTGAGAGACATCTGTACCCCCATATTTATTACAGCAGTATTCACAATAGCAATGATATGGAATCAACCTAAATATCCATCAACATATGAATAGATTTTTTTAATGTGGTATAATTTGACCCAGCAATCCCACTACTAGATATATACCCAAAGGAATATAAATAGCTCTATTATAAAGACACATGCAACTGTATGTGCATTGCAGCACTATTCACAATAGCATAGACATGGAATCAACCTAAATGCCCATCAATGATAGATTGGTTAAATAAAGTGTGGTACATATATCCCATGGAATACTATGTAGCCATTCAAAAGAATAAGATTATGTCCTTTGCAGGAACATGGATGGAGCTGGAGGTCATTATCCTTAGCAAACTATTGCAGGAACAGAAAACCAAATACTGCATGTTCTCACTTATAAGAAGGAGCTAAATCATGAGAATACATGGACACATAGAGGAGAACAACACACACTGGGGTCTATTGGAGGGTGGAAGGCAGAAAGAGGAAGAGGATCAGGTAAAATAACTAATGGATAGTAGGCTTAATACCTGGGTGATGAAATAATTGGTACAACAAACCCCCATGATACATATTTACCTATGTAACAAACCTGCACAATACTGCACATGTATTCCTGAACTCAAAATAAAAGTTAAAAAATAAAAAATTAAAAAATTATAATGTGCTACATATACACAATGGAATACAATTCAGCCACAATAAAGAATGAAATCCTGTCACTTTGCTGCAACATAGATGGAAGAGGAGGTCATTATGTTAAGTGAAATAAACCAGGTACAGAAAGACAAATATCACATGTTTTCACTTCCATGTGGGAGCTTAAAAAGTTAATCTCATGGAGGTAGAGAGTAAAATGATAGATACCAGAGACTGGCAAGGATGTGGGCAACGAGGCAGGGGGTGGTTGGTTAGTAGGTACAGATATACAGTTAGATAGAAGGAAAAAGTTCTAATCTTCGAATAAGGTGACTATAGTTAACAACAATGTACTATTTATTTCAAAATGGCAAGAAGAGAGGATTTGAAATGTTTCCAATACATAGAAATGACAAATACTTGAGGTAATGAATTAATGAATATCCTAAATACCCTGATTTGATTATTACACATTCCATGCATGTAACAAAATATAACATGTACCCCATAAATATGTACAAGTATTATGTATCAATAAAAATTTTTTAAATAATAAAATGGATAATTTAATACCCCTATAGTTATTCAAATAATTAAATTTGTACTTTAAAAACTTCTCACAAAACAAACAAATAAACCAAAACTCCAGGCCTGTATGACTTCAGTGGTGAATTCTACCAAACATTTAAGTGAGAAATAGTGCTGATTCTACACAAACACTTCCAGAAATTTGAAGACAGACTTCCTAACTCATTCTATCAGGTCAGCATCACTCCCATATCAAAATCAGAGAAGGTCACTGCAAGAATAAGACTATGAACTTATATCCCTTATGTTCATATATGCAAAAATTCTAAAATAAATTTTTAGCAAGGTGAATCCAACAATATATTAAAGTGATTATACATAATGACCAAATGAGGTTTATTTTAGGAATGCAACTTTGATTCAACATTTGAAAATAAAACAATACAATTTATTGTATTAACAGACCAGAAACATCAGAAATACTAGAAAAAAAGCAACACAAAAACAACAACAACATGATCATCTCAATAGATAAAAAAAATCATTTGGCAAATGCAAACTCTATTCCTGATTTAAGAAAAAAAACTGAAAATAAGGACTAGAAAGGAGCTTATTCAATCTGATAAAGGGCACCTATAAAAAATCTACAACTAATATCATTATTAGTAAAAGACTGAGTTACTGTATTTTCCTCTAAGATCAGAACATGCAAGGATGCTTGCTCTCAACACTTCTATTCAACATGCACTGGAGGTTCTAATCAGTGTAATAAGGCAATAAAAAGAAATCAAAACATCATTCCCATCTTGGAAAGGAAGAAGTAAAACTGTTTTATTTGCAGATGATATCATTGGCTGCATAGGAAATTTTTTGTAATCTAAAAAAGAATGCTCCTACAACTAATAAGTTAGTTTATCAAGGTTGCAGGATTAAAGATCAATATTTTAAAAACCCACTGTATTTCTGTATACTAGCAATGAATAATCAAAAATTGAATATCTAAAACACAAAACCATTTTAATATTATCAAAACATAAAATACTTATGAATACATCTGATAAAGATGTACAAGAACTATATGCTGAAAACCGCAAAAACATTGCTAACTTAAGTTCTGAAAAACCTTAAAAAATGGACAGAGATACCATACAGGTGGACTGAAGGACTCACTATTGTTAAGGTGCTAACTATTCTAAAATTGATCTGTACATTCAAAGCAATCTCAATCAAAGTTCCTGCCATTTTTGTAGATATTGGCATGGTATTTCCAAAATTCATAAGGAAATATAAAGTAGCATACATACAATGGTGAGAGAAAAACATAGTTGGAGGATGTCTTAGTTTTGGGTGGCTGTCATGATGTTACAACAAACTGAGTGGCTTAAAACAACAGAAATTTATTCTCTCACAGTTCTGGAGACCAGAATTCTGAAATCATGTGTCAATAGGGTCATGCTCTTTTGTAGGCTATAAAAGAAAATCCATTTCTTGCCTATTTTATCTTCTGGAAGTTGTCAGTATCCCTTGACCTGTGGCCACAACATTCCAGTCTCTGCCTCTGTGGTTACATCACCACCTCCTCTGTGTCTGTGTTTTTTTGTGTGTCTCTTTTATGGACACTTAAAAGAATTTAGGGTCCATTCAGATAATCTCATTCTCTGAAACTCTTACATTTAATTACATCTACAAAGACCCCTATACCCAAATAAGGTAATATTCACAGGTTCCAGGGATTAGGACATAGACATTTGTGGAGGACCACTATTCAGCCCACTACAGAGGATTTATGCTATCTGGTTTCAAGGTTTATTATACAACTACTACTGTCAAGACTATGTGGTATTGGAGAGTAACAGAGAGATCAGTGGAACCTAAATAGAGTCCAGAAATAGGCCCACACATATAGGATCAATTGATTTTCAATTGCAAAAGCATTCAGTGGAGAAAGGATAATCCCTTTAACAAATGGTGCTGAACTTTTGGACAGCCATATTTGAAAAAAATAAGAAAATTCGTATACCATGTCTATTTGTATTTTTATATCATATATAAAAATTAACTAAAACTGGATCATAGAGCTAAATGTAAAATTTAAACTTTAAAATTTAGAGAAAAAAATATAGGAGAATATCTTTGCAACTCTGGGTGAAGCAAATGTTTCTTAGGTACAACACCAAAAGCATGATTATGCAAGAAAAATTCTGATATTAGACTTCATCAAAATTTTAAAACATTGGCTTTTTCATGAACACACCACTAAAAGATTAAAAAGTTAAGCCACAGACTCCAAAAAATTATTTGCAAATCACTGATAAAGAACTTATATTCAGAATATATATAGAATTTTGAAAGTCTATAATATAAAAGCAAATATTCCAATATAAAGTAGTCAAGAGATGAACAGACATTTCATCGAAGAAAATATATGGATGGTAAACACTCACGTGGAAAAATTTCTCAACATCATTCATCATTAGAGAAATGCAAATTAAAACTTCAGTGAGATACTACTACACACCTATTAGAATTCTAAAATTATAATGACTGATAATATCAAGTATGATGAAGAAGTAGAGCAATGGAAACTTTCAACTACTACTATTGGGAATGTAAAATGGTACACTCACTTTGGAAATAGTTTAAAAGTTTTTTTAAAAATGTTAGACATAACACCTACCAGCCATTCCACTTCATGATATTTACAAAAGAAACATAAAAATCTATGTTAACAAAAATACTTGTATTTGATTGTTTACTGAAATCTTATTTATAAGAGCCAAAATCTTGGAAGAATCTAATCCATCAACTGGTCAATTGATAAACGGTGTTTTATTCATATAAGGAATACCACTTAGCAATAAAAATGAATGAACTATCAAAACATGCAAGCAACACAGCTGAATCTCAAGTGAAAGAAGCTAGATACAAAAGACAGTATACTGTATTAATTTCATCGGTAAGAAATTTTAGAAACAAAACAAAATTATAGCAACAGAAAGAAGATCAATGGTTTTGGGGGGCTAGGAGGTATAGGAAAGAAAATGGTTACAAAAGCACATGTTAGAACTTTTTGGGGTGATAAAAATGTATGTCATGATTATGGTGATGATTACATTACTGTATACATTTGTAAAACATCAAATTATACACATAGAGTTGATGAATTTTATCATATGTAAATGATGCATATAACAAAGCTGACCAAAAGGAAACAAAATTGGCAAATATCTTGAGTTGACCAGATACGTGCTTCCTTGAATTTTTCCTCACAAATTTACCATCATTAGTTTTCCTTTTTCCCTACTTTTCTCAGGCTCAGAGGATAAGATGTCCTTCTCATTTTAAAGACCCAACTATCGTTACTAGATTCTATTTTTTCCACTATAAAGTCTCTCTTCATCTCCCTCTAGTATACTGTTTCTCTTCATTTACTACACTCTTGGATCTTTACTGGCTCCTCCTTTTCAGTTTTTAAACATCCTTGAGAGAAAAGGAAACATCCATTGACCATAGTTTCAGCTCTTTCTCTCCTTCCCTTCTCAGCCAATCCTTATATAGTAGATTATTCTCTGTGCCTGGGCTCATGCTATTCTCTTGCCTAGAATTACTTTTCTTGTCCCTTCACTTTGCCCCCTCCTCTATTTTCATCTGATTAACACATAAACATTCTATGTTATCAGTTCCTCTGGCAATTATTCCACTATATCTTTTATAACTTTGGGCCTAAATCCTCCTTTTTATGTTCTCCAGTTTTCTCATCCCACATTGTTTTGAAATCAACTCATTTTGAGACTGTCTTGAGGGTATGGACTTTATGCCACAACATATAGTGCATCTAGGACATAGTAAGTATTTTGTGTTGTGTGACTAATATAACTTTATAATTTATAAAACATATAAATTAGAGTATTTTAAATGCTGATGTGAGCACTTTATGGAAATTTAAACTATCTTTGGACAAACTTTTTAAAAAACTCCAAAGATGGTTATATTCTTTAGAAATACCAATCTCTAACACAGTTTCCAATATAGACTGTGTAGTATTTAAAGGGATAATCAGCTTGTAAAAGTTATGTCATACAGATGAACTGCTTCCTCTAGAATTCCGAATAGACATGGCTTTCACTGTATTCATCACATCTTGTAGTAGTACTCAACACATTTCAAAATGCTTTCATGCACATGTTACCAATGGATCTGTTCAACAACACTATAACAAAGCTAAGACAGGTTGTACCATGTTATGTTGTAGCTGCCTCAAAAAAGAGTGAAATTTCTGTCATTGGAGGTATTGAAGTTGAGGCTGGATGACAGATTATCCCCACTGGGCCATTCTCCATCTTCAAGAAAATATTAATACAAATTGACTACATACAAGTCAGTGTCAGCATGGCTGTTGACAATGACCTTTTAGGAGAAGTTATTTTTACATAGGTCACATGTAACATAAAACTTAAAGCTTTCTTTTTCTTCTTTAAAATTAGATAACTATAATTTTATACAAAGAAGTCAAATTTCACCAGGCATGCTTAAAGGAATTATTTCTTCAGAAGTCATGGTTTTCTTCAGGAATTTAAAAAGTTGTGGCTTAGTTGTGTTTTCACATAGCCCTTCTCCAATCTTCAGTGACTTGCTGTTTAAACAGGCATGGATTAAAATACAGCTACTGCTGAATGTGTGAACTGCCAATAAGCTTTACAACCAAACAGGGCTGAAATTAGATATCCAATGCGACAAAGGGCCGACAAGTACCACTTTGTGTTAGACATGCTATTATTTATAGCTTATATTGTTGACACAGGCATGAATCGATGCAGAAATTAAAAACAGAAAACACCAACAAGTATCTTCTGAACAATAGATGTCACTCTTCCTCCTGAAAATGGACCATATTTGCTTTGGAAGAACTAAGGAGTTTAGTTTTACCATTCACTGTTTGTAGATATTGTCTTCATAAGTCAAGTCTTTTATTAGCATAAATAGAAAATAGTGTCTCCCTTGTCACTTATAGATAATAATCACCCACTTTACAAATTGCTGATTGAAAAGATCATGGCCATTAACATTTGTTGAACAGCCCCTGAATACAATGGGCTACAAGAAGAAGAGAATGGAGAAATAAATGATAAAGTGAAGGGCAGATTCCAGAGAGTTTTTAAGCTGCCTATCGAGACAAGCAAATATATTAGACATACTATGTGTGCTAGGAAGGCAATTTAACTTAGCAACTATTTATTTAGCATTAACCGAGGCACTGACATAGTTTCAAAGATGGTTTAAAAAGGCACAGACTTGTAACCCCATCAAAGAATTAATGCTCTGAGCTATACAAGTGGAATATAAATATGTAAAAAGTAACCAACAATATCATTCAATAAATTAAGTTCAAATGGGTAATGAAAACTGTAACAGCTATGAATATGGACAGCTATATAAGGAAGTATGTGTGACTTCTCAGAAGAAATATATTTTTAAATGGTTCTTTAAAAATGGGAGGTATTTGAAGCATAGAGAGAGAGAGAGGCTGTACAGAGTCTGTGAGACTAGAACTTCCATTCATGAGGTCTGTGCCAAAGAGAATGTAGAAGCTGTTGCAGAATAATGAGAGGCAACCACTAGAAGATAGTTTGGGGTATGAATGTAGAAACCCTTAAAAATAATAAGTACATTTCTCTAATAGTTTAAGACAAAATTGTCATGGTTGACAAAATGTTTTTTAATTTTCCTTTCTGTGATTGCAGAATTTGTTTTCTTATGGTTTTTAATAACTTCCCCCAGTCACTGGCTTATTTCAAGAAACCAACATATATTGGGTGCATCAGTCCTTTCTCACCCTGCTATAAAGAAAAACACGAGATTGGGTAATTTTTAAAGAAAAGAGGCTTAACTGGCTCATTGTTCTGCAGGCTGTACAGGAGTCATAGCAGCTTCTGCTTCTGGGGAGCCCTCAGGGAGCTTTCAATCATGGCAGAAGACAAAGGAGGAGCCAGCCCTTTACATGGCCAGAGCAGGAGGAAGAGAGAATGGAGGGAGATGCCACACACTTTTAACCAACCAGATCTGCTAAGAACTCCATCATGAGAACAACTCCAAAGGGATGGTGCTAAACCATTTATGCAGGATCCACCCCCATAATCCAATCACCTTCCACTAGGCCCCACCTCCAACATTGGGAATTACAACTGAACACAAGATTTGGGTGGGGACACAAATCAAAACAGATCAAATCACATCATTGGGTTACTACTCTATAAAAGGCATTGGGCTACAACTTTATCCAAGAGTTCACTCTAAGTAAATAGACACCTAGAGAACAAATAACTCTAATCTAGGGCTGTATATACTTATCTGTGTAACACAGGTTTCAGGTAAGATGGAGTTCAGTAAAGGAACAATTTGCAGCTGAGTGAAGACATCAGCACACATATACCCTAAGATTTTTGTCATAGTGCCTGAAATGCACCATAGTGGTGCTACCACTTGGATTTGAGGCCCCTTTGCACAATCAGAGAAAGCTGTTGAAACCCAAGAGGTTGTGCAATTTCAGGATCTATGACCAAACTTTAGGAAATGTTTCAGGTGAAGACCATCTCCAGGACATCTCAACTTTTTCTCTTCATGTGATTGCCATTCTGCCTGCCTAGACTGATTGTATTATAGCACTAGAAACCCTTAAGTCTACTCAATATAAACAGAAGGTTGCAGCTGTTTGAGAAAACCCATGGGGCCTTGCCCTGATGTGTCAAAAAGGGTCTGCCTTCTCTTAAAAAATACTAATCTGGTTTAAAACTATCAGAATTGGCAAAATAATTTCTCTTTTATTTTAGTTAATTTGCATAAGCAACTTGTTTTCTACCATTAGTTTTTTTTTTATATTATAATTTAAGTTCTGGGGTACACGTGCAGAATGTGCAGGTTTGATACACAGATATACACATGCCATGGTGGTTTGTTGCACCCATCAACCTGTCATCTACATTAGGTATTTCTCCTAATGCTATCCCTCCCCTAGCCCCCCACCCCCGACAGGTCCCAGTGTGTGATGTTCCCATCCCTGTGTCCATGTGTTCTCATTGTTCAACTCCCACTTATGAGTGAGAACATGCAGTGTTTAGTTTTCTGTTCTTGTGTTAGTTTGCTGAGAATGATGGTATCCAGCATCATCCATGTCACTGCAAAGGACATGAACTCATCCATTTTTATGGCTGCATAGTATTCCATGGTGTATATGTACATTTTCTTTATCCGATTTTATTCATAAAGTCTTTGCCAATGCCAATGTCCTGAATTGTGTTGCCTAGGTTTTCTTCTAGGGTTTTTATGGTTTCGGGCTTTACATTTAAGTCTTTAATCCACTTGAGTTAATTTTTGTATAAGGTGTAAGGAAGGGATCCAGTTTCAGCTTTCTGCATATGGCTAGCCAGTTTTCCCAACACCATTTATTAAATAGGGAATCCTTTCCCCATTGCTTGCTTTTGTCAGGTTTGTCAAAGATCAGATGGTTGTAGATGTGTGGCATTATTTCTGAGGCCTCTGTTCTGTTCCATTGGTCTATATATCTGTTTTGGTACTAGTACCATGCTGTTTTGGTTACCGTAGCCTTGTAGTATAGTTTGAAGTCAGATAGCATGATACCTCCCACTTTGTTCTTTCTGCTTAGGATTGTCTTGGCTATGCAGGCTCTTTTTTGGTCCATATGAAATTTAATGTAGATTTTTCCAATTCTGTGAAGAAAGTCAATGGTAGCTTGCTTGGGATAACATTAAATCTATAAATTACTTTGGGCAGTATGGCCATTTTGACGATATTGATTCTTCCTATCCATGAAGATGGAATGCTTTTCCATTTGTTTGTGTCCTCTCTTATTTCCTTGAGCAGTGGTTTGTAGTTCTCCTTGAAAAGGCCCTTCACATCCCTTGTAAGTTGTATTCCTAGGTATTTTATTCTCTTTGTAGCAATTGTGAATGGCAGTTCACTCATGATTTGGCTCTCTGTTATTTGTGTATAGGAATGCTTGTGATTTTTGCACATCGATTTTATATCCTGAGACTCTGCTGAAGTTGCTTATCAGCTTAAGGAGAATTTGGGCTGAGACGATGGGGTTTTTCTAAATATACAATCATGTCATCTGCAAACAGGGACTATTTTAGTTCCTCTTTTCCTAATTGAATACCCTTTATTTCTTTCTCTTGCCTGACTGCCCTGGACAGAACTTCCAACACTATGTTGAATAGGAGTGGTGAGAAAGGGCATCTTTGTCTTGTGCCAGTTTTCAAAGGGAATGCTTCCAGTTTTTGCCCATTCAGAATGATATTGGCTGTGGATTTTCATACATAGCTCTGATAAATATTTTGAGATATGTTCCATCAATGCCTAGTTTACTGAGAGTTTTTAGCATGAAGTGCTGTTGAATTTTGTCTAAGGCCTTTTCTGCATTTATTGAGATAATCATGTGGTTATTGTCATTGGCTCTGTTTATGTGATGGAATATGTTTATTGATTTGAGTATGTTGAACCAGCCTTGCATCCCAGGGATGAAGCTGACTTGATCATGGTAGATAAGCATTTTGATGTGCTACTGGATTCGGTTTGCCAGTATTTTATTCAGGATTTACACATTTAGTGTTCATCAGGATATTGGCCTGAAATTTTCTTTTTTTGTTGTGTCTCTGCCAGGCTTTAGTATCAGGATGATGCTGGCCTCAAAAAATGAGTTAGGGAGGATTCCCTCTTTTTCTGTTGTTTGGAATAGTTTCAGAAGGAATGGTACCAGCTCCTCCTTATAACTCTGGTAGAATTCGACTATGAATTCATCTAGTCCTGGAGTTTTTCTGGTTGGTAGGCTATTAATTGCTGCCTCAATATCAGAACTTGTTATTGGTCTATTCAGGGATTCAACTTCTTCCTGGTTTAGTCTTGGGAGGGTGTATGTCTCCAGGAATTTATTCATTTCTTCTAGATTTTCTCATTTATTTGCATAGAGGTATTTATAGTATTCTCTGGTGGTAGTTTGTATTTCATTGGGATCAGTGGTCATCTCCCTTTTATCATTTTTTATTGCATCTATTTGATTCTTCTGTCATTTATTCTTTATTAGTCTGACTAGTGGTCTATTTATTTTGTTGAACTTTTCAAAACACCAGCTCCTGGATTCATTGATTTTTTGAAGGGTTTTTCATGTCACTATCTCCTTCAGTTCTGCTCTGATCTTAGTTACTGCTTGTCTTCTGCTAGCTTTTGAATGTATTTGCTCTTGCTTCTCTAGTTCTTTTAATTGTGATGTTAGGGTGTCAATTTTAGACCTTTCCTGCTATCTCTTGTGGGCATTTAGTGCTATAAATTTCCCTCTACACACTGATTTAAATGTGTCCCAGAGATTCTGGCATGTTGTGTCTTTGTTCTCATTGGTTTAAAGGAACATCTTTATTTCTGCTTCATTTCATTACTTACTCAGTAGTCATTCAGGAGCAGGTTGTTCAGTTTCAGTTTCCATGTATTTGTGTGGTTTTGAGTGAGTTTCTTAATCCTGAGTTCTAATTTGATTGCACTGTGGTCTGAGAGACCGTTTGTTATGATTTCTGTTCTTTTGCATTTGCTAAGGAGTTTTTATTTCCAATTATGTGGTCAATTTTAGAATAAGTGCAATGTGGTACTAAGAAGAATGTATATTCTGTTTATTTGGGGTGGAGAATTCTGTAGATGTCTGTTAGGTCCACTTGGTCCAGAGCTGAGTTCAAGTCCTGGATATCCTTGTTAATTTTCTGTCTTGTTGGTCTGTCTAGTATAGACAGTGGAGTGTTAAAGTCTTCCACTATTATTGGGTGGGAGTCTAAGTCTCTTTGTAGGTCTCTAAGAACTTGCTTTATGAATCTGGGTGCTCCTGTATTGGGTGCATATATATTTAGGAGAGTTGGCTCTTCTTGTTGCATTGATCCCTTTACCATTTTGTAATGCCCTTCTTTGTCTCTTTTGACCTTTATTGGTTTAAAGTCTGTTTTAGTAGAGACTAGGAGTGCAACCCCTGCTTTTTTTGCTTTCCATTTGCTTGGTAAATATTCCTCCATCCCTTTATTTTGAGCCTATGTGTGTCTTTGCACTTGAGATCGGTCTCCTGAATACAGCACGCCAGTGGGTCTTGACTCTTTATCCAATTTGCATGTCTGTGTCTTTTAATTGGAGCATTTAGCCTGTTTACATTTAAGGTTAATGTTGTTGTGTGTGAATTTGATCCTCCCATTATGACGCTAGCTGGTTATTTTGCCAGTTAGTTTATGTAGTTTCTTCATAGCGTGAATGGTCTTTACAATTTGGTATGTTTTTGCAGTGCCTGGTACCGGGTATTCCTTTCCATGTTTAGTGCTTCCTTCAGGAGCTCTTGTAGGGCAGGCCTGGTGGTGACAAAATCTCTCAGCATTTCCTTGTCTGTAAAGGATTTTATTTCTCCTTTGCTTATGAAGCTTAGTTTGGCTGGATATAAAATTCTGAGTTGAAAATTCTTTTCTCTAAGAATGTTGAATATTGGCCCCCAGTCTCTTCTGGCTTGTAGGGTTTCTGCTGAGAGATCCACTGTTAGTCTGATGGGCTTCCATTTGTTGGTAACCCAACCTTTCTCTCTGGCTGCCCCTAACATTTTTTCCTTCATTTCAACCTTGGTGAATCTGAAGATTATGTGTCTTGGAGTTGCTCTTCTTGAGGAGTATCTTTGTGGTGATCTCTGTATTTCCTGAATTTGAATGTTGGCCTGCCTTGCTAGGTTAGGGAAGTTTTCCTGGATAATATCCTGAAGAGTGTTTTCCAACTTGGTTCCATTCTCTTCATCACCTTCAGGTACACCAATCAAATGTAGATTTGGTCTTTTCACATAGTCCCATACTTCTTGGAGGCTTTGTTCATTTCTTTTCACTCTTTTTTCTCTGATCTTGTTTTCTCACTTTATTTCATTGAGTTGATCTTCAATCTCTGATATCCTTTTTTCTGCTTGATCAATTTGGCTATTGATACTTGTGTATGCTTCACAAAGTTCTCGTGCTGTGTTTTTCAGCTGCATCAGGTCATTTATGTTCTTCTCTAAATTGGTTATTCTAGTTAGCAATTCGTCTACCTGTTTTCAAGGTAGCTTCCTTGCATTGGATTAGGACATGCTCCTTTAGTTCAGAGGAGTTTGTTATAACCCACCTTCTGAAGCCTACTTCTGTCAAGTCATCAAACTCATTCTCTGTCCAGTTTTGTTCCCTTGCTGGGGAGGAGTTGTGATCCTTTGGAGGAGAAGAAGGGTTCTGGTTTTTGGGATTTTCAGACTTTTTGCACTGGTTTCTCCCCATTTTCATGGATTTATCTACCTTTGGTCTTTGAAGTTGGTGACCTTCACATGGGGTCTCTGAGTAGACATCCTTTTTGTTGATGTTGATACTATTTCTTTCTGTTTGTTAGTTTTCCTTCTAACAGTCAGGCCCCTCTGCTGCAGGTCTGCTGGATTTTGCTGGAGGTCCACTTCTGACCCTATTTGCCTGGGTATTACCGGTGAAGGCTGCAGACCAGCAAAGAGTGCTGCCTGTTCCTTCCTCTGGAAGCTTCATCCAAGAGTGGCACCCACCAGATGCCAGTTAGAGCTCCCCTGTATGAGGTGTCTGTTGGCCCCTACTTGGAGGTGTCTCCTAATCAGGATACCTGGGGGTCAGGGACACACTTGAGGAGGCAGTCTGTCCCTTATCAGAGCTTGAACACTGTTGGTAGATCTGCTGCTCTCTTCAGAGCTGCCAGGTAGGGACGTTTAAGTCTGCTGAAGCTAAACACACACAACTGCCCCTTCCCCCAGGTGTTCTGTCCCAGGGAGGTGGGGGTTATATCTGTAAGTCCCTGACTGGGGCTGCTGCCTTTTTTTCAGAGATGTCCTGCCCAGAGAGGGGACAGTCTGGCCACAGCGGCCTTGCTGAGCTGGGGTTGGCTCCGGCCAGATCGAACTTCCCTGCAGCTTTGTTTACACTGTGAGGGTGAAACTGCCTACTTAAGCCTCAGCAATGGTGGACGCCCCTCCCCCCACCATGCTCGAGCATCCCAGGTTGAGTTTAGACTGCTCCTGTGCTGGCAGTGAGAATTTCAAGCCAGTGGATCTTAGGTTGCTGGGTTCTGTGGGGCACTGAGCCAGACTACTTGACTCCCTGGCTTCAGCCTCCTTTGCAGGGCAGTGAACAGTCTGTCTCACTGGCGTTCCAGGCGCCATGGGGGTATAAAAAAAAAAACTCCTGTGGCTAGCTTGGTCTCTGCCCAAAGGGCCGCCTAGTTTTGTGCTGGGAACCCAGGGCCTTGGTGGTGTAGGCACAAGAAGGAATATCCTGTTCTGCAAGTTGCAAGGACCGTGGGGAAAGTGCAGTATCTGGGCTGGAGTGCACGGTACAGTCCCTAATGGCTTTCCCTGGCTGGGAGACTGAGCTCCCCAACCGCTTGCACTTCTCAGGTGAGGCAACACCCCAGCCTGCTTCAGCTTGCCTTCCTTGGGCTGCACCCGCTGTCCAACCCGTCCCAGTGAGATGAACCAGGTACCTCAATTGGAAATGCAGAAATCACCCGCCTTCTGTGTCAATCTCACTGGGAGCTGCAGACGCAAGCTGTTCCTATTCGGCCATCTTGCCAGCAATCCCCATTAATGTTTTTAAAAATGATGGTTAAATACCTGTCACATACAATAGCAGCTGAGAATATCTAAAATATGAAAATGTATAGTGCTCTTTGGTTAAACACTTTTTCATAAAAAGTCAAAATTTTGCTGCACATAAGCTTAGCTATTGTTTGGACAAATATTATGCTCTCTCCTTTTTTTACAAAGGAAAGAGGATCAAAGAAATTGCTTGGCGAGAATGACATATCTAGTAAGTCCAAAACCCATGTTCTTTCCAAAATACAACACTAAAAACCTCATAAAATGGCACTTCAAAATTTGCATTGTCACAATTATGGAAGGTTAAAAATCTAGAAATGAATCCGAGTAGACATAAAAATTTAGTATATGATAAAAGAGGCATTTCATACCAGTGGAAAGGGGATGGATGATTTCATAAGTGATCTTGAACACTGTTAAATCATCTGAAAAAACAAGTTTCTTTCTCACATCAAAATAAATTCTAGATAGACCAATAATTTAAATGTAAAAGGAGAAATCCTGAAAGAACTACAGCAAAATATAGGTAGTTATTTCTATACCTCTGATATGAAAATGATTTACTAAATATTACAACAAAATAGAAATCATAAGAGCAGCAAGTGATACATGTGATTACATGAAATACAAAAATTTCTTTAAGACAAATTATTATATACGAAATTAATACAAACAACACACATGAGAAACATATGCATGCTATGCCACAAAGCATTATTATTAATATATAAATATTTCTTACATATCAATAAGAGGTGAACACTCTAAAAGAATAATGAAAATGTCTTAAATAGAAAATTCACAAAAATAAGAAAAAGAAATAACCAATAAACATAAGAAGAAATGCAATCTTACTATCACAGGGATTAACTAAGCTACAAGTTAGTATATGTCCAAATCCAGGATTAACTACAAGTTAAAAGATTTAAACAAGGGTAAATTACTTAGTTTAACATTTCAAACTATGAAAAAGTCTCTGTTCCTCATTTTCCTTGCCTTTGATATAATGGTATTAAGAGGAATTATGTCAGAATATTTCATACTGTTATTGTGAGGATTAAATTCTGTAATTCATTTTAAATGCCCTAAAATGTGTTTTTCTCGCATATAGTAAGTGCTGAAGAATTTTTAGGTAAACAATGAGAATTCATCTTTCACTTCTCATATTGTAAAAAACTTGTACACATCATAATACTTCTAATAAGCCATGAAGAATTAGACCCTGATATACACAGCTAAGTGAGTGCAAATTGATGGAGTCTTTCAAAAGGACAAAATATATCAAGCCTTAAATATATATATATTTAAGATAATATATATCAAGACATATATATATTAAGATATATATATATCTTTCTCAAAATATATTAAGTTCTGAGCAAATAACTAACATTTATCAAATGTGTTATTTTCATTAGAGAAAAGTTAAATAATCAACAATCTGAAGATGGTTAAATAAATTATGATATATCTTTAAAAATATGTGTATTACATATATGTGTGTGATATATATGTATATATAGTATATTTAGCACTATCTACATATTTGTACATATAATGTTTTATGTGAAAATAAGGTATAAAAGTATGATCAGATTTCAAGCAGGTAATATATATAACATGTATACACAGGTTATTACTGAACACAGCCATGGCAGATGATTTGAAATTTCTTTCTTAACTATAGTCTCCAAAGTTTTATAGTGATTAGTTTCATAATAAGAACAACAATAAGAAAAGTGTGGCATTGTTGTTATTGTTGCTTTCCTTAAAAGGACAAAGAGGGAGTGGGAAATAGAAAAATATTGCAATAAGCATTTAGGAGAAGTTGGTTTTAGATATCCATATGGTTCAGATTCTAACACGGTAAATGGGGACATTATCTCTAGGATATGCAACTCATTTAAGTAATGAGTGCCAACCCAAATCTTGCTAATGTATTTATAACAAAATAGATTGAGTGTTTCTTAAAACCATGGCAAAGGCTGTTAATATACTAGGCTAAGTCAAAAGCTAACTTGTTGACTTTCCCATCGACATCATATAAACCTTAGCAAATCAATCATCTAAATGCATATAAATAAGCAATTCACATGGATAATAGGAACATTGCATTTGGTTTTCTAAAATATATTTATTGGGCATCTAATTTCACACCAGTCCTATACTATACCCTGGGGAAACTGACCCTGCTGTAGCAAACTGCTCACTCAGGTTGGGGAGAGAGACATTTAACAAACACTCACTGTCAGATGGGAGGGGAAGTGTGGCATGCTGCTACTCAACAGATATTTACTAACTGCCTACTATGTGTGAGGTGCTGCTGCACACGCTGAGGATACTGCCATGAACGCCGCTATTGAATATCCCTTCCCTTACAGAGCTTACATGCTAGTGAAGGAAGAGAGAAAATCAAACAAATAAAATACAAGGTAGGTGAAATGGTGGTAAATTCTAAGAAAAAAAAAACAACTGGAAGGTGGGTGGTGAATCATGAGCAACCGGAATTAGGTAAAGAATCATGGAAGCCTGCCAGAAAAGGTAACATTTGATGAAGACCTACTGGAGTGAAGAGGGTGAGCCATATGGTATTTAGAGGAGGATTATTCTGGAAGAGGGAAAGGAAGGGGAAGAAGGAGAGATAAGCAGAAGAGAGGGCCCAGCATGGCAAGTCTAACACTTTCCTTGAACAGTAAGTAGTCCACATGGTTGGAGGCAGTGAGGAAGGAGACAATACAGCAGGTGATGCTGTCAAAGAGATGAACAGTAATTCAGATCCTATGCAATCTGGCAGACCAATGTAATGGTCTTTGTGTTTTACTCTGAATTCATGGCAGTGTTCCAAGGATAGGAATCACATGATCTCTATGTTATAATAGGATCACTCTGGTAGTTTTATTGAGAATAGATTGAAGGAATGCAAATATAGAATTAGGGATACCAACTATAAGTATATTGTACTTGTGCAGGTGATGATGCAGGTAGCTTGGAATGGGTCAGTGGCAAGGTATGAGGTGAGAGGTTGCTGGATTCTGGATATAATTTGAAAGCAGAGTCAACATAATTTGCTGATGCATTGAAAATAGGGTATTACAGGAAGAGAGAAGTTAAAAGTGACTTTTAAAAATATATATGAGCAAGGGAAGAATGAAATAACCATTAAAAAATAAGAAAAAGCTACAAGAGAAGCAGCTTTCGAGAAAGAAAGATAATAAGTTCAGAATGTGAAGTTCAAGACTCCAAATAGACATCTAATGGGAGACGTCACAGAGGCAGAGGTATAGAAGGAATCTGGGGAAGGAATTAGGGCTGGGATATAGACATGAGCGTCATCAGCATTTAGAAGTTATTTAAAGTCATTGGACAAGACAACGACTATCTTAAAGAGGGGCTATCAATAGAGATAAGAAGAGGTTCAAGACTAAGCCCCAGGACTCCAATGTTAAGAGACTGGGAATATAAGAAGGAATCACTAAAGGAGAGTGAGAAGGAGAATTTCTTACAATAGAAAGAAAACCAGTAAAATATCCTGGAAGCCACAAGAATAAACTGTTCTAAAGAAGCACAATGGATCAAGTGTAAAATGCTGTTGGTAGGTCAAGTAGAGGGAAGATTGAGAAATGACCATTAGATTCAGAAACATGGAAGTTATAAGTGACGAGGACAGAAGCAATTTTAGAGAAGAGGTGGGGGTACACTCATGAAAGGAAAGGAAGCCAAGAGTTAGATACAACTCTTCCAACAGTCTTGCAGTTTGAAAAATAGAAAAAGGAAAAAAATGGAGCAGATGAAGAAAGAAGTAAAATCCAGGTGGTGTCCAGATTTTTATTTTTAATGTGAAATAAATAACAATGGTCTGTATCTTTATAGGAAAAATTCAGAACACAGAAAAAGATAGATGATGCGAGAGGGGAGATTATTGGAGCAGTGTGCTTGAGTAAGCAATGGAGGACCCAGTGCACAGGTAGAGGGTGTCTTAGCGTGTGTTCTTACTAAAACAAAGGCTTATGTGTTAACATTTTATCATGAGGGTGAAATCCCACCCAAGGAAGCAGAAGTGAGCATAAAAGGAGTGTTGTCTGAAAGAAAAAAAAATCAAATATAAGAGAATATGTAGGATCTGACAATAGCTTTATGACAAACGAATTGCTTAATCTTGCAAGACATCTTCAGAGATACTATATCGGAGAAGTTAGTGAATTCCCAAAGAATCCATCTAAGGGGGAGACAGGGAGAAGAATTCGTTCAATTGTTCATGCCTCCCATATGTCAAAGTTGCCTCAACGAGGGAAGATGAGGGGTGGGAGGCAAGAGGTGTGCGTCCCTAGCAAGGAGTAAGGAAGCTGCCATTGAGTTATGCTTATGAATGACTGAAGACTTGAAGCAGCTCCCAGAGTACGCGCCTTGTCTGGTGGCAGCAGCAGTATGAACCTAGCTTTTTAATGGTGTAAACTGTCATTGCTGCTCCAGGCAGAGAAAAAGGAAAGTACACTGATCTGTGGTGATACATAAACCGTAAACAGTACAATAGGTTCAAACCTTTGGTTGGAGAATTGATAGTTCATCCAAGAGATGAACTAAGAGAGATGCCAAGTTATTTGGGCATAGATGGAGGTAGGTGGGTAATAGTGGGACTTGTAAAAATGCACTTCTGTTTGCCTCTATTTATCAATAAAATTATCTGAGAATGAGAAGAGGGGATGAGGAGGTTTTAGAGGCTTGTGAAGAGGGGAGATTAAAATAGTAATGTAGGAGTATTGGGGTACTTGTTTAGAGAGTCTGCCACTGCTTCCTGGGGAAGGGAATCTTGAAACTGAGACCTTAAGAATAAGCTGTAGTTATTCTAAAGAATAGAGGATTTATCTTCTGGAAAAGGGAATATAGTATGTGCTATAAGACCTGAAGACTGGGAAAAGCATAGCACATTTGAATCTGAATATTGTTGAGTCCAGTGCATGATGAGAAGAGTAGGTTGGGATTATAGAAATAGATGGGTAGAAGATTTGTTTTTCAGGTCTTATATTTCCAGGAATTGTATAGATAATATCTATGCCAGGAAATAAAAATTAAAAATATACTAAATCAACCAAAATACATTCAATTTTAAAATAGCTTATTATTCTTAATTACTTTTGATTAAGCAGGAGTTTGGTCTTTTCTGATGACATGGATAATAAAAATATCTGGTGAATTAGTTATTGAAGCACAAGTCAAGAGAAGAAATGCATGTCTACTTGGAAATTTCAGATACACTGGAAATTACTGATTTCCCTAATGAAAGTCACAATTAGCTTCATGAACAGTAAGCATAAGTGCAATTCACAAATATGAAAAGTATTCATCATTTCACACATAACAGACTATATTATCCTCAGCTTCTCGGTAATATAGCTTTATAGCTATTACATTGGAGAGGAATTTAATGATGTACTTATGATATTTAGTATCTTTAGTAGAAGCATACTAAGAACGTACTCAGAATTGCACAAACACACACCTATGCACAAACATATACATTCATAATTTTGCAAAGAAGCTAGATAAAATGTGAAATGCAAGAACATAAAAATAAAACCAATGACTATCTTGGCAATAAGAGTTCTTTCTCTCTACTTAGGCATCTCTCTGAAAATAAGAGTATGCATTAGCATCAATTTGGATAGTAATATGTTTCAATACTTACATCTCTAGGAGGTTTTTATTCTTCTCATAAATACTCAAAATATACTTGGACATAATGGCATCTAAAACTATAGAGAATTAAGGGCAAATTTGACGGAGTAATAATTCTCTATTTAAAAAGGTAACATGGGGTATATTCAAATTTTAGGACTTCATATAAACTTGCTAATATTTCTGTATTTATCTCACATGTCCTAAAATATATCTCTGAGGACAACCCTTTGATTTTATTCATTCTTCAATGTAGTATCAGTGTGTCTACTATGTTTTTAGAGTTATGTTAAAAGTTGTAGAGAATACAAAATACATCTCCTTGGGGAGATGCCCAGAAAATGCTTGTGAGAACTTCAGCTTTCCCTTTATCCCCCATTCAAATAAGGTAATCGGCTAGGCTTCTCTAACTGGAAGGGGAGTCTGCTAGAGTGCTTCCATCATTAGCCATTAAAATACAACGGAAAATTTAAGTCACCACATGCATGACATGCTGTGAAACAGGAAGGGGGCTGAAGTGGCTGTGGCGTGCCTCCATTAATTACTCCCATGGAACTGAGCACATGTCTAGCCAGGGTCTTTTACTATTTTCCAAATAATGAGTACTCTAATGGCTTCAGCTGGAGCAGCCCGTGCTCATTCCCATACTTGGCAGCCAGTGTTCTTTCCTTTCTTCCTTCCCTCTATTCTCCACACACACATTCTCCCCCCTTCCTCCCTCCCTTTTTTTTGGTCTAAATTTGATGAAGGTCTGGTTTTTACTTCCTGAAAGCTTAAGTGGTTGAATTAAATCCCAACTTACTTTGGTCAATCATCTAGGGAGCTCTTTAGGAATTGGGGAAACATTTTATTTATGACTCAGCTTTCCACCTGTGCTGACATGGCATGGAATTTACAGCTATTATTGAAAGCGTTATAACCAGCACCTCAGAAATTCCACATTCTCTTGAGCTGCATTATTATGGAACATTTGTCAGGCAGCCAATTGCTGTGTCAGCCCCTAATTGATTTATATTAGCATCTGTAGCAATGAAGTGGGGTGAGGGAGGGGGTGAACCTGGGCCCACTTTAGACTACCTAATTGCCCAGTTACCTGTGGACATGAGAGATTTGCAAAAGAATTGAACATATAGACCATATTTTTCTTTTTATTTTTATGCAATGTGTTTAACATTATACATGTTAATAAAGCCAGTATAAACTTTTATTACTCTGTGAAAAGTCCAGTGAGCTTAGCTTCTCCTTGCCATTATCACTTAACTATAAAAAACACCTGGCTCTAAAAGGTGGGCTTCATTTTTCCCTTGAGGGGGCATAAAAAAAAAACTTCACAATTTTTTCTTCTCACAACCTTATTTACACAAAAAAAGTAGTTAGCTTTAATAGTTCTTTTTTACATTTAGGCCTCACTCCTCCTGCATTAGAAATATACATTACTCATTTAGAAACACCTGGTCTGAGGTTGAGTCCAAGTGGAAGGAGCCTGAAGAAATCGGCAAAAGGGAGGTCATGGTGAGAATGCACAAGAGACGCATTCACTATAATTTTGGTTCTTGGTACAAATGGTTATATGCAAGAGTTCCCAAATAGTAGTGAAACTCCTAGAATGTCTTGGCAAACATGATTTTACCTGTTGGCATCTTTGGTGAACACCGTGATCCCTGCCACTTCCTAATGTATTATATCTGGCCTTGCCAGATGGCTGCCAGTCAGAACCACTCACTTCTTCTGGCTTCTGGACACTGTCTCTGCTACTCTTTGGGACCACATTGAGATAGTGGTAGAGATGAGCAGGAATCTATCCCTTCATCTTATTAATCTTTGCCTCCTTAAAAGCCTGCCTTTCCTTCCCCTACAGAATATGACAGTACATTTCTATGCATAAATACTCAATGAACCTTTGTTAAATTATCTATAGCCAACTCCACTCTGTAGCAATTCCATAAAAACTCCTAGAAAATGAAGTCTTTAGAGATCATTTTCTCATTTTTCTTGGTCTCTATGTTGAAATGCAGCGACAGTGTTCTAGAGAGCAGGTTACGTTACCTATTCTGAAGAGCCTCTGGAAGCTACAAAGCGAAGCTTTATTCGAATAAAGCTTCTCTTTGTAACCAACTTTCGGTGCTCTTTCTTCAGTAGAGGCTCATTGCTGACCCCAAGAACAGTTAAGGGACTTGCCCTAGGATCATTCAAAAAATACCAGCTCAACCACAATAAGAACATGGGAATCCAGCTTCCCCTGTGGGATCCTGGGTGCTTACACCCATTCTTTACAGAGCACTGTACAGTTTTCTGAGTGCTTTGGTATGTCATTTCCCTTGATCTCCACAACTTTCCCATGACAAAGACTATACTTTTTTCAATAACCACATTTCGTAAGTGAGGAAATAAAAAATAATTTCCAGAAGCACTCAAAGTATAGTTTCAAGTTAGACCCAACTCTTTGATCTCTAATGTATGATCATAAGTATAGCTTTTCCTTTAAATCTATAATATCAGAGTGAGATAAGTGAGGTAAGTGTAGGAGTAGGTCTCATTGTTCCAGAACAAATATAGTATTTGCTCTAGATTTTCACGGGCAAAAATAAAACCATGTTTCCTATTTGCCCCATGTTACTCAATAATAAGAGTAAAAAAAAAAGAATGTTAGTAGCTATCTTTATTTAATCTGGGTGCTGGGAATCATGCACTCTTGCATTACATATAACAGTCATAGTAACCCTGAAAAGTAGGTGTTATTTCCAATTTACACATAAAATAGAGGCTTAGAAATATTAATAATTCATATATTAAGTATGGAGTTAGAGTAGAGATTGGAGTCTAGATATGTCTGACTCCTAAATCTGGGATCTCGTTATTAAACTACTGTGCCACATTAAGTTATAAACATTTGTTTTGTTTGTGTAACATTCTCAGTGCTTGTTTCACAGTAATTAAAAAGCATTGATGAGGTCTGATATAATCATTTTTTATATCAGAAAGTTTCTCCCTTATTCTCATCCTCTTGACATATTTTCTCTTCATTCAATAGTAAATACCCAGACATTTCTAAAAATATGGCCTCCCTGAAAATAAACTCAATTGTAAATATTAAAACATAAAATAGATTTAGTTCATATATTTCTTTCCAACTATCCCCTCAGAAAGTCATTGAGCCTTCTTGATTGTGAAAAGGTAGATACATAATTTGACTGCTTTTACCAATAGGTATCTAACTGGTCACAAAGTAGTAACTTAATCATACAACACATCATTAGACTTAGCTTGTCATTAATCTTTACAATATGGTCAAGAGGAGTCCAGAGTTTATGAGCCATCTCGTTGTATTCTTAGAAAGCATTGCATTGGTGGGCAGGCATGATTAGTTACATCTGGCTACAGAGCGAAGACCTAATGTCTAAAGAAAATGATATTACAGTTCACAAGCTCAAACACAATTACATAATTGAGGATTAGGAACTACAGCTTCCAGTTCCACACAAAATATCTATCATGACCTAACCTCTTAAATAGGCTTTAGTTTCACTTACTTGTAAAACATCCGAGATGCTGTGGTTGGTTCTCAATTAGCCAAGATGACCACATATTTTAAGAATGATTTTCATTGACTCCATCTTCCAAGTCTATAAACTGAGTCATGTTTTTCCCCACCCTAAGTGTAACTTTATTTAATCCTGCCCTCCTTCAAGGTACAAACTCATCTTTCAACCTCCCTTCATTGACACACTCCTTGGTAACAGTTTACACTTGTCTTCACCTCAAAACCACTATTCAACTCACCTAGGTTCTACCACCACTGCTCTTCTGATATTGATTTGACAGAGTCATAAGAATGCTCAAAACTAAAGACCATTCTTGGCATGCCTTCTATTGGAGTTTTCCACAGAATTGACATAGAAAGAACATGTAGGTACATTCCTAGGTTCAGGCCCTGAAATTCTCTGTTTCTCTGTCTCCTTCTCTCTGTTTCATCAGTAATTTTTAATTGTCTACCAGATCTCTCTAACTGGCATATAAATATGCTGGGCTTTTACTTATCATCTTATAAAACAAAACCAAACAAACCTCTTTTTACCTAGTTTTTCTTTTGCAGTGACTGTTCTATTTCTTGTTCCTCTGATAGTAGAATTGAAAGGATTGTTTATTTTTTTATCTATTTTTTTCCCCTCCCACTCTCTCTTGAACCCATTGTAATCAAGCCTTGCACCCATGAATCCATCGAAACAGTGACTATCATGGTCACAAATGATCTCCACATTATTAAGTTTACTGATAAATTGTCAGTCCTCATCTTGTTAGCCGACTTGATATGGTCAGTATATTAGTCTGTTTTCATGCTGCTATAAGTGTTACCAGGGGTTCCTTGCTCCCAGAGCTACCAAGAAGGTGGCAGGCTGCATCCAAGATGGTGGCAAGCCTTGTGTTCTCTGACCTGGGGTTATTGGCCTCACGGATTCCAAGGAATGGAATCTTGGGCCATGCAGTGAGTGTTATAGCTCTATTAGAAGCTGTGGGTCACGGAAGAGAACCATGGAACCCAGTGACTAGTGTTCAGCTCGATTAGGATGAACCCGGGCACATAGCTGTGCAGGAACAATGGCAAGCCTTTAGCCCAATCCGGAGCAGCAATGGGTGCCTCACTGGATCAGGAGCACAGCGGACACCCTGCTGGATCTGGAGGGATGGAAGTCAATGGCGGGTCTGCAATGGCAGCAAACAGCAGTGGTGGGCGGCGAGCGAAAGATGAGCTCGAGCCATAATAAACATGGACCAAAAGAGAGTGCAGTTGCAAGATTTAATAGAGTGAAAACAGAGCTCCCATACAAAGGGAGGGGACCAAAGAGGGTAGCTGTTGCTGGCTCGAATGCCTGGGTTTATATCCCGATCATTGTCCCTCCCGCTGTGCTCTCAGGTGATAGATGATTGGCTATTTCTTTACCTCCTGTTTTTGCCTAATTAGCATTTTAGTGAGCTTTTCTTATTACCTGATTGGTTGGATGTGAGCTAAGTTGCAAGCCCCGTGTTTCAAGGTGGATGTGGTCACCTTCCCAGCTAGTCTTAGGGATTCTTAGTCAGCCTAGGAAATCCAGCTAGTCCTGTCTCTCAGTATCCCCTCTCAACAGGAAAAACCAACGGCTGTTGGGGAGTTTGGCCAACGACCACTTTAACTGCCTCCTGCTGAATCGGGGCATAGTAGGGGTTGTGCAGTTGAGATTTCCTTGGGAGGGGTGCCTTCAATGTCATTAACATTGGAGCATGGGCTAGCAGGCCAGTCCAGGGGTCCACAGTAGATTTTAGTCATGGACTGCATCTGCGGCTCCATTTGAAGAACTATTTGTAGTTTTACAGCTTTGATTCTGGAAGAGACAAACTTAACAAGGAGGGTAAAGATACAGGGATTGAAATGTATGGCCTGCAGTGCACGGGATTATTTCTTTGGCACACTTCACAGGCCCTGACTATCTGCTTGATAGTTTCAAAAAGGCCTGGTCCAGTAAATAATGATTTGGCCATCTGATGGGTGCTATCAATGCCTAAGTGAAAGGTTTGGTGAAGGGTTTTAAGTAATTTCCATTGGTTAGCTGCAGGCAGAAGTATTTTTTCTTCTTCAGTGGCTAGCCATCTTGAGGGGAGGAAACTATGTTCTCATGAGGTTCCCCATTCTATTTCTTCTGCTGAGTACTGGGGGTTGGTTTCCCAGAGGGGATTACCCCATACTAGGTGTCTTTCTATAAGCATTTCTAATGGAGGGTCCTGCCTTGAGGCTCTTTTGGCTTCAATATCCGCTTGGCAGTTCCCTTCTATTTCCCTTTCCTTTCCTTTCGGATGACCCCAGCAGTGTAAGACTGCCACCTCTTCAGGTTTCTGTACAACCAATAATAATCTCCTAATGGCTTCCTGATGTTTGATAGGTGTTCCCTCGGAAGTTAGGAATTCCCTTTCTCTCCATATTGATGCATGGGCATGGAGGACTAGGTAAGCATACTTAGAGCCTGTATTTATATTTACCCTTTTTCCTTCTCCGAATTCTAGTGCCCAAGTGAGGGCTACCAGTTCTGCCAGCTGAGTGCTAGTTCCTGGAGTGAAGGGATTACTTTCAAGTATTCCATTATCACTGACCACTGCATATCCCGCTTTTTGAAGTCCTTTTTGTACAAAGGAACTTCCATCAGTATACAAGTTGAGGTCGGGATCAGTCAAGGGAACCTCTAAAAGGTCCCCTCGAGTGGCGTAGGTTTGAGCAATTACTTGTTGACAGTTATGTTCTATCTTTTCTTCATTGTCTGGAAGAAATGTGGCTGGGTTAAGAGTTGCACAAGTGCGCAGTTGCAGCACTGGCCCTTCAAGTAATAGAACCTGATATTTAAGTAAATGGTTATCTGACAGCCACAAGTCTCCTTTAGCAGTGAGTATGCTGTTCACATCATGAGACGTCCACACAGTAAGATCTCTTCCCTGTATCATTTTAACTGCTTCAGATACTAAGACTGCTACTGCCGCCACTACCCATAAACAATGAGGCCAACCCTTTGCAACAACATCAATTTCCTTACTCAGGTATGCCACGGGTTACAAGCTCATCCCTCGGACCTGTGTAAGGACTCCTAGAGCTATTCCTGTTTTTTTTCTGTGACATAAAGAAAAGTCATGCCCCGTTGGCAAGCTTAACACTGGGGCTTAGGTTAGGGCCTTCTTTAGGGTCTGGAAAGCTGCTTCTGCTTCAGGTGTCCATCTTACTAAATGGGTATTGGCTTTCCGAGTCTCCTTAATTAGTGTATATAATGGTCTGGCTATTTTGCCGTACCTGGGAATCCATATTCGGCAGAAACCTGTTATGCCAAGGAACGCTCTTAGTTGCTTTAGGGTTTTGGGATGAGGATAAGCCAGTATAGGCTGGATACATTCCTCACTGGGGGCCCTGGTGCCTTTGGGTAATTTTAGCCCTAAGTATTTAACCTGCTGTGAGCAGAGTTGAGCCTTTGGTTTGGAAACCTTGTAACCACAGGTAGTGAGGAAATTTAAGAGTGCTTGGGTGGCTTGATGGCACAAGGTTTCTGAACAGGCAGCTAAAAGTAAATCATCCACATGCCAAAGGACAAGAGTGTCCAGGTATGAGAGCTGGCTCAAGTCTTGGGTTGATGCCTGGCCAAATAGATGGGGGCCATTCCTGAACGCTAGGGGTAAAACAGTCCAGGTGAGTTGAGATGTTGAGTTTGAAGGATCTTCAAAGGCAAACAAGAATTGAGAGTCAGGATGTACAGGGATGAAGAAAAGGGCATCCTTAAGGTCCAGGAGTATAAACCACTCTGCTTTCTCTGGTATTTGGGAAAGCAGAGTGTAAGGGTTAGGTACAGCTGGGTATAGAGGAACAACAGCCTCATTGATAATCCTGAGATCTTGCACTAACCTCCACTGTCCGTTGGGTTTCTATACTCCTAAAATTGGAGTATTGCAGGGTCTATTGCATGGTTTTACTAGGCCTTGGGCTTTTAGGTCCTTAACAATATTTTGGAGTCCTTGTTGGGCCTCGGGTCTAAGGGGTACTGCTTTTGGTAGGGAAAGGAGGTGGAATCCTTTAGTTTAACTTGAACAGGATGGGCATTCTTTGCTCATCCATATTGTCCTTCTGTTGCCCAGACTTCAGGATTAATTCCTTCCTCAAGCAGGGGACAACAAACAGGTGTTCCTTCTCCTATGTTCAGGTGTATAACGGCCCCTGCTTTGGCTAGGATGTCTCTCCCTAACAAGGGAGTGGGGCTTTCAGGCATAATTAGAAAAGCATGTGAAAAGAGTAAAGTTCCCCAGTCACAACTTAGTGGCTGGGAGAAGTATCTAGTGACTGGCTGTCCTAGGACCCCTCGGATAATGACAGATCTGGAGGACAGTTGTCCAGGACAGGAGAGTAAGACTGAGAAGGCTACGCCAGTGTCCAGGAGACAGTTAACCTCCTGGCCCTCAATGGCCAAGCATACTGGAGGCTCTGTGAGGGTGCTGGCATGGGCTGGCACTTGCCCTGGGCACCCTCAGTCCTGCTGCTGGATTATCTGGTTAGTGGCTTCTGACTCAGAGGACCTTCATCCCCTGGGTCAGTGGGCCTTCCAGTGATTCCCTTGGCATAAGGGGCATGGACGAGGGGGTGGCTTATTTCTACTTGGACAATCTTTTTTAAAGTGTCCTTGTAGACCACACTGGAAGCAAGCCCTATTAGGCATTCAATTTTCCCAGCTTTTCCCTTTTCCAGAGGCTCCAAAGTCCGCTTGCCTGAGGGCCATGACTAAAGCGGTGGCCTTTTTTGTATCCTGTTTGTCCCGTTCCACTTGCTCCTCCTGATCTCTATTATAAAAAACCGAGGTTGCCAAGTTCAATAGGGTTTCTAAGTTTTGCTCCAGGCCTAAGGCAGACTTTTGAAGTTTTTTTTTCTAATGTCTGCAGCTGACTGAGTGATAAACTTATCTTTTAAGATTAGTTGGCCTTCAATAGAGTCAGGTGACAGGGAGGTATGCTTCCTCAATGCCTCCCTTAGTCTCTCCAGAAAGGCAGTAGGATTTTCTTCCTTTCCCTGTTATAGTGGACATCATTGAATAATTCATAGGTTTCTTCCTAGTTTTCCTTAAGTCCTTCTGGCACGCAAGTTACCAAATATCTGCGACACCAATCTCCATGTTCTGATTCTGTGTCCCAGTGGGGGTCTACACTGGGAACTGCCTGCTGGCCTGTGGGGAATCGTTCTCTTTCCTCTGTTGTCATCCTATCATTGACCTGAGTGAGATACCAGAGATCGCCAAACTCTCAGGCTGCAGTTATGGCGGCACTTCTCTCATTTGGGGTTAGTGTCTGATTTAGCAGTAACATTATATCTCTCCATGTCAGATCAAAGGATTATCCTAACCCTTGTAAAACATCAATATAGCCATCAGGGTTATCTGAGAATTTACCAAGGTCTATTTTAATTTGCTTTAATCTGAGAGAGAAAAAGGTACATGCACTCTGGCTGGGCCGAATTATCCTCCTCCCACTGCTTGGAGGGGGCATAATCGGGGAATATTGGCACTCTTTGGTTCCTTGTTTACCCCTTTGTCTATCTCCTTTTGGACAGTTTGGGTTAAAGGGGGGTCCTTATTAGTTGGGGAAGGAGTCGGGGGCATGCTGGGGTAGGGAGGTAGACTCTGAGGGCTTCCTGTAAGGCATAAATCACACTTTTTACATAATTGCGAATTGTCTTTTAATGAAAAGAAAGTTTGTATGTATGGCATTCCACTCCATTTGCCTTTTTTTCTACAAAAGAGGTCTAGCTGTAAGATGGTGTTATACTTTATACTTCCCCCAGGAGGCCAGGTTTCTCCCTCTTGAAGAGGATATCATGGCCAGGTGGTTCTGCAGAAGAATATAAGTCATTTCTTTCTTAGCGTCTGAGGGTCAAACTTGTCTCAATTCTCCAGAATACATCTTAGGGGCGTTTTTGCCTTGGGGGGAACATTTCCCTTCTGGAAAAAGAACATAGGGATGCCAGCACCCCTAGTCATTTCCCGTAGAGCATTAGTCCTAGAGTGTCCTCTATGGTACTAATGCTTATTCCTTTCCAGGGTGCACAACCATGGACTTCTGCTTATCAGATTAGTTAAGCTCACTGATGCAGCAGTCCTGCACTCCTTTTCCCGCCTTTCTTGACCACAAAGAAAGGGGTCTGGGCTGCTGAATTCTAGTGGTCCTTTACCAGGGTGCCCAACATTGCTTTTGTGCTCAGGGGTGAGTCCTAGAGCTGGGCTGGGTTCCTGAGTATTTCATAACAACCCAGCTGCCCCATCAAGATGAACTCCCATAAACAGTTCTTATGCAAATTCATTTCAGAGAGGGTGTAGGTAACCTTTTGAGTCAGGATTGAGTAGTCTTTTTTGATTGTGTAAGTACTTTAAGGCTTGGCTGAGTGCAAACAGCTCACACGTTTGAGGAGACCAATTATTAGGCAATTTTTCTAACTCTGCTTCCACAAGAGTCTCCCTATCAATTACTGAATACTCATTGTGGTTTTTTCCTCAATCACCTGGGAGGAATCATCTATCATCCTGTCCTGAAGGGAATTCCTCCTAGGTCTTTTTGGACTTTTATATGGTAATTAAGATTTAAATCCCCTGTTAGGAAATCTGCTGGGTTAAGGGAATTATCAGTGGTTGGTGTTAAATTACCTTTTTTTAACAGGATAGCCCCATACTTTAAGATTTTTGAGTTAGTATGCTACCTTTTTCTTTTTTGACTCAGGATAATTCTGAACTGGTGAGGTGTGCTCACAATGAGGTTTCCTCACAATGAGGTTTCCTCTAAAAGTTTCTTTTCTACTTTCTTCTGTTAGCAAAGCAGTTGCCGCTACAGATTGAATGCATCGGCGGGTTACAGGGTTAATGAAGGGTTTTTGATAGGAAAGCTACGGGTTGTCAGTGGTCTCAGTGTTTTCAGGCTACGCCCTTGTTTACACTGACAACAAGGTAGTATTGGAGTGTTATGGGGTCACGGAGAAGACCTTCAATTATCAATTATAGGTTTTAAATTTACCCTGGCTTTTAAAGGAATAGGGCACACTGATTTTTACTATTACTATCTTTCTCTTTCTCTTTGACTCCCTCTTTTTCTCTCTCTCTCCTCTGTCTCTTTCTCTCTCTCCTCTATCTCTCTCCTCCGTCTCTCCTCCGTCTCTCTCTCCTCCATCTCTCTCTCCTCTGTCTCTCTCTCTCTCTTCCCTCTCTCTCTCTTCCCTCTCTCTCTCCCTCTTCCCTCTCTCTCTCCTCTATCTCTCTCTCTCTCTCTCCCCTCTGTCTCTCTCTTAGCCATTTACAAACTTGAGGCCCTGGCAAGGGTGGTAGAGAACGGGTCCCACGTAACTGCCCATGTTGAGAGCTGTATACCTAAATCGGGAGGGACACCAGGGATAAGACTCCCTGGGTTTATTGTCTAGATGCCTAAGGATGCAGCCTAGAGCTTCCTTAGATCCCTTTGGAGATACAACTTGCTAGAGGAAATGAAGTCTGAACCATTAGTGCCTAGGAGGCAGGGATCAGAGGAAGTAGATTCGGCGGTAAGGAGAATTTTGGGGCTACACTTTCAAGAAAGTCCTGGTCAGGACCCAGGAGGTATGGGTCAAAAGGAAAGGTAGGGGTGCACACATGGGCGACTGTTAAGTAGAGACTTCTGGCTGTGCCATGATCTCAATGGGCTAATGCTGGGAGTTCGGGACAACAGGTTTCTGCCTCTAGTCAGCCCTCAGCTTCCCCAAGAAAATTGAAAGTGGAAGCTGGTTGTAGGCTCCCAACCCCAGATAGCCTCACACCTGAGTCTTAAGTCCGGTGGCCACACTAATCGTTTTTAACTGGCCGACAGGTGCTCGGTATTTTCCTCCAATTCTAAGGAAGGATAGGAAAGAATAGCAAGTGAAAGTGGTCCGATATTACTCACCATTTTGGAGGTCCCTTCGTGGTCGCCAAAATGTTACTGGGGGGTCCTTGCTTCCAGAGCTCCCAACATGGTGGCAGGCTGCTTCCAAGACGGTGGCAAGCCTTGTGTTCTCTGACCTGGGGTTCTTAGCCTCATGGATTCCAAGGAATGGAATCTTGGATCATGCGGTGAGTGTTATAGCTCTATTAGAAGCCGTGGGTCATGGAAGAGAACAGTGGAACCCAGTGACTAGTGTTCAGCTCGATTAGGATGAACCCGGGCACTTAGCTGTGCAGGAACAATGGCAAGCCTTTAGCCTGATCCGGAGCGGCAATGGGTGCCTCACTGGATCAGGAGCACAGCGGACACCCTGCTGGATCTGGAGGGATGGAAGTCAACGGCGGGTCTCCGACGGCAGCAAACAGCAGTGGTGGGCGGCGAGTGAAAGCTCAGCTCGAGCCGTAACAAACACGGACCAAAAGAGAGTGCAGTTGCAAGATTTAATAGAGTGAAAACAGAGCTCCCATACAAAGGGAGGGGACCCAAAGAGGGTAACTTGCTGGCTCGAATGCCTGGGTTTATGTCCCGATCATTCTGCCTCCCGCTGTGCTCTCAGGCGATAGATGATTAGCTATTTCTTTACCTCCTGTTTTTGCCTAATTAGCACTTTAGTGAGCTTTTTTTAATTACCTGATTGGTCGAATGTGAGCTAAGTTGCAAGCCCCGTGTTTAAAGGTGGATGCAGTCACCTTCCCAGCTAGGCTTAGGGATTCTTAGTCGGCCTAGGAAATCCAGCTAGTCCTGTCTCTCATAAGGACATATCCAAGACTGGATAATTAGTAAAGGAAATTAGTTTAATTGACTCACAGTTCTGTAGGGCTGGGGAGGCCTCAGGAAGCTTAAATCATGGTGGAAGGGGAAGCAAACACGTCCTTCTTCATGTGGGGGACGGAAAAAGTGCCAAGCCAAGGTGGAAAAGCCCCTTATAAAACCATCAGATCTCATGAGAATTCACTATCACGAGAACAGCATGGGGATAACTGCCTGCATGATTCAATCACCTCCTATCATAGGTAATTGAATCATGTGTGTGATTCAATTCCGTGTGTCCCTCCCACAACACATGAGATTTATGGGAACCAAAATTCAAGATGAGATTTGAGTGGGGACACAGCCAAACCTGGACACTCCCAAATCTCATGCCCTCACATTTCAAAATCAATCATGCCTTTCCAATAGTCCTCCAAAGTCTTAGCTCATTTCAGCATTAACCCGAAAGTCCAAGTCCAAAGTCTTATCTGAGACAAGGCAAGTCCCTTCTACATAGGAGCCTGTAAAATCGAAAGCAAGTTAGTTACTTCCTAGATATAATGTAGGTACAGGCTTTGAGTAAATACACCCTTTCCAAATGGGATAAACTGGCCAAAACCAAGGGGCTACAGGCCCCAATCAAGTCCGAAATCCAATAGGGCAGTCATTAAACCTTAAAGCTCCAGAATGATCTGTTTTGACTCCATGTCTCATATCCAGGTCACACTGATGCAAGAGATAGGCTCCTGTGGCCTTGGGCAGCTCCGGCCCTGTGACTTTGCAGGGTACAGCCTCCCTCCTGGCTGCTTTCACAGATTGGCATTGAGTGTCTGCGGCTTTTGCAGGCACAGAGCGCAAGCTGTCAGTGGATCTACCATTCTGAGGATTGGAGGACAGTAGCTCTCTTCTCGCAGCTCCAGTAGGTGGTGCCCCAGGGGGAACTCTGTGTGGGGGCTCCGGCACCACATTTCCTTCTGCACTGCCCTAGCAGAGGTTCTCCATTAGGGTTGAACCCCTGCAGCAAACTTCTGTCTGCACTTCCAGGCATTTACACAGATCCTCTGAAATCTAGGGGGGAGTTCCCAAACCCGAATTCTTGACTTCTGTGTACCTGCAGGCCCAATACCATGTGTAAGTCATCAAGGCTGGGGGCTTGCACCCTCTGAAGCCACAGCCTGAGCTGTAAGTTGGCCCATTTTAGCCCCAGTTGGAGCAGCTGGGATGCAGGGCATCAAGTTCTGATGCTGCAGACAGCAGGGGGGCCTTGGACCCCCTAGGGGTCCCTCCTAGGCCTCCAGGGCCTGTGATGGGAGGGGCTGCCGTAAAGGTCTCTAACATGCCCTGGAGACATTTTCCCCATTGTCTCGGCAATTAGCCTTTGGCTCATTTCATATGCAAATTTCTGCGGGTATATTGAATTTCTCCCCAGAAAATGGGTTTTTCTTCTCTACTGCATTGTCAGTCTGCAAATTTTCCAAACTTTTATGCTCTGCTTCCTCTTGAATGCTTTGCTGCTTAGAAATTTCTTCTGCCAGAAACCCCAAATTATCTCTCTCAAGTTCAAAGTTCCAGAGATCACTAGGGCAGGGACAAAATTTTGCCAGTCTCCTTGCTAAAGAATAGCAAGAATCACCTTTATTCCAGTTCCCAGCAAGTTCCTCATCTCCATCTGAGACCACCTCAGCCTGGCCTTTATTGTCCATATCACTATCAGCACTTTGGTCAAAGCCATTCAACAAGTCTCTAGGAAGTTCCAAGCTTTCCTACATTTTCCTATCTTTTTCTGAGCCCTGCAGACTGCTCCAATGTCTGCCTGCGACCCAGTTCCAAAGTCACTTCCACATTTTCACGTACCCTTATAGCAGCACCTTCACTCCCAGTACCAACTTACTGTATTAGTCCATTCTCATGCTGCTGTAAAGGCATATTCAAGACTGGGTAATTTATAAAGGAAAGAGGTTTAATTGACTCATAGTTCCATAGGGCTGGGAGGCCTCAGGAAACTTACAATCATGGCAGAAGGAGAAGCAAACATTTTTCTTTACATGGCAAAAGGAACAAGTGCCAAGCAAAGGGGAAAAAGCCCCTTATAAAACTATCAGATCTCATGAGAACTCACTACCCCAAGAACAGCACAGGGGTAACTGCCCCCATGACAAAATTACCTCCCACTGGGTCCCTCCCACGATATGTAGAGATTATAGGAAGTACAATTTGAGATGAGATTTGGATGGGGACACAGCCAAACCATGTCCGTCAGTCATTCCCCTCTCCTTGATACTTTTTTCACTTGGCTTTCACTACCTTTGCTTCTTTTCCTCCTATGTAACTAGTGGCTCCTTCTCTATCAGCTTAGATGAATACTCCTCATCTTCCAGACCTGTTACTGTTGGAGAGGCCCAGAGCTCAGCTTGGACCTTGTCTGTTTTCTGTCTATGCCCACTCCCAAGGTGAACTAATTTGGTTCAAAGGCTTTAAATACCATCTCTATGCTAATGACTCCTGAGTTTATACATTCATCCTAGATTCATATTCAACTACTGCCAACCTGACAGTTCCATTGAGATGTCCCTCAGAATCCATACATCTATCCAAAGCTGAGCTTTTTTTTTTTTTTTTTTTTTTTGAGATGGAGTCTTGCTCTGTCGTGCCCAGGCTGGAGTGCAGCAGCACAATCTCAGCTCACTGCAACATCCGCCTCCCAGGTTCAAGAGATTCTCCCTCCTCAGTCTCCCAAGTAGCTGGGATTACAGGTGCCTGCAACCATGCCCAGCTAATTTTTTGTATTTTTAGCAGAGAAGCGGTTTCATCATATTGACCAGGCTGGTCTTGAACTCCCAGCCTCAGGTGATCTGCCTGCTTCGGCCTCCCAAAGTGTTGGGATTACAGGCGTGGGCCACAGCGCCCCACCAGCTGACCTTCTCTATGAACCTGATCCTTCCGCAAACTTCATCTGAGATTTGAAAACTCCATCTTTCATGTTACTGGAACCAAAAACCTTATGGTCATCTTTGAATCCACTTTTTATGTTATACCCTACAGCCAACCTATGGCTATATAAACAATAACCTCACTACCTTTACAGGTATAACTCTAGTCCAAGTTACTATCACATCTTGCCTGGATTATGAAATGGTTATAGTCTTCTTGCTTCCAGCCTTGCCCTCTTTAGTTTATCCTCAGCATAGCCATAAAATGAACCTGTTAACATGCCTTCCCTCTGACCAAAGTCGTTCAACTTCTATGCCTGTGCCATAGAGAAAAAGCCAGAGTCCTTGCATGTAAGGCCATTTTTAGGACCCCTGTGTTACCTCTCTGGCTTCATGTGTGACTCTTTTCTCTCTTGGCCAGCTGCTTCTAGCTACCTGCTCCTGCCCCAACACCACTTCACTGGCAGTTTGTCCGTTCTGTGTGGAGTGCTTTTCCTGCACATAACATGACTGGGTCCCTCACTTCTTTAGGACATAGCTCAAATGAGTGAATTTCCCCTATCTAAAATTTCAGCCCCCACCCCAAATACTAGTAAACTCATCTCCTCGCTTTTTCTTTCTAGCACTAGTCACTATGTAACATACTATATAGCATTTATTTTGCATAATCATCTATCCTTCTCTATAAGCTCAATGAGAATAGCATCTTTTGTCACTGTATCTTCTGCAGGTAAACACAAAAAATAAAAAGTGTTCAATGCATGTTTGTTGAATAAATAGTAGGCAATGAATACATTTTAAAACTCTTCGTTGCTCTTCATTTTTCTTTTACCTTTCTGAAAACTCTTTTCAGGTTTCCTTTCAATTCCACTTCATCTGTTTGTCCTGTATACTTTTGTATCTTATCTACACACTCAACAAACTCTCTTCATCTTGTAACCTCTCAGAACCTAGACTCTAACTTGCATGCAAGTGATTCTCGCCTCTTCAATCTCGACCATTTTCACATTATACCCACTTTCTAAGAGCCTATTGGAATTCTATTTTAGTTTTCTAATAAATCTTTCAAATTGTATAAAATAAAATGTATTATGTCCTCTCTCCAAACTTACCATGTTTCATATCTTGCTTAGTGACGTTAAACTCCATCTAATCACAAAAGCTAGAGCCACAGTCTCTTTCTCAGTTAGGAAATCCCTTTATGGCCAGAATAGCACTATGCTTTAATCTTCACCCAGCAAATATAAACATATATGCATGTGTATGTGTCACATATATGGTACATACACATGGCTACATATGAGACATAGAATTAGAGAACATATTTATGGACCACATTCAAGCAACAAAAAACAACAGAAACACACACAGCAGTGACAGAGACTAAAGTCAGTGCTCTATAAAGCTCTAAGTCAGAACACTGGCAGAGCCAAAAGCTTAATCAAGAGCCAAAAGTTCCCTTGGTGTTGCAGGAAATGGAGGCAGGCTCAAACTGGACACGGGAGCAGGGCTCTCCGCCTATGGAAACAGCAGTGACCACTGACTAGGACTAAGGTATATGTCAATCTGTGAACTTACAGTGCTTGAAGGAGGTAGTACTTGAGCCAATGCTGGCCAGCTCTATGACTATGACAGGTACCTACATCATCCCTAGCTTTTAATACAAAAGCTGGTTCTGGACTAAGAGTCCCGTGGTACCACAAGGCAATCATAAAACCACTAAAAAGGGAGAGTCAACACTAAAAGGAAGAAAAGGAAAAAGATAAACCTGCAAACAAAAATTCCAAAGCACACAACCAAAACTAAGAGAGATGGTAAACGACACAGAGATTCTGTCAGTTTTGAAAAAATAAAAATACAACAATCTTGGTGATTTTGAAATAATTTTAAGATTATCAGAGACACAAGAAAGCACCATATAATTTTGTGAAACACAAGCAGGTGGATACAATTTAATAAGAAATGGCTAAAAACAGAAACATCTAGCATTCTGACATATGTAAAGATACAGTCCTTGACATAAAAAAGGACTTTTTAGATTGCAGCTAAAAATTAGAGCAGTAAGATAATTAATCTTAATAATTAAGATAATTATTCACCTAGAAAGAACATGTGAGAGTAAATGAGAAATATAAAAGATTATTTGAGGCTCCAAAACACATCTTAAAGGGATTTGAGAATTTAAGAGTAAATGGAAAGACAGGTAAGCAGTTTTCTAAAAGGGCAAGGTTTTTCCAGAATTATAACAAATTTTCAGATTAAATGTGCATCAGGTCAGGTATGTTAAATAAACGCACATTTAGAACCATTACAATGAAACTGAAAAGGATGAGAGATAAAGCAAAAAGACTTAAAAGCTACCAGACGGAAAGATGGATCAGTAGCAGAGCACTAACAATAGAGTGAGAACAGATTTCAACAAACGATTCTGAAAGACAGTCAAGTAAAACGACCACCAATTTAATACTTTTTATTCACTAAACCATTATTCAAGTTAGGGCAAGATGAGGATATCTTTAGACCCACAAAAGCCATGAGAACATATTTTTTAACAGGTTAAAATAATTCCTAAGGAATACACAGCTGGCTCTTCAACAGTCTGAATTTGAACTACATGGGTCCATTTATATGGAGATTAAAAAGAAAAAACCACACACACATGGACCAAAAGTACAATATTCAAGGGATGCCAAACCTTCATATAAGGAAAGTTGACCTCAAATATGTGGGTTTCACAGGGCCAACCACGGGACTCGAGTATGTGTGGATTATGGTATACACAGGTGCTCCTGGAATGAATCCCTGGAGTATACTGAGGGACAACTGGTTTATCAAGAAGAAAAATTAACCAAACATAATGAAATTAAAGTGATTGAAGGAATGGTAAAGTATGTTGGTCATTCTAATAAATATGAATGAAGACAATGTAGGTGAGCAGGAAAAGTTTGTTAAATCACTATCTTTTCTTTTCTGGGAAGACAAAGAAGTATAACCCTCTATTAGTAAAAAAAACAAGAGGAGAGGGATAGAGAGAGAAAACATGTTAAAATTTTAGTAGTAACTTTACAAAGAATAAAAATATAACTAACCTGTAAGTTCCAAACTAGCAAGGGAAAACAAGAAAAAATTCAAGTCAAGAAAAGGAGAAAAAGAAAAATGATGAGAAACAGAACAAAAAAAAAAATAGCAGAAAGAGTTCTGCAGAGCGTGGTGGCTCACACCTGTAATTCCAGCACTTTGGGAAGCCGAGGCAGACGGATCACAAGGTCAGGAATTCAAGACCAGCCTGGCCAACATGGTGAAACCCCATTCCTACTAAAAATACCAAAATTAGCTGGACATGGTGGCGGATGCCTGTAATCCCAGCTACTCAGGAGACTGAGGCAGGAGAATGGCTTGAACCCAGGAGGCGGAGGTTGCAGTGAGCCACTATACTCCAGCCTGGGTGACAGAGTGAGACTCCGTCTCAAAAGAAAAAAAAAAGAAAAAAAAAGTTCCAAAGGTATTCATAATTCTCAAATGATAACAGCATGAACTCACTGTGATGGTTAATTTTACATGTCAACTTGACTGGGTTAAGGGATACCCAGATAACTGGCAAAATATTATTTCTGTTTTTGAGGGTGGTTCCATTAGAAATTAGCATTTGAATCAGTGGACTGAGTAAAGAAGATCCCTTCACACCAATGTGGACGGGCATCATCCAATCCACTGCGGGCCCAGATAGAACAAAAAACAGGAAGAAAAGTGAATTCACTCTGTGGTAGAACTGGGAAATCCACCTTATCCTTGTCCTTTGACATCAGAGCTCCAGGTTCCCAGGCCTTAGGTCTTGGACTGAAAGTTACATCATGTTTTCTGGTTCTCAGGTCTTTGGGTCAGGCTGCATTACATCACTGGCTTTCCCGGTTCTCCAGCCTGCAGACAGCATACTGTGGGATTTCATAGCCTCCATAATCACATAAACCAATTCCCATAAAAAATCCTCCCATATGTCTATATATATCCTATTGGTTCTGTTTTTCTGTAGAACCCTAATACACACGCCTATAAAAAACTATAGATGACCATGTTGGGAAAAGTTTTAAGTATATTTTGATTATAACAGACACAATTTTTTTATTGTGATTAAAACAACACAACATAAACTTACCATCTTAAAATTTAAGTATATAGCTCAGTAATGTTAAGCATATTCACATTGTTCAGGAACAGATTTCCAGAACTTTTCCATCTTGCATATCTGAAAATCTATACCCATTAATCAAGAACTCCCATTTCCCCCTCCTGCCAGCCCCTGTAACTACTATTCTACTTTGTTTCTTTGGCTACTTCAGATACTTCAAAAATGGCACAGTAAGATTGGAAATGACAAAACTGGGAAAAATATACCAAGCAAATAAAAAAATTAACTTTGTAATGAATAGACAGATATCAGACACTCCAAGCAAATTTAAACCTTGAGTAACACTGATTTTTAAGAAGTGGGCCATGGGAGATACATCAATGAAAGAGACAAAGGAAAAAGACCAGCAAGACAAGTAGGACTAGAAAAATGTAGAGATTCAGAAAGGTGCTACAACAATGTTTAAGTCCAGTAAAATAAAAACTGTAAACATATGGTCAAGTTTGGAAGTTAGGAAAACTGGCAATCTTGGCAAAAGCAATTTCAATTGAACATGAACAAATTTTGATCTTCCTAGGTTGAAGAGGAACTAAGATTTTGAGACGTTTGAATGAGAAAAATAAGAGAGGGGATAATCTAGAGGCAAGGTTAAGGGAAGATAGATATTGAATTATAGGATTCTCACAATCATATTTATAGGTTGAGGACAAAGTTAAGATGGAGGGACAGCAACTTCTCACTCCAGCTACATCACTATAGTTCGTTCCCCCATAAACCCCATACTTCTTAACTTGGAGCCACTCACTGTTCCTACAGAAAAAAAAAAAAAATCTCTTGATGCATGTGGCCATCTGTTTACCTTTAGTAAACTGCATAAGGTGACTTCCTGCTAAGTGCCCACACATCATCTAATTCATCATGTGATTACACTGCTAAGTGCTAGACCACATCATCTGGCGATTGTCAAAAACACAGATTGTTTTACTTCATTTCTTCCTAGAAAGTATCTGATTAACACAGAGGTTAACTGTCTTTAGTATTTCTTATACAATGATATCACAGCTGGCTTAGTAACTATCTGCTTCCCTGTGAGTTTCTCAGATGGTTCACATGGTTCTATGGGAAAACAGCTATTATGCTTGGGGTAAAAGCAAAACTTTTGTCTTAGAAGAACTGGATTCTGCCAAGTGAGAAAGAAGAAAAAACATTTCAGGACAAAAGTTTTGTCATTTATCTAGCACTTTCTTGAGAGAATATTTGTCTTAGTAATGTTACCATAGCCATAGCATCTAAGATAGCACCTAGCACGGTAGCCACTCCAATGTTTGCAGAACTGAAGATGAGATAATATATACAATGATGTTTAGTTTATAAAAGGACACGGTGCATAGGGGCGGATAAGGAGTACTGTATGGTCAAAACATTCGGGGGTGATGAGAGCATGGCTTGAAGGGTGAGCTGGGATGTGTACGAAAGGTCTTATATGACATAACTAGGATTTAAAATTAGTCATGGAAGGTTTTTAAACAGGGAGGTTGCCCATTCAGATTTATTTTAGAAAAAAGTATTTCTGGTGACAGCAAAGACAATGGATTGGATAAAACAAAGGAGGATAAAGACTAGTTAAAACACTGCTACAAAAGACAGACAAGGGGTTGAACTTCAGCTGTGGCAATGGGGTAAGAGGGAAGGTATCATCAGCCTTGAGAAAACTCAGGAGCAAAACCATCAGGAATGGTGATTACTGGTGATTAAACAAGAAAGAGTACCAGAACTGGAACTGCTGTGGAATGCAGGTGGAGAAAAGAGATAATTGGCTTAGCCTGGGACACGCTGGTGAGGTGCATGTAACACTTCCAGGTAGTACAGTTAGAAAGTAAACATTCGGAGACAATCACTGCCAATAACAGGGGCCTACTGAGCTATAGCATTTAACACATCGATAATAAGTATTTATTCATGAACGTGCTTCCTGTCCCACTGATAATTAGAATAAGATTTTATTCATTTTTCACATCACCAGAGCATAAGAAATGTGTTTGAAAACTGAGTGTATTGTTACCAAATTTCAACTCTGAGCTGTAGTTAGATCAAAATAAAACCATAGGAAGTAATCTCAAAATAACCAACAAAACAACTACGATAACCTCATAAAAGTATTAGGTGTTGTACTGAAGAAAAAAAGAATTAAGAAAAAAGTTATACTTGTAAAATAGAAGACAAAGTTCAACATGAAACCCAACAAAGGTATATAAAAAAATTATAGAAGAAAAGCAAGAACTATACAGCAGTTGTGAATTCCCTTGTCATATTCTTTAAACTGTATTCTTAAAATTTCTTTAATTAAAACATGTAATTTTAATTAAAAGCCACATGTGAATGTTGGTTTAACTTTCCAGGTATTCATGGATATCAACCATCATGCAGGCAGATATGGAATCCAGATCTGACACTAAAAAAAAAATAGGAATGAAAAATGAACTTGTAATTTTTACAGTAGTAAGAATGGACTTGATAAATTATGCACATTTTAATCTAAAATATAGACTTTCATATGTTTTATCTTAATAATATACCTTGAGTAAAATAAAATGTCTTTGTCAAAAGACATCCCATTCAGTAACAGATTTTTCAACAACAACAAAAAACCAAATGGCCCAAGATATTGAGATAATTCAGAAAATATGTGGGCAAAACCTCTTCTCTATTAAAATAAAATACCAATGAAAATACTTCTGTGCCATTTTAGCTCACGTTTGAGACCAAGCAAGACAATTATTTCAGGACTTTCCTATTACACATTAGTTTAAGAAATGCCCCATAAAAAAGGTTAAGTTCTGGCACCTAGATATTTCTGGAGTATGAAAATTATTCAATTCATGAAGAAACTGTACCTTTCTTTGAAGACTAATTGTTTTCTTGGCAGGGTACTGTGTTATCCAATGTGTTAACAGAATGCTGTCTTAAACAATGAGTTCAAAGTTATCCTATTACATAAATCTGATCATTTCAGATCGCAAGAGTGGGAAGGACAGCTCAGGCATTTTGCAAGGACATTTGGTTCCCATTCTCTTGAAGAATACCAGTGTAGCACATCTATCATAATATTGGTTATAAATTACTTCCTATCACATTGAATTGAAAGAAATAAAGCCTCCCAAGTGTGTAGAAACACCAAACCACTTTCCTTGGTTCTGTCAATCTTTAAAAAGTAGTGTGGCTCTATTCTGAGCAGTAACTTTTGGTTTCTTTCTGTAGAAAGGCTGTGAAAATAAATTATATATATTCCACAGATACTTAACTTTCATAAAATTTTGCCAGAACTAAGGAATATTTTTCCCCAATATCCTACAATTAGTGCCAATAGTGGAATTAAGATATAAATAATACAGAAATTTTGTGAACATCTATTAAAATATGTTGTACATGAACTCCTATCAAAAAGCATAGGATGATTAAACTGGAATTTTTAAGTATTCCTCCAAGCAATGTGACATTTATCTACATTAGGCTTTTTACCTTGAGTCTATGTTATTTTAGGTTATCTTACCACCTACTAGATTGATTTTGTTAATTCAATTTGGAGTCTCAAAATCATATATATTCTTTTCCTGCAAATGTCAAAGAGAAATCAAGTTCCTACTCTTTCTCCAGACAGTTAACATTACATCTAATCCACAAATTTCAGCACATACACCCAGTAAAAGGGTAAAATCATACTGATGTAGAGTGAATCTAATTTTTGAATTTCAGGCGTTAATGATTTAAACCTTTGTGCTTAAGTACGGAAAAATTAAATCCTTTAAAAGAAGTTCATAATAACTGAAAAAGGCCCCATCTGGCAATAATGAAGACAAATTAACAATAAAATTTTGAAAATCTGGCAATATGATCAAGCCAAAGCATACGAAATTACTTCTCTGTACTTAGTCACTGGTGGTCCAAGGAAGGATCAACTTCCTGTCTTGGATTCTGGCGTCTAAATTAAAGCAGGAAAATCGACTGCAATCTGGGTTCCAGGCTTCTGGCTCACAAGCAACAAAGCTCGAAACTCACTAAAAGCAGGAAGACTTTAACCCCAACATATTCTCTAAGAAGAATCTGCTTTTTGAATAGCTGCTTTCAGTTTAGTTCAAACACAAGACAATGGCATAAATTCACACCTTGGAGGTTAGTTGACTTTTAAAGCTTATTGTGCTATATTAACTCCTTTTGTGCCAATTTATCTTGAGCAAGAGGGTTTTTCTTTAAACTACACATATGAGCTAGAATTTACTACAGAAGAAAAAAGTTTTATAATCTGAATTATTAAACTGAATTTTTTTTCCTTTCAGTTACTTTGAATTGTGTCATCTAGTTTTGAAAATATGGTTATATTCCAATGAGAACACATGGACACAGGAAGGGGAACATCACACACTGGGGCCTGTTGCGGGGTGAGGGGAGCAGGGAGGGATAGCATTTGGAGATATACCTAATGTTAAATGATGAGTTACTGGGTTCAGCACACCAACATGGCACATGTATACATATGTAACTAACCTGCACGTTGTACACATGTACCCTAAAACTTAAAGTATAATTAAAAAAAAAAAGAAAATATGGTTATATTCATTTTTCTGTGTATATATGCCTGCCATGTAATTACATTTTTCAATGAATACTGTTTTAAAACAAATGTTTTAGTTTTATGTGCTTAAGTAAGATATTTTATACTTAGTTTTTAACCAAACCTTGATGATCAAAGAAAATATTTTGGTAATTGTTCAAAAATAGCTTAGAAGTACCATTTATATACAAACTGCTCTTCCAGCAGAAAATCAATAAAAACAGAAAACAATTCTAGCAGCATCTCATTACAACCTGGAACAGTGCATGAAAGTCCACTTCTGCTAGAGCCATTTTAGCTATAGACATATGCAATAAACCACTCGCTTGCTGTAAGAAAAGGGACGGCAAAAGTGAAACTACTTGGATAAGCATAAGGCATTAGACCACGTAAACCATTATTATAATTAAAGAAACATGAATTGAGCAGTGATTTATGGTAGTTGTACTATATTACACCAGATTATAACAACAAATCTTTTTTTGTTCGTAGATTTAGAAATAATGTACCTTAAATCTCTGTAGCTCCTTCTCGTTTACAATTGTGCTTTCATATGCACAATCTGATTTCAATCTGTATTACAACAATCCTGGGAGGTAGAAAAAACGGTCATTTTTGTTCATACTTTAATGGGCTAAATATAATTCCCATCCGTTTGAGACATGATAATGTGAACTAATTAAGCCTAAATTGTGCTAAAAATAATAAAAATTGTTATTGTATAAATGGGGCTTGGCATCAAATTGACACATTTTATTAAATATAATGTGCAAAATATAATGAAGTAACTTCTATTTAAAAAATGGTACAAGGCAGGTATTATTTAAAATGCTTTAGTAACTCATTTTCCATAAAAAGAAATCTGGCATTATAAAAATACATAAAATAATCATGATTTATATCATTAATTTACGTAAGATACTTTTTTGCATAAAACAAAGTTAAAAAATAGTTTAAAAAGGTATTCTTATATGAGCATCATTCCCAGTATAAAAATTTTCATAACTTTTTGTAATTTTGGTTCATCTGTATAAATAAAGCATTTTTATCCTTTTAAAATTCATAACTCCATTTAAAAAACATAAGATTCTCTCTCTTTTAAATAAAAGTTCACTTGAGGTAGTATGTTAAGCTTTTCCTTTGGTCTCATTCAGTCTATGTGTCCAAGTCATAAGACTGAAAATTTGGAGTCCTGTAGTTTTCTAAAGTCTGTTTAAAGGTACAAATGTGATTTTCTTCCTGAAAATCTGTCCTTTCTTTCCCATCTTCCTCTGACCCAGAGTCCAAGTCTGGGGAAGAATGAGCTTTCAAATAAAAGGCTCTTGGCTGACAATCTGATGGCTGTCCAAAGCTTGAATAGGCATCTAGGTGAGGTCTCCTGAGAGCTTTTCCAAAGGTACCTGAAAGAAAGAAACACCTTGAGCACATGGGTCCCTTTGCTAGCATGTGAATCAATAAAACCCATTGCAAATGAAGGAACATCTTACCCCATGAATATGAGTAAGTGTTTTCTACAAGTCCACATTATGGCACTCACATACATGTACATCTGTCTTACAGCCAGATCACTTCTAGAATGGAGCAAAAGACATTTGCCTTCCCTCATATTTACATCCACTGAACAAATGCATCTATTCTTTATCATTTCTCATGACCTGTAGTAATGTTAATGGTCATGCAATAAAGTTCCCCAATATAAGTTTCCCCACATCCTAGCTGAGAGCCCAATTTTGGTGACGGGTGTGTTGGATGGTAACATCCAAGTTAACTGAGGCTAAATAAAGAAATTTTCTTTCAAAATAAACCTGTGTCCTGCCCTTTCTTCATTAATTGTAGCCAAATATTACTCAATTGAATCAAATTCTTGCCTCAGTTATACAAAGCATATTATTTTAATTTTTTCCAAAAAAGGAATATAAATAATTACACTGTGATAAAACATAACATTTCGTAGAAGTTGGGTAAAATATTTGAAAATTCTCCTTTTTTAAATTTTATTGTCAACATGGCAAGTTGTGGCTGATTTTTCCATCTCTCTGTTCAGTGAAAAGATGACCTCAGCTCTTCCATCCTATTATCCCCATGCATCAGACGAAAAAATTCACTACCTAATCTCAGTGCCAGCCAGCATCTAACACCACCGACTTGGACCTTAAGGCTGGTTTTCTTGGCCAAAGGTAGTCCAGCTTGTCAGACTAGCAGTTGTTGCTAGGTAGGATGTTGTTTTCCACCCTTCGACTGCGGGTTCAGTTGGAAGCCACCAGACATACCAAACCACAATCATGCAGAGCACACAACTCCACCCCAAAGGCCGTGGGAGCCCAAAACCACTTTTTCCACATGGCTGACAAGCTGAGCTCCTAAGTCCTCCCCAAACCCTTGTCTTGGAGTAGATGCCACACACAGTGCTACCCAGAAAGCTCCTGAGGCTTAGTTATAGATTAAACACATCATCAAGTAAAATCCCACCTCTGACTTTGCTTTTGGAGGCATTTACACTAACTAGTCGGATGTCATGGCAGCCTCATTCAAGAAACCATTTTTTACCAGTTTGACATTCAAGGCTGTCATTGCTCTCTCACACACAACTTGGAGTATGGATCCTCAGACGAGGTACCTGATAACTTAATAAACTTACCCATGAAAGAATTACTCGAGGCAACCGACGCTGGCTCTGGATTTGCACTAAAATCTAAAGAGGACTTGTTTAGACACAGATTTTTCATTCCAGGTCCTTCATTGTGAGAGTAACTAGTGTTAAGTAGCTTCCTCACATGTGAAGGCCACGATATATTACTGAAGCTCCGTTCGCAGGATTCTTCTGAAGGATGAGAACATGGGTAGCACTCCTTTTTCTTTATGTAACTGGGCTCATAGTGGTCCATTAAAACTGTTCTTGGGTCAGGACTGCAACCTTTTTAATATGGGGGCAGTAACAGAAGGAGATTACAGTTAGCACATCTAGAAGTCTCTCTAAGAAACAGAACTGTACTCAAGCAAGAAAACCACCTACCTGTATGATATGTTTCAAAAGGATCTGAGCCATACACATTTCCCTTCAAATACATAGGGCCTGTGGATCCCAAAAACGGACAAAGGAACAGATCTGTGGCAGCTTCCACATCAGCTTCACTGCTATTGTCAATATGGCAGGTCCCTTTGAAACAAAAATCTTAGTCAATGATCCAATTATTCAAGTGCCATTCAACATTCTCCCCAGTTTTGGCATCTTCCATATTTATAGATGAAAGTTTGACTAGAACATCATATAGACAAAAAAATTGCAAAAATTTACAGTAGGGTTTTAAAAAATTTATTAGAGGACTTAATTAGCCATTGTGCTAGGTGTGGTGGCCTTATTGCTCACTTGGTTTCTACGGGAAACTGATATGTGCAGATCCTGCAGCCAAAGCAGCCATGGTCTAAACCACATACCATCAGCACTGTCCCCTTCTTACAAAAGGTCCCAGATGACCAGAACCAGGATTGGCACTTGGCCAATGACCTCTTAATGCCCATCTCAAAGATAAGCTCAGCTAAACATATCATCTCATGAGTATCTGAACCAAACAACACAGAAATATACGCCATTTACTGCTGGACACAGCAGGTGAAGAGTAAATGATATCATCAGGGTTAGAGATGTCACGATGACGCATGTGTCTGGGAAGCAGAAACTGGGCAGCAAGAGGTGGTGGGCTGAGAGAAAAGCAAATATGCAGAACGTGACACAGTAATGCTGGTGGCCCAGAGCTACTCTGGGAGCAGCCTCATCTCCAGCCTCAGCATCTAGGCAGCCTGGCATTATTATGCCCCAGTTCTGTCCCTTTAGGTTTTCCTTAAGTGTCTTTTCAGTTAACCCCATTATGCTTTAATGAGCTTGGGTCTCCACTCTGCCTCTAAACGGGTCTAACCAGAATACTCACTTCTATGCTCAGATCCTGTAACTCTACGCTCTTTATTTCTGGCTTGCCAAGCACTTTTAGTTTATCCACCTCTGACGAAACTGTGAAATTGAAAACATATACTTCTCTCCCAACTACAATGTCTGGCACAGAGCGTATAATAAATACTTATGGGAAAAGTTGGTCATATATTTTAGAATAACATCGATGGCTTCCACTTGCTGAGCCCTTAATATGTGCCTAGCGCCATGTAGTTTTCCATCTTCATTTCATTTGCACAAGTACCTCACCAGAAAGTATTGTATGTGCCCCACAGTACATGCAGTAAGTAGTAGGTCTTGTACCAAACCTGTGCTCTTGTATTATGCTGTCTCCATTATTATTCTCAAAACTATGCAGCATTGAAAGCAAGGGTCAGAATTAGACTTCTCAAAGAGGCTGGGTGCGGTGGCTCACGCCTGTAATCCCAGCACTTTGGGAGGCTGAGGCAGGCAGATCACCTGAGGTCAGGAGTTCAAGACAAGCCTGGCCAACATGGCAAAACCCCATCTCTACTAAAAATACAAAAACAAAAGAAAGCATTAGCCAGGCGTGGTGGCATGTGGCTGTAGTCCCAGTTACTTGGGAGGCTGAGGCAGGAGAATCGTTTGAACCCAGCAGGTGGAGGCTGCAGTGAGCTGAGACCACGCCACTGCACTCCAGCCTGGGTGACAGAGCGAGACTTCGTCTCAAATAAATAAAAATAAATAAATAAAAAATAGACTTCTTAAAGAAAATAATGTAAACCATTAGACTTTTAAGCCCATTCATGTAACCAGTTAATATCATTTAAGGGCCAAAGAACATTTATAATGTAAAGGATACACAAATATCCTTTACACATGGAATAATTACATTTTTCTAAACCTACTAGTCTTTTTTTATTGTTAGAAACAAAGATTTATTTCTTTCCTAGTATTTAAGAGAACGGTATAGAACTATACAATTTCAACCTTGCTAGTGATCTTGGGCCAGGTCCTAAATGTCAGTGTTATCAATGTCTTGTGAAAATGAATATCATATCTGAGCCTTCCACCATATGACTTCAAAACAATTACAGCCCACATTCATTTTAAACACTTACCACTACTGTCATGTTGTGGTAAGAAAAATCCAGCACCTGAAGATGTGACAAACTGGTGGTGGCTTCCACTTTCTGAAGACACGTACCCATCCTGCCTGTCAGCTAACGTTCCCTGAGATGACAAATAACTAGGAATATCTGCTGGCAAGTTGGTCTCATCTGTAATAAAACAGCAGCATTTTATTAACCAAGGATGATCGTTAATTGTCCCACAGGCATCCCGGGTGAATGGCATAGACTATTTTGGCTTCTGTATACATCAAATTAGGGGAGATCTACTCTGGCAAAACCATCTCGATTGTACAGTATTCTGGAACGGCAAATTAGGGCTTTGCTGCTCTGGGACGTATAAGCTGACTTTCTGTTTTATCACCCATTGGATGCACCTCCCAAATTTCAAAACAACAAATGTTTAAACAGATTTTTTAAAAGGCTGAAGGCCTAAGAATTTTCATGGGACAGTATCTAAGCTTTCGAATTATGCTTGATTATTGCCATATTCCCTTCTTAATATTACTAATCAATATCTGACTTTGCACATACTAATCAAGTCACAGCTCCTCTTCCACTAATAAAATCCAACCTAAGTACATGCACATACGCACAGACAACAAGACATACAACTACTGCAGAGAGTAAACCTTATCATTAAAGGGCTGTTCCTGGTTCTCCATCACTATCTTATGAAGGAGTTAGAAATATTTTAGTCAGTGACTTGGATTTTATCTCACAGCCACAGGATACCCTGATGTCATTTTAACAAAAAGTATTAATCTTTAAACATCAGCTTTATTTGGGGCTGGAGTTTTTTAGCGAATCATATTTCTGCAGCTTGAAACAAATGAGTCACCCTTCTGAGATGAACTCAGACTGCAAGACACACGTTCTAGAAGTATTTGCAGAACCACAAATACACATGACTCCGGTGACCTGTGCCAAGCTTCTGTTTACACACCTGTGTTGGTAATGCTGCAATCTTCATTCCTCCGCCTTGTGTGGTATATGATGACCACCCACACGAGTGACGTGCCCACCACACAGCAAACCACGGCTATGATCACGACACCCACAGTGGCCCATCCGTCATCGTCTAACGATGGGGCTGTCATCTGAGGGGAGTCGCAGGTTGGAGTGGGGATCACACTGAGGCGCACGTTTCCTCTCTCAGTGCCAAGGGTGTTAGACATCTCACATGTGTATTTCCCAGCATCACTGACATCTGAGTCCACAATAATCAGAAGCTGATTGCCTGCTGCAAAAAAGTGCCTCTCGGTTACCACCAATGGGCTATCATCTTTGGTCCAGTTCAGTTTAGGGGGAGGGCTTCCTCCAGCAATGCACTGTAGGACGGCTGTTTCTCCCTTGGTTACAGTTCGGTCCAACAGTGGCCGCAAAAATGATGGTGTTTCTGAAATAACAAGTTATGCTTTTAATTTCCCAAATAAAATTTAGTTTCCATATCATAAAATGTAGCATTTAAACTTATTCAAATTGTAACCTAAAATTTTATTCTCCCACAACTTACTGGACACACTTTTCTAAGAGCCTAAACATATACAACATTCAGTATTTCACTATTCTGCTGTCATTTACTCATAACACCAGTTAAGGATAATATCTACTATTTTTAAAATCTCAGCTTCCCTCACTTTTGCAAAAGTCGGGAAGCTGGTAGTAGGGGGGGAGAGTGGGAAACAAAAGCTTTTTAAAAATAGAAAGTACAAAAATAATTTCAAGCACAAGGGTATGTTGATAAATAAAAAAAATCAGAATGCTTAAGTTTTTTAAGTGAAACTTTTTAGGGCCGGATGCCTGGGCCTATATTAAAACTCTGACAATAATTTACTTTTATTATTTAGTATCTTAATAGGTTACGTTAATTAGCTCTTTCAAAGATACGTGAATAATAATTGTGTTTACATTTTTAAAAAGCATTTGTTTAGGTAAAAGATGAAAAAAAAACTCTGACTTCCGGAGAGGTATGGTAGGCTGAGAAAAGAGAGTAAGGCCTTCCCAATTTGTTCCCACATTTTTTTTTAATGTTCTTTATGGTGTTAAGACTACTGATATAGACAGCACAGTGGGGAAATTAGAGGAGGGTGATCCCCCATAAAAGGGAAAGCATCCCAACTTTTCCTCGGCCCCTCTCTTCAGGATGGAGGGGGCAGGGATTCACCTCAGTGGCCAGACTTGAGGATGTCATGCAATCCCTGACTTCAAAGTGTTCAAGAGGCCATTTGCATTAATACTTTCTAGGAAAAGGCAATGCCCCATACATCTTCATCTCTTACTCTCACAACTTCTGATACTTAGGGACCTTGGATGAGCTAGTATCTTCAAGACTGATTTATACTACAGAATCTTAACAAATTCACCCACCTAGGACAGTCAGAGTTGCATTTGCTGAAATACTTCCTGCACTGTTCTGAGCTGTGCAGCTGTATACCCCAATGTCCTCTATCTTCACATCCACGATAAAGAACACGTCATCCTCGGGCATCACATGCATGCGTCTCTCCCGTGCAGCTGGGAAGTCTGTGCCCCCATCCTTCTGCCAGGCTATCTGGGGGGCTGGGTGCCCCACAGCAGCACACTCCAAGCGTGCCATGGCCCCAGCTCGGATGGTGAGATCCATGGGGGTCTTGGTGAATGAGGGAAGCACTGAAATCAGAGAAACAATATAGGCATTAGCACAGTGGAGTCTTACAGGTTCACTTGCATTCCTTTTTATTATTTGTTTGTTTGTTTGATACTTACAGATTGTCCCTGACATAGATTGGGCAGGGGTTAATTCCAATTTCAAGTCAAGGAAACTAAAGTTGAGATGGAAAGATTAAAAGGCTTGCTCAAGGTTACAGATACAGAAACAATGAAGTCAGGATAAAACAGAGGTCATCTGATTCTCAGAATGAAGGTCTTCCTGCTATTTTCTGCCACTTTTTAGTTTCCTCAACAATCAACTGTGAGATCTTGGGTGTATCAATTAATCTCTTTGTACCCTGACCACTCACTTCATCTATTTTTTTTTTAAAGTCTCTCCTGGTAGCTCTAACATTCTGTGACTTTTAAGATACATGTTTTGCCCTACAATTTAAACTCAAAACTGTTCTATGTGCCAGGCCACAGCCATCATTTGCTGAGTGAATGCATTAATGAATCATATTCAAAATCTTCTACCACGGCAGATACAGATAGTTAAATGATAAAGTGGCAAGGATCCTACTGTAAAACTGTATACCTACCACACAAAGCAAACAAGAATAGACTTCTGTTAACAGTGGCTAACAGTGCATTTACTGAGCACTACCTTGTAGCCATTTTGCTACATCCTTTACACATATTATTTCACTAAATGAGCATAATGCCTCTAGGGGGCAGGTCCTATTATCCCTAATTGAAAGATGTGGAACTGGAGGCGGAGAAGTGAAGCAACCTGCTGAAAATCACGCAGGAGTGGCAGGATTCACACACAGATCTCTGAATTAAAGGCAGTGTGCATCCAGCATGATGCTTTGCAGCCTTCCAGATCAGTATACTACACTGTAAACTCTCAAAGAGGAAAACATTGCTGGGCACGGTGGCTCACACCTGTAATCCCAGCCAGCACTTTGTGAGGCCAAGGTGGGCAGATCACAAGGTCAGGCGTTCGAGACCAGCCTGACCAATATAGTGAAACCCCGTCTCTACTAAAAATACAAAAAATTGGCCGGGCATGGTGGCGCACGCCTGTAATCCCAGCTACTCAGGAGGCTGAGGTAGGAGAATTGCTTGAATCTGGGAGGTGGAGGTTGCAGTGAGCCAAGATTGCAACCAGGATGTCATCCAGCCTTGGGTGACAGTGCAAGATTCCGTCTCAAAAAAAAAAAAAAGAAAAAGAAAAAAAAAAGAGCAAAAACATGTCTGGTTCATCTCTGTGTTACTCACCACACTGAGTACGGTGTCGTCTTCAACATAATTGCAGGTTTAGATACAAATAACCAAGAATCTTAATTTTGTGGAATGAAAGGTAGGGAAAGGAAGAGTCAGGTGGGGAACTGTGAGAAGAAAAGACAGGGTTAAGATTAAGAGAGAAAAACAGGTGCTTTCTATTTCTAAAAGGTATCTTTAAATGCTAAAGGAAAAGTCAGATCACATACTATTTACTGTAAGCTTGGCTTTGACAGAGTAGGATGAACCAAAGTGATTGGAGATGACACACTGATATTTCCCCTCACTGGCAAATTCCACCTCGCGCAGCCGAAGGATGGTGGTATACTCCATCACCTCGCCACCTTGGGCCCGGAGGTGTGCATAATTTTCCATTTCAGCATCATGCAGTAGTTCATTGTCTTTTTTCCAAGCAAAAGTCATTGGGGAATCACTGCTGCTGGCAGCTGAGCAGATGAAACTCAAATTGGAACCTTTTATTGCCGACTGTGTTTCTGGCTGAACCGTGATCTGGGGTTTGGGAAAATCATCTGTTAAAAATGGAGAGGAGGAGACAAAACAATGTTAAGGCTCAAGAGTCCAAATACTACTCAAATTTGAACACCAAGAAATGCAAAAACAGTGGCTTAGGTTTTACCCTTTGTGTATGTTTTCCAGATGGACTAGCCGTCCCCATGTTGAAATGATACACTGGGAGAGTATTTATAAAGTAACTCATTCATCTCGAATACAGATGCAGATCTATTTATCAATCACTATTACCTGAGAAAAGACTGTTATTTTGGAGCTATCGGAAAACCCACACTTTATTCCTGATCCCTTATGCTTTCTATAAGTAGAAGAAGAAAGCAGTTTAAAAACTTCCAGGCTCAGGGATCATTTTTGAATGCTACTATCAGAAACTGCAATTGTTCCCATGTTCTCCCCAGATAATGAGCAGCAAAATTAGGAAATCAAACATCAATCATGATTAATCAACAAAGACAGCCATTAACACTTCATTTACCAAAACAGAACCACTATTTAAAAACAGTAATTTAGGTAGAGGCAAAAAAAAAAAAAAAAAAAGCTGATAGCAAAAGAAAAAGCATCTGTAAAACAAACTGTAAGACACTGGCTTCAGCCTGGAGCTTTGAGCGGCCAATCGTGCCGCCGCGCTGCCCTGTCAAAGCTACATTATAATTAGAGCTAAGCAACTCTTTCATTCTAACAGTTATTTTTAGTTCTCTGTTACATTTTGGAAAAGTTACCTTTTTGAACTTCAGTTTCTCAGCCATGATCTAAACCCAGAAGGAAACATCTGAGATCTACCAAAGCGTACCATTTGGGTGCTACTATTTGAAAAGACAACTTTTTATGTGTATTGAATGGGTTATAGGGGATGCTTTGATAACTCCAGGGCTGCTATTTTTCAATGTCTGCATATTGTAATCGAGGTGTTTTCTGTACTATTCTGAAATTCTCATCTAATAAATCGATGTTCAGATTCACAAGGAAGTGAAAAAAACGATGGATACTATACATGTGTTTCAACGTAATAGGGGGATCAGATCTTGGGACTAAAAAACTATGAAACAAGGACCATGGGAAAGGAGCAGTTCAGGCCCTTACAGATGAATGCCAAAAGCTTATTCAGTTCCAAAAGCTACATCAGAGGTTTTATTTCCAGAAACTACTGGCACTGCTTAATGCTGCAACCTAAAAATATATATCGTGGACAAAGCAGTTTTAAGTAAATTTTTAAATGCCAATGCAAAAGAAGGTTCTTAATATTTTAACACCCATGCTTAAATAAAAGCAAATTCTGATTTATTGGTTTATAAAACATATTTATTTTTACAGAGGTCTCCATGGCAGCTAATAGTAAATGGCAGCATCATGTAATAGACAGAAAGTTACACCAGAGATGAAAACTTTTCTTTTAAATCCAGATCTGCTACTAACTAGCTATGTAAAGTTCAGGTAACTAGATTTCTAATGCTGAGATTCTTGGATGCTAAAACAATGGACCTTAAAATTATTTATAATAAATTCACATTTCCTATTACTTGTAAATGTTTTACCGACCAATAGTTAATTTTTTAGCACCCCATAAATCATTAATAATTTTCTCTTTCATGTAAACCTCCCAACAAGCCTCAGAGTTGGGAAGAGAAGAAAGGAGAGTCCCCATTTCATGGATGCAGAGACTAATATTTAGGGAATTTAAGTTAAGTAGAAGGGCTGAGATTACCCTTCCATTCTCCCAAGATCCAATTTCATTCTCATTCCACCGCACCATCCTGATGCCAAAACAAAGATGAAGCAATTTTAGAAAACTCTCTTTCCCATCTGTGAAATTAAAATAATCAGCAAACTATAGACCCATTTTCCTCTACCTCAGCAGAAATAAAAGCTTTATAAAGAGATCATAAATCTATTCAAAACCATTATTTGGATAAATGGGAGGGGGAAAAAAGAAGAATAAATAAAAGGCAAGGGCAATACTTATACTCACCACACACAAAGCCATCTGGGCTAACAGCAAAAATGCTTCTTCCTTTTAGCAGCTGAGGATGGGCACAACTGGCATTTACAAAGCTCTGAAAGTTGTTTTCCGCCACCCACTGTGGGAGCCATTTTAGCTGGCAATCGCACAAAAGGCTTGATGTATTTAAATGCCTGAGGAGAGTAATTACATTCAATTTGTTCTGTATGAAATGCAGATTTCTACAAGTAAACTAAACCCAAGTAAATATTAACAAAGCAATGAATTTGGAAACTGAATACACACATCCCATGGAATAAGTATCCCACAGTCCATTTTAAAATACAAGAAATGTATCTAGCATGATTTTCTGTTGTTCTTACTGTCCTACTGAGACAGAAGTGTTGATTTATCAAAAGTTCCTTACAACTGAAAAAATTACTACTATATTGGGTGACTGTACTATATTTGGTCCCACAAAGTTGCGAATTTAAAATAGAAAGAAAAACTCATTTCAACAAAAAGAACAAATAAACTCCTTTTCTGTTGCCTAGTATAAAAATTAAGTAATGTTAAGAATGTGCCAGGCACTTTTTATAGATACATAATCCAGGATGCCACACCATATGACAGTTTTCCCCTCTATACTTTCAGACTCCTAGAAGGAAAAGAAAAGCTTACAATTGTTGCAGTTTCTTCATTTGTGAAAATGCATTGCCTTGTAAAGACATGATTGCGTTGTCACTCAGGTCTCTGAAAAATCACCAAATCAAATGCATCAGAGCAAACTACCATCATTTCGTGCTTTTGGACAAAGTTTGGGCCCCCACTGCCCACCCCATTTGCCAAACAAATACTCCCTCTATGTGTCAAATACATGACTGGGGCAGCCCCAGAAGAATCCACTGCAAAGCTTGTGCTGAAGACCCAGGGCATTTGTATCACAGATAGGTTTTGTTTTAGTGAAAAAGATTCACTTTCTGTCATCACTTAAAGATTATTTGACTCATTAGGGCCCATGCTGTTCTATTATTTCATTCTATTACTCTTTATTCAAATTAGCAACTATTGGAAACTTCTAAATATACAAATAAAATATACAAATAAAAAATAAAAATAATTATGCTTTTATAAAACATTTACACAGTATTTTTGAAGATATGCACTCAGTTAAGTGATTTACAAGTGTTACTGCATTTATTCCTACAACAACCCAAAATATGATGGTATTACTACTTAGCTCAGCACGAAAGGGGAAGGTAAGGGTTGAAACAATTATTTTCAATTCCAAAACCTGTGCTTTTAACCATTAACCTAATTCTGTCACCCACAGCTCACTAACATAAACGCAGTAAGATGTTCAGACAAGATATACTTGTTAAAACCAATACTTCAGGCAGGAAATTCATAAAATGAGCACATATTCTGGATTAATTCTCTTTATACAGAGACTTATAAGCACTCTGCATTAAAGTATTCACCACAATGATTACCACTCTGTTTTTCTTTACAGGGGTCACAGTATACAAAGGGAATATTGAGTGAGACAAGTGGGAAGAGAAGACAAAGAAAGAAGGGACCAGACATGGCTAGACGAAGAGGCTGGGGCAATCAAGGAAGATTTAAGAAAACTGAAGCAGAGATTAATACTCCACTGATCCACTAATTCCACGTTCCCAGAAACGGAATGGGCCAAATGACAAACCCTTTTGGCTAGTTTTCTTTTCAAAATAATCGGTTTCAATAAATACTGCAATGTTGGTCTGCCCTTCCAAAACTCAGCTTTGCAGAATCATTCTACTATAATTTGAACTGCCGCACTCACTGTCTGGGTGGCTCACGATCCAAGTCTCCCTCAGAGGAACTGGTGCAGTCAGAAGGTGACAACACAGTGGTTTACAGATAACAGCTAAATCTTCACTCTCAATACACAGCACACATAGGAGAACCCAATATGTATTTTAAATTGTAACTTCTTTTGTCCTGGTTAATACATATTAAAACTTCTGGATACAAGCATTCCTTAACAGTCAGAGTCGATATTATACATTACTTTGTACTTTTACTGTACAAGCGTAAAACATACATCCATGGTTATAAGCAGCTGGTTGGTTCCCTTAGTTAAAACATGCAAGTTTTGATTCCTATCAATGTTAGCTAGCTTTCCTCTCTTAGTGGCTGAAAATTCCTGAGCCCCTAAATGACATTTCAGAAATGTGTGCCAGGAGTTACTAGGAGCTACTGGGAGTAGCGGCAGAGATTGTACAGGCAAGAGCTAGTGTGATGCAGGGACACTGTGCAAGTCGGGGCAGCTCTGGGTTGCGTCCTGCTTCTGACAGCTACTAACTGGTGGGTCAAGACGAAACAAAAGAAAACAACAAAAAAGAGAACAATGGTAAGGGGGGGTTGTATGTTTCATAATTAAACAACAATAAGAGACCAACAATTCTCAAAGTAGTGCTAAAACTCTCCTATGTCACTCTTAAGGATTGTGGAACATTGTCTTTGTTCTTTAAAAGCCAAGTCATCTCCTTTAACTGTCCAGTGGAATCAATAAACTCTTAGAACCTCCGCTTAACAATAAAGATAATAATAGCTATTGAATTGTATTCTGACTAAGAATTAAATGAGAATATATGTGAATATGTGGTACAATGCCTGATATATAGTGGATGAACTACACCTAGTAGTTTGTTTTTTTTTTAATTAAATAATCACTGTTTGAGAAAAACAATTAAAAACCCATTAAGGAGATATAGCTTTTGTTCTTAAATACAAAGGAAAGCATACACCTGTATACTTCTATATAGGTAGGTAGGTAAGTAGGTAGACAGAGAAAGAAATAGAAAGATAGGGAGATGTTTAAATATATTTTATGGAACCGGAAGGATGCCAACAAAATTACATTCCAGTTTGTTTTATCTTTCATGACACATAAGTAAAAACCATCTTAGAGATTCTCTTTTAGGGTAACTAAATTCTAGCTACTCACAGATGCTCCAATGCATCCAAACCAGTGAAGGCTTTTTTAGTAATAGAACGGATCCGATTTCCTTGGAGTATCCTGGGGAAAAAAATTACATTGGAGCACTTAATTTAAAAAGCCATTTTGGGGTGGAACTCTCATAAACAGAACTGCTTTTTAAATTATGTGTGAGCAATTCCATTTTCTTCAATTAAACAATATATCCTGTAAAAATGTGTCCATGCCATCTATTTCAATAATGTAGTCGAACATGGTTTTTGAAGCATTCAACAAAGAGCCCAACAAAAATAGGTATTCAGTAAGTCACTCTGCTGATTAAGTTAAATCACTGTTTTTCAGAGTCCTTTTAGGAATAGGTAGAGACTTTATTTCAAGTAAACTGTCTCAGAACACTAACAAAGCAGATAATAGTGAACGTTTTCTCCTTCCTCTCCTTCTCTGTGGATACCTTCCATCCATAGGAGTTTGGGACTATAGGGAGCTGAATTTGAATACTGCTGGCTTAACACATGTAATTTGACCATCTGCAAGACCATTTTATGGTTAATTATAAGATGTTTTCATCCTGTTTTGCTTGTAACCTACCACAGCATTATCAGTGGCTACTAGATTACTTCATTAAAAAAATTCCTACGGGGACAGTACAACATTGAGGATTTCAAGATGTGGAAGTGCCTGCACTAACTTTTACGCAATGATAATTCCAAAAGTGTAAGCCCTCAACATAGATGAAAATTATTATGAGGATATTAAAGTAAATTACACATACTAAAATGTTGAATAAAACACTTTCACCTAAGGAAGAAAAAGTTAATAATATACATCTTGCGCAACAGCAGGCATTTGGGGAGAGGATCAAGGGTGGTAACCAGATTAAGCACTGATTTCTCATCTCTTCATGATGTCAACTTGTATAGCTGACTTCAGTGAAGACAAAATTTTTAAATCAAAGAGTGAGCTAAATTATGAGGCAATTCATACTCACAGTCGCCTCAGTTTGTCAAGCCCAGAGAAAGCACCATTCATGTCTTCAATAGTCCAGGAAATTTCATTGTTCTTCAGATCCCTAATTTTAAAAGAAGCATTCCCTTTAGAGTGATAAGCTCAGAAAGCCTAGTATCACCACCCAGGTGGCATATCATTTGTAAAAAATTTCTCATAATTCCCCACATTATCTCCACCTCTCTCAAAATAATAGAAAACTCTTTTTCTCCAACTTACCTCTTACACCCTGCCTGATTCCCTCAACAACATTTTAAGTTTTTCCCTAAAATCCGAAAAAGCTGACACTGGCCCTATTAATTCCTCTATCAAAATGACTACATTCTGAATGATCCGAACAGTCTGAAAAATACATTAAACTTTAAAACCACTCTTCCAACCACGCATGCAGAAGTTCGCCAAAGCATACAGTATGTCTTTCAATTACGTAATGCTTCAAATAGCGAACAGAGCAAAAGTTTCTGACAGAGCAAAAATCAAAAGCCCATTGCACAACCTTAAATTACCATTTGAGAAATTTTTCAAAGGTCAATTAATTTAACTCCCTTTTCTTTCTCTTAGGACAGAGATCAGGTTGAGGATATAACTGGCATGATAAACAGTATCTTCCTTGCCCTTTGTAGACCTTTTTGCTCTAAGTAATTTTTAATCTGTATTTTACAAAGAAAAACTTAGTGGACTTAAAATTGTTTCCCTCTTAAGCAGTTACCAATTTCCTGGAGATCCTGAGAAGGTTCACTGTAATCACCAAAACAAACTGATCACTGTCCTTTTTAATCCCTATACGAAACACATATGGATGAAATGGATCCATTGTAATCAAACTGATCTGGGAAAGATTAAGATACTACTTCTGAGGCTGTATGCATTTCCTTGACAACAAAGGAAATCTGCTAGGAGAAAAGTGGGCATATTTAGGAACCAATTACGTTCGAGTACTGACAGCAAAACGTGTAACTTACAAAGTCTTTAAACTGGAAAGCCCCCGGAAGGCACAATCAGCAATGTAGCTGACTCTGTTGTTCCCAATGTGCAGTGTATTTAGTAAGCTTAGGCCAAGGAAGCTTGAATCATCTAACCTTGATAAGTGATTGAAAGTTAGGTCCCTGTAAAGAAAAAAGAGAAAAGCAATAGCTTTTATTTTTCAATTCAACACAATGATTTGTTTTCCAAAAGACAGGTACTGTATGAGCTACACTAATCCTTATTTTTAAATTCTGCCTTAATAATATCCAAGTAAATATTTCTAATATCAGTAATTAAAAAAATACGTTCTCTTTACTTGAAAATAACCATCATTGCTTTTGCCAACGTGACATAGAACTGCAACAGTAGAACTGGCTTCAACTTATCACAACAAAAATAAGACTAGGTTGCATGTGAAAAAAGCTGTCACCTTGGAAACTTTGTTATGAAAATTTCACAGATCAGTGGTAAGAAGCTCATGCCCTGGCATGATCCCTGCTCTCAAACCTGAGGAGAATAAATAAAAGGCAACTCACAGCTCACTGAGCTTCTGGCAGAACTCCCAGGCATCAGGGCTGATCCTGTTGATGGCATTTTGGCTGAGATGAAGTTCCTGCAGCATCAGCAAGCCGTAAAGCCAGCCTTTGGTAATCTCTGTTAGGTTGTTATGGTCCAGCTGCCTACATTTACAGTAAGAATCAAAAGCAGGATCAAAACTTCATTATCTAGTCTCTTCAAAGGGGACATATGATTACAACCTATTACAGATTCCTATTGTTATTAGATGTTTAGCTTTTGTTATATGAAGACGTCAGCAAAAAAATACTATATAGTTTATACTATACTAAATTTAGGTACTTATAAATTATCGATCACATTACCTGAATCAAAACTGAATACTGACTTATAAATAAGATTGTGGATGATGAGATTTTAACATAGGATTTCACATAAGACCTGCTGAATGTACACTGAGCATTCTATGATCATACTACCTCAGTAGGAACTGTGATAACCCACACTTACAAAATTTCCATGTTGCTCAGCCCCCAAAAAGCTCCATCCATAAGTTTCGTTACTCCATTTCTTTGCATTTTCAGAGACTTCAGAGCACCAAGGCCTTGGAATGTCAGTCCATCTACATTTTTAATCTTGTTTCGGTTCAATTCGCTGCATTGAGTATTACAAGAGTTAGCTTATATGACAATTAAATTCTGGAGGTAGTAATAAAATGTGTCATTACTACAATATAGTTCAACCAGTCAGTGTTCAATTACATACAGTGTTTTCAGTTTCTAAACATTTTTATTGCAAAGAATTTCAATTTGTTAAGCAGGCAGTGAATTTCCTACTGAAATGTGTCATGTGTTTTTGGAATAATAAAATACTGAAACTAGACTGCACTTTAATTTCTAAAGTCTTGTCCACTCAGTATAGACACAAACAAATTAAGATTTGTTTTTAAACAATCCAGAATGAGATTATTAAATGTTACACTAAAACATGAGGTCTATCAAGGAGCTGGGCCTCAAGTTTATCCTGTACAATCTGTTTACAAGTTGGTTACTATCTTTCACCCTTCTTTTTAGGTTTAATGCTTTCTCTTTAAGGCAGTAGTTCTCAGCCTTGGTTGCACACTGGACGCAACCTGGGAGTTTTAAAAATTTCTGAAGCCTGGATCTTACCCTTAGAGGTCCTAATATAATTGGTCTAAGGTGTGGCCTGGGCAGTGAGATTTTTTAAAAGCTCCCCAAGTGTTTGTAATGTGCAGCCAAAGTTGCCCTATTGCAGGAGTCTGTTCACAGATCGCTCTACCATTATTAACAAGACAGATCTTTACAGCCACTTAAGCTATCAGAGCCTCCTGGAGTTGCCGGTATTATTCTCATAAACCACAGCTGTTGAGACCTCGGATTTTTTCAGTGCCACAATGGCACTTTTGTACCAGCCTTGTTCAATGATTACACTGTTCACTCTTTCAGTAACAATCTAACGTGTCTTGTCAAGCAGCAGCTGGCACGAGGTGACGAGATGATGTTTAAGGCTCTTTCCAATTTGGAGATTCTACAGCTCCAACTCTCAAAGGAAAGGCAGCTACATCCTTGCTCCTAAACTCCTTTTTGCCACATTGTAGATTTTAAGGAAAAGACACCAAGGGTTTGGAGGAGGTGAGAAACAGTATCTAAGAGGACATTTTACTTACAGATGTTGCAGTTGGGGCAGTTTAAACATCTTGGGTGGGATAGCTGAGATTCGGTTCCTGTTCAGCTTTAACACAAGGAGTGTGTTGGCCAAATTGTCAAAATACCCAGGTTCCATTGATGTGACTCGGTTGCTGTTGAGATACCTGTTGAAAGTTTAAAGATGAGCTTCTCCTTCTGATTTATTTGCAAGTTAAAGTGCAGGCCATCTCTGTATTAGAAGGAGTCTCCAGAGAACTTAACCATCAATGGAAACTTAAAATAATTACTTTTTAGGTCCTCAAGGACAGATGTTAAGATTCACACATATTGCTGGGAAAAGAGTGATTAAAATATGTGACGGATGCAAAATTTTTTTATAAATATCCACTTTTTATGACATTCATTTATTAATAAAACATAGCAATGGTCTGATTTTGATTGTTTTTTTAAAAATGAGCACTTTTCACACCATCTAGGTTTTCTAATAAAAAATATGTAATTTTTTGTAATCTAAAAGTGTAAGAATAAACTGAAGATTGTGGTCATTCGAGCTTACAGCAAATTTCAAGTCAATAAATTATACTTTCAATCCATCAGTAGTAAAGTAGACAAAGTTTGTTATATCTTATTTTTTCATTGTAATATTTTCATTACAGGTGAAAGTTTTTGCTAAAGAAAACTTCACTTACAGATATTTGAGCTGTAGGGCTGGAAATGCAGTTTGGAGCTCTGAAATATTGTTGCTGCTAAGGTCCAAAGTTTCAAGGGACTGAAACTCTTTCAGATGTTCAGGGAGTATTTCAACAATCCTGTTTCCAGCCCTAGAATTAAAAGAAACCACAGTTAACAAGGTTAACGGTACAACAATCTGAAAGAAGAAAAATATTTTCTATTCCTGACTGGTTCTTCAGAAATATGGAACTGACTAATCTGAACAGTACTTTTAAAAGTTAAAGAGCAATACCATGGCCATTTTAAGTTATTCATTAAATTATAAATCATAATATTCAAATATGTGGAAAACATTCCTATATAAATCTGGGGTTCTGTTTAGCAGCTGTGGCTGTCTAAATGCTATGCACTTAAAGACAGTGGTTTGATTTTTCTTTATCCTATTTTTCTTTTTTTTTAAAAATTTTTATTTATTGTTATTTTTTAGAGACAGGGTCTCACTCTGTCACCCAGGCTACAGCGCAGTGGCACACTCATAACTCACTGCAGCTCAAACTCCTGGGCTCAAGGAATATTCCCACCTCAGCTTCCAAGTAGCTAGGGCTACAGGTAAGTGCCACCTCATCTCGCTAATTTTTTTATACAGTCGGGGGGTCTCACTATGTTCTCTAGGCTGGTCTCAACTCCTGGCCTCAAGCAATCCTCCAGCCTCAGCCTCCCAAAGTGCTAGGATTACAGGTGTGAGCCACCACACCTGGCTATTTTTCTTAACAGCTCTGCTCCCTTCTCCTTATTAAATGGTATACGAAATGCCTAACACCAAGGTGGCATACCAGGCACTCATGAGTTAATTCCCTATTCCTTCTTCTTGATTCCTAATCTATTTCCAATTCTTCTCTTGAAAAGTGCCCATATTACAGGTGCCAATGAATTTAAAATACTTGTCAGATTGGGGATCTCTCTAGAACCATGCTAGAGAGATCCCCTTTTCTTTAAGAAATAGCAAGTTTCAAGGCACTGCCATAGTCTTCAACACCAATGAATATGCTCCAGCCCTTTCAATAGTACAAAAGTATTACATAAGAAGAACACTCCAGTTTGAATAATCCCTTGGCATAATTAGATCCAAACATGTTTTACATTAAAAGTCTTAAACATCAGACCATGACGTCCAGTATGGCAGCCACTAGCCACATGAGGCTCTTTAAATTTAAATTAATTCAAATTAAATGCTAAAATTTAGCTACTTAGTCACAGTAGCCACATTTCAAGTGCTCAATAGCCATCCACTCCTGGTAGCTATCAAATGGTACAGCACACATACAGAATGCTTCTACCATTGTGTAAAGTTCTACTGGTGACTGTTATACTGAACAAATGGAAAGAAACAAACAGAAAAAAAAAAAAGAAGTCATTTCAAAGTTCTTCAAAAGTCATCAATCAATATAGTAACTCCCAAGGGAAAATGCAGCATTAAATGACAATTTTGTTAGAAAATGGCAATCAAACGGATGTGCAAGCCATCATAATTGTCATATTAGATCAGGCAGTTTGGTCTTTTTTAGACCATCTTTTGGCAGGAGAAAATAACGTCAAGGTAGAAAGGATACCTACAAATCATAGAAAGGTCTCCTCTTTACAACGCGAGAAACAATGAAACAATCTGAATGCTCTAAACAGAATTCTGTGTCTTACATAAGTCACACACTGGTGTTTGTACACGGTCTGCAGTTAATCTTCGATTAAAAAGAAAACTTACAAAATATATCTTGTGTATTTTTTGCACCCAAAACTGGATTTCTACAGTGTTCTGAGCTCTTCTGCATTATTGTAACTCATCAGTCTCTCACTATCACAGTAGGTTCCCAAGTGAGGTGTACCTCTTACATATTTTCACAAAATCTTGTGCTGCAAGCTGACGTCAAACTTACACCACTGGTCTTCTCTGCCATACTGAGATATTCTTAGAAGCAGAATTCTCTCTATATATCACCCTTAGAATGTGTATAAAATCTAACAATATTGAAGATCGATTAAGTGCCAAGCCCTATGCTAAACACTTTTCATATATTATGCCCTTTAATCATAATAAAATTTCTCTGGTACAGACATTACAAAACATCTTAAAATTAGGGCTTTTCACCTAACAAGTTCAAGCATTCCCGAGCCAGCTCAAAGAACAAGTCTGATTGTTCCTAAAGCAATCCCTTAAGGCTTCTTTCACAGAATACAGAGTATGAAAGATATTCTGGCATTTAATTTCTTATGCAGATATGTACCTCCCTTGAAAAGGCCGCTACTTCCCACCTTGCAAAAATGCTGAACTTCTGGTTTTAAACTGATCTGGGAATCTACCCTGGCTCATTGAGCCATCATCATGCCAACATTAAGAATGCCCCAGAACAGAGGCCCTCCCAATCTGTGCTTGCCCACTTTGCAGGTGAGAGGAGGCCCCAGGGCTTGTGTGTATTTACCATCTACCAGAGTCAGATGGCCGACTTTCTGTCAGGTGCCACCTTCTTCACAAGAGAATAATAAGGGGACAAAACGGGCATACATTTTAAATTTAAAGAACAAATTAAGAAAGCTTCTCGAAATAGTGTTAAAACTCTTCTGAACAGTATTTTTAAGGACTGTGGGTGGATTGTCTTTTTCCAACTTTAAAATCCAAGTCATCAGAAAATCTAATGTCAGGTAACTAGCATAGATAATGTATATCTTAAGAGCTGAACTTTATGATAATAGTAAAGTTTTAAAAAAGAGACGATTCAGCAGTCCCATGTACAAGTCACAAATGAGTATCAAGCCCTTCAGATTCTCATAAAGTCTTAGAGGCTTTTGTTTAGAGTCAAGTCAGCCATGACCTCTGATTTTGACCATTTCCCACATCTGGATTTGCCTGTGTATAAAGTCCTTGATCTAGCTGTGAGGTATAGGGTAATGCAAGTGAGACAATTAGTCAATTCCTAGGTCCCGGAGATGGATTCCATCCAGGAGACACGCCACAAGGCCTTAGGGTCAGGGTGTGTGGGTTAAATAAAACCACACTGCTCTAGGGGACAGAAGTTTTCTCTTAAATGCATAATCCAAATGTTTGCATTACTAGGATGTCCTCCTACAAACACTGGAGTCACTCTGAAGTGCCCGAGTGCCCCTCTCTCTATCCCCTCCCCTATCCCTAGCCCTATCTCCCTTCAAACTTTGCATCTGGTTTTGGTCCCCAGGCTGTCTGAGGCAAGTATAGCTACGCTTGTATTTAACAACAACAAAAACAAAACACTCAGCTATGGATGTGTGCAATAAACAAAGCAAATTAGTTGGGGGTGGGGAGGCAGGGAGGCCCACAGGTGTCTATCACGTTGGTCAAATAAGGCTACCAGTTAGATAACAGACCATACAGTCTTTGGTTTATATATCCGTTTGTTTATAAGGTAATTATGAACAAGGTATTAAAACTGCCAATTACTTGAGTGACGAATAAAATTTTCCTTGCAGTAAAAGTATGCTCCAGCCAAAGCCAGCAATTTCCTGAACTGCACACCTCCTAAATCGCAGTGTGAAAGTGCTCAGTTCTAGACGGAGCGTGCACAGTGCTGTCTTTGTCAGCACTGCTTCCTAGCACAAAAATCCCTTACAACTGTGAGAATAATAGTCCTTGTATCACAAAAATTTAAATCTGTCCTAATGGAACTGAATTAAATCCAAATACTCGTTTCTTATTAGCTCTCAGACTAACTGGCAAGTACCCACCTGATATACACCATACCAGTTTAACACAAAACAAACAAACAAAAAACTTGCTTTGTATAATAAAGGGGGCTAAAAATGGGAGACAACTACCTTAAAAAAGCTAGATTAAAAAATCTTTTTTATCATCTAGAATCCTAAAAAAAAAAACATATTTTATGGAGTTGGTCAAAAATACCCACTTCTAGTAGACAGAGATTCAACTCAACCCCACCTTTCATTTTTCTCCAAATAGGAATAAATGCCAAACTTGATCAACACATTAAAAAGCGCTGTAGTTAATTAATATTTTTGGCAGGAAATGTGCAACGCTTGAACAAAAACAAAACTCTGAATACCTTTTTCCATTACTTAATGTGGAAACACCATCTTTCCATTGTTCAAAAATCACAAAATAAACTGTAAATACTGGAAGGTGTTTCAGTCTTGTACAAATCCATCTTAGAGACTAGGAATATTTTGGTCTTCTATGTTTGTTGATAGTACAGGGAGTTCCATGGTTAACTAATTTCTGAAGTGAAGTATAATTAGTCCCTGTGGACACACAGACCTGGGGACTTGGGTTGGTCAGGAACACCAGATGGTTCCCTCAGGCTTCTAAGAGACCACTGGAAAAACAGGAGAACCACGTATTTTGGCCTCAGCTTCTCGGGTCCAGTGATAATGGTTTCATTTTGTTGCCTATTTCACTTTTCAGCCAACTTTGCCAAATACCTTTAAAATGCAGACGCAAACATGGCTTACCATTTTCATCTGATGATATTTACTCTGAGAGCACTGGAGTTCTACATGAGCAAGATGGACATGCCCCTTGACCTCACAGAGCTTAAAGTCTAGTGGGGAGGATAGCAGGCAACAGGGAGCTGTCCAGTGTGGTAAGTGCAGCGACAGGAAAGGAGGAGTGGGCAGTGGAAGTACTGTGGACAGACTTCTAGAATGTTGGAGGTCAGCAAAACTTCCCAAAGGAAGGGAAGAAACGGCCACACTGAGATCTGTGGGATGAGTTAGCTCAGCAAAGGACAGTAGAGGCTAGTGCTCTAAGCCGAGGCAAAGATTTGGGCAAGTGAGAGCAGAGCAAAGCTTCCCTTAGAGGAAATGAAGGAACACCTGATGGCTAAGTACAGAGTGCACGGGTGGAGAGTGGAGAAAGAAGAGGCTCAAGAGTGAGGCCGCCGGGAGATGACAGCAGTCAAGTTGGGCCCTGGAAACCACATCAGACATTTGACCTTTATCTCAAGATCAACTGTGGGGAGGGGGCCAGAGGATGTCAAATGGTGGGGTGACAATATCACATGTACATTTTAGAATGGCTACTCTGATGGCTGTGGGTGGAAAGACTGGGAGGAAGAGGGCATGACCAGGCGCAAGGGCACCAATCGGAGGCTCCTAACTTCATGCAGGACAGACGACAGAAGGATGACGAGCGACCTTGATGCCCACTTGGGGGGCGAAACATCACACTTCCTCTGGTTTCCAGGGCACACACTGTGCTTTTCTCCTTCCCTGACATACAGGATCAGCTCTTCCAGCTCTGCAGCCTCTGGCCACAGGGACCCAGTTCAGCTCTACTGGAGTTCTCATTCACTATCCATTACCATTGCATTTGGTGCTTCTGATATGGGAGGTTTTCTAAGACACAGAGTGCAGACTAGGGTCCCCCTGTGCTCAGGTGTGAGATGCTACTGCCCAGAACAGCCCAATACTGGCATTTTAATGCCTCTGTAATCACTAAGAAAATGGATAAGTGCATTATTCTCACATATAAGAACTGTGCTAGTTTGTTCGGATACTCTTAACACCTGCCTTGAATCTAAATCTGGACCAAATTAACAACAGTAAAATATAACTTATGAGGTTAGTGATATGACCACTTAGTGTGATGACTGGTTCTACTTCTTGATTCACTGTAATCTCCAGAAAGCATAAGTGTCTCAAAAGAACCTTCATGCTCTCTTAAGTGGATATAAATGGTGTTAGTTTAATTCCAGGGTCTGAAAGGAGAACCACAGAGTGGAATATTCTTTGTTAGTGAGGAACCAGAATATCAGGTTTTCTCACACTGGAATTCCTAAACCAACAAAAGTGTAGCTTCCTGTTGAATAATGTATATCTGTCAATAGTTTTAGCTGTCTCCTACCTAGTACACGGATAACAGGCAGCTTAAGACCTTGCAGCTGTGATGTGTAAGGACATGCAATCTAGGCAATTTAGAGAAGGTATCTGCATGCAGCATTTGCCTTTTAGAGGATGTGTGCACTGAAATTTAATGTGAAGCCATTTTTTATGTTTGCAATACCGTCTTTCCTTAGAATGCATCACTCTAACCACATCCCCTAAGTCCAATTCAGTGATTGCAACTAACAAATTGCTGAATCTGTGGTCATTCCATACAAACAACCATCGAGCAAGCAGATTAAATGTATGGACTGGTACAGTCAAGCCTGGCCCCAAGGAAATACTAATTTCTATATATAACTTGCAAACAACCAGCTTAGCACCATTTATAAAGGAATTACAAACTGTTAAAGAAAACACTACATTCTGCAAACACATTAAAGGTCACTTATATTTCCAACAATAACCCCCACTCCCTCCGAAAAGCTTCCTTGAAAACTATCTTGACTGGAATAACTAACACCCCATAATATCAGGCAACTTTTAACAGAAGTTTGGCAAGCAAAGAACTCCTCTCATATAGATAAAAAATAAACTGCTCATCTCTTTTCTAAAAAGATAATTAAGAGGTTTCATTAAAAGAACACATGTTTAGACTGGTCCATTGGTACTGCAGCATCAAAGAATAAAGCCAACTGAGGAAACTTGTGTAAGGAGACAGATTCTTGATGAAGAATTAAGGACACTAACCAGCAAACGAGTGTTGGTGTAAGAAGCAAAGAATCAGTTCTTTCAGCAAAAAGTCAGGTCAACATAAAATATAATTATCCTTTGGATCACAAACATAATAAAGATGGCCATGTATTAATATTTTAATATAGAGGTCCTGCAATAATCAGTGTCTTATTCATGCACCAGTCATAACACATGTTAAAAATGAAAAAAGAAATATGAGCCAAGCTCCACGGTGCATGCAAGTAATTCCAGCTATTTGGAAGGCTGAGGTGGGAGGATTACTTAAGGCCAGGAGTTCAAATCCAGCCTGAGCAACATTGCAAGACCCTGTCTCTTAACACAACAACAACAAAAAATCAATAAAAGAAAAATAAGTCAAAAGCCCCATTCACACCACATACAAAACAGCCCTTCTTTGATCTCCAAGTATAAATTCAATCTAGTCCTTCATGTAAATGGAAATTTGAAAAGCAAATCCTAGAAGACAACAGGATAAAGAAAACATTGAAAAAATATTTAATCTGAAGTAATTTATGTACAATAAAAATGGACTCTACTTTGATTTAGTAAACTTAAAAATTTTTACTGTTTCTTTTTTGGGGCAGAGGCCTTCCACCGTCATTTTCACATATCGGACCATTGATCTGGTTTGAGTCTCCCCTACTAGGCTTGTGATTTACTTGTGAGTGGAGAGAACCTCTGATTTATCTTTGGTTCCCCAGAATTCGGGATAAAACGAATGGGTACAAGACCCCAGAGTGAACAAACTGGAGTGCAGACACTCAAGAGCAGCTGTAGATTGCACCATAAGGATTTAACTTAGCTATTGTTCAAAATGCATATGAACATCAGAAAACAAAATGTCCATTACTGCTGCCAGCCAGAAAGCGTAAACATAAAACTGTGATACTCTATATTAATCAACCTGCTGATAAGATCTGACACAGTAACTCAAACTACAGCTCCCCAGAGAGGAGATTTAGATTCTATTCCTGGTTCTGTGTCTTTATCTACTACGTTTTTGTGAACCTTAATTTTCTCACCTGTAAACAGAGGGAAATGAAATGAAATGATCTCTTCCAGCTCTAATGAGTTGTGACTCTAGATCTGGATGAGAAACACTGCAAATGACCAGATTTGTTGCAGAGAAGTCATACAACTGCATCATGTAAATACTGTAGCCTCTTGTAGAACCTACCCTCCCTCTTGGGGGTTTCTTTCACCTCTCTCCTCCTGGGAGCCCCATTACCTGGCTGTCTAGTCTTCCTCTTTCTTGGCTTGCTCCTTCATTTTCCTGGGGTCTATCTTTTGTTAGCTTTGCAAGAAACCATGTGTAAAAGCTGTCACTTCATGTTTGAAAATATCTTTACAGGACAATTTGGGTGTGTATAGTTTAGGTTATTAATCCTTTTCTCCCTTGTTTTTTTTTTCTTGAGACGGAGTCTGGCTCTGTTGCCACGGTGGAGTGCAGTGGCACGATCTCGGCTCACTGCAACCTCCGACTCCCTGGTTCAAGCAATTCTCCAGCCTCAGCCTCCCGAGTAGCTGGGATTACAGGCACATGCCACCACGCCCAGCTAATTTTTGTATTTTTAGTAGAGATGGAGTTTCACCATGTTGGCCAGGATGGTCTCGATCTCCTGACCTCATGATCCGCCTGCCTCAGCCTCCCAAAGTGCTGGGATTACAGGTGGGAGCCACCACGCCCAGCCTCTCTTAGGATTTTGAAGACACTGCTCATGGATAATGCCAGCTTGGGGAGCCAGAGGCCATTCTGACTCTCTGCACCAGTGTTTTGTAAACTTTAGCACACATCAGGATTGGTGGGCAGGGGCTTCTGGAAGACCAGATTGTTAAGCCCACACCTTCAGGGCTTCTTTTTCTCTGGGTGTGGGTGGGGACCAAGGAAGTTGCATTTCTACCAAGTTCCCAGGTGATGGTGATGTGCTAGGAGCACAGTCCTCATAGGACCATCTTTGCCTTGTTTTCATTGAGACGTAACTCAGTAGGTCCTTTCAATCTAGAAATGTATATTCCTCACTTCCAGGAAATTCAAAATTTTGTATCTTTCATAGTTTTCTCCTTTCCATTTCCACTGACGTCTCTTTGTGAAATTCCAATTAGATAAGTGTTAGCCTTTTTAGTTCATCTTCCGATTTTCTTATTTTTTCCTCCCATGACTTCCATACCTTTGTTTTTTGGTTCTTTTTTCTGAGTTTTTCAACTTTCTCCCAACATTTTTATTATGTTTTTAAAGTGTCTGGTACTGTATTTTTAACTTTTCTGAATATTCCTTTTACTGTTTTTTTCATCATGTTTTTCTGATTTTGTGGACATAGTACCCTTTCTTTTCTCTCCAAAGATATTAAATTTGTTTTGATGTTCCTTTCTCCTTCCATTTATCTCTGATTCTCATTTCTCATTTGTTTCAAACTCTGACTTCATTGTTAGAAACGTCTTCAAAAGTCTGATGATCACTGGCTACTCATTCATACTTAATAAAAAGCAGCACTAAAAGCCTTCTGAGGGCTGTGTGTGGTATGGGCTTGTTGAATGGTGAGTGCCAGCACAGGTGAAGGAGGGACCTATTTTAGGACAAAATGGCCACATGTCAGTTTCTGTGAATCTTCTCCCAAATTCTCCAATCTCCAGTCTGGTGAGTAGAGCTTGGATGCTACCATCTGGGAAGGCTAACAGGAAATAAACTGAGGGCTGGGGGTGTTGCCTTCAGTATTCATATTTGACTTAATTTTCCTGATTTCAGAAGATGTTGCCCCCCCTCAATCATTACCCCTGCACAGCTGGGCCTCTGTCCTGAATCCCAGGTACTTTCTATTTAAGGTCTCCCAAAATTAAATTTCCAGACCTCTGTGTCATGGGAAAGGTAGTTACTGGGCTGAGTTTTGGAGGGGAAACCTGGAGGTCTGATTACTTCTATCCTCCTATACAAAAGTTTTAATCAATCCTGTTTTCAGTCCTACTCTGCACTCCCATCTTTATAGGTTCTAAATTCCTAAGCCACTTTGAGGTTCTCAAGCACCTTTTTTTTTTTTTTGATCAACTTCACTATTTCTCTAAGTCAGTTACAATTTATCCATTTGCTTGCAAAATTTGTATGGCATCTTTCATTTGAACTGTATCTTCTCTTCATGTTCTCTATTTTCTCTTTGCTCCCGTTGGTATGCACTTTTTATTCTTTTACTTTTATTTTAAAGGGATTTTAGGAAGGAGCAGAGTGAAATAAATGCACTCAGTCCATCATGCTTAATAGCACGCCTTCTATAGAAATTCAATGAATGAAACCAGTTTTTCTCTAAACACTAAAATAAAACCATTAAGTTACTATAGTCTGTTTTACTGAAAAAAAATTCAGCTTAGATTTGTGTATTTTTTAAAATTAGCCTACATAAAGAATTTTCACTTCAGATGATAGTACAAACCAGAAAACACTGCATCAGTTATCATATAGACAGTTGATTCCATATAAACACATTCAGTTAAACTAATTTCATTTTATGTTCTGATATGGTACACAGACCAACGGACCAGAATGCAGACACAGAATAGCTTTATTTCACCAGAATATTTATCTTGTCCTTGTGAATAAGGCATAGAAAATGTGGTGACAATTATCACATAGGCAGGTGAGTTCACATCCTTTGTCTTTATTCACAGACTGGCATTAACCTTTAGGGAAGCAGCTGGTGGCAGCTACTGTGGCCCCGTGCTGTCGACATTTGTATGAACATAGAGACGTGAATGACCAAGTGCAAATGCCACAAAACTAAAAGTGTAATTCACATATTTGATGAATCGTGATCCAAAACCTCTCAATGTACTAAAATATGCTCAAAAAGCAAGATGAGAATTGAGCTGGGATAAGGCAGTGTTTTGGAATTTTAATCAAGCATTTTTACAAGGCCCATGTAAAAGCAATTCTTATGAAAAGTGACAACAAGCTTACTAATAACAGCTGACTACAAACTCAGTATGAGCCAATAATACAACATGGTACTTAAAATGCTAATATAATCTGAAACTTCATTAATGTCTGGTATTCTGGTTGAGAGATGACCCCACCATATTCTGTATAAGTCAGACCACATCTCAGTTACCTTGTTCTGGCCATTGTGTTTATACTGCCATGCCAGACAGGTGTGTGATGGAGCGGACTTTAAGGCTCTAGACTTGCATTTTCCAGTATAACAGCCATTAGTTATGAGTGGCTATTTAAATTTACACTGAAAATTCAATTCCTGGGTCACACTAGCCACATTTTAAGTGTTCAATATTCATGTGTCTAGTGGCTACCACCGGGTACAGCACAGATACAGAACATTTCCATCACTGCAGAAAGTGCCATTGGACAGCACTTGTCTATACCCCATGTCATACAAGAAATGGGAATGAGAATTTAACCCAGGAGAAGGGAATGCTTTAAGAAAATCTCATATTTTAAGACTCACAAGAATTATGCAGAAAAGAGAACTGCTCTCTCTAGCACACAGAACGACAACAGGTAGAAGCTGCTGAAGGGTAGACCTCTGCTTAACGTATAACAAGACCTAGCAATTAGAATTAGTCACTACGGAAAGGCTGCTCACCAAGAATGAGCTTTCGTTCTTAGAAGTGATTAAGGAGAGGGCAGTCAGACAACCACCCTTCCAGGGATTTCTCTACAGAGAAAAATATCTCTTCTGATTCCAAGTTGCTAGAATTATGCAACAACGCACTAAACTATCAACAAATGGGTTATAACCAGTTATATAATATAATATAGCAAGCTGTTCCTAACTCCTTTCACTTTTTCTTTGAAATTTACATGGCAACTGTACTGAGGAAATTAAGACAGGAAAGGCCAGAGGAGAATAAGAGAAAGAGAGATTTATACAATTAATTGACTACTTCCCTGAGTCTGTAAACATCCATTCATCTTTGAAGAGTACTGTCCTCTATCCTAGGTCGATACTTTGTGTGGGATCACAAAGCGATGTGACTCAATTCAAAAGCATCTTATTCTTAAAAAAAAAATGTAAAAAAAATGCTCATTTTGATTCTATATCATAATTTCTTATTTTAAAAATGGTTAAAATTGCTCATGCACACTAAAAATGACAGTCGGAGAATGTCTACTATGTTTATCCTACCCTGTATGGTACCTGCAGCATGAATGTTACCTTAATATTTCATTTTGCCTTCCACCTCACTCTAGAGACTGCTCTATCTGCTCAATAAAGCTATATGAGAGACAGGGAGATGGCAGGCAGGTGATTTTAAGTATTAGAAAGCAGGTGTTTATATTTATAATTGCCTTTTCTCTTTTTTTTATTTTTTCATTATTATAATACTTTAAGTTTTAGGGTACATGTGCACAATGTGCAGGCTACATATATATACATGTGCCATGCTGGTGTGCTGCACCCATTAACTCGTCATTTAGCATTAGTTATATCTCCTAATGCTATCCCTCCTCCCTCCCCCCACCCCACAACAGTCCCCAGAGTGTGATGTTCCCCTTCCTGTGTCCATGTGTTCTCATTGTTCAATTCCCATCTATGAGTGAGAACATGCAGTGTTTGGTTTTTCATCCTTGTGATAGTTTACTGAGAATGATGATTTCCAATTTCATCCATGTCCCTACAAAGGACATGAACTCATCCCTTTTTATGGCTGCATAGTATTCCATGGTGTATATGTGCCACATTTTCTTAATCCAGTCTATCATTGTTGGACACTTGGGTTGGTTCCAAGTCTTTGCTTTTGTGAATAGTGCCGCAATAAACATTATGTGTGCATGTGTCTTTATAGCAGCATGATTTATAGTCCTTTGGGTATATACCCAGTAATGGGATGGCTGGGTCAAATGGTATTTCTAGTTCTAGATCCCTGAGGAATGGCCACACTGACTTCCACTAGAGTTGAACTAGTTTACAGTCCCACCAACAGTGTAAAAGTGTTCCTATTTCTCCACATCCTCTCCAGCACCTGTTGTTTCCTGACCTTTTAATGATCGCCATTCTAACTGGTGTGAGATGGTATCTCATTGTGGTTTTGATTTGCATTTCTCTGATGGCCAGTGATGATGAGCATTTTTTCATGTCTTTTGGCTGCATAAATGTCTTCTTTTGAGAAGTGTCTGTTCATATCCTTTGCCCACTTTTTGATGGGGTTGTTTTTTTCTTGTAAATTTGTTTGAGTTCATTGTGGATTCTGGATATTAGCCCTTTGTCAGATGAGTAGGTTGCAAAAATTTTCTCCCATTTTGCAGGTTGCCTGTTCACTCTGATGGTAGTTTCTTTTGCTGTGCAGAAGCTCTTTAGTTTAATTAGATCCCATTTGTCAATTTTGTCTTTTGTTGCCATTGCTTTTGGTGTTTTGGACATGAAGTCCTTGCCCATGCCTATGTCCTGAATGGTAATGCCTAGGTTTTCTTCTAGGGTTTTTATGGTTTTAGGTCTAATGTTTAAGTCTTTAATCCATCTTGAATTAATTTTTGTATAAGGTGTAAGGAAGGGATCCAGTTTCAGCTTTCTACATATGGCTAGCCAGTTTTCCCAGCAGCATTTATTAAATAGGGAATCCTTTCCCCATTGCTTGTTTTTCTCAGGTTTGTCCAAGATCAGATAGTTGTAGATATGCGGCGTTATTTCTGAGGGCTCTGTTCTGTTCCATTGATCTATATCTCTGTTTTGGTACCAGTACCATGCTGTTTTGGTGACTGTAGCCTTGTAGTATAGTTTGAAGTCAGGTAGCATGATGCCTCCAGCTTTGTTCTTTTGGCTTAGGATTGACTTGGCGATGCGGGCTCTTTTTTGGTTCCATATGAACTTTAAAGTAGTTTTTTCCAATTCTGTGAAGAATTGCCTTTTCTTTCATGTTTTAAATTTAGTACTTAAGCAACTTTCAGCCAAAGAGAGAGGAGGTGGTACTGCTAGAGCTCTGTTTCATTTCTTTGGTCTCCATCAAACGAGGACCCTGAACCTCTGCCCTATAGAAGACAACTGAGAAACCAAAATAAGGAAGAGAAGGGGGAAAAATAACTAGGCCAGGAGAGAGACACATGTTGAATCTTGCCATCCCAGTCATGAAAAGAAACTGGCTGTAGCTTTATTGTCTTGTCTCTCTTGGTAGAACAAGTCTCCTTTTGGCACAGAGAAGTCTCTTGGTAGAAGCTGTACCTGATACTTTAAAGCACCAACTGAAATGGCTATTACTAGAATGAAGGTGAGAGAGGGCATGAGGGAATAGTGTGGGTTCAGGATAAGTATCGGTAATACAAGAGTTTTTGTGGCAAGCTATACTGAAAAGTCAAGTCATGCAGGTGGGAATGAATTTTACGGGCTTCAAGAAACACCACAGAAAGGTTGCCCAAAATGGGTCATTGTCAAATCTAAAATTGTCATTACCTTGGAAAAAACAAGTCTTATTAAGGAAAACAATGGAGACACAGGAACAGAAAAGTTACCCATATATATTAATCTGGACTAAGCCATCCATTCATTCATCCAACACACATGTACTGAGCATCCACCATGGGCCAGGCACTATGCTACATGCCAGGGTTGCAATGGAGAAAATAAAAGACATGATCTCAGCTGCTGTAAAATTTCATTTTGGTGGGGGAAACTTCTTTTAAAAGAATAACAAATAGATGAGTAAAAAATACAATTACTTATATGATGATAAAGTAGACATTATAATAAAGAAGATATAAAAATGTATAAGGGGAAACCTAAGAGTCTGATTTAAACAGTGCAGGCAGGGTGAGTATTCTAGGCAGTGGGAAATACGTATGCAAAAGAACACAGGGCTGGAACAACCTGGCACATCTGGAGAACTGAGGAGTGACTCCAGAGACTGCTCAATGGGCCAACAGGATGCAGATCATGCAGAGCATTGTACGTCTTGAGAAGGATTTTTTTCTTCACCTCAGAGCAATGGGAACTGTTGAAGGGTTTAAGGAATCATGCAGCAATTACAAATTTATGTGTCAAATACAGTCATTCTAAATTGAGAATTCAAAAACCTAGCAACCTTGAATTCTGGGGGCCAGTTTATATTTAAATGTGAAGATAAACTTACAGTGTTTGTCACAAATACAGCTCTGTGTATAGTAAACTCTCTTTTATGTGTAAGTCATCTATAAACATTTAAAATCCAATAAAAGATTACAACTTATCATATTAAGACGTTTATGTGTTTATTTTGTAAGACTTGAGCTGCATAAGTTTATTTCCACTAAACGTAATATCTGGTTTGTATGTACTGGTGAAGGCTGCAGTCCCCTGCTGTGGTTTTAACATGTGTCCTCTCCAAAACTCACGTTGAAATGTAATGTTCAATGTGGTCGTACCGATAGGCCCTTTAAGAGGTGATTGCGTCATGAGGGCTCTACCCTCGTGAATGGATTAGTCTACTGATGAATTAATGGTTTAATAGATTAATGAGCTATCATGGGAGTGAGACTGGTAGCTTTATAAGAGGAAGAGACACCTGAGCTATCGTGTTCAGGCCCCCTTGACACAAGATGCCCTACACCGGCTTAGGGATTCTGCAGAGTCCCCACCAGCAAAAAGGTTCCCCAAATGAGGCCCATCAACCTTGGACTTCTCAGCCTCCACAATAAGAAATAAATTCCTTTTCTTCATAAATTAAAGACTCTATAGGTATTCTGTATAGCTTTCTGCATAGGTTTCAGGTATTCTGTTATAAGCACAGAAAATGAACTAGGACAACCTCTAATAAAATGATGTCCTTTACATGTGAAGCAAACAGCCCATTCATCTGCATCAGGAGAGCACACGTCCTAGATAAATTTGGCAGTAAAGATGTCAAATTCCATGGGTTTCTCTATACTCAGATCAGAGTATAAGGATGGGATATGGTTTCTGTCCACTTAATAAAAACAAAACTCTCCAATTTCCCCAGAAACTTAAGTTCTAACTGTGGCTAAAGCTGCTCCTCAACTTCCATAATTAATATGAAAAACTGATGACCACTTTTCAAATACTGAGTTATAAAAGTTCCCTTTTTTTAAAAAAGGTAGCAACTATTTGCGGTCTACTGCACGTTACTAAGAGATACCCTCACTTGAAAACACATTTAATGCTTGCCTTCCCTCTTTGCAACTTTACCTCTGAATTCAGAGCATATTAAAATATCAATATTACTTTAAAGTTATATGTTGAGTTTGATGAATTAAATAAACTCTGTGCCATGTACTCAAGCAACAGTCTCTCAAATGTTTCCCAAAGCTGTTTTTTTCATGGTCTGATTTTTGGAATGTAATGAGAAATGCACGCTTATGAATGAAATTCTCACTTAATATGATGCTGGGTTCAGTATATAAATAGCAGAATATTGCAGATCTGATTTGTGATCACTATGGCCAACTCTACCCTATTCATCATTCATAAGCCAACGCTCCTATGACTCCCACCTCGTGGCCAGTTTCCCTTTGTGAGAAAAAGAGATGTGGCCCTAACACATGGTAGGGCTCACAACACTGAACAGCTCCAGGGGTCAATGGAAAAGAGGCATTTGGCAAGTCAAAATTATTATCAAAGCCACATTTATTTGTTTTTATCCACTTGATTTTAAAAATTAAATGACTTTAATGAATGAAAATGAAATGACCTTTAGTACTATCAAACACAAGGAGAAAAGTAGATTCTTTGCTTAACTGTAGTCATTTTATTCCCCTGCTTAAAAAAAAAAAAAAAAGTCTTCAATGAAGACTCCCCAAACATGCAAACCACCTAAGCATGGAAGAAGCTTCCTGAGCTGATCCCTGCAAACTCACACAAGTTTCCTTCCTTCTCCACCTCACTTCCCCTCACGCTCCACACATCCTGAAACCTATGTGCTGGTACATGCCCAGGCATCTTCCACTGTCCCAGGCACACTCCACGTGTGCTATGTCTTTACCGTCTGTCTTCTCTCTTGTTCAGAGCACCTTGAAAGTGGAGGCCAAATCCTATTTTTCCTTGTTCCCTAGCACTTAGCACACAGTAGGCATTGTTGCTGGGCATTCTGAAGAGCTTGAAATTCACCTTATAGATACAAAAGCCCTCAGGCTACAAATATTGTTGTTATTTATAATTGAGTACCCACCAAAATTATTAGGAACCATGAAGAGAGAAGTTTTCCTGAAAATTCACCCCCAATGCAAAATGGTTTTTCCTTCCCTCATCTCTTGCTGCCAGGATAATGTTTCTAAATCCTGCATTCCTCCTGTGACCCTCCCATTCAAGAATCCACTTTGGCCCACTGCCTCCAGTCTCTGCTCCTCTGCCAAGCCCACCACAATGCAAAAGCAGCAGCTGCTGGCGCTCACATTTTCAGAACTCTTTCATGTACATTATGCCATTTGATCCTTTACCGGAACCCCAGGAGAGAGATGGGCAGACATCTTAGACTGTTTTCACAGATAAACAAAGAAAAGTTAATTAAGTCTGTCTAAGGTCAGACAGGTTAGTAGTGTGAGACGAGACGAAAACCTGTGCATCTGTGAGTCCAATTCCCAGCTCAGGGCTCTCTTCTAATGCACAAGGGCCCGTGATTTCTCTTGTCTACTCGATTCTTAGTGAGCACCTTCTGTGTGTCTGAGACTGTAGTGGGCTGAGGGGATTGAGAGCTCGCTAAGATAAAAGTTGGACCCTGGAAGGAGATGTGTGACCATGTCATTAGAGACTACACATGCTGTGCTTGTGAAAGCTTCAAAACTGGAAAAGAAAAATCGCCATCCTTGGGATTCTACAATAACTATAGTTAATGACATACAAATTGCCAATACTCCCTACCACCCAGTATTGATCTCTGTAGCACAGCAATGGGCATGACTGTCCTAATTTCCTGCATCCCCAAAGCATCTCCAATACAGAAGGATGCATGATGTGATGGAACCACATCTCGCGGCATTAGGTTCCAAGCCAGCAGATGGCGGAAAACCATGTATCATCAACACACCCTTGAAGATCTCTTATGACACCAGCAAGGTACTTTATGTAGACAGTCTTCCCCTCTCAATGAATCTAACATGGGCAGTTTTCCTTCAGTGTGGGAAGAGATCAGTGTGGAAAGAGGAGGGTTTTGTCACTGTTGTGCATTTTAAATTTTTAGTTCAGGGCCTGTCAAAGTAGTTCAGAAATGTGAAGGGCACAGGGGCCGTGAAAAAGCTGTATGCCTGAACACCAAAGTCACCCTCAGTGGGCTGAGATATTCATGCTTAGAAAGGCATATGGGAAAGGGGGCTTTTATTTCCCACCTCATACATACTCCAGGGCATACACTCACCAGCTAGGGTGGTCAGCTGAATCCTTGTGTTAAGTGACTTCTCTTGTTCTTTTTTTACTTTTAATTATTGCTGCTATTGTCAGAATTATTATTATTTTCTCAAGCATGCATAGTTGAACACAAGTTATGTAAAACGTAGGTATGCTGTTGCCACTGTAAATCTTTAGCCACTGGTTTAAACTAAGTGTATAGAAGGAGATCTGTCTGAATTACGCTAAGTGCAGCAGCATGTGGTTATTCCATGAATATTCTTTAATTCATACATTCATAGATAATGTAATTCATACATTAATTAAGCACTAACTTATGCCATATACCTGCATTAAGTGCTGAGGAAAAGAAGAGTTAGCTACAGAGGCCTCAAAATACAGCAGAGGATAAAAATATAAACAAAATTATTTAATTACTGCGTAAGTTGGATATACAAGGTAAGATGGGCCTGAATGTGGCAGGGCAGGCTCAGCAGAGATGACTCAATGTCCCCAGAAACACACACAACTCCCTCCCTCACTTTCAGTCCCTGATTCAAGTATCTTCCTCCTGGCAAGCCTTTCTCTACATCCCCATTTAAAACTGTAAAACCCCTCTTTGGCCACATGCTTCCGACACCTCTTCCCTGCTGCTTCTCTCCAGGACTTAATCCCCTTCTGATCACATCTCTTATTTATTTTTTGTGTTTCTCCTTCCATGAGCAGGTCAGCTATAGAGGGCAGGGATTCCTGTCTGCTTTCTGAATCCTAATCTTAGAACAGTACCCAGAACATAGTAGGATTTGGTAAATATGTGCCTTTCCTGACTACATTAAAGAACAATTGCCAGAGCTCTCTAATCCCTTCATTCTCCTTTCTTTCTCTTCATAGCATTGATCATGAACTGATGTTATCTTTTCTTTTCTTCATTTATTTTTCTCTCCTCACTAGAATGGAAGCCTCAGGCGTCAGGATAAGAGGGAGTTTGTATGCTTTTTCACTGGGTGTCCTAGCACTTAAAAGAGGGCTTGGTACATAGTAGATACTCAAAACATTGTAGTTGAATGAATCGTCATCCTTATCACAGCTCACATTCACTGAGCACTCAGTACATGCAAGACAGCTTTACCTGTATTCCCTGTATCTTCACAATAACTCTATGAGATAGACATCAGCATTATTCTCATTTTAGAGATGACTGACACAGTCAGTCAGTAACTTGCCCAAGGTTACAAACCTGGCAAAGGGTGGAGCCAAAAGTTAATTCCAGGCCACCTGACTTGAGCTTTACTTTTAATCACTGTTCTACTGACGTGACTTCACTGAAGAACAGGCCACCATGGCTTCTCAGCCATCATGTGGTTTAATTATCTGCCCCTCTAAACCATCCTCCTGCCACCTCCAAGTCATTTGCCACACTAAAGACAGTATGACATTTTCAAATAGCAGCTCTGATCATGTCATTCTGCTTTACGTCTCTTCAATGGCTTTCCATTGGTAGAGTACATGTTTCGGTGTCCTACCAGCAAAGGTAATCAATATATATAATAACCTCTCTGGAATGATGACAATGTCACCTCTGGGAAGATGACAGGCTATAAAGACAATGATGGACTAAGAAATGCTTTACTTTTGAGATAAGAAATAAAGAGAAAAGGCTTAGTTGATTATGATATGACCTTTATCAGTAATTCTAGAAATATTTATGCAATATCTGATAAGAATATTGCATATGTTAAAATGGATACTCCTGGGCCCCACCCAAATCTACTAATTTAGAATCTCTAGGGATAGTGTCTGATAATCTAACCAGCACCCTGGCAGGGCGCGGTGGCTCACGCCTTTAATCCCAGCATTCTGGGAGGCTGAGGCGGGCGGATCATGAGGTCAGGAGATCGAGACCGTCCTGGCTAACACGGTGAAACCCCATCTCTACTAAAAATACAAAAATTAACTGGGCGTGGCAGCATGCGCCTGTAGTCCCAGCTGCTGGGGAGGCTGAGGCAAGAGAACGGCATGAACCCGGGCAGCGGAGCTTGCAGTGAGCTGAGATTGAGCCACTGCACTCCAGCCTGGGTGACACTGCGAGACTCCGTCTCAAAAAAAAACAAAAACAAAAACAAAAAAAACAAGTACCCTAGGTGCCTCTTTGACAGTCACTGACCTAACATTCTTCAACTCTAGGACACCAGGCAAGCATCTGCATGCTGGGTAACACTATATAAACCATTAGCATCAAGACTAAGACCCAACTAGCTCCGTTTAATAACCAACAAGGCTCTTTTGTTCAACTACAATGCTGTAGAACTCACAGATTCAAACTTCCCTAACCCAAGGCACAGATTTCAATCATGTCCAATGCTCGAGCAGGTCATTCCACACCACGCAAAGCCAGAGTTCATACATTCAGAAAAATCAACTCCCTCATGTAAGCCAGGTCAATAGAGTTTTACTGTAAGATATGTTCATTCCAAAGACTATTCCACTTCTTTAAAATATGTCATCCTGCAATAGCTAGGATATTGTGAGAGAAAAATTTAAAAAACATACAAATCATGCCTTGCACCTAGCACACTGGTTGACTTCTGAGCTAGTTCTGTGTGGGATTCAAAGGAAAGCATGTCTATTCAGGCCTTGTGCATGCTAAAAAGGTTAGAGATGAGCTTTGTTAGTGGGAAGATTATCGCAGATTCCTATCATCCCAGATTCCCTGATATTATGAGAATAGGTCCCTAACTGAATTTGTCTCTGGACATGCGGTACCCTTTGATCTAATTATCAGCTCCTGGCTCCTATAGCTAAGAGAAGACAAAAGTCTCACCAGGACAGTCTTCTCTGCATGCAGCCCCTCCAGCTGGGAGGGGTCTTCATGGCACAGAGTAGAAAGAGTATGGAGCAGTAATATTAAATCCTATGGTTAAGACTTCAACTAATTACTCATTTTCTTTACACACAAGCTTTCAAACTATTTAACCTGTGCAAATAACTCATAAAAATGTTTTCCTCTGCAAAATGTAAAAGATACAAACAAAAAACAACCACAAAAAACTCTTAATATGAAAGTCAAATCATTCTAAAAACTACTTTGAAAGATATGAGATTTAATTGTGACGCTACAGCAAGTTTTCAATCTGTGTCATGTTATATAACTTAACAGATTTTTTTTAATCTCAGAAAAGCATTTAAGAACTCATTTTTAGCTTTATTTTCAAGTGTTTTTATATAAAAGAAAATGTTTTACTCTACACAACACAAATTAAAAGTGCTTGAGAAACAATAATTGTATATTACAATATCCAATCAAGCCTGCAGGAGGAAACAAAACATTCGTAGATGAAAACAACCAGAGAGGTAAATTTTTCAAGATATTTCATAGGTATAAAAAGAAGTTTTTACTCTCCACATTGAATTATCAGGCCCATGATATAAATTACTCTTCGCAGAGTCTATGTAATCTAGGTAACACATTGGATGTATCATTATGTGAGACGAACAAAGCAATCACTGGCCAGAGGTATTGTAACACATTAAGGAGAAAGAAAGTGAAATTATTCAGGGTGATTTCACACCCAGCACTTGCTAAAGTGAAACACAAAAACAATATGGAGAAGAGGACAAATTTTAAAGGAGCACAAATTTCTAACTTTTGAGAGATCATTGTAGCTTTCTAATTATAAGTTATAACGTTAAAGTGTAAAACACTAGGGGCTGGGCGCAGTGGCTCACACCTGCAATCCCAACACTTTGGGAGGCCGAGGCGGGAGGATTACGAGGTCAGGAGATCGAGACCATCCTGGCTAACACGGTGAAACCCCCTCTCTACTAAAAATACAAAAAACTAGCCGGGCGTAGTGGCGGACGCCTGTAGTCCCAGCTACTTGGGAGGCTGAGGCAGGAGAATGGTGTGAACCCAGGAGGCGGAGCTTACAGTGAGCCAAGATCGTGCCACTGCACTCCAGCCTGGGCAACAGAGCAAGACTCTGTCTCAAAAAAAAAAAAGTATAAAACACTAGGTTACTTATAATTTTCTAACTTCCTCACAAGTTCTTAATGCTCTCAACGCTATACCATGCCAAAGAGTAGACTGCTTTCCCCATGCTGCCCAGATTACAAAACTGCACTGCAGATCCTCTCAGCCATGAAGTATGCCATGACCCTCAAGCTCTCTTAAACATACTGACAGAATCTGCCAATATGCAGTGCGAGGACAGCAAGAGCAAAGTGGAATTTAAAAAGGCCACCTTGGTCAAACAAGAATAGCTGCAGATGTTTACGATACCAAAACCAGCACTCCATTTAGATTCTAAAATTTTAAGCAATTGTAAAAGACAAAGAAAAAAGGTATTTATGCTAGCATAAAAATGTTTTTTAAATACAGTGTTTATTTGTCAAATACCGACTGCTTTTTCTTTCACTCCTTTCTGTTTCTGATCTTTGGAAAAACCACATCAGTATCAAATGTCACTTAGCTCTTATTCAAACAGAGGAAAGCAGACACAGCGGCTGCACCCGTGACTTAGCTGACCTGGGCCCTCAGTAAAAACAAACCTCTATAAATCACCAGATGTAAGCAATTGGGTAGTGATCACTCTATTAATTGAACAGCTTTCCTGAAATTTACTGTATAATTTCAACCCTCCCAACACCTCTCTCAGAAGCAACTAACAATGGTGGTTTTTTCCTTAAGTTGCTTAAAGAAAAACATTTTTTAACATCAGTAGCTTAAATATATTTTTAAATTATTTAAGATTAAGGTGGTAAGCTAATTAGATTTTAGAAATTAAACCACAGGCATTCTAAATGCTACCTTTAAATGCTGAAAGTCAGAATTATTCCAAAACCTACGTCAGTGCATGTATATACAACGTTACCTACACTAAAAATACAGAAAACTTGGTACAACCTTAATTGTATTTGAAAACTCATATTTGCAAAACAACCTGCAAAGTTATTTCTGTCTTCAGTCACATATTTACTTTTTTTGAGTTGATGTCTCTGAACTCTGATTTACACTGCAGGTACCACACTTAAAACAGGATACTCCAATGGCTTATTCTCAACTCCGGTTTCTCCTCACAAAGCAACTCTGATCATTCTCCACTAGGAACTACGTAATACATAACCCACAGATCCCCATGCCAACCATTGAGCGATACTAAAATTAAAGTCCTAGTCTACAGAATACGATAAAATACACATTTCTATGGTGTAAAGCTGGCCTCTTTGAATCTCGAAGACCAGTTCGGCAACAACAGCAAAGTGTAAAGTGTGTTGTTATAAGAATACATGAAATTTAGCAGTGAGAGAGTTAGAGGCTAGAAAACAAGTTAACCAATTTAAAGCGCGTATCTTTACTATGCCCTGAAAAAAATATTCCATTTTTTTCTTCTAAGATCTCTATGCTAGTCCCTATGGAACTCCCACTCAAGGTTCCTGCAAACATACATGAGGAATTCTGCTGATATTCACTTACAAGGAGAGAAGTGTAATATTTGCCGAGACTGGTCCCAGATTTGGAATGGTCTCCAATTCATTGTTGTTCAGTTTCCTACAAATGCCAAAAAAAAAAAGAAAAAGAAAAGCTGATTAGGTAATCTGTAATTCACAGAGGTGAAAACTTTACATATTATTTCAAGATACCACCCAAGTTAAAAGTTTTGAATAACTCACTATAATCCAAGTATTCCTTACGGTTAAATAGTATAAGGGGTAACGTATTTTACTCAAACCTTAAAAACAAAATAACGAAGACTCACACTTCTCGAAGGCTTTGAAGGTGGCTCATGGAACTTGCCTTGATGAAAGATAATCTGTTGTGACTTAAGTCCCTATAAGAAAACAAAAATAAAATTATAAGTCATTTCTAAAAATCACTAATAGTGCTAACTGGGCTTATGAAGTATCTCTATGAACACCAGTGAGAGCAGGAGAAATAATTGGTCTATTCTGTCCACAAACTAGATGGCAACCAAAATGCCAAACTCAAAAATACAAGCTCCAAGGACAAAATTAGTTTAGGGAGACTGGCAGATTCAAATACTTTAAGCCCACAAATGTTTTAAGAGATGTTTTTTTGGCACGTGGTGAACAGATCTTTTGTGAACTGGCAGGTCTGCTTCACCCTCCCATCTCCCCACTCCTAACCTGATATGATGACATCATGGTTTAAGAAAAGGAGCTAATTAGGCAGGTTGCTGAAACTAAAGCCTCTATAGAAATCTTTTTATTGTCATACATTTAAGCATCAATGTCCTTATTGCAGTCAAGGAAAACAGAAATTGCTTTGCATACATATTTGTTTCTCTGCGTTAAAGCACCAAATCATTTAAAGCATTATTTTGTGTGTGAGTGTTGAGAGGGTAGAAAACAATCTGAACCCTCTGCTTTCTTAAATTCCCCAAATATCAATATCTGATAATATAAAATTTAAACCACATCGCCATCTAACAAAGTTCAGCAGATTGCACAAAAACTTGTGAACAGATTTCAATCATTAAAATAAATGTGCTTCTTACTCAATAACTCAATTTAACTTAGTAACAATTTCCATAGAACATCATTACTATTAAAAACAATAACAAACTCATACATATACAATACTCTAGGCTAGAAAGTCATCTCATTTAAGATTCAAAATATGGAACAAATTCCAGCAAATATTCTTGGTTATATTCCCCATATGTGTTAACACATTGACTATGTGCCTTCAAAATAGTGTAATAAAAATGAAATGGTTCCAGAGTGATGAAAAACCGGGATAACAAATAGTATGGCTTGAAGCTTCCCACTGAAAGGGTTATCCAACCCATACTAATTTTTTTGGTGTTTAAAACGGAGTTTTTTAAATAACCAAAGTTGATTGGAGAAAAGCATGAATTATTTGTTATATGCATAAGTACACCCCTCCTAAAAAATAAATAAAGAGAAATCACCTCCAGAGAAGCACAGTGTTACTCAGTGTTTAGTTAACAATTAGAAATCAGAGTTCCTTTCAGTCTTTGAGTTTCTGTTTTGAGAATAAACCTGGATTCTCTTTTTCACCTAAAAAAAAAAATCTGCAAGGTTTTATTTGAAGTATGTTTGCCCAAAGACCTACCAGACAGTGACAGACATGAGTAGATTTGTTCTGGTAGAGTTATAACATGAAAAAAATCTGGCACAGTCTTTAAACTATAAAAATCCTGCAATTACAACCACTGCTGTGCATGCTCACCACGCTGGCTGGAGCCAGACACTTTCCCTTGCAGCCCAGCTCAAGTCCATCTGGAGTTCATCAAGGAAACCGTGAGCCCAACAACTCACGTTAGGATTCAAACAAAACCTGTGTGCTTTTAGCACCCCAGACAGTCACAGATTTCCCACATGGTTTAAAAAACAACCAAGGAAAAGAGTCTTTCACCTGGGAGGTAGCCTGAGTCAACAGAAAGTCTCATTTGGACCCACTTAACTAAAGAGCATTGAGCCAGCGTAAAACTGCATCCCCTATTGTTTCAGGTCTTAAAAAGAAAGGGGAAGCAATCTGGCATTAATATTTAACACAGGTGATTCTCTTTTTAATTAAAAATAAAAAAACACTAAAACTGAGGATTAACTTCATTTTAAGGATTATTTCACAGGGCAATCCTGTGAGAGAAATGAGACGGAGTGCTTAACTTTTTTCAACTAGTAATGGGATAAGATTCCTCCTACAAAAGACCTGTAAAAAATAAGAAACTCCCTTCAGAGACCAGTGCACATGCTGGGGACCCCTCATTTCTGATCCAGAAGCAGGAGCTTGAAACTTTGAATATTTCAGTTATTGCAACACATTTCCATTCTTGAGTTTTGTGTACTATTAAAACTACATTATATGTAGGAGGAAAAAAAACACCCCTTAAATGACATTTACTGCTAAATACTTACAGCTATGAAACTTTTAGTGTACCTAAATTTAGATTTAATATAGTTTACATTTGAGAAATGATTACTTTCCAGTTAAGGGATGTCACATTTTCCTAAATCTTCCTTACATTGTTTTTATGGCTAGACCATTAAAAACAGATTCAAGTTGTACAACGTCGATGTTTTCTTAAACCCAGATCATAAAACATTCAATAAGAAAGGCAGATTCTTCATGTTTAGAGTTCCATTAATAGCATCTTCCCCACAAAACTTTTACAAAAACTTTTTGTAGTGGGGTTAATGAATGGGAAAGGTAGTAAGGTACGGAAGTGTTAACTGTACCCAGAGCTCAGCTGGCCAACACTTGAAAGTCAAACTCTTTCTATATGGTTAGACAGACTTCTCTCTTCCTGAATATTAGCAAATGAATAAATATATATGAAAATAATCAATTTGCAACATTTGGTTCAAGCTGTCATTTTCTTCCTTTTAGCATTTGGAAATCTGACTTCCAAGTCAAATTTTAAATGCAAATCCAGCACAGCTTCTTAAGCAATCCCACTGGGGCCTGCAGAGCTGCTAATTCAGCACAAATCTGGAAAGCTGAAAAACAAAAAGCCAGGCTATAGCTGTTTTAAGACACTGATCCAAAGTGACTCATAAATCAGCCTGCTATATTCAAGTTTTAGTCTGGAAAATACAGAAAAACAGCTGTGAAAACCATAAGGACTATTACCCCCACCCCACCCCCAACTGTGGTCCGGACCATAAGATTTATAACAGGTCAACACTAAAGAAGTCACACCAGCAGAAACTACCTTTGGGACTTTCGCCTGGGTCCTGTTGAGAACTCAAACATTTCTACATAAGACAAATAATTCTGAAATGCCAGTGAGAATTTAATAATACTGGAAGTTCTCATTGGCAATTTAGCAACTTTTCCGTCTCTGGGCTAAATAACATTCTAACAAGCATTCCTCTTTAGGTTGAGAACTGTTTAAGCGCAAACTCTTGACATAAACTCTAGCTTGCCTTTAATGGCAGTTGTGAGCAAGGCTTGGCGTAGTTACTGGGTTGTTTTTTTTTAGACAAAGTCTCGCTCACATAGTTACTCTTTAAGAGCCACTTTCATTAAAGCATTAGAGGTTATTTTCTAAAAGGAGTACTGATACAGTATTATTATTTTACAGCTCAAACTATTCGACTTTTCACACATGGGACTCCTATAGTAATAAATCACAACCAAATAAAGTGGAAAAAATACATACACACGTAATTTTTCTTAAACTTGCAAATTCAACAAATGAAACAAAAGATAGACACTGAACTTTTTCTGAAAAGTGCTTTCATAAGCCAGTCCAAAGACAAACTCCTACTATTTTGATTACCCAAGGAAAGGGAAGGTAAGATATGGGGAACAAAAACATGCATTTTTCTATTTATATCTGAACTCGGAAATCATCTCCTTAAGACGATTTTTCTAATTACGAAAAACTTTAGTAGCTTTTTAGACCACCTATTCTAAAATACCAAATAACAGAGAAAGTAAAACTCAATTCCACGTGTTTTTCTGCTCCTTTCAAAAGTGGAAAGAGGAGACCTCTAGAGCTTTAGGTACAAACAAAAGAAATATTTACAATAAAGAATCCAGACCACATGGTTTGGTGACACCTACAAAGATGGTTAAAAGTCACAGAAGTACAGGAATGACAGAGCTGTCCAATAAGTGATCACAGCAGGGTTCCTGACAACAGACTGAGTGCTTATTTATACAAGTGGAACTTATTTTCACATACATTTAAGGAATGTGGGCTAGTATTGAGACAATTTACTGCTGGTGGAAATGTAATTAAAGACTGTGCTAACCAAATAAACTCTAATTTGTTTTTAGTGTGCCACCAAATTATCTGCAAAACAAAATCCTAATTAGGTCAGCTACTTTTAAGACAATGTTTAAATAGGTATCGAACCCCTTTTGGTTCAACTCAACTTCTGATCAAGGGCAACACAGATTTTTTTTCTAAACATCTAAATCCAGGAAAAAAGAAAAAAAGTACTGCACACTAGCATGATCACAATAGACAACTTGACATTGAAAAACTATCGAATACAAGTTAGATGCCGTGAATAATCTAAGCATATCTAAATACACTCCAGGAAGCACTGTATTCATTTTCTCTTTCTCATCCCTCTATTATTCCTAAGTGTTCACCTCCAGTCATTTACATGTTCAGTTCCATATGTTGTCAATAGAGCCATTCACTCATGAATAAGGCAGCATGACCTCCACAAGAGGCAATTTAACAGAATTAGCCACAACTAATTGAAAGTCTCCCTGCTTTCGGTTAAAGACCTTATCTCCTCTTCCAATTGCAATAAAAACTACTAAATAAAACGTCCCAAGAAATTAAATATCAATCCAATACTAATTCTACTTTATTAAACTAAGGCTTATTAAAAACACAAGGAATATACTTTCTGATGGCCAACAATTCTACATTCACAAAAGTTATTTAGATTAGCACAATAATTTTAAAATATAAATTCTTAAACACCTGACCAAACCTCCTACCACATTAGGGCATTGGAATAGTTCACTAGAATTGTTTTAAAAACTTAAAATTTTCATTGCAATTCTGCTAAGTCAAAATATAAGATTACGTATGAAGTGCACTTTTATTTTAAACAGAACAACTACTTTAAAAAATACAAATTTTGATTGTTTACTTTTTACAGCACTCCAATTTTAAAACTGGGACTGAGGAAGAAAAGAGATGACATTTGGAAAAGATCAGCATTTCCAACTAAATTACATTTTCTTCCTTGTTCTTCACGCAGTTGGCAGTGATTTCAGGTTTTCAGACTTCGCAGCTAAAAATCCAAAAACTTGCATAAGAGCTCCCTGCGCTCTCCCCTAAACCGTCTGGGCGTTCTGAGGAGCTACAGAAATCACGCCCTTGATTCTGGATAATCGAGTTCCGCCCTTTCCATAGCTACCGACCAGTCTTTACAATCTGGTTGAGGAGTGGGAACTTACGGTCTGCTAATGTGAAAAAGCAAGCAGAGGGAGAACAACAGAAGTACGTCCACCATAACTTGGAGAATGACCGAATTCTGTTGAGGGGGCTTCCCAAATGAAAAGCCTGACTTCAGTTACTGGGTGGGAACAGGAAAAGGAGTCTGACGCAGCTAGAAACTAAAACTGAACCAGACTCATAACTCAGCGAGAACTGCAAACTCCTGATGTGTGCAGGTTGCCGCTTATCTCCCCTGGGCCTGGCAGGAGCAAGCATTTGAACCCCTTGGCTAGCTTAGGGCGCAGGACTTCATCCCCAATCTCTGGCGTCGTTACTGGCCCCCAACCCTGGTCTACCTGCAGCCAGTTAGGACGCGCCAAGAGCCCACCTGCGCCGCCCGCAAAGCACGTGGGAGGGAAACTGAGGCCCGGACAGTTCTTTTTCCACGCCCACGGAGCGCCGATCGCGGCCTGGGCCAGAAGGAGCTATACGGCAAAAAGGGGACTGCACGCCGAACCCCATTCCCCGCCGGCTCCTGTTTTCTCGAATCTCCAGCGGCCCGGGCCCCCTCCCCCCGCGGGAAGAATACTTACAGCCGAGCGACCCAGGACGGGAGTGGCTCGGGAAGACGCGCTAGCCGCTTACGACTGCAGTCCAGCAGGTCCCCGAGGCAGCGGCAGGTAGTGGGGCATGGGCGCTCGGCGGCTACCCCAGAGGGCTGCCCGAGTTCCCCGCGACCGCCGCTGTCTGACCGGCCAGCGCGCCCCAGCACCGCGCACAGCAGCAGCCCCAACCCCGCGGCGCGCGCACGGAGGCTCGGCGCGCTCATCGCGGTCCAGCGGCCTAGGTCTCTACCCGAAGCTCCCAGCCGGCGCGCGCTCGGGGCCCGGCACAAACTTCCAGCCGAGGGTGCACGCCCGCCCTCGCGGTCGCGTGCGCGCTCCTCCCTCGCGCTGCCCGGTCAATTCCTTCTTTTACTCCCGGCGGCGAAGCCCTTTCATGCCCCCAAACAGCAGGAGGGAAACCGAAAAGAACTGCCAACTGCAACAGAGTTGCAGCTTGAGCAGCGTCGGCTCGCCGAAGCCCCTTCTTGTCTGCAAAAGAAACTTTTTCGCCTCCACCCCGCGGCACTGCGCCAAGTCCCCGCGCGGCGGAGTAGCAAGGCGGGCGGGTAGAGGCCGACGCGCGCCCATTGGCCGACTCGGCTGCGGGCGTCCCCGTGGCCACGTGACAATAACACCGCTCCAGCCGGGGGCCTACGCGCGGGAGAAAGTGGAGCTGAGATTGTAGGAAATTCAGAGTTATATTTTCCAGCCTCTCCAGCCAGAAGTCTCCACTACGTCGTGGGAAACATATATCAAATGGAGTTGAAAGGCAAAAGGAAGTGAGCAAATACTGGGCTAGTTCTCGGAGTTGGAGGTATTTAGGAGAACTTCAGGGAAGTAAAGTTTAATTAGCAGTGTTTTCAGGAAACTTTTCAATTCCAAATTAAAGACACTGATAAATTATCCTACCATCCACAGATGAAAGAGTGGTTTCAATGAAAACAGCTCTTTCAACGTTAATGCTGGTGGGTGTTCCCCCATACATCGGCTTCAAAAGTAAAAACAATAATAAAACGTAAAACTCGTGGTTTTGGAAAGTGTATATTGAATTACAAATAGCCAGCCTTCGTGCACTGGATAAAGCTGGGCGGGGTGGGGGATGGGAGATGACCTTCTAATAGACCTCGATGGCAATCATAGATTCCTGGTAATAGTAATAATAAAAGTAGTCACAGTGACATTTCAAAGTAAAATGAAAACTAAGACCTTGGAGGAAAAAATTAGTATATGCACCTTGGTCCACTTGCGCTTTGAGTAATGACACATGTTGATTGAGAATGCTACCAGGGTAAAAGTACCTCCCGGCCTCCTCAGCTGGGGGAGTGGATGTTTGGGGCTGGATTCAGGCTACAGGACTTCCCAGTGAAGTTTGTTCCTTAACTTACAGGTGATCAGCGCCACAAGATGTTGAAACTAATGGAGACCGCAGAGATCATGTGCTAAGGGGCCTTCCTCCTCTGGGTAAGGAAATAGACCTAGAGAACGTAACTAATGTGTTTGTTGCAAAAAAAATAAAAATAAAAGCAAGACAGAAAACATGAACAAACCAAAAAACAAACCCTGGAAGCTTAAAGTAAGTTTTCACTTCTATACATTGTTTATTGCATGCTGTCTGCCCAAGCTTGTCTGTCCTTGGAGTTGCGTAAACTGCTCATGATTGAGGAGTGGAGATAGCTTGTGGAGTTGAGACTTTAACCCTGACTCTAAGGCCCATTGATTTTTCACTGTAGCAAATCACTCCCACTTACGGGGGAAGGAAAAGACTCACTTTGAAGTTAACACACCCTATTTTAGATATGGTATCCCATTTTCTTATTTCCAGCTACCATTAACAACAACGCTACTACCTTTTTGGATGATGTATAATTATAATTAGAAAATATCTATAATGATGGCACCTTGGTTTTGAATTTATGATTTTGTCTGCTTGGGAGTAGACAAAACACACTACAGTCATAGTAAGGATTTTCCAGCTCAGTATCCCCCATCTATTTTTATTTATTTTTTTTATTTTTTTATTTTTGAGATGGAGACACTCCAGTCTGTCACCCAGGCTGGAGTGGGGTGCAGTGATGCGATGTCGGCTCGCTGCAACCTCTACCCCCTGGGTTCAAGCAATTATCCTGCTTCAGCCTCCCAAGTAGCTGGGATTACAGGTGCCCACCACCACACCCGGCTAATTTTTTTGTATTTTTAGTGGAGACAGGGTTTCACCATGTTGGCCAAGCTGGTTTCTAACTCCTGACCTCAGGCTATCCGCCCGCTTTGGCCTCCCAAAGTGTTGGGATTACAGGCGTGAGCCACCACACCCGGCCCCCCATCTATTTCATACAAGGAAAATTAGGTATAATTCATTGAAGTTTTTAAAAAGAAGAAAGATTCCATTGTACACATGCCATTATGCATAAGCAAGGTAACATCAGTATGGAGGCTTGCTCTTGAGACATGAGACATATGACAGGGATATAAATGTGCTACCATTTTGGGGAGTTTTGGCTCATTTCCTTTTCTCATTCTTTATTCTCCTTGTATAATTTCATCTTCTTCCATGAATTCCATTTACATTTACATGCTGACATATACAACATCCATATTTCAGCCCAGGTCTTTTTCCTAAACTCGAAATCCATATGTGCAATTACCCACAGGTCATTAAAAATTGGATGTTCAAATGTAACATGTCTAGAATTAAATTTCACCACCCTTGAAACTGACTTGTTTCCTCCTGAATTCACTGTCTTAAAGAGTGGATACTTCCCTCCATCCAGATGAATGCCCCAGAAACCTGAAAGTCACCTTAACATTACTTCATTCTCACCACCACCACCACCACCACCAGAGTCAATCAATTAGCAAGTCATGTTAAAGCTAGCTCCTAAATGTATCTTCTCTCTGTAGAAATTATGCAAATCCAGACCACCAGCAGCTCTTGCCACCTATCAGGCATTCCACTGCTTTCTCCTCAGGGCAGTTAAGTGATATCTCTGAAGGTCAAATCTGAGCCTGTGACTCAACTGACCAGTTCTTTTCTTGGGTTCCTAGTGTCTTGAGAATAAGGTTCAAATTCTTTAGAGTGACTTATACAGTTTTGTTTGTTTGTTTTGGCATTGAGCCTCTATTTATCTCTTTAATTCATTGTCTTTCATCATTTTTCTCCTACTCTAGGAGCTACTTGCAATTCTCTTCCCAGCTGTACTCTTGCCTTCAGCCCTCTTGCAAATGGTTCTTCTGTCCAAATCATTCTCTGCTCCTTCTTCTGCCTGGTTGATGGCATTCCTTCTTTGGCAAACACTTCCCTGAGTCAGGTTTAACTATCTATACCTCCAGTATACTTCCAGCACATCAGTATTGACTGGAATGTAATAGACCATTTTCACTCTAACCCCCAGGTAATACTACAGAATTTTCCGATAACCATGTATTCCTTATCGCCTTTAAGGGTTTTACCAGCTATTGTGAAGTTAAATTACCTAAGTTTTCAGTACCCCAGTTTCTCAGTCTGTAAATTGGGAATACAATAAAAAACGATCTTATCTGGCTGGCTTCCATTTATCAGTTACTGGATTAGCAGTCACTCTGTTCTCTCTGTACAACCTGACTGATGCCTATGACCAGCTGAAATCTAGAAACTACCAGCCTCTCCTTAGAACAGCCTTTGCATATTTGCTCCTACCTGTCAGGTGCTGATCCACAGTAGTTACAGACTTGTTTATATATATTATTAATGTTACACAATATTGTGTAAACCAAATACAAGTGCAACAAGAAAATACCTTTATTTCTATGATAATGAATTTGAAGGTTGGGAAAGATTCTTTAAAGGTAATCGATAAAACAATGCTATCCAATTAGATGAAGATAAGACAGTTGTAAATATGGGAGGAGGAGATTACAAATATCTAGGAGATTTTTTTGGAAAGGTTACTTTGCAAGTAAGATCTTGTTCCACTTTAATTGTATTTGGGAATTAATCAACAGAGGACGTTTTATGGGTGTGGCTTAAGCTTACTCAGAACTTAATGGGATCATTGAGAGAGTAAAAGAGGATGACATGGAAAGAATACAGCGCACATTAAAAATCACTGTTCTACATTTCGATATGTGCTTAACCATGTGGTCAATACAAAGGGGAACTAGTCCTACATGAAAACTTAATTTTTTTATTTTTATTTTTTTGAGACAGGGTCTCACTCTGTCACCTAGGCTGAAATGCAGTGGCGGGATATTGGCTCACTGCAGCCTCAACTTCCTGGGCTCAGGCGATCCTCCCACTTCAGCCTCCTGAATAGCTGGGACCACAGGCGCATGCCACCATACCAGTCTAATTTTTGTATTTTTAATATATGTATATATAGATATATATATATATAGAGAGAGAGAGATGGCGTTTAACCATGTTGTCCAGTCTGGTCTCGAACTCCTGGGCTCAAGAAATCCATCTACTCGTTTCGGCATCCCAAAGTGCTGGAATTACAGGCATGAGCCACCTGCCTGGCTGAAACTTTACATCAATGTAATATTTTCACAGGCTTCTCAAACCTTTCATGAACCACAGGGCAGAGAGAACTTCCACTGGGTATCCATCTGGGCAGATGAGAACTAATATCTTTTGAGGTCCCTTACAGCTCTGTTCTGATTCCTTTACAGTATATAGAAAATAGGCGTGAAGGCAGAGTGACAGCAAAGATAGTTGTAATAGAGGAAGAAGAGGTACATAAAATTCTGTTTAATCTCCCAAAATGTATCAGGGAATAACAGTGACCTAGAAACAGGATTAATGTATCACTGAATTCTCTGATACTCTTATGATGTCATTTTCTTGTATACACACACACACACACACACACACACACACACAGAGGACACAGTGCTATCAAATGTTGAATCTCAGTTTTTGTGGATAATGGCTTACAAATAAGAATTTAGTATGAGAAAGTCAAATTCATTTTGACCAGAGGTCTTTTAACATTTGAAATAAAATGAGATAAGATGTTGGATTTCTCTACTCCTTCAGAGGTTTACACTGGTTAACCAGGTAGTTGGAAGTTAGCTTTCCATTGGAAATTGCTGAGATCACACCAGACAGTTTCTCGTTTCCAGCTGTGTCCCAGTGAATGGCAAGTTTCATCCATTTTCAAAAGGGTCTCCTACCACCCATTTTGTGGTGAGCATAACCCAATCCCAGTGCTCTTTTTAGTTTTCCTGGTCTTTTTTCTTTCTCTGGCAAGTGTGAGACTTTCTTATCTTGAGTGCTGGCAAGGCCAGTGACTCACCGATAAAAAGTAATAGAGGTGCTAAACTGTCAGTTTTAACATCCAAGGACAAGAATGAAAGCTAAACACTCAGTACTTGCTTTATCATTACAATGAATGACACAGTTTGTGTAAGTGGGAGCTGTGAAAAGGGAAAAGAGATAAGGCAAAGGAGGAAGAAAAGCACAAAAATCCCCAGATAATGATGCCAAAAGCAAATGTTGCTGTACTTTGTAACTTAACCATATCTTTTCCCATTCATTAAGGCATTTTAGAAGAAATAGATAACCTTCCTTTCTCTCTCTCTCTCTCACACACACATACAAACACACAAAATGCACAGCTTCACTTAGAGAGCAGATTACTTTACACAACCCCTGCTATGAACATGTCTTAACTTTCAGAAAATATTTAGAAAAATAAAGATAGCCACCCATCTGTTTTTCTCAAGTTGGCCAACTGTGTGATATTATTTGAATTGAAAACAAACAGTGTTATCTCAACTGCAAATTAATATATGCTATTTTGTATTTTACTCATTTCCCATGTCACCGTCTGGGAATAATGTGAGCTCTGAGGAAAACTCATACTGTAGACAACACTGGATATCCTGGAAATCATTTTGGAGCTGCTGGGAGTCTGGAGATGGGGTAGGGAATGGGAAAAGGGGGAGGGCGCCTTCAGCTTCCACCAGACCCTCCTTAAGGCAGAGTGTCCTTCCCAGCAGTAGAGCCTTTGAGTGGTCTCCAGTTTTCCCATTCCTTTGAGAACCTCAGAACACTTTCTCTTCTTTTTCCAATCCTTGCTTCTTCTTCTTCTCTTTTTTTTTTCTGTAGCCAGCTGCAATCCTAAAACTCCACTGAGAATCTCAACTCATGTCAAATAGCCTACCCTGTCAGGAATACAGAAATCTAAATGCTTGAAAAATTGTCAGAGAAGAAGCGGGGTGGTCAGAAGGTGAAATGCTGTAACTTTGGATTTCCTCACACTTCTATGCTCCATTTTTCTCACCTGTAAAATCCAGTGAAAAATGATACCTTGCTGTACCGTAGTACAATATTTTGTAACTATAACGTCCCATATAGATTCTAGTTCCTATTACTTCCAAATTGCTGTTTTCATTATTCAGGGAGACAAAGTGAGTGCGCTACGGAAACATCCCACTGCTGAGATTAATTTCCAATGGAATGTTGGGATTAAGTAAACCTTCAACTATTAATATAAAATAGAATGAGGAAAATAATATTTAATTTTAAAATGAAAACAAAACTTAAACCACTTTTAACCTTAATACAAGGCTCTAAATCTGTCTGTTATGACAGCATACTGTACATATTCTGAGATTTTTTTTTTTAGTAGGAATTTTATTATGCCATCTCAAGAAGTTACTGCATAACTCAATTTGTTATGATTTATGCCATGAGTTCAGAAAGAATCATTAGGCATATTTACTAAAAAGACTTATATATCCCTCCTGGGAACTTTTTGCAGAATGTTTTTCTCCCACTTCTTGGATGAACAGTTGGCCTATGCACTATTCTAAGAATTAATTTGCATTTCAGAACCATGAGAGCACTTATACATGAGTTATTTATTGCTTTTATTTATAGTTTCATCCTCTTACACATATTACATTTACCCAGGCCTGACTATCAAATTATTAAGGTGACTTTGTCATAAACATTGTCAGAATCAAGTTCCCTGCACTGAAAGCTCTGCTTCTGTCCCTAAATATAAGGATTGCTATCGAGTTACAATATGATTCCACATATGTATTTTCAAATAGACAGTGAGGGATAATTTTGGTGGAATGGGGTCAGTTTCAGCAAGATGCTGTGCACCTGTCACAGTACGGACAGTACGGATACTTCCTTGATAACATCTTAAAATTTAGCCCAAAGCTTTCCACACTTCTGCTATGTGTATACATCCATGCAGAAAGATTTCCGCTGAAATACTGACGTGGAGCATGAAGATGCTCTGCAAGAACACCTCACTCATCTGCTTGCCCCAGGCACAACTGTGACTACAGCAGGAAACCTCTTCTGCTCCCACAGCAGTTATTTCAGACTTGAAAAACTTTTTTTTCAGTCAGAACATTCATCTTTACAGCCCACATAAATAAACTTCTGCTCTCTTGTCATTTGAATATGTTTGATCTATTTTTATCCTGGGCAAAATCGAAGCTGTCACCAGCAATATTCCTTAGCTATCTCTTTGCAAATTAAATAATTACAATTCTTTTTTTTTCTTTTTTTGAGATGGAGTCTCGCTCTGTCACCCAGACTGGAGTGCGGTGGCATGATCTCTGCTCACTGCAACCTCCGCCTCCCAGGTTCAAGTGATTCTCCTGCCTCAACCTCCTGAGTAGCAGGGATTACAGACACGCACCACCATGGCCAGCTAATTTTTTGTATTTTTAGTAGAGACGGGGTTTCACCATGATGGCCAAGCTGGTTTTGAACTCCTGACCTCAAGTGATCTGCTCGCCTTGGCCTCCCAAAGTGCTAGGATTACAGGCATAAGACACGGCACCCGGCCTAATAGTTACAATTATTTTAAACACTTTTGCATGAACACTACTGTTCTTCTATCTCACACTCTTATGTGTATCAGGGATGTCTTTCTGCTTATGTGCCTTATAGAAATGAATATGGAGACATTGAGGTATGAGGCCCTTTCAGCTATACAAATGATATTTGACATTTATCAAGCTCTTATTACTCTTACTATTCTCTAGATATTTGATATTATTAACTAATTTATTTTTTATAATCACCTTCTAAGTTATTATCCCCACATTACCAGATAAGGAAACAGAGGGATGGAGATGCTAAGGAATTTACCTGTGATGGAGTTGGGATACAAACTCAGTCAACCTGACCTCACAGTGTACCCCTTGACCACTATGCTACCCTGCTTTCCACTAGAGTCAGAAGAAGCAAGGATTTTCACTGTCTTCCTTAGTGCTAAAAAGGAGTTTCCAGTAGATTGAAAACAATAAGGAAAGTATGGACCTTGCCTGGTTTTTTGAAGGTGGTCAGTTGCAATCACTCCCCCTCCTTTTTTTCCTCCTTTCCTCATTGATCCAAAAAAGATTCATTTTATGCAGATGTATGAATCAATCACTTTAGGGTCCGATTTGTGAAGGTTGATGTCCTGCCCAGATATCAGAGTAGTGCTCCGAATCTAACCATTAGAGATGAACTATGGGGTTCAGACATTACTGTCTTTCTGAAGTCCTCTTTGGCAATATCAATATACCCTCACCTCCAGGAGTGTTACATAAGGTATCATTGACATTTTATGGTCAGTGTTCTATAAAACTAAGTTTGGCTCACAGGAGAACCTAGGTGGTTGGTAATCAGAAGAGGAAAAGGATGCAGAAAGGGAAACAGGCTTTTCTTTCTTCACAGTTTTGTCTAGGGCTGCACCTAATTAGGGGAACCATGAATGGGGTGCATGTGGTCCCACAAGTCCAGGGAAATGAAATATTAATGCTAGAGATTGTTTTTACTGTTGAGATACTTCACATGTGGTAACAGAATTTTTCTTTTTGTTTATGGGCAAATGCTAATTTTTATGCTTTTCTAACTTCTGAACAGTATAAGGAAAAAATTTTAAACAAAAGTGTCCCAAATTGGCTGAGTTTAAATTCTAGTTTCCCATTCAGCTTTTTATGTTTTGAGGCTGAGCTTCAAGTCCACTGCCAAAGGAACATCTCAGAGGCTTCCGTTCTTTAGGAGACTACCTGAGTCATCTCAGTGAGGCTTGAGTTAGAATCTTCCCTCAAATTCAGACACAACACAAATTCTAAAAGTCATTATATTCATTTAAGTTATATTCATTGTCTTAATTTATACTTAAGCCATTCAGTAACATGATAAATACTTTCTGCTATGAGTAACACAATACACCTACTAGAATTCTGATAAAATCTATATTTTCTGATAAGAGAAAGTACTAGAGACATATACTCCTTGTGTTAAAAGCTGTGAATTCATTTTTGAATTTTTATTATCATCCAATATTGAGAGCTCTAATTATGATTTTATCAGTCTATGCACAAAAGTAATTCATATAAAAGTGTATCGAATTTTTCAGATATATAAAAAATATGTTCTTAAAAGTAAAGCTTATTTGGGCAGTTAGTCCTAGAATATTAAATTATTTAATGTAATGGTAATATTTTTTAAAGCCAAGGCATCTTAACAGTAGGAATTTGGATAAAACATTTATTTCACCTAATGAAAATACAATATGAGGAAGTTAACGGAAACATGAATAATTAATTGCATTAAATGTCGGTAGGTCTGTTCGAAAAGGATTCTATAGCATTAACAGTTGATGGACATTTTCTTGAAGTTTGTGATTATTCATTTAAATTGATAAGCTTGTGAAGTAAACAAGAAAATATACTATGTTTTTACCATAACTTTTGATCTTTTTCTATAGTGTTCATGACAAATGTCTCAAGGTGAGGATAGTATTCTCCATCATGTTAATAATTATACTTGAGTTCTGGTGATCTAAGACAAGAATGGTGGAAACAAAATTATGCATAATTTGAACATACTGATAGCAGCCACTAAAGCTCTTTCTAAAAGTTTTGCCCTAGGCAAGTTTTTAAAAATCATCTTTTATAAAATCACTCAAATGTAGTATTCTTGCCTCCATTAAAAATAGCTTCAATATCCTAAGGCAATCCATATTTGGTAACTATAGTTACATCTTTAAGTTGCATTTTATATGTGACTAGATCTGAGATTAAGAGCTGTCAGCTTCTTATAACTCTGATATTTAAAGGAAAAAAGTTTAGGTCAGAGAATCTTTAAAATATCTTTCATCTTTTATCCTCCTTAATTATGAAACTTTATCCTGAATATGATTCCTCTGTCTGCAGTTTAGAAGGCACAACACACTAAGATAAAATTGAACAATTTATAGATGATAGTGGTTCTCCGAGGATGATCAGTGTAAATCTAGCATCAGACATGGAGGAGGATTATTAAACACAAAAACTATTCAAGCCAGGTATGGTGGCTCATGCCCGTAATCCCAGCACTTTGCATTGCCGAGGTGGGAGGATCACTTGAGGCTAGGAATTCGAGGTTATGATGAGCCATGATCATGGCACTGCACTCCAGCCTGGGTGACAGTGACCCTGTCTCTAAAATAATAATAATAATAATAATAATAATAATAATAATAATAATAAAAAACCAGAAAGACTATTTGGCTCTTTCCCAACTTACTGAATTAGATATTCTACAGATGGGTTCTGGGGATCTGCAGTTTAACACACCCTCCAAAATTTGAGAATCTGCAAGTTGCTACTCTGGAATTGTGAGGAACAAGTTCTATTACCATGTAGCTCTTCTTATGCTTTCTTTCCATGGGTGATGAAATGCTAAACGTGCATAAACTCTTCTCTTTTTCCATCTTATTCCATCAAAGAATATAGATGAATCTTAAGGAATACAGAAAAAGACACTCTGATTCTATCTTGAGTAATCATCATAGCCTGGACAAGTTTGGAAATTTGGAGAAAGGCGGAGGGATATTTACTGGACAAGAATACCTTCTGTGATGTGAAGGAATAGATACTTATATGGTAAATAACCATGAAGAATCTGCTGCTGTACAAACTAATTTGTACAGTCAGCCAGCACAGAAATATCAGATATCCACATAGCAGCAGGCCACATCATTCACTTGTCTATTTATGCAACTGACAAAAGGAGAATCATTTAACTGAAAGTTATGAAAAATCTAGAGATAAGGAAATTCCTATGTATATTTTTATTGTAACACTTGTTAGGGGTGTGTGTGTGTGTGTTTATGTGTGTGTGTGTGTTGGTTGGTTTATTTCCAGTGATGTGAATTCCTTGCATCTTGAGTCCAGGGCCTGTCTTAATGATCTGAATACCCATCTCAGCTAGTAGTATCACTTTTTATCCACTCACCCAAATTCTTACGGATCTTCCTCACTCCTCTCTTTCTCTCACAGTTTCCAACCCACCTCCCACCTCAGCAAGCTCTGTCAGCTCTACTTTCAAAATACATACTGATTCTGACCAGTGTCAACACCTCCACTCCCACCACCCTGTTTCAGCCATCATCGTCTTTCACCAGAATTAATGGGAAAGCCCCTTACCCCATCTCTGATACTAGTCTCAAATCCTGTAATCATTTCTTCACAAAGCAACCCATGTCTCCTGGTTAAGCATGGACCAGATTCCGCTGCTCTCCCACTCTGAATCTTCCCATGGTTTCTTTCACACTTGGAATAAAATCCAGAGGTTTGCCTGAGGTCTACCAGGCCCCACAGGATCCATTTGCTTTCTCAACCTTATCTCCCCCTGGAAATACCACACTTGCTCCCCTTCCTTTTATTTCTGGCACATACCAAGGCTATTATCATCTGAGGCCAGTTGCCCTTGCTGTTCATTCCACCTGGAACGCCAGAGCCTCATGCCTCATTGTCGCCTCCTTAAGGCCTCTTTTCAAATTTCGCTTTCCAACGAAACTTTCCTAACCACATCTTCAAAATAGCTTTCTTCCTCTCCCTGCCTCCAGGCAATCTCTAGTCCTTCTGGGACTTATTTTTCTTCTTTGTATTACCACTATCTGAAATTATATCTGTATTTTGTATTGTTTATGCCCTCCACCAGAATATAAGCCCCGCAGGGTAGGAACTTGGTCCTGTTTACCACTGAAACTCCATGCCCAGAGCAATGCCAGCCATGCTGTAGTAATCAACAAAACCTTATAGAATGTCTAATCCCCAGCGCTGACACATAACCAGAGCTTCACATATCTATGCTGAGGGTCTAAATGAATGAATATTAGAAGCTTTGTTTTTCTGGTTGCAAATATTCCCCTTGAGCAGAATGTACTCCGTACAGGTGGCCATTCTAGCCTAGTCCTGAATTCTATTTCCTTGACCATATTTCCCCATGGGAAGGTTTATTTTCTCTTGTTTGAATGAAGGAAGTCAAGGAGCAGTCTATTTCTTATTAATTAAAAAAAGATTTGGGATTTATTTCATCCTGTAAAGTAATCAGAAATTAATTTTGCCCAACAGAAGGATACAGGGTGACATTCAAGTTATCATTAAAGCAAGTCAATATGAGCGATAAAACAACAGAGAGTTAATAATGGGCAATTCTCTACTTGTTTCTATCTTACTCTTCTCCAGTGAGGACCTAAATATTCTAAAACAATCCAGTTGTGTCTCCTTGTAATTTCAGATTCCTCATGAGATTACCAGGGGACACTGACTTAGGTTTTAGACACAAGCTGTCTTACTGTCACATTTCTAAACAGAAAGTCTTTCTTTATGGAACAAAAATAGTAGAGCGTGTAGCTGGAAAGCTAAATGGAGAAGCTAAGACCAAGCAGCCCTTTGGTCTCATGGAACAGTGTCTTTCTATTAGTACCTTAAAAAGTATCTTCAAAATATCATCTGCTTTCATAGGAAGAGAAGTATACCCTCTCATAATATTATCCAAAATGTTTTGGAAACTGACATTAATGATGAATGCAAAATAAAATCATACAGTAGCTTTATGTTACAGTTTCTTCCCCATCTTAGAATCAGTTTGTGGAGAATTTCAGTTTGTAGACAACTGATTCCCACATGTGAATTATAGTTAAATTACACCAGTGATGTCACTGATGTGGAATAAAAAGTGCTGTGAATTTTAGTGATCGCTATTTCACTACAGCTGTGAGCAATGTGTTCCATAAAGACTGGTATAATTCTCCCAGGAGTCATGTTAAAAACTTCACTCTTGCAACTCGTAAGCAACTAATGCTTAAAAATGTATGCAAAAGACACTTACCCACAAGGTCAGTATTTTATGTATTTCCTAGCTAACAAGTTTTAAAAAGTTCTTGTATTATTATCTCCATTAAACATTAGGCTAAAGTCCAGCATATGCTATGTAAATAAGCAAGTCTGCAAATTAAAGTAAGAGAGTGATCAAATACAATAAAGGTGATTTTCTGGTTTGAAATAAAAGCATAAGCACGCGATGTCTTTCAGCTTTAAATATTGAAGAAAAATAGCCTGGGTCAAAGGTAGAACAAGATTTTTCGTAAAGAGCTTTAGGATTGCCTACTTTTATTTTGGTTGGATTAAAGCAAATCGTTTGCATTACTGTAACCTGGGTCAAAGCTGGCCTGCGGGGATGGCTGTGTGCCCAGCAGACCCACTCCACCAGGGAACTGCCATGGTGGCCCTATCCACAGGTGTCCCATGGAGCACAGTCCTCTCCTTGGGGGGTCTCAATGAGTCACCATGGAATTTTCATTGAAGAGAGAAAGTTTCCCAAAAGAAAAACAACAACCGGCAACTAAAAATAAGCAGCTGTATTTAGTGTGGAGAAAGTGAAATTATTTCTTATATCCAGAATCCTTTACCTTTTTGCCCAAATCTGATGTGGTATGACTCTTAACAGATTACAGTCTTTGTCTAAGACATCTGTCTGGGTCCTTCTTGGCCACATTTTGCAAAAGGAGTATTTATTCCAGTCATTGAAAAAAATAGAGACTCAGGCCCGGCGGGGTGGCTTACGCCTGTAATCCCAGCACTTTAGGAGGCCGAGGTGGGCGGATCACGAGGTCAGGAGATCGAGACCATCCTGGCTAACATGGTGAAACCCCATCTCTACTAAAAATACAAAAAAAATTAGCCAGGCTTGGTGGCAGGCGCCTGTAATCCCAGCAACTTGGGAGGCTGGGGCAGGAGAATGGCGTGAGCCCAGGAGGCAGAGCTTTCAGTGAGCCGAGATCGTGCCACTGCACTCCAGCCTGGGCGACAGAGCAAGACTCCGTCTCAAAAAAAAAAAAAAAAAAAAAAAAAAAGAGACTCTTGGGTTGAGATTATGTGGGGGAAGAAAAGGGTTATTTGGGACAACAGTTGATAAAAAGATTATCAAGAGTGAACGTGGATAATGTCTTTGCTATGTGTCCCTACTATTATGAGCACTGAGAATGCAGAAATTATTTCTAAGTTATTTATCACCATACTCCCTGAACCTAGCTAAGTGTCCAGGGCCTAGAACATTGTACATGCTCAAGAGGTGTGTGTGTGTGTGTGTGTGTGTGTATGTGTGTGTGTTGAAATGAATAAAGGGAGAAGGGAAAAACTTAAAGAGGGAAAATGACCATGATACTGAGTATCAGGTCTAGAAAGTGATATATGGCCATTTTCAGAAGAACATGTAGATCCCTGAGCCTGAAGAACTAGGCTGTTGAACAAAGGACAAATCAGTGTGGGTGTTAAGAACTAAGATGGTGAACTCTGCCAGGACATTGGGTGCCTTTCTAAAAAGTCCCAATAGTGTGGAAACAAAGCTGCCCGACAGCTTATGGAAACTGTTTATGACAGCCACAAATGCCCAATGGACATATTTGCTCCTGTGGCAAGGCCCACTCAGCAACACCTGACACACTGGCCAGTGCTCCCTTTCCTTGCAACACTCCCTCCTCCTGCTCTTCCCACTCGAGTGTACATGAATCTTGAGAGCACGTGGATCTGTCTCTAGGCCTGGAAGACATAGAAAGGTTTCCAAAGACACTTCATTTATAATCAGGAAGTCTCTCAGACATCAAGCTATTTTGGCTTAATTAAGAAAAAAGATCCTTGACAGCTACAAGTGGAAAGTTCTTGGGATGGGATAGCCTTTAATAGCCCCAAACTTGGCAACCTTCTAAGAAGAAATTCTGCCAGTTCTTAATTTTAAAACTAAGGCTATATTTATGCAACACTTAAACAACTGGTTAATTCAGTGAAACTATCGCCCCAATTTAATTTGACGACATGTAAATGAACAGACTTTTGATTAACTAATTCACCTTCCAACTACTTGTCAAGATCTTCCAAAAGTGGGCTGATTTCTATTTCACACAGCTGAGATTTATGATATCATTAAAGAGCTAAGATTCAGTGACTTTAAACTATGCTTGAATTATAACTTAAAGCAATGTCTTACCTTAATAATGGTAGGGATATGAAGATTTGCTTTCAAACTTAGTGCAGCATTTCTGGCTTTTAAGTTTTAGTGACATATTTATCAAGGGCAACTAGGTGCCGAGTGCTCAAACGCACCTGTAATCATGCTTTTATCTTATGTTCAGAAAACTATAGCAGCCTTATTTTTTTTCTACATTTTGTGACACTAATCTCTTTCCTCTAATCTGTTTTATACTACTAAGGAAATCTTAAATATTATTTCATAGTTTTCCTCCTCAGAAAACTTCAACATTATGTATGTATACATATCTCATTATACCCAATATAATTGAACCTATAAAAATAATAAAAATATGAATAGGTATACACCAGAGTGATGCATATGGAAGTGTTTTAAAGATTCTTGTTTATAATCTGTGTTTTATTATTTTCTGCAATGCGTCTTACCTATGTAAAAGAAGTTCATTTACTTTTTTTTTGAAGATTCAGTAACTCAATTTTCTTGATTTAAAAAAAAGAAAAAGGTGGAAAGCATATATGAGTGTAGAAATAATCAAAATATAATGGTAATCACTATTAATGTAAATAGACGAAACTTTCTCGTTAAAAACAGTTGTCAAATTGGATTTAAAAACAAATAAAATACAAAAATCAAGCTGCATTATGTTTACAGGATATACACTTAAAACTTCTGGATAAAGATTTAAAGCCAAAAGACAGACAAACTCTGTTTACCACTCATTGATAAACAAAAGAAAGTTAATGTAGTCATTTTATTATCAGAAAAAGTAAACTTTAAGAGGCATTCCTAGAGATAAAGAATTCAACCACTGCTAAGATATAATAGTGCTATTCTCATATGCACCTAATAATATAGTCTCTGGGTATAGCCAGAGATTTTATACTACATCTCTCAGTAACTGATAAATCAAGCAGAAAAAAATCAACAATTCCACAGAAGATTTGAACAGTACAATTAACAAATTTGATCTGTGTAATATTCAGAGAACATCATACTCCACAACTGGGGTGTAAATATTCTTTTCAAACACAGGAAAAACTTTATGAAAGTTGACTGCGTTCTAGGACATAAAGATATACTCAACAAATATTAAGCCATTGATAACCATATAGCTCACATTTCTTAAATACCACCCAAGGAAGTAAAAAATCAATCTAGGCATAATTCTAGGCAAAGTTGACTACGTTCTAGGGCATAAAAGATATACTCAACAAATATTAAGCCATTGATAACCATATAGCTCACATTTCTTAAATACCACCCAAGGAAGTAAAAAATCAATCTAGGCATAATTCTAGGAAGAAAAAAACAAATATCTGAAAACTTAAAAATACATTTTCAAATAACTGATAGGTTTAAAGAAAGAAATCATAATTGAAATGTTAAGTATTTAAAACTAAATAATAACAAAAATATATTACAAAACCTGTGGGTTGAAAGTAAAGTAAATTTTGGAATGAATTTCATAGCCTTAAATATTTTAATTATATAAGAATGCTCAGAATTAATGAGCCAGACTGTTTATCCTAGAAAACCAAGGTTAATTTGGTAGCAAATTAATTAATTTAATTTACTGCATTAATAGATTAAAGGAGAAGTGCTTAATTATATTAATAAATACAGAAAAAAGTTTGGTAAATTCAATATTTATTAATGATAGAAAGATCTTAGCAAGCTAGGAATAAAAGGGAATTTCCCAAATCTGAAAAAGGTCATATCCAGAAGTATATTATAAATGTCATACTTGGAGTGAAATATAGGAAACATTCTCTTTATAATCCAGAACAAGACAGATATGCTCATTATCATAATTTCTAACCAGTTTAAAAGAGTTTTGCAAATGTATTTGATAACAAAATCTATATACAAAATTCATTTGTAAATCCACATGCCTGTAACAATCAGGAAATGTAATTCAAATAAAACAAACCAAAAAACTTTTTTTAATAGCTCTTAAATCAACAATAACAATAATAACTACCATGAACAAGAAAAGAACTATTAAAATACACTAATGTCCTTTATTGAGAAAATTATAACATTTTATTGTAAGATATTAAGTAATACCTAAATAAGTAGAGACATATACAGGTTGAGCATCTCTAATTGAAAATCCAAAATCTGAAGTGCTTCAGAATCCTAAACACTTTGACCACTGACATAATGCCACAGGTGGAGAAATTTTACACCTGATGTCATGTGACAGGTCGCCGTCAAAATGTAGTCAAAACTTTGTTTCATGCACAAAATGATTCAAAATATTGTATAAAATTACTTCAATCTATGTGTATAAGGTGTATATAAAATGTACATAAATTTCGTGTTTAGACTTGGTTTTCATCCCAAGATGTCTCATTATATATATTCAAATACCTCAAAATTCAAAACATTCCAAATGCTTCTGGTTCCAAACATTCTGGATAAGAGATGCACAACCTATATACCATGTTCTCAGGCATTATAAGGAAGTGAATTCTCTCAACTTTGGTCTAAAAATTCAAATTAATTTCAACTGGTTTTTCATGGAATTGGACAAACTAATTCTACCGTTTGTATCGATGAACAGAGATGATCCATGTGCCACTTGACCAATCAGATATTGTGACAGTGGACAGTGTGTTGTCACAGTACAAAAAAAATAGAACATTAGGACCAAATAAAGAACCTAGACAGAGATTCTTTCCTATTTGGTATTTGGCTTTTGGAAGAAGAGACATTGCAAATCAGTGGGAAAAGAAAAAAACAATGTAATTAATGACGCTGGAAAAAATGATGACCCCTGAGGATGAAAAGTGAAATTGAAGCCCTATCTCATCTCACACTCAAAAATCAATCCCAGTTGGATTAAAGACCTAAATGTGAAATGCAATATTTAAGAAATGTACTTTAAAAAGACAATATACCTCAGTATATCCTGTTGTTGGGATATAGAAGCATCTCTTAACATATTTAAATGCATTTAAATTAAGTATTTCTGGGCTGGGTGCGGTGGCTCATGTCTGTAATCCCAGCACATTGGGAGGCTGAGATGAGTGGATCACTTGAGCTCAGGAGTTTGGGACCAGCCTGGGCAACATAGCGAAACCTTGTCTCTCTCAAAAATACAATTAGCCAGGTGTGGTGGCAGGCACCTGTCGTCTCAGCTACCTCGGAGGCCGAGGTGGAAGGATCACCTGAGCCCAGGAGACAGAGGTTGCAGTGACCTGAGATAGCACCACTCCACTCCAGCCTGGGCAACAGAACAAGGCTGTCTCTAATTAATTAATTAATTAATTATTTCTGTTCAGAAAAACACTGTTTCAGGACACACACACACACACACACACACACACACAGAGAGAGAGAGAGAGAGAGAGAGAGTAAAAGATAAGCCAGGGACTGGGAAAGAATATTTCCAACACATGTCACTGAAAAATGTTTGCTAACTAGTATATACAAAGTCCTCCTATGGTTTAAAAAGGGGAGAAAACCTAACAAAAGCGAATAGAGAAACTGGCAAAAGGCATGAATAAACATTTCACAGAAGAGGAAATCGGAAAAGTCCATAAGCATATGAAAAGATGATAAACATCATTAGTAATGAAGTAAAATATAATTTAATATATTTACATGTTAAATCACAATGAGGTATTTTATTATGCACCAAATTGCCAAAGATTTTCAAAGTCAGAAAATATCAAGTGTTTACATGGATATAGGACAGAGACTGGCTAACTTTCCGTAAAGAGCCAGATAGTAATTATTTTAGGATTTGCATAAATTTTCTCATAACTACTTGACTGTGCTGTTGTATTACAAAAGCAGCTGCACACAATAACTCACCAAATGAACATAATTTTCTTCCAATAAACCTTTATTTACATAAACAGGCAGCAAACTTGATTGGGTTCATGGCTGAGATTTGCTGATCTCTGATGTGGAGGAAAACAGAAATCACGTGGGAGTATAAATTGGTATAAACCTTGGAAATAATCTTTGAAACTAGTTTGTGTACAGTGTATCCTGGCATGTACTATATAGGAACTCCAGCATATGTACACCAAAGAGGAATGTACAAGAATGTTCATGGCAGTTTGCTTATAATAACAAAATAACAGAACAACTTGTTTTAGCCTATTCAGGCTGCTATAATAATATATCATAAATTGGGTAGCTTGTGAGCAACAGGAAATTTATTTCTCACAGTTCTGGAGGCTGGGAAGTCAAAGATCAAGGTGCCAGCAGGTTCAACATCTGATAAGGGCCTGTTCACAGACAGCACTTTCTCACTGTGTCCTCACTTGGCAAAGGGTGGGAGTCCCTCTTGGATCTTCTTTATAAGGGCACTATCCCATTTATGAGGGCTCTTCCCAGGTGACCTACCACGCTCTCAAAGGCCTCACCTCCTTGTATCACTACATTGGTTATACACATTCAGATTATATGCTATAGCATGATACGGTTAGGCTTTGTGTTCCCGCCCAAATTTTATCTTGAATTATAATTCCCATAATCCACACTTGTCGAGGGAGAGACCAGGTGGAGGTAATTAAATCATAGGAGAACTTTCCCCCATGCTGTTCTTGTGATAGTGAGTGAGTTCTCACGAGACCTGATGGTTTTATAAGGAGCTCTTCCCCTTCACTCAGTTCTCCTTCCTGCTGCTGTGTGAAGAAGGTGCCTTGTTTCTCTCTAGCCTTCCACCGTGATTGTAAGTTTACTGAGGCCTCCCCACCCATGCAGAACTGAGAGTCAATTAAACTTCTTTCCTTTATAAGTTACCCAGTCTCAGGTATGTCTTTATTGGCAGTGTGAGAATGGACTAATACACAGCATAACTCACATTATATCATCAGTAACATGGATAAATGTATTTTGTAATGTTGATACAAAGAAATGCTATGCAACAGAGCTAGACGCAGTAATTCCTGGATGCATCTGAAAAACATAGTATTGTAAAAAAGGAGTGATCACCAAGGAATATGTACAGTATGAGCCCATTTGAATAAAGTACAAATAAACAGACAACACTAAAATACATATGTGTGTGTGTGTGTGTATATATATGTATATATAATTTGAATCACATGCTATGTGACCACACTAAATTGAGAAGCAAGACAATAATTAGTACAAACTTTAGGAATGTGTTCACCTCTTGGGGGAAGGACAGACTGAGATCTGGGAAGGCCAAACAAGGGCTTCTAAAATACTGGGAATGTTCTCTTTCTCAGTGAAGTTAGTAGACCTTTAGTTGTTGGTTTCATTTTATTCCTTAAATGCTAAGTATGTATTTTATATACTCTTGCATATGTGATATTTTGTAACAATATATCAATTCAACTGCAGTCTGAAATCAAATTAAATTACGTTTCAGGAAGATCACTCTGGCAGAGGTATTTGGTACGAACTAGAAGAGGAGGAAAGTAGTGTCAGGAAGACTAGGTTAGGAGAATATTATAGTATTCCCTGCATAAGGAGTGGTAGTCATGTAATTTGAGAAAAAGGAGTGCCTTTAATAAATGTTTTGAGGTAAGGATGTAAAGATATTAGGTAGAGGTGATGGAAAGGATAGATAAGCCTAGGAAATTATTGTTGTTGTTGTTAACAATTTGGACCTTTTTAAAAATAGTTTTTGAGTACTTAATGAAAATATTTAAGAAAATGAGAGGAAAAAGCTATTGGAGAACTTTAGAGTGATCTAACCAAGTAATTATCCCTCCAAAGGAGCCTAAATGAAATGTTTACTTGAATGAACACAAAACAGAAGAAACAAAACAAAGTCTTGTTGTAGCAGTTCCCGAGGAAAGTTGAAGAGCATTTATTTTGATATAAAATAATGAAAGAATGGGTCACATTAATAATATCTAATGAATAAAGACCAAATACCTGGTACCATGCAATTAGTAGCTACTTAGAACATGAAAAGGTAGGGAGAAATGTTATCAACTTACATGGTGGCTAAGCCCTGGGTTCAAATCCTAAGTGATCTTTGGCAATGTTTTGAGAGTTTCTAAGGCTCGGTTTCCAATCTATAGAACAGGTATAATAGTATCTATTTCAGACAGTTTTTTGTGAGACTTAGTGTTTTTAATGTGCTCACTAGATCGCATAGCATACAATCAAAATATAAGTGACAAGAAAAATACAATGACTTTACATAATTAGCAACAATTGCGCTATTAAAAAATAACTGTTAGGTTTCTTTTTCTAATATCATTTTGGTTTGTTTCTAAAGTTTTTATAAGTGGAACTATCAGCCACTTGGGTTTTCTGCTTTGTTTTGCTGGAATTGCTCTCTTCCTCTGTCACTTTAACGAAACATTGGCTAAAATGTTGACTTTGTTTTATCTCATGCCTTGATACATTTCCTTATCTTTCAGTGACTTTTGAAAGGGTATATTCACTTAGTAAGGCTAGTTATAATTTCACAGAAAATGTCTTTCTCTCCTGTGACAGGGGTGTATTTTTAGGAAAAATAAAAAGTAAGTATACATCTTACTTCTAGCCACCTGCAAGAGAAAAATGAGTAGAAACGGGGTGTACATGCATTTAAATTTTGCTACTCCAGCTTCCCTTTCCTGTAGGAAACTCAGTTATAGTTTTAAAAAAACAAAAGAATAGATGAAAAGAAGGAAATGGAAAGCCCTTGGGGGAAGGAAGAATGTCACCGTTTGGAGTGAATAACTTAAATCGGCTACTGATACAGCTTAAGTTGAAGTTGTCGTTGCTTTTCCTGTTTTATTTTTTATAGGGTACATTCAACCTTTAATGGTTCAAAACTTATTTTTTCCACTTAATAGTAAAAACTATAAAGTCATGTCTTAACTGTATGAATGGGGATTACTTTAGGATTTTTTAAAGAGGCATTGCCTTGGGAGAAAAACACATATAGTCTTCAAGGTGAAACTTAAAATATTACCTTTAAATTCTTAATTATATTTTATGGAGATAATACTTCAGTCTTACTTGACTTTTGAATTAGATTGTTTAACACTTGGGGATATACACAGCTGCTATAAGAAATTAACTTTAGAAATATTTTAAAAGAAAATTGGAAAAAGAAAGAAAATGAAAATTTGTCTTCTCTATGAAAACCTAAATCTCTGTAGTCATTTTCTCAAACTGATCCAGCAGTAATATGTTGATTGCCATATTTGTAATATTTTGTTTTTTATTTTTATATTTAATATATATTTTTTAAGACAAGGTTTCACTGTGTCGCTGAGGTTAGTGTATAGTGGCAAGATCATAGCTCACTGGAAGCTCCAATCCCTGGGCTCAAGCGATCCTCCCTCCTCAGCTTCCTCAGTTGCATGTGACCACACCCAGCTAGTAATATTTTAATAGTAAGTTATGAATCACCAAACTATATCTATATAGTGCTTTAGTTATAGGTAGTTTTGCTATGTTTTATAAAAGAAGACAAGTTAGGTTTTCCTAAAGATATAGCCAGTCTTTTTCCTTTTTGGGGGGTTAGTGGGGGTGAGCTAATCACTTCTATTTATAATTTGCTTTCATTCACTTGCACTTCTTATATAGGTTTTCAGATGTCAACCTAAGTAAATACTGAAAAAAAGAAAAATCAAATACATACATATGGAAAATCAGAATCATTCTTATGAAGAAACTCATTCATTAGAAAAATTTGAAAATGGTTTCCTACCACTTCCTTCAAAACTAGGAGAAAATAAGTGGTGACCAAAACCGTAAGACTAGAAGCATGGATAAATTCAATTAGCAATTAAAATTTTTTTTCATTTTGGTAAAATCCAGTCAAAGTAAGTTATAGACTCTTAAACTAAATTATTTTAATACGCATTTTGCTTTTTGCCTGTTACGTAGACAGGAGCCAACCTCAATGTCAGTTTGGTGGGATATGAATCAGGTAGTTACAGTGCCCACAGCTCTTTCTGTTGGTGGCATGAAATGTAGTGAGCTGTGGACTGAGTTGTAATCCTGTTTACTCAGGCTATTTACTATCTCCCAATGATAAAGGATGCAGTAATACCCAAGACTGGCAGAAAAACACAGGAGTGTGAGTAAATAAAACCAAAAATGAGATGTAGGCCCAGGCTTATTAACCCCACAGCAATGAAAAGATGACGACAGAGTCTAGACTTTACTCTCCAAGCCTGATAAATGATTATAATGGCCAGTACTTTTCAGTGTTTGCCATACCCTAGACCTGGAGTCTGCTACCCCTGGGCCATGGACAGGTAGCAGTCCGAGGCCTGTTGGCAGCTGGGCCACACAGCAGGAGGTGAGCGGTGGCTGATGGAGCATTACCACCTGATCTTTACCTTCTGTCGGATCAACCTTGGCATTAGATTCTCACAGGAGTTTGAACCCTATTGTGAACTGTGCATGCAAGAGATCTAGGTTGCATGCCCCTTAGGAAAATCTAACTCATGCCTGATGATCTGAGGTAGAACAGTTTCATCCCCAAACCACCTCCTTGCTTCCTGTCCTTGTAAAAATTGTCTTTCATCAAACCAGTCCCTGGTGCCAAAATGGTTGGGACCACTGCCCTAGACACTTGACTAAGAACTTCTTCCTGTTTTTTTTTTTTAGATGGAGTCTCGCTCTGTAGCCCAGGCTGGAATGCAGTGGTGCGATCTCTGCTCACTGCAACCTCCACCTCCCAGGTTCAAGCAGTTTTCCTGCCTCAACCTCCCAAGTAGCTGGGATTACAGATGTGTGCCACCACACCCAGCTAATTTTTGTATTTTTAGTAGAGACGGGGTTTCACAATATTGGCCAGACTGTTCTCGAACTCCTGACCTTGTGATCCACCTGCCTCAGCCTCCCAAAGTTGCTGGGATTACAAGGGTGAACTACCATGCCCAGGCAAGAACTTCATATAACTTATATTGTGTCTTGTTCCTCCTGATAATATTGTATAGTAATTACTCTTATTATTATCATTCCATCAATGGGGAAACTGAGGCCGAGTGAAGCTAAATAAATTTGCTTAAAGTTACAAGCTAAGTAAATGAAGGAGCTAGCTTTTGAACTTAGAAGCAATACTTTCTTTATTTTTCCATAAGTTATTGGGGTATTTGGTTACATGAGTAAGTTCTGTAGTGGTGATTTGTGAGATTTTGGTGCACCCATCACCCAAGCAGTATACACTGCACCATATTTGTAGTCTTTTATCCCTGTCCCCCTCCTACTCTTCCCCCCATGTCCCCAAAGTCCATTTTATCATTCTTATGCCTTTGTGTCCTCATAGATTAGCTCTCACATGTCAGTGAGAACATATGATGTACGGTTTTCCATTCCTGAGTTACTTCACTTAGAATAATAGTCTCCAGTCTCATCCAGGTCACTGCAAATGCTGTTAATTCATTGCTTTTTATGGCTGAGTAGTATTCCATCATTCATATATATATATATATATATATATTATATATATATATATATACACACACACACACACACACACACACACACATTTTATTACATTAAGGTATGTCCCTCGTATGCCGATTTTGCTGAGAGTTTTAAACATAAAGGGATACTGGATTTTGTTGAATGCTTTTTCTGCATCTATTGAGATGATCATGTGATTTTTGTTTTTAATTCTGTTTATGTGGTGTATCACATTTACTGAATCGCATATGTCAAAACATCCCTGCATCCTTGATATGAAACCCACTTGATCATGGTGGATTATCTTTCTGTTATGTTATTGGATTTGGTTAGCTAGTATTTTGTTAAGGATTTTAGCATCAATGTTCATCAAGGATTTCAGTTGGTAGGTTTTTTTCTTTATACTTTAAGTTCTAGGGTACATGTGCACAACATGCAGGTTTGTTACATATGTATACATGTGCCATGTTGGTGTGCTGCACCCATTAACTCGTCATTTACATTAGGTATTTCTCCTAATGCTATCCCTACCTCCTCCTCCTACCCCACAACAGGCCCTGGTGTGTGATGTTCCCCACCCTGCGTCCAAGTGTTCCCATTGTTCAATTCCCACCTATGAGTGAGAACATGCGGTGTTTGGTTTTCTGTCCTTGTGATAGTTTGCTCAGAATGATGATTTCCAGCTTCATCCATGTCCCTACAAAGGACATGAACTCATCCTTTTTTATGGCTGCATAGTATTCTGTAGTGTATATGGGCCACATTTTCTTAATCCAGTCTATCATTGATGGACTTTTGGGTTGGTTCCATGACTTTGCTATTGTGAATAGTGCTGCAGTAAACATATGTGTGCATGTGTCTTTACAGCAGAATGATTTATAATCCTTCGGGTATATACCCAGTAATGGGATGGCTGGGTCAAATGGTATTTCTAGTTCTAGATCCTTGAGGAATCACCACACTGTCTTCCACAATGGTTGGACTACTTTACAGTCCCACCAACAGTGTAAAAATGTTCCTATTTCTCCACATCCTCTCCAGCACCTGTTGTTTCCTGACTTTTTAATGATCACCATTCTAACTGGTATGAGATGATATCTCATTGTGGTTTTGATTTGCATTTCTCTGATGGCCAGTGATGATGAGCATTTTTTCATGTGTCGGTTGGCTGCATAAATGTCTTCTTTTGAGAAGTGTCTGTTCATATCCTTTTCCCACTTTTTCTGTGCAGAAGCTCTTTAGTTTAATTAGATCCCATTTGTCAATGTTGGCTTTTGTTGCCATTGCTTTTGGTGTTTTAGTCGTGAAGTCCTTGCCCATGCCTATGTCCTGAATGGTATTGCCTAGGTTTTCTTCTAGGGTTTTTATGGTTTTAGGTCTAACGTTTAAGTCTTTAATCCATCTTGAATTAATTTTTGTATAAGGTGTAAGGAAGGGATCCAGTTTCAGCTTTCTACATATGGCTAGCCAGTTTTCCCAGCACCATTTATTAAATAGGGAATCCTTTCCCCATTTCTTGTTTTTGTCAGGTTTGTCAAAGATCAGATGGTTGTAGATGTGTGGTATTATTTCTGAGGGCTGTGTTCTGTTCCGTTAGTCTATATCTCTGTTTGGTACCAGTACCATGCTGTTTTGGTTACTGTAGCCTTGTAGTATAGTTTGAAGTCAGGTAGCGTGATGCCTCCAGCTTTGTTCTTTTGGCTTACTGTAGCCTTGTAGTATAGTTTGAAGTCAGGTAGCGTGATGCCTCCAGCTTTGTTCTTTTGGCTTACTGTAGCCTTGTAGTATAGTTTGAAGTCAGGTAGCGTGATGCCTCCAGCTTTGTTCTTTTGGCTTACTGTAGCCTTGTAGTATAGTTTGAAGTCAGGTAGCGTGATGCCTCCAGCTTTGTTCTTTTGGCTTAGGATTGTCTTGGCAATGAGGGCTCTTTTTTGGTTCCATATGAACTTTGAAAGTATTATTATTTTTTTTTTGGTTATGTCCTTTCCTGGTTTTGGTATTAGGGTGATGCTGGCTTCATAAAATGAATTATGGAGGGTTCTTTCTTTCTCTATCTCATGGAATAGTGTCAAAAGGATTGGTACCAATTCTTCTTTGAATGTCTAGTAGAATTCTGCTGTGAATCCATCTGGTCCTTGACTTTTTTTTTTGTTGGTAATTTTTAAATTGCCATTTCAATCTCGTTGCTTGTTATTGCTTTGTTCAGGGTATCTAATTCTTCCTGATTTAAGGTAGGAGCATTGTATTTTTCCAGGATTTTATCCATCTCTTCTAGGTTTTCTAGTTTATGTGCATAAAGTTGTTCATAGTAGCCTTGAATTATCTTTTGTATTTCAGTGGTGTCAGTTGTAATTCCATCTCTGTTTCACTTCTTAGTAAGGTTATTTGGATTTTCTCTCTTCTTTTCTTAGCTAGTCTTGCTAATGATCTATCAATTTTATTTATCTTTTCAAAGAACCAGCTTTTTTTGTTGTTGTTGTTCTGAGACAAAGTCTTGCTCTTGTTGCCCAGGGTGGAGTGCAATGACACAATCTTGACTCACTGCAACCTCTACCTCCTGGGTTCAAGCAAATCTCCTGCCTCAGCCCCCCGAGTAGCTGGAATTACAGGCATGTGCCATCACACCTGGCTAATTTTGTATTTTTAGTAGAGACAGGGTTTCTCCATGTTGGTCAGTCTGGTCTTGAACTCCCGACTTCAAGTGATCCACCCACCTCGGCCTCCCAAAGTGCTGGGATTATAGGCGTGAGCCACCGCGCCCAGCAGAACCAGCTTTTTGTTTCATTTATCTTTTGTATTTTTGTTGTTGTTGTTGTTGTTTCAGTTTCATTTAGTTCTGCTCTGATCTTGGTAATTTCTTTGCTTCTGCTGGGTTTGGGTTTGGTTTGTTCTTATTTCTCTATTTCCTTGAGGTGTGACCTTAGAGTGTCAGTTTGTGCTCTTTCAGTCTTTTTCATGTAGGCACTTAGGGCTATGAACTTTCAACTTAGCACCGCCTTTGCTGTATCCCAGAGGTTTTGATAAGTTGTATAATTATTGTCATTCAGCTCAAATTTTTTTTTTTTTTTTTTTTTGGGACAGAGTCTCTCTCTGTCACCCAGGCTGGAGTACAGTGGCACGATCTCAGCTCACGGCAACCTCCATTTCCCGGGCATCCCAAGTAGCTGGAATTACAGGCATGTGCCACCACATCCAGCTAATTTTTGTATTTTTAGTAGAGACAGGCGGGGTTTCAACATGTTGGCCAGGCTGGTTTCGAACTCCTGGCCTCAGGTGATCTGCCCGCCTTGGCCTCCCAAAGTGCTGGGATTACAGGTGTGAGCCACTGCGCCCAGCCCAAGTAATTTTTTAATTTCCATCTTGACTTCGTTTTTGACCCAGTGCTCATTCAGGAGTAGGTTATTTAATTTCCATGTATTTGCATGGTTCTGAAGGTTCGGAGTTGATTTCCAGTTTTATTCCACTGTGGTCTGAGAGAGTACTTGATATAATATCAATTTTCTTAAATTTATTGAGGCTTGTTTTATGGCCTATCATGTGGTCTATCTTGAAGAAATTTCCATGTGGTGTTGAATAGAATGTGTATTCTGTGGTTGTTGGATGAAATGTTCTGTATACATCTGTTAAGTCTATTTGTTCTAAGGTATGGTTTAAATTCATGTTTTTTTGTTGGCTTTCTGTCTTGATGACCTGTCTAGTGCAGTCAGTGGAGTATTGAAGTCCCCCACTATTATTGTGTTGCTGTCTATCTCATTGCTTAGGTTTATTAGTAATTGTTTTATAAATTTGGGAGCTCCAATATTAGGTGCACATTTGTTTGGGATTGTGATATTTTCCTGTTGGACAAGGTCTTTTACCATTATATAATGTCCCTCTTCGTCTCTTCTCTTTCAACTGCTGTTGCTTTAAAATTTGTTTTGTCTGATATAAGAATGGATACCCCTGCTCATTTTTGGTGTCCATTTGTATGAAATGCCTTTTTCCCCACCTTTACTTTAAGGTTATGTGAGTCCTTATATGTTAGGTGAGTCTCCTGAAGGCAGTAGATTGTTGGTTGGTGATTTCTTATCCATTCTGCAATTCCCTATTTTTTAAGTGGAGCATTTAGTGTGAGGTACCGTTGCATTCATCGTGTTCCTTGCTGCCTGTGTACTTTTGTCTTTTTGCTTTCTCTTTTTAACTTGTATTTTTGTTTTATAGGTCGTGTGTGATTCATGCTTTAAAGAGGTTTTGTTTTGATGTGTTTTCGGGATTTGTTTCAAGATTTTAGAGCTCCTTTTAGCCGTTCTTGTAGTGATGGCTTGGTAATGGCGAATTCTCTCAGCGTTCGTTTGTCTGAAAATGACTGTGTCTTTCCTTCATATGTGATACTTAGTTTTGCTGGATACAAAATTCTTGGCTGATAATTGCTTTGTTGGAGGAGGCTGAAGATAGGGCCCCAATCCCTTCTAGCTTGTAGGGGTTTCTGCTGAGAAATCTGATGTTAATCTGATAAGTTAATCTGCTATTTATCTTATAGGTTACCTGGTGCTTCTGTCTCACAGCTCTTAAGATTCTTTCCTTCATCTTAACTTTGGATAACCTGAAGACAATATGTCTAAGCAAAGATCTTTTTGCAATGAGTTTTCCAGTTGTTCTTTGTGCTTCTGGTATTTGGATGTCTAGGTCTCTAGCAAAGCTGGGGAAGTTTTCCTCGATTATTCCCCCCAATATGTTTTCCAAGCTTTTAGTGTTCTCTTCTTCCTCAGGAACACCGATTATTCTTAGGTTTGGTCTTTTAACATAACTCCAGACTTCTTGGAGGCTTTGCTCATATTTTCTTGTTATTTTTTCTTTGTCTTTGTTGGACTGGGTTAATTTGAAGACCTTGTCTTCGAGCTCTGAATTTATTTCTTCTGCTTGTTCAGTTCTATCACTGAGACTTTCCAGAGCATTTTGCATTTTTAAAAGTATGTCCAGAGTTTTCTGAATTTTTGGTGGTTTTTTCTTTAGGCTCTCTATTTCCTGGAATATTTCTCTCTTCACTTCTTGTATCATTTTTTGGATTTCCTTGCATTGGGCTTTGCCTTTCTCTAGTCCCTCCCTGATTAGCTTAATAACTAACCTCCTGAATTCTTTTTCAGGTAAATCAGGGATTTCCTCTTGGTTTAGATTCATTGCTGGTAAACTAGTGTGATCTTTGTGGGGTGTTGAAGAGCCTTGTTTTGTCATATTACCAGGGGAGGTTTTCTGGTTCCTTCTCATTTGGATAGGCTCTGTCAGAGGGAAGGTCTAAGGCTAAAGGCTGTTGTTGGCAGATGCTTTTGTCCCACAGGTATTCCCTTGATGTAATACTCTCCCCCTTTTCCTATGGATGTGGCTTCCTGTGAGCCAAACTGCAGTGATTATTGTCTCTCTTCTGGGTGTAGCCACCCAGCAAGTCTACCCAGCTCTGGGCTTGTACTGGGGGTTGTCTGCTTAGAGTCCTGTGATGAGAACTGTTTATTGGTCTCTCAGCCGTGGATCCTGGCGCCTGTTCCAGTGCAGGTGCTGGCGGGTGGGGAGGAGGTGCAATGGACTTGGTGAGGGCACTCAGCTTTAGTAGTTTAATGCTCTATTTTTGTGCTGGTTGGTCTCCTGCCAGGAGGTGGCACTTTCCAGAAGGCATCAGCTGTAGTAGTGTGGAGAGGGACCAGCGGTGGATGGGGCCCTAGAACTCCCAAGATTGCATGCCCTTTGTCTTCAGCTACCAGGGTGGATAGGGAAGGCCATTAGATGGGGGAGGGGCTAGGCGTGTCTGAGCTCAGACTCTCCTTGGGCAGGTCTTGCTACGGGTGCTGTGGGGGATGAGGGTGAGATTCCCAGGTCGCTGGAGTTGTGTACCTAGGAGGATTATGGCTGCCTCTGCTGAGTCATGCAGGTTGTCAGGGAAGTGGGGGAAAGCCGGCAGTCACAGGTCTCACCCAGCTCCTATGCAAGCCAAAGGGCTGGTCTCACTCCCACTGTGCCCCCCGCCCCAACAGCCCGGAGTCTGTTTCCAGTTGGTGGGCAAGAAGGGCTTGAAAACTTGCCCCAGGCTACCCGCCTCCCAGCTGTGAAAGAAAAGGGCTTGGTTCTTCCCCTACCTGTGGAGTCTGCACACGGGATTTCTGCCCTTCCCATAGTTCTGGCCCAGAGGTTTCTCACCTGGTTCAAATTATTACAAAGTTCAGCTAGAGATTTTCTTCTCCCTGTGGAGTTTTACACCCTGCTCCTCTGGTCACCCTCCCGATGGATCCCTGTGGTGCCAGGCAGGAATGACCTGCTAGGGGCTGCAGTGAGCTACCAGGAAACTGCTGCTTCCTCTACTCCTATATTTTGCTAAGCTTTGAGCTGATACTTTAAACCTTTTACTGTTGTTCTGGAGTGAAGGAAGATTTTAACTGACTCCTAGTGTAGGAGATTCTATGGAGAGACCAGAATTAAGTGTTCATGTGTGTTAGTTAAGATACTAACATTCTTGTTCAGTTTGATTTGAGGATCTAGTAGCAATACCAATGCCCTGTGGGTGTCCAATGGTATTATGAAAAATCTGATGAGAAATATTGCTTGTTATAATTTAGATAAGCAGTTGAAAAACATTTTTAAAAAGTTATATCTGTAAATTAGACATTTTGTTTTGATTAACTGTCATATCTCCAATTGTGTATGGAGTTTCAGCAAGAATATCAGAATAAAGGCATCCCAAAATAATTCATTTTAGGGAAGCTATAATATATGTGTGGAACATGCACTAGGTTAATTATTGCAGTCATTTACAATGACATAAGGTTTATGTAGCATCATGAAGAAAAATAATGAAAATATTGGGATATGCAGAGAATATATTGCATATATACTATAGTTATGACTATATTCTGAAAGGCACTTTAAAATATTTAGAAAGAAATACAGCAAAATGCTAACAAATTGTTGGATCATGTGGGTGGGATTTTTTTCTTTCTCTAATTATGAGTTTTAAATAATGTATTTAAATTACTTTCATAATGGAAAAGAATGAATAGAACACCAAAACAGAAAAGCAAGAATGTATTTGGAAGAGGCATTTCAGGCTTGTAATCAACAGAGTTTCTTGACCTGTGCATGTGGCTGATGATCAAGAAGGAGGAGCTGAAGATGATTCCAAGTTTTTCTGAAAAGTTAAATGGATTCTCCAAGATGGAAGGTGCAGGTTTTCAATGAAGGTAATTGAGTTCAGTTTAGACATTGTTGAGTATTGCAGTTAACCCAAATAGTGAATACAGGAGGTAGGGAAAGGGATTTTTGAAGAAGAAAATCTGTTAAGTTTTTGCTGTCAGGTTTGTTATAAGCTGAACATCCACCAGACAACTGGTAATTTTATACTGATGTTTGGAACAGAAGTAAGTAGTGATTATCAGTAGGAGAGCTACCTGCTGATACATAATGACTGCAACTCTGAGTGTTTGTAAAATCACCCAGGAAAAGATCTCAGGGAGGAAAGCAGAGCCAGGGAAAAAACCTTGTGACACTCAGTTGGGAGGAATGGACTTGAGTGGGTGAGATGGGGATGCAGAGTCCACTTCAGAGGCTAGTGCTTCATTTCTTCTGTGAGTTATTGAGGATATTGGGAATAAGAGTTAGACACTGAAAGTAAAAGCTACTTAGGCATATAACTGAGTTTGAGAGGTGATGAAGAAAGTAAATGTGGATGACTCTCAGGTAAGTACTATTTGAGGGTATGAATGGTAATGTCACCAAACTTATTAATGGAATAAAGAGGGCAAGCAGGTTTAGGGAAAAATCATGGATTTAAATTTTGAGTCTTAAGAGAGTTCATGGTACATCCAGGAAGAAGTAATCAGTCGGCATGTAGATCGGAGTGGAGCTTATGAGAGAGGTCAGGGCCAGCAATAAAGACCAATGTGGAGATGACGGTAAAACTGTGGCGCTGGGTTGACATCCCAGAAAGAGTAGGTCAAACAGTATCAAATACTGCATATAGGGCCAGGACAAAGACTGAGAGGTAGCTGCTGATTTGGCTGTTGGGAGGGTCATTGGTACTTTGGTCAGAGTATAGGACAAAAAGTCTGAATGCAGTGGGTGGGGTAGTGAGTGGGAAGTGAGAGATTGGCAACAGCAAATACAGGCCACTCTCAAGAACATTGGTAGATATAAGGTGCAGAGCCCCTTAGACTGGGGAAGAGATGTAGGTTATGGTTTTATAATGTAGAAAAGGAGCTAGGGAAGAAAGAGTGGTTGAAAAGACCTCCTTGGGAGATAATGGATCAAGTAGGCCCTAAAGAAGGTGGAGGGGAGTGGCGATACCTGTTGCTCTAAGGAGACCACCCTGAAACACCTTGTAAACACATATTCAACCAAGAGTTCTCTTCCTCTCTCTATATACATGCAAACTTAAATTTATGTTATAACTAGTCTGGGATTGTTCCAGAAAAATAATTAACAATCTTTAAATAAATATGTTCCTGCTGTTCTTCACCCTTGAGCTAGCTATTAGAGTTACCCAAGTAAGGAACAGCTCCATTATCAATCAGGTCCTGAAATTTGGATTGCCTGCCCTTTGATTTTGAAATCAAAGCCTATTTCTCCTCAATTCTTTGACAGTGGAGACTGCCTTACTTTCCTCAATAGGTGCCCGAAGCGAATATTCCTTGGAGCTTATCTGTTAAGTCCTATCACCCCAAAATATCCTCCAAGTTTGGCAAAAATCGACCTAGCTTTTTTTCTTACTTTATAAGGTAGTAATAGAGAAAAAGTCAATTTCATTTACCTATACATTAAGCATATAGTGCATATTTTGCATATATTGCCCCAAACCTTCATTTTTAGAGTAAAGAAAAAACAAAGGTCTTAAGGGGTGACTAAGTTGTCTAGGGTCGTAGAGCTGGGCAACAGCACAGCAGGAACCAGAAATGAGGCTCACTGGCCTGAGTATCTTATATTGTATGGCATGTGATTGCCAATTTATATCAAACATGTGAATGCTTTTTCTTTCTTTCACTTCTTTTTCTTTAAATGTGTATACTGTGTTTGTCGTACTTGGCTTCAAACAATAGGTTCATCTTCTTATTACTGTGGACGATCTGTTTGAAAGTTTTGCTACCTTCAGGTGTGAAAGGATCTGGCTGCCAAATAAATGAAATACTGTTTCCACTTGCCTCAACTGTGATCTTATAAAGCAGCTATAATTGGTTTATTCCCTTTGTCAAAAGAATGAGTTTGTAGGACTTCTTAAGCTTTAACATTTGCACGGTTGCATATACCATGTCTGGAGTGATGTATAAGTAATAAAAAATAAAAATAAAATGAAACAAACCTATCTTAGAACTGGTATATTATTGATTTCAGAAGTTGGTTGGTTCTAGTTTTATAGATTTAAATATAAAACATATGAAAAGATTCTTTTGAAATTGAGCCTTTAAGGTTTTCTTAGAAGAGGAGATTTTGTATGTGTCAATTGAATTAAACATGACGGGGGATTCCCAGGGTGGAAATTTGAGCTCTTTAGAGAGTGTTAGGTGGTTGGACTGAAGGGACAAATAATGCAGCGACTTGGAAAGTTTGTAGGTCTTATCAAATCTTATTTACCCTCTTGAGGGTGGCAGCTTGTAAATCAAATTAAGATGTGTCACTGTTGGTAACTAAATTCCATGATAATTTTTCAATTATTTTCTGTGGCAATAATCCTACGTATTTAGTTTGGGTTGATTCCATTTCATTTTGGAACTGGAAGTTCATTTGTATATCATGGACCTTTTTTGTTTCATTTGAATGATATAAATTTTTTGATGACAGAGTACAACTAAACAAAACAAACCTATAGCCATTGCCGACTCTGTTATATTTAAGGGTATTTCTTCAAAATCAAGACATAAATAAAGTGCATCAACAAATAGGAATGGGTTGGTCTGACTTTAACAATTATGTGGGCAGGAGTAGGCTTAAATTATAGCTCAGCAGTTGGGGAAACCCTTCTTATTCTAAGAAGCTGAAGTCAGTGACTTGGAAATAACATCAGTGTGTTAAGAGTTCAGTGTGTGACACGTGTTACTTATTTGCTGTGGACATCACTATAGTGCATACACTTTGGCATTTTGAGGATTGAAAATTGTCATAGTGATTGTTTTTCATGTTTGTATTAGGTGATTTTCTTTTTCATTGATTTTAAAAGCCTACTATGCATCTTGTTCTAAATTTTTAAAAAACAGAAAAAACTTAAATAGAAACACTGCCATATTAAACTTACCATGTAGAGGTAACTACTGTAAACATTTGGGTCTTCTTCCCTCCTGGATTTAAAATATATTAATAATAATAGTAATACCAATAATAATAAAAACAAAACAATAACATAATACCAGCTAACATTTATTGAGAACTATGAACCAGACACTTCTCTGTGTGATTTATATACATTTCTTCATTTGATTCTAACAAAATATTATGGGGTAGGTAATATTACCATTCCAATATTACAGGGGACTAAGACACAGAGAGGTTAAATAACTTGGCCAAAGGTACACAGAGTAAAGTGTGGAGTGTTTGAGTGTAAATTCAAGCAGTCTGAACTGTTACTTTCTGCTGCCACAAATATATGCTCATTTATATTTGATTTAAATTATACGTTAGAAACAATGTAATATTCTGCGTTTTTAAAAACTTATTTTCATAAAGATTTCTCATGTTAATAATTCTTTATAAATGTAAAGTCATCTAATTTTTCATTATATAGCTGTACCCTATTATATATAATTATTCCCTTTAAGTCAGGCATTTAGATTGTTTATAGGTATTTAATATAAATAATGCTATGATGAACTATTTTTATATAAATCATAGCTTATCTGATAATTTTCTTTCTTTCTTTTTTTTTTTTTTTTTTTTTGAGACAAAGTCTTCCTCTATCACCAGGCTGGAGTGCAGTGGCATGATCTTGGCTGACTGTAACCTCCGCCTCCTGGGTTCAAGCCATTCTCCTGGCTCAGCCTCCCGAGTAGCTGGGATTACAGGCGCCCACCACCACACCCAGCTAATTTTTGTATTTTTAGTAGAGATGGGGTTTCACCATGTTGGTCAGGATGGTCTCTATCTCCTAACCTCGTGATCCGCCTGCCTTGGCCTCCCAAAGTGCTGGGATTACAGGCGTGAGCCACCGTGCCTGGCATCTGATAATTTTCTTAGGATAGATGTCTAGAAGTAGAATTATTGCCTGCTATGAAGACATTTTAATGTCACACTTTTCTAAATTATTATGACTACAAGGCCATTTGGAAAAAAATACCCCACATCTACACATAAACTTCAAATCTTCCTTAAAATTTAATTAATGGGACTACTTACATTTTAGAAGCTTTTATGATGTGATGAGAGAAGGCAGCAGGCTAAGCAACGGGGAGACCATTCTCTAAGTCAAGCCTGACCTTTGCTCATTAACAGGCCACTGCCTTATCTTTGTATGAAACTCCTGGAGTTAATCCATACACAGAGTACCCATTGGTTTTGAATATGCTGTGTTCTCAGAGCAGCTTTTTAGGGGAACACAGCAAGAACAGAAATTAGGCCAAAGATTGCAGAGCATGTGCAGATGCTTAAAAGGCACAGCACAAAATGTTGTTTTTAATCACAATTCTTACAGACTTCTTTGTAACAAAAAAAAGAGCATAAAATAAAATTCTGTCCCAAAGGAGCAGTTAGCATGAATATAGGAATTCCAAGGTACATTATGAAATAAAGACAGAACGAGGCCTTGGGAAACATCTTTATTGTTGAAGCGGAAGTACCAGTGATTTGAATACTTCTTCAATCAGTACCAGTGATTTGAGTGTCCCTAAAGTGCTACTGGTGGTGGTAGAACTCAGTTCCCCAAAATATTTTTGCTTCTATTAGTAACCCACCTGCTTTTCTCTATTTTCTTGTTTAGTTCTTCACTTCTGTCTTTCATCCTGGCCTTATCATTCCCACCCCCCAAAAACCATTTATTTGGCTTTATCTTAGTTTACATATGTATATGTATATGCACACACACACACGTGCATGTATGTGTGCATGCATATGCATGTAAATATTTTTAAAAATATGTACGGTCTTCATTAGCCAATAGTCCTGGCCCTTAAGTGAAAATATAAATCATTATGCAATGTCCCCTCTTTATTCTTTGTCTTCACTTGGTGTTTTCATGCTGTCCCCTGTTCCAGGCAGATTTTTCCACCTGGGACCAAATTTGTCATGGCTATTTTCTGAAAAATGATGGCTAACTAATCGAGTGAGCAAACTCATGCTAAATGAAAGGGTATGTTCCTGGCTCTAGTAAACTGAAAAATGAAAGCAAGAGGCTTAAATACAAAGTGATTATAATGAGAATACATAAATTTCTAATAGCATTTAGGATTGTCTAGGAGATTAAGTTTCTGCAGTTATACCTTTCCTTAAATAACATACAAATGCCCCTTTCTCAATGCTCCCTCAGGGAAGGTAAAACTATGTATAATGTTACCTATTATATAGGATCTATTGGTTCTTTATTCAGAGGCTTAGGTTTAAATTCTTGACTTTCAAGGAACACTATAGAAAAAACTCCCCCTTGGTGACTCTCTAAATACCAAACAACTGTGGCTCCCAAATTTGGCTGCACATCTGAGTCCCCTGGAGAGATTTATAAAAATGCAATGAGGCCTGGGAATTTACATTTTTTCAAAAGCTCCCCAGTTGATTTTGCTGCTCAGCCAGGTTTGAGGACTGCTGTTAAAGTGGCTGCTTGGACATTAGCTAAGTCATTTTCTGTGCCTTCAGTGGATGTTCAGTAGGTGGCTAACAGTTATTGAGCATGTACATTGTGCCAATCACCATGACATTTTACAGCCAAGGAAATTTGTTTAGGTTTGTGAGTGGCAGAAACGGCGTTGAAGTGTCCAACCCTCATTTTTATGATGCTTCTCAACAAAACGTTGATTTAATTACCAAAAAAGGTAAGGGACAGGCTGAAGTTAAAAACTCACTCATTAACTCTCACATCTTAGTCAATCGGTTTCTTCATCATAAAATGGAAGTAATATCTTTTTAAGATACTTTTTTTTTTTTTTTTGAGACAGAGTCTCGCTGTATCGCTCAGGCTGGAGTGCAGTGGTGTGATCTCGGATCGCTGCAACCTCCACCTCCCGGGTTCAAGTGATTCTCCTGCCTCAGCCTCCCTAGTAGCTGGGACTACAGGTGCATGCCACAATACCTGGCTAATTTTTGTATGTTTAGTAGAGATGGGGTTTTGCCATGTTGGCCAGGCTGGTCTCGAACTCCTGGCCTCATGTGATCCACCTGCCTTGGCCTCCCAAAGTGCAGGAATTACTGGAGTGAGCCACCGCATCTAGCCAAGATACTTTTTACTTTATTATGAAATAATTTTATACTTAGAGAAGAGTTACAAAGCTAGTACAGAGAGTTTCTATATACGCTTCACCCAGCTTCCTCTAATGTTAATTTCTCATGTAATTTATATCTAATATAAACATTTTACATAACCATAGTATATTTATCAAAATAAGAAATTAACATTTGGGCTTCCCCAGTTTTTATACTATCTGAGTTCATTCAGGTTGCTATGAAAAATACCTTACACCTGTTAATTTATAGATAACAGAAACTTATTGCTCACAGTTCTGAAGGCTGGGCAGTCCAAGATCAATCCAAGATCAAAACACTGGCAGCTCTTTTGTAGAGTATCCTTCATTTTGAGTTTGTCTGATATATTCTTATTATTACATTGATGTTATGAATTTTGAGATATACCCCAGAAGTGATATATTTGTGTTGCATTGTACTGGGGCCTTTGTAAGATTTTTGACAAAAAATACATGTATTCTCTCATTAGATATATTTAAGTAACAGATAGATGACTATTTGCAATGCTGAATGAATCTCTGTGCTGTGTGGGGCTGGATCTTCAAGACCCCTTTCAACTCTAAAAGTCTAAAACTAATAATTGAGCATTGCAAATAAAAAGTCACATATGAAAGATGAATATGAAATTTGAGTAGAGCTAAAAGACTAGAGAATTAATTTTCCAAATAGTGATCCCTACTTTAAAGAGTATTAGGGTTTTCCTACCTGGGGGCTGAACTCAGAATGTGTTCTCTGCTTTGTACTGGGGGCTTTTCCCAATGTGGAATTGGGAATGTGGAATCCCAATGTGGAATTGACCTTCAGTCAATTTCCCCTTATTATAGCCCCTGAAGTGGCATCTGTAAATGCATGTTTGCTATGGGTAATTGAAGCTACTAGGTTTCTCTTGTGGTTTTCCTCTGTGTTACTAAAGATTAAATTGATGTGTAGTTGAGTAGCAAGCCATCTAATTTGAAAGATAGAAATGACCTGACTCTAACTATGAGTGTAGTTTGGATATGTTAAGTAACCTTTTTGTCTTAATTTTTCCAGCTGTGAAGCATAATTCCTACTGAAATATATTGACTTCTACAAGTATTGGACTAAAAACATATCTCCAGAAATATAACACCTACCCCTGGGAAAGTCTGATGTAACATGGTTAACCTAGAAGAGTTAATGCTGTGTGTCAACATATGCCTTGTAAAGGTGCTACATTATATAATTGTAAAAATGAAAACACTAAACAAAAGAGTTTATTTGAAATCTACTAAAGTCCCTCTGGTGAAAAGGAGGCACGATTTTAACACTGTAAATGCTATGTTGGCATGTCAGCTGTATATCTTGGAAAGACCACAGTGCTATGGAAAATGGTCTCAGAAATTAGAATGCCTGATTTAGCCAAAAGGCTTCAGCCACCTGCCAGATATATGACCCCCTAACAAATCATCTAATTGCACCACTTGGCTTCTTCATCTGTTACAGTAGACAATCAGACATGAATTCTAAGATTCCACCTCCTAAAATCTATAATTCTTTGATTTTTTTCAAGACCTCAGCCTACATATCCGTAAAGTGATTGATTCTGTCTTGCTAATACTGTTCATAAATACATATTTCTGATATTCCTTTGACCATTCAGAAAATGCTTGGCTACCCATTTTTTCCAGCCTGAAAAAGCAACTTAAAAAATGGTTAATCATTTGTTTGAAAAAATTGATACTTTTTTGTTATATATAAAATGACCTCTTCAATCTCAACAGAGAATATGGGATCTGGTCATGTTTGAAATAGAAAATGATGTCATAAGTAAATACGTATAAAATTTAATGATTAAACTATCTGCTCTAGATGTTCCAAGTTATTTTATTGGCATGAAAACTGTAAAGTGTTTGGAAAACAGTTTCATTGTGACAGGTATAATCAACACATTTTCTATAGTTGCAGACCTGTTCACAAACAATGTTAAAAGAAAAATAAAGTGACATAATGTCTGGGAAAGAATTCCCTAATAGAAACAGACCCAAGTCCATGGTTTGTGGTTTTGCAAGTATATAATTCCTTCTGGGAGGCCTTCTGGACAGATTTGTATCTATCCTAAAAGGAGTATCTATGTTTAACTGCACAAAGGTGATATCTCTTCTGTGTGGTCTGGTCCCTTCTGTTATCCTTGCTGATCTAAGAGAAAGAAGCATGTTACCCTATCAAACTCCAAACTACACTTTATGAACATCTACTTCCTTCTGTAACCTTTGCCAGCTCTAGCTAACCCTTAAAGGTTCAGGACAAAATACCTTTTGAGGGTCTTTAATGTCAGCTTCAGTCAATTTCTCATCATGCTGAAAGGCAAATGGAGCTTTGTGATAGGCCAAATGTGTCATGAATAAGCAAACATACCAATTCATGTTGAATTCTAGTGTGGGATCATTCCCATTTAAGAGTTATTTGTTTTTAAAAATAATGGGGAATCAAACTCTTCAATTATGATTTTTTGTAATAGTTTTAATGGTTTACAATAGACCACCTTCAAATAAATATATCAGCTGCTTTGGTGATCAGTTTCAAAATCAGAATATTCAAATTTACATAGAAAATGGCAAAATCAAACACACTTTTCAACAATGCCTATAAAACTTGTCATTACACTATAAATATGAATATCACACTCAATCTCAGTTGTGTAGTAAATGTTTAACAGCTAGCTCTCTGGGGGAAAACCTTTGATATTTGTAGTGTTTGCCCATGTTCATGGTGTAAATAATCTCATTATGGCCAATTTCAAGCAACCCAAGTTATTGAATATGGAATTGGGAAGAAATGTGTACAGTCAGCTCTAGTACACCACTGATCATACCCATTAGATGAATGAAGAAAGATGAAAACCATTTGGCAGAGTCATAGACGGCAAAAGGCCTGTTTCCCAGGTTCAGTCCTGCAAGCCCAGCAATTTCAGACGTAATTGCCTACTTCACAACATTAAGAATATGTTTCTGGTCAGGTGCAGTGGTTCGAGTCTGTAATCCGAGCTACTCAGGAGGCAGGGGTGGGAGGAAGGCTTGAGATCAGTAGTTCGAGACCAGCCTGGGCAATGTGGTGAGACTTTCTAAAAAAATTAATTAATTAAAAAAATAGTAATTTTCTGTACAAAAGTAGATTAAAACCAAATGTAATTTCTTTTTGATAATACTTTTTACCACTATTTAAAAAATGAATTCTTAAGAATTGAGTAATTTTCATTCAAAATTACATGTGTAAGAGATTCCTCTACATGAAATTAGAGAGTACTCTTAGGCTGTTCAGCCATACAAAGCAGACAAATAAGTGAATAGTGAGTGTCCTGTTGCTCAGCCACTGAATAAAGACAGCCCTGGAGATCTTAGCTGTCGCAGCTTCCTATAACTTTGAAGAAAAGAAATTTGAGAGCTAGGACTTTGCTCCCATGGGCTGTGCAACGCGATCTGGTTGCACCCTTTTGCCATGTCATAGAAAAGTCAAATCCTCTTCCTTACTTTTGGGTCCTAATTAAGCCTTATTTTAAAAGAACAGCTAAAATTACAATTCTGACATTTGACAGGAAAGACTCTGAAGATAAACTTGGCAAATGGTTACTTAAAGTTCTTAGCTAATGAAAGTATTTATTTGTTTTATGGTGTTTGCTGTAATCAGAACACATATACGTTCACACCTCTTTTGAATGCTTGTATTCATTAAATGTCTGCTTAAAATACCTCTTCCTCAGGCTAAGGACTTCCCTCTGCCCCATTTCTGGAGGGAATGTTCATTTAAATGTTACCTTCATAAATCTTTTAAAAATAAATATTTTACATATTTAAGATACACAACATGACATTATCAGATACATATATAGTAAAATGATTACTACGATGAAACCAATTAACATATTCATCATGCCATCTAGCTACTCACCCACCCCACATCCCCCCACCCTCGCCCCCATGACAAGAGCAGCTATAATCTCCTGAACACTTTTTCTGTTTCTCTTCTTTCTCTCCCTTTCTTCTTTCCTGCTGCCCTCTCTCCCCACTCCCCCCAGCTCTTTTCATGAAGAATGTGAAGAAATAAACCCGGAAATTGAAACACAAATACAGGAAATTCCAGGGTAAGCTTCATATGGGAGAGTTAATATGGTCATCAGGATGTTGCATTTTAGACTCTTCTGATGTATTGACTATACTAGTATAAGGTAACCAGATGTCCTACGTTAGGCAAGACGGTGTCTGAGATTTCAGCTTGTTTTCTCTTGACAATATTTCTCCTCAAATGCTGCTACTAAAGCCACCCTGTTTACTGGCTTATTTTGATTATAGAAATGCTGAAAGCCTCCCTGACAATCCTACTTGTCTTCTGGGGTCCTGGGAAGTGGGCATTTGACCGCATGTTCTCACTTATAGGTGGGAGCTAAACAATGACTACACGTGGTATTAAGGTGGAAAGAATAGACACTGGGGATTCCAGAAGGTGAAAGTGAGGGAAGGAGGCCAGGCTAAAAACTATCTAGTGGGTACTATGTTCATTATTTGGGTTCACTAGAAGCCCAACCCCCAATATCATCCAACATACCCATGTGACAAACCTGCACATGTACCCTCTGAATCTTAAGAATAAAAGAGAAAGAGAGAGGACACACAGATTTCCATTAAATATTTCAACTTTTCTGTGTGGCTGAAATTTTTCATTCAAATTAAAAAATAATAGGAAGAAAAAGAAAGTGGATATTTGATCTGAGATGAGCTACGATAGTACTCAAAAGGCAGCAGCAGAGAACTCAATCATTCACTAGCTGGACCAGTCATTGCCATCTAGCAGAGAACAAGTCCGTAGCCAAGGGCCTTCCTTTCTAGTGGCAGAGGTAAAGAAAGGTGCTTTGCTTGAGCATCATGAGGATTCTTTGCTTTACCAAACTTTAGTCAGGTTCCTGGACCTTCTCCTAGGCCCATCTGTGCACCTCCTTGTAAAATCCAGTTTTAGAAAGTCCCTGCTAAGTTTGTTTAGTCGGGATCCCCCATCCTTTGTATCAGATCATTCTTTATTTTATTTTATTTTATTTTATTTTATTTTATTTTATTTTATTTTATTTATTTATTTATTTTTTGAGATGGAGTCACCCAGGCTGGAGTGCAGTGGTGTGATCTCAGCTCACTGTGACCTCCACCTTCTGGGAGTCAGGCGATTCTCCTGCCTCAGCCTCCCGAGTAGCTGGGACTACAAGCACGCACAATCATGCCCAGCTAATTTTTTTTTTTTTTTTTTTGAGACGGAGTCTGGCTCTGTCACCCAGGCTGGAGTGCAGTGGCACAATCTCGGCTCATTGCAAGCTCCGCCTCCTGGGTTCACGCCATTCTCCTGCCTCAGCCTCCCGAGTAGCTGGGAGTACAGGTGCCCGCCACTACGCCCAGCTAATTTTTTGTATTTTTATTAGAGACGGGGTTTCACCGTGTTAGCCAGGATAGTCTTGATCTCCTGACCTTGTGATCCACCCGCCTCGGCCTCCCAAAGTGCTGGGATTACAGGTGTGAGCCACCGTGCCCGGCCTTTTTTTTTTTTTTTTTAGTAGTGACGGGCAGGCTGGTCTCGAACTCCTGACCTCAAGTGATCCGCCTGCCTCGGCCTCTCAAAGTATTGGGATTACAGGCATGGGCCACTACACCTCGCCAATATCAGATCATTCTTGATATCTTATCAGGTTCTTCCTTCTCCACCACTCCCCAAGTGATGTCTGATCTCCCTGGTCTTCAGCAAGAATCCATTTAGGATGGTTTAGTAAGAAACTCCAATACCCACAATGTTTCCTTTATCCACTGACCCTCACCCTGCTCCTTGGCTATAAAGTCCCACTTGCCCATGCTGTATTTGGAATTTAATCTAGTTTTGTACTGAGGTCTCTTTTCACCTATTACAATAGTCCTGCAAAAATTTGGTTTTACTGTTTTAACTGCTGTCCAGCTATAGTTTTTCTTTGAACCAGCATTGATGCAAGCAGCACCTGGAGACAGGAGAAGAGGGAGGCTAGTAAGAAGGAAGTAATTATCTTAAGGATCAGTGAAGTAGTAAAAGCCGAAGGCTACCTGGACACACTTGACATTTCCCCTGCCCTATTGTTCTCAGAAAATTCTGTCTCTAGCTTCATTTCCTGGTCTTACTTTCACCCCCACTTTAAATTATATCTATCTATCTATCTATCTATCTATCTATCTATCTATCTATCTATCTATCTATATATGTACTTATATATATATATATGTGTGTGTGTATTTTGTTGCTTTTTTTTGAGATGAAGTCTTTCTCTGTTGCCCAGGCTGGAGTGCAGTGGCACGATCTCGGCTCACTGCAACCTCCGCCTCCCGGGTTCAAGCAATTCTCCTGCCTCAGCCTCCCGGGTAGCTGGGATTACAGGTGCCTGCCACCACGCCTGGCTAATTTTTGTATTTTTAGTAGAGACAGGGTTTCACCATGTTGGCCAGGCTGGTCTCGAACTCCTGACCTCAGGTGTTCCACCCACCTGGGCCTCCCAAAGTGCTGAGATTACGGGTGTGAGCCACCACACCTGGCCTGTATTTTTTTATTTTTATTTTTATTTTTTGAGATGAAATGTCTTCTGTGGCCCAGGCTGGAGTGCAGTGGCACTCCAGTAACATCAGTAGGGATAGCATCAGGTTCAGGAGGCTGAGAAAGAGACTCAGATCCAGCAAACAGGACATGGGGTCTTATTGAAGGAAACTTACACATAGAGCTGGTCCAGTGGCAGTGAGCTGTACAGGAGAACTGCAACCACTTGCAAGAAGCATGTGGTTTATATGACATTTCACTTAGCACCCTCTCCCTAACAACCTCCACCTGGCAGCCTTCATTTAACCCAAAACAAAGGGGCTTGATTCCTCGAGTGGCCCGTGTTCCAAGGGAACAGGCCAGAAACTCAGGTGTTCTTCATAGATAAGGAATGAATCTTGGTGTTGGCTACTCCTAGGTTCCACAGTTTGGAATTCTGAACGTATATACATTCAGGTGCATCTACCAAACAGGGTCATTCTCAGGATTTGATTAAGATTTTGCTATCGGGTATGTCTACTATACATGATCATAGCTTACTGCAGCCTCTAACTCCTGGGGTCAACAGATCTTCCTGCCTCAGCCTCCCTAGTAGCTGGGACAACAGGCAGGTGCCACCACACTCAGCTGATTAAAATTTTTTGTTGTTGTTTGTTTTGTTTTAGAAGTAGAGTCTCACTATGTTGCCCAAACTGGTCTTGAACTCATGGCATCAAGCAATCCTCCTGCTTCAGTCTCCTAAGTAGCTAGGATTACAGTCTCCAACCACTGTACCGGGCATCCACGCACCTCTATAAAAATTCGTTTACTTTTGTTGCTCAAGATAATACTTATTTGTGAATCCAGTGGGCATTTATTCCTCGAATTTCCACAACCAGGGGAAAAGCCTATCAACTTGACTTGATTGATTCTCTGTTATCTGACAATGCCCATTTCCTGATTTTACACATCAGATGGATTTCTTAACCCAGAGCATTATCAACCTATCAGTGAAGATGCATCCCACATCTGTGCTGAGTCTCTATATTTGAAATCACATCTGAAATTTATGTTGATTTTCTGCTAGTGATGAAATCCTACATTTAAATTTGTGCCACCCCATAGTTATATAAGTAAATAGAGTCTGGTCAGAGTATGTGGAGTATCCAAGCCTTCCATGAGCTGATCCACTCATGTTTCTAGTCTGACCTTCTGTCATTCATTACCTGCCACACCCAAACCTGAGCTCCTAGCATGCGCACAGTTGAATCATCAGGCACACTTTGCAGCTTCCTATTTGTCTGTCTCCGTACAGGCTTTTCCTTCTGGCTGGAATGGACTCCTCTCGACTTCCCTTTTCTCACCTCTGCTTGAAATATGTGCACCTTTTCATAATGGTAAGACAAATAAAATAAATTCAGTTTGAAGTTTTAACAAGGAAAAAGAAATCTGAAATGTAAAGGCCAATAATAATCTGCATCTGCCCCAACATGGTGTTTGGAATTTTTCAACCATGATAAAGAATGATCTAAGCAAGGGTGTTTTTACACCATTCTTCTAATGTTCTTTATTTCTTACTGGTGTCAAGACCTCACTGATGTGAGACAACCATGACAATGATGCGGAGGGTCTGATTCCATATATATGTACAAATAGCAAAATCTCAGCAGTCCTGAGCTTTTCTAACGTATGTATATGTTGACATATAATACAATATGTCATCTATGTTATATATAAATGTGAAAGAAAATTGTTTTAAAAATAGTTTTTTAATTTTCCAGGGCAAATACTCCTCTTCCAAAATATAACTTCTGTAAGACAGAAATGAACAATAGGAGCCAAGAGTAATATATTTCATTCATTTATTATTCATTCAAAAACTATTTTTGAGTGCCGGCTATCTGACAGACACTGTACTAAGGAAGTAGCATTGAACAAGCAGTGCCTTTATAGATCAATAGTTTTGTAGAGGAAAGTGGAAAATAATAAGCATAATAATAATACTTAACAATATAACAACAGCAATAAGATTACATTGTAATCAGTAGTATGATAAAGGAGTCAGAGTTATGCCCAGCATACGTAAGGCTATCTAACAGGGCAAAGATGGAGGCTTTGACTAGAAAAATAAAGTTTTTTTTTTTTTCTTTGAAAGCTTTCAAACAGCAGAACATGATCAAATTTGCATTTCGTAAGATCACCTTGAAGGGAATAAATTGGTTAGGCATGAAGTCACATACGATGAAAATAGAACTGTCCCCAGAAGTTTGGTAGGGGTCGTCTAGAAGTTCAAATACTTCTAAGCAGAGTGAAAGCATATCGGGTAGCTCTGGCAATACATTTCAGGAGGGAATATGCACGTGCAGGTCCATATTTGGAAGTAAAGGACGCAGGATGGCCTTGTCAAGGCCTTACTAAACCAAGGTCCTGGAGGGACTTGTGTTCATTGCTAGGCAGGTAGGATGGAGGAGGCTGACCTCACTGGGTGCAAAGTAGTCGGGTGTTAGGAGTTCCCGAATGCTCTCCTCCCTGCCACCAGTGTGCCTCTCCTGCACTCCATGTTTTGATTTGTGATCATTTTAGACCATGACTCAGCACATATGACTCTCTTCTCTCATAGGAGACTTTGCCTTCTGTTTGCTGCTTGGCCTCACAACTTCCCATTCTCTGAGCAGATGTACAAGCCATTTGCCAGTCATAGAAATTTCCCTTTCTAAAATCAATACAACTTTCAAAATGAAGCTGTGGGTTTATTAAGATAATTGCAAATGGTAACATATCTGAGAGAAAATCTTAATAGAAAGTTATTTAGAATACAAGTCAGAAAAAATCAATGTGTTTATTGAGGTAGACATTAGTCTAGACATTAAATACCATTAACAAAATAGTCTCACCTGTTATTTCCACCTAAACTCTATTTTCAAATTTAGGCATGCCTTTTAAACTCTTCCTTATGTTGTCATTGAACCTGGTTAGATGCTGTTATGGTTAGGCTTTGTGTCCCTACTCGAATCTCATCTTGAATTGTAATCCCCAGGTACTGAGGGAGAGACCAGGTGGGAGATGATTGATAATGGGGGCGGTTTCCCCTATGCTGTTCTTGTGATAGAGAGTGAATTCTCATGAGATCTGATGGTTTTATAAATGGTAGTTTTTTCTGTGCTGACACATGCTCTCCCTGGCCTGCCGCCATGTAAGACGCACCTCTTCCCCTTCCGTGCCTCTTCATACTTCATGCATGACCAGAAAGCTGTTGCATGACATCATGCCTCATCCTCTGTATACAGATAGTGGACAAATAATATAAAGGGAGCAAAAAGCCACTTCTTTCCAGGAATATTCTAGTCCTTCAAATTGAAAGTGATGATCAAATGAAATGAGTTACTTCTAGTCTTTAAATGGAACAGAATTTAGACATTATGAAATTTAACTCTAGATGTTAAGGCAGACTTTGGATTCATCATGGAGAATATACCAAATGCTTAAAAGATTCTTACTTTGCTTATAGCTTTGGATGATCTTTGATACTGAGAATCACAAAGAATTATACTCTAAGTAATCACAGATGTACTGTGAGAGAATGGTTTCTTATACACACTGATACAGTTAGATTTGACTTTTAATTTTTCTTTTGGTACAATATATACCATAGTAATGTAATCAGATTCTAAACTCTAATTTTACTTGCTAAGTTTCCATATTTATTTTGTTGATAACTGATGCATGATTTATGAACATGTGTGCTTTTCTATTATGTGTTCATATTTCACTTCCTTAGAGTTTTACTGTTATTTCCTACAGTAAAGGAGCTACTTTTTTTTAAAAAAACTAAATTATATTTCATATATTTAGGATAGTTTATTTCCTTTGATACTCATTTATAATTAATGAAGCAAAGTTTAAAATTTTTAATAGGATAACGTTTGAAATTAATAGTGTTTTGAAAAGTAGAGATGTAAAAATCCTTGGCAAGAGTTTTTATCTCATATAGACTGAATGAATTATTAAAAGCGAACTTCTACCTAAATCTAAACCTTATTTTCTTCATTATATTGATTTTCTTGTTCCATGAAAACCTATCAAGTTTTCTAGAAAGTTTATGGTAATATTTTTGTGTTCTTTAGTCATAACTTATTTTCATGTAATACATGTAATATATAGGTTTTTGGGGATAATTTTCAGTAGTCTTTCTAGATTACAAAATGGATACCTATGGAAACATAAATGTATATAATTTTGAATATAAAACCATTTGTAGAATGTAATAGGAACACATTCAAAGCAAACCTGCATCACAATCTTTTGCAAAGTAGAGAATATTCATACCATGAATACTGACCATCTATTATATCTCTCTGGATTCTGCTACTTTATGATTTTCATAAACATGACTATTTTCCTTCATGTGAAGACTAAAGATAAAATGCCTCTCTCCCTGATCAAACTTCTTCACACTGTTCTCCAGTAGCATCTTTTCCCACTTCAACATCTGGTAAAGCAGCCTAAAGACAAGAAAGTATTTCCTGCAGGGAATGCAATTTTTGGCCTTCTTGGTAAGGAGGACTTCAAATGAAACCAGACCTGGCTATGAGCTACCCATCCATCTTAATATTGCCTGGACTGAATTCACTTGGGGTAATCCTTACTTTCATTTGCAAAGGAATTGTAATCTGCTGTACTTTATTTGTGGTTTTTGAGAATAGCTTTTCTGTCTTCTATACTCTTCCTTAATATTACTTCCTCTGAGCCAGCCTGTCTAGCCTGGTTCTGAGTATAAATAGCTCCAAGTGTGGAGCACTAATGCCCTGCTATTGCTGGGTTATGTGAAACCCTTTTTTTGTGTTGAACACAAGAAGCCCATGATTATTCCTACCACAGATTCTCACATTCTTAATCAGTTCCACCTGGCCAATAAACAGTAACGCCAGGACAGCTTCTCTTCTGTGTGGGTTTTCTACTTTATGGGTAATAAAACTGTCCTTGGTGTTATTTAGGAATCCCTTTGATGCCTACTAGTTTACTGTATTGATATTTCAGGGGTATTGGCAGTCGCTGGTGAGCCTTCATTACTGGCATCCCTGAACTGTGGCAATGAAGTAGTTTGGGTAAATAATGGCGGGGTGGGGAACACAGCTGGTAAAGCTTTTTTTTTTTTTTGTACTTACATGTATCAAGGAAAAATTTAGAAGTGGCCTTATGGAAACAAGCAAGGCTAAGAAATGGTTAGATTTCTTTCAAACCTACAGGAAGGAAGTAAGGAAAGAAAGAAAGAGAGAAAAAGGAGAGAGAAGATGCAATGTAATTTTTTGAACTTGTAAACACCTCACATTGTTTATTTGCAATGGTATTTTGTTAAAATCGTTACTAGATACCAAGCTCCTAGTCTGCAAGTTAAAAAGATGAAGCTGGGCTAATTCTCAGCTTCTTTGTATTGAATTAGCTAGTAAAAATGCTCTCTGCAGATGTTAGGGAAGAGAGGGTATTAAGGGCATTCTTTGTCATCACTTTTCTAGTTCCAAGTTTGAGTTCCATTTTCAGTACATGGTTTCAGTAACGTGTAAATGTTTCTTGAAAGGTGGCTTATATTTTTATTTTTATTATTAATGTTTTTTTTAACCAACCGGTGTAGGATATTTGAAATGGGAAAGACTACATGGTAATAGAAAATGAACTCATGTTAGATCAAAAGAAACAAATAACCGATGCATCCAAGAAAAGTAAATGCTTTGTGAACTTGAAGAGCTCTTGTTGGATGGCACTATTTATTTTGAACAAATTATTTTAACCACATTAACTGTTAAAATGGGGACTCCTTTGGGCTTTGAAACAGCTTTTGATATAGTGCCTTTCTTTGTATTAGTATTACTTATTCTTACCTTAATTAATTATTGCGGTCACTTCTTGAATGGAATAAATGCCATCAGCCTTGTCATTACTATCACCATCATATTTTTATCATAAACAATATTAACTGGCTACAGTGTAAAGAGTTTCGAGTGTGTTTTATAATATACAAGAGAGACCTCTCCTGTCAGTGCCTAGTGCCCAAATGTCGTTTATCAAATGTATGATTACTGTTGGCATCATTATGTATACTTTTAAAGATTCAAGTTTTTCTTTGAAAGTACTTTTCCCCCTGCTTTTAAAAAATATTTCTATAGGTTTTTAAAATGTTAATCAGGAGAGATAAAGCCATTTTGCAGATGGTGAAATAAACTACTTGAGATAGCACAGTACATTAATATGAGCAGAATGTGTATGTGGGTGTTCATGTGTGTGCATGTGTTTAAGCTCATCCATTCAACGAATATGGACCCAGCATCGATTATACATGTGCTCGGTGCTGTAATAGTTGCTGGAATACAAAAATGAATAATACAGAGTTACCATCCTTGAGAATCATATAGTGTCATGGGGTGATAGATTTTCAAAACAAGTAATTACAATAAAAATGATAGTACTGTAATAGAGGCCAACTGTGCCTGGAGGAATTGAGAAAGACTCTCTGAAGAGGTAACGTTTGAATGGAGCTTTGAGTGTTGAACTAGGGTTTGGCAAGAGTAGAGCAGAGAAGAATGTTGCAGTTAAATGGAGAAGTTGAAGAGATTTTGAGGATTAAGAGCACATGATCTGTCTGGAAATAACTGGAGTACAGATAATAAAAACAAGAAATAAGTTCTTGTATGCTATTGCATAGCAGCATGACTATAGTTAACAATATTGTATTGTATATTTTAAAATAGCTGTAAGAGACAATTTTGCATGTTCTCATTGCAAAGAAATGATAAGTGTCAGAGGTGATGGATATGCTACATACCCTGATTGGATTATTACACAATGTATACATGTTTCAAAACATCACACTTTGCCTCATACATATGTACAAATATTAAGTATCAATTAAAAATATTTTAAAAGAAAAAAAGTAAATATGGCAAAATGTTAAAAAAAATTCACAACCCTACCTCCAGCAAATTTTCTGCAGTTATTATTCTGGTATTTATTTTTGGTTGATTTTCTCCTAAGACTAGTTCAGAGAGCTATAGAGTCTAACTAATTTTTAGTTCAATCTCTCTCTTTTTTACATATGAACACTAAGTTTCATCTGTTAGCAACTTTTTGAAGCTAAACACGTTGTATACTAAAATATATTTAGTGTGTTTTTCCACTTCTTGTTTCAAGATGAGAATATTATCAGCGTTCTTTAGGAAATTTCCCATACCACTTCACGGCTCTCCTTTAGACCTTAAAATACCTAGTATTTTCAGTCCCTCCCACCTCCAATATTTCTGTTTTAGAATTTCACTTGTCCTTTATTTATACTGGTAGTGTTCAAAGGAAGTTTTCTTTTATGACATTCTTATATGAAACTCCAGTATAGAAATCAGATTAAAATTTTTTTATACAAAGATGTATATTGAGTTCAAATTCATATAATATGCTTATTATAAATCTGTTAATAAGAACAATGAAATTACTTTGATTAGCACAAAAATTTAAAAGGTATATTAGAGAAGATAGTTGTAACCTTATATCAACTGTAGCATCAAATTGATTTCTGTATTATTTGGTTTCACAATATTGAGAAAATCCTGATTCACACATTAAAGTGGTTACAAATGGTAGCAGTGTTTTTTGTTTCCTCATTTGTTTTTATTTTATTTTTAATTTTTGTCTGTACATAGTAGGTATATATACTTATTGGATACATGTGATGTTTTGATACAGGCATACAATGTACAATAGTCTTATCAGGGTGAATGAGGTACCCATCACCTCAAGCATTTATCATTTCTTTGTGTTAGAAATATTCCAATTCTATTTTCTTTTTTTTAATGTGCAATAAATTATTGCTGACTATAGTCCACCCTGATGTGCTATCAAATACTAGATCATATTCATTCTATCTAACTATATTTTTGCACCCATTAACCATCTCCACAACCCACCCCAACCCTTTTTAAAACAACCTGCCTTGAAGTTTCAAGATACTCTTCATCTAAAATGATCCAGAAACTCAGAAAAGTTGCTGGAATTTTTTGTCCAAGATGATGCAGCAAAATCTAATATGTGAACCTATTTTCATTGTTAAATATTCAGCTGAGAGGTGGTTAATGTATTTCTTTTCTTTCTTTCTTTTTTTTTTTTTTTGTTTTTTTTTTGAGACAGAGTCTCACTCCATCACCCAGGCTGGAGTGCAGTGGGAGGATCTTGGCTCAATGCAACCTCTGCCTCCCAGCTCAATTGATTCTCTTCCCTCAGCTTCCTGAGTAGCTGGGACTACAGGTGTGCACTACCTTGCCCCGCCTTTTTTTGTATTTTTAGTAGAGATGGGGTTTCACCATGTTGGCCAGGCTGGTCTCGAACTCCTTCACCTCAGGTGATCCACCCGCCTCTGCCTCCCAAAGTGCTGGTATTGCAGGTGTGAGCCACCGTGCCCAGCCTGGTTAATATGTTTCTTAGCCAGCCTAAATTGTCATTGTTGCCTGGAAAAATACTCTTTCAAATGAATTTCTTGTAATGGGAGGTTTGATAATAAAATAATATATATGAACTAAAAACAATGTAATTTCTTCTTCTCTCTAATTTTTACTTACTAGTGTCTCTGGTAAAAGGGTTTATGCGGGAGCAAGTTGGTTGACACTTGTCATCAGTCTGCCACAACTTGTAGATAGTTGAAAGTATGTTAGAAGAGAGGAGTGAAAAATGCAGCAATTCTAAACCAGAATGGCAGGGTCTCCATGGAGGGCCTCATGACCACATACCTCATTCTTCCAGAATTATTATATCTGCTCATATGAGTTCTCTGTGCATCCTTGCATTTATTAATAATGTATACTTAGTCTTTTAAAAAAGTACTTGAAATCATAAAGATTTTGATAGCTTGATACTATTTGATCACAATGAACATAGGGAATTTCTTACAATTATATAAAGTCAACATTTCTAGCTGGTTTTAAATAAGAAAATAACCTAGGCATTGATAAAATTGACTTTCAGTAAATCTGAAGTGTGAGGGGGAAATATTTTATCATGGTGTTTGTCTCTGTGAGTTAATATTTATAATACTTTTTCTCATTTATTTTTCAATGGAGATAAAATTTATGCAAACACTAATAAATCAGTGTCATCCTAATTGAAACTTGGCAAGTGAGAGACACTCGGTTACCTGTCCTACGTTATGCACGCCCACCCTTTCATACTTGGGGCAGATGAAAAGGGGAAATGTCAAGATATCACTTGAAAAATGCATTTTTAAAAGTTAAATTAACAAAAAGTAAGACTTACAATTTAGGAAGTGATGGGGGGTACCACTGATGAATACTTTGCTGCACTGTATTTCAGCAATGCAGTCCAGCATTGAAGGTCTCTTTTATTTCATAAAGAAGTATACTTTTCTGTAGAAAATTTAAATATTTTAACCTGCAATGCATTACAGGGGAAATTATTTATGAAACCACAAAAACAAAAGGTATTTATTCTACCATGGAAATATACATTTAAAAAAATGTCCATCTATAGTTATTTCAGTCCTTCAATGTAGTATGGACATATTTTTGAGGCTATGTCTGGGCACACAAGCTTTTAATGTAACTCAGTTAAAAGTAAATTTATTAAAGATGTAATTTGTGGGATTATGTATGCTATGAAACCTGGTCTGCTTTAATTATGACAATTTCTTTATCCATTGATGGGCACTTGGGTTGATTCCATATTTTGGCTATTGTGAATAGTGCTGCAATAAACATGAGAGTGCAGACATCTCTTTGATGTATTGATTTCCTTTCTGCTGGATATATACCCAGTAGTGAAATTGCCAGATCGTAAGGAACTTCTTTTAGTTTTTTGAGGAGCCTCAATACTGTTCTCCAGAGACTATACTAATTTGCATTCCCACCAATGGTGTATGAGGCTTCCCCTTTTCACAGTGATTTCTAAGGACTTTACCTTTACATATGGGACCAGAGTATGAACATTTTGAACACCATATGAGGTGATATGGAGATTCAAGGCTCCAGTCCCTGAGTAGCACTCAGTTGTCCCTCAAAGCCACCAACACCGGAAAGAACTAGTCAACATATTCCTGGAAGTGACTCCCTTGGTCAGTAGCTGCTAAATGATCTTGGGCAAGCCATTTCTCCTTTTTCACATATGTGATTTTTAATGTCCTTTTAAGCTAAAAAGCATTACCTCCATTCTAAGGAGGTAATGCTTGCTATCTTTTTGAAAGCGCAGTACTTTCAGAGGATAATCATTAAGATGTGGTGATTCTCATCTTAAACAGTACAACAAAGTGTATATTTCTTGAGCCCTCATTTATATATAATAATGGTGTAAATGGTGTTTATTAAACTAATGGGTAAATGGTGTTTATTAAACTATGTTGACATTTGTTAAACTCCCCATGTTAAGGCTGAGAGAGCCTGGGAACCAATGAATAAGAATTCCAAAAAAATCACATCACATTATGCCATTTTCTCTGAATTTTCTCTTTTTCACAGAATCCTATTTGTTAAAACCCTAGCTTCATGCTATTCTTTCTCAGTTGTCCACCATTTCAGATTCATTGTATTCATTAGGCATGACAGGCACATAGCTTAGGTCCTAGTAGCTTTTTAAAGGTCCTTTGGAAATATTTGAGCCCTGAAAACAAATGATGTCTTCCAAAGTCCAAAAATAAAACCATAAAACCAGCATTGATAAATGTTTAATGAAATGCCTACAAAATATAATATTAAGTCAACTTCATTAATTGTTAAAATTAGTATTCATAAAATTTTCATAATATTTGGAAATAAACTGTAATTTAGATTTCTCTTTTTGTAAGAATTTCTGAGTATGCAAAATGATTATCATAAAATTATAACCAATTGTAAATTCAGTGAGATGCTTAGCCAAAGAATTTCAAGAGCAAAGTTACAGGAAATCCTTTCATAATTTTGTACTAAAAAATTGAATTTATATGTAATCTGTGAAAACTTTAATACGTTGTTTATTAGGTATAAAAATCAAATAACAATCACTAACATTTATCAGATGTTCATTATGTGCCAAATATTATTCTAAGATCTTGTTCATTATGAATGTGCTATTGATTTTTTTCTCTCTCCCTCTACTCCATATCTAATCAATCTCCAGCCAGACATTTCACTTGTATTTTTTCCTTAAATCCATCCGATTACTTTTCTCTCCATTGACACCTGCCCGTCCTCCAACTCAGAATCCCAGTATCTTTTGACTAAACTACTTCAAAAGTCCTCCTGCATCCCCTCCTGTCTCCAGTGGTAGAGTAAACCTATAAAAGGGAAATTCTGCTTTAAGCCTTTTCATGGCTCCAATTACTATTATGATAAAGTATGAAATCCTAAACATGACCTCAAGTCTCACCCTTTTGCAACCAGTCTGTTTTCAGGGGCCCCTCTTTATGCTATACCCAGAGAAATTGAACATCCTCCATAGCCTCCTGCCTCAGGGACAGGACAGGAGCCCCGAGGTTTGCGCAGGGCGGGTGTGTCTCATACAGGGAGGCACTGGCAGTAGAGTAAGACCCATATGAATCTGAGGCTACTGTCAAAAGGAGGGCATGAGTTCCCACTGGGAGGGAAAGGAAGGAACACTTATTGAGGCATGGCAACACTTGCAGGGCCTGGCTAGGTGTTGGACATGCACCGTCTCATTGAATACTCCTAACAGCCTGTGAGGTTGATCTTATGATTGTGTGCACAGATGAGATGTGCAGGGCAGCACAGCTAGTGAAAATTAGACTTGGAATTTGAAACTTGACTCTCAAGCCAGTGTTTTTCCACGCACCATGCTGTTCTGCCTTGTTGTTTCATCACTGTTATAACCCCAGTCTACCACAGAGTCTCAAGACAAGGAGTATCTACCCAATAAATGTTGGGTGAATTTGGAATGTCAGAGTAAGTCACCTTTAGTCTAGGGGCTTTTCCTTTGAAGAAAAACACTGTTTTCATCCTGGGAGTTGAAACAGGTTTTGCAGAGGCTTTGTGACCTTATCCATCTATCTATGTATATATCTATGTATCTGTGTATCTCTCTATCTATCTATCTATCATCTATCTATCTATCTATCTATCTATCTATTTATGTATAGGTAACTATATTCTAGAGGTTTGAGACCATACTAGTAGGATACTGTTATGGATACAACACACACACACACACACACACACACACACACACACACACATATGAGATATTAGAAATATATCATATTAAATATATATCTGATATATGTATCATATATATCTTATATATGTATCTCAGATATATATCTGATACATATGTAATATCTGATATAAAATCATATACATCATATATGAAACATATAATGATATATATAATATAGATGTATATATTATATATGTATAATATGTATATATACATATATTATATGTATTATGTATATATGTGTATATATTGTGTATATATACAATATATAGATGTATATTATATATAGATGTATCCATAACAGTATCCTACTAGAATGTATATATATAACATATCCTACTAATATATACACACATACACAGACACACACACACACACACACATATATGAGATATTAGAAATATATCATATTAAATATATATCTGATATATGTATCATATATATCTTATATATGTATCTCAGATATATATCTGATACATATGTGATATCTGATATAAAATCATATACATCATATATGAAACATATGATAATGATATATATAATATAGATGTATATATTATATATGTATAATATGTATATATACATATATTATATGTATTATGTATATATGTGTATATATTGTGTATATATACAATATATAGATGTATATTATATATAGATGTATCCATAACAGTATCCTACTAGAATGTATATATATAACATATCCTACTAATATATACACACATACACAGACAGACACACACACACACACACACACATATTTCCAGCATGTCTGTTATGAAGTGTTTACTCAGAAGTAAAATTTAGCAGTTTTTCAAATATGATGACATAGTATTGCAGTGGCTTTTAAAAAGTACCTGGGTACATTGTTTAGTTTAGTTTTTATTAGCATGTATATATAAATATTTTAAAATGTTCTCTCGAGCGGGCAGGTAAGCACTTGGAGGCTTGCCTGGCAGCAGCTTACCAGCAGCCAATGGATTTCTCATGCCAAAAGCTCCTTCTTTCAGCAAAGGAACAGATGAGCGTCCAGATGATAGCCACATGTGTGAGAGGCGGATGTCAGCCTCCATCAAAGTTCCTCAGAAGCTCACCCATCATTGTAGCTTTCTTTGTTGCTTTCTGTATATGTGGTTTAAAAAATCTTTTTAAAGATGTAACAAAGACTTATGACACTTTTAGATCAGTTCTTTGACTTACAATAGAAACCAGTGATGGCTTCAAACGGTCATCCCCAGCATTGTTTCCTGATTGTTAAAGTTAACAACTAGGAATATTTATTTGTGTAAGCGAGTATTTTCTCCCTATAGAAAGTCTTCAATACAGACCTTTGATTATATTTTATTCCCAATAAATTATAATTTAGAACATAAAATATTTTAGATGAGACATGGGACAGGAGGAGGGGTGTGGCTACCCGGGAGGTGAGTATAGGCACTTACCTGGTCTAAAGAGAAGACATCGGGGATCTGCACTTTGATTCTGGTTCCTGGACTTTACCTATCCCACCTAAATCAGGTTCTGCTAGAACCCCTAGCTCACTAGAGATGGTGGCTGCTAAAAACTGTACTACCCTGAGATGTGTGAGAATAGTCGAATGGAAACTGTGATGTTCTCTAAGTGAATGCATGTTTGTTGGAGGTAATGCGGAGCAGGGAATGGGATTCCCAGGAATATGGACCTGGATAGAGGCATCTTATTCTGCTGTTTTCTAGCATGTGACCTTGACCAAGTTTTCTGACCTCTTAGATCTTAGCTTTTTTTTTTTAAATCTATCAATGGAGATCGTAATATTAATACTTTCCTTTGTGCTGCTGCAAGAAACAAATTAAATAAACCATGTGTATTAGACTCTCAGGGATGCCATAACAAATTACCGTAAGCAAAGTGGCGTAAGACAGCAGAAGTGTATTTACTTTACTCTCAGAGTAAAGGCTACTCTGGAAGCTAGAAATCTGAAATTAAGGTGTTTGGCAGGGCCATGCTCTGAAGGAAACTTTCCTTGCCTCTTCCAGCTTCTGGTGGCTACTGGCAATCCTTGGTTTTCCTTGGCGTTCCTTGGCTTGTGGCCACATAGCAACAATCTCATCCTCCATCTTCACGTGGCCTTCTTTTCTGGGTATACATGTGTCTCACATCTCTCCTTTGTGTAAGGACATCAGTCATAGGATTTAGGGCCTATCCTAATTCAGTATGACCTCATGGTTTACCTTTATTATATCTATAAAGATTTTATCTCCAAATAAGATCTCGGGGTTAGGACTTCAACATAGCATTCTGGAAACACAGTCCAATACACAACAGTATGTAAAAATGCTTAGTACAGTGACAGTACATATATATATATATTTAATAGCCTATTGCATTTTCATTTTTAGATATGTGAAAAATTCATCTTGATAACGGAAAGCTTTCTTAGAAATCATTTTTGTGAGCTTCAGTTTATTCATGTTTTCCTTATATTTCATAGTTTTATAGAGTCATAGATTCCGACTTTTCAGACTTCAAAGGTCACTCAGTACAGCTACCCATCCAGCTGGTTTGGAGTATTCTCTGCATCTTTAACAAGTTGTTCTTTAGCCCCTGCTTCCCTTTCTAGCTCCAGGATAAGGAACACAGAACCATTCAAAGAACCTATTTTACCTTCTAGTGTCAGTAAGTCTTCTGTCTCTTAAGTCCAAATCTGTCTCCTTTAATTTTAGTCACTAGTTCCAGGTCTCCAGCTGGAAGTAACATAAGAACCAATTCAATTCTTCTTCCCCATCTCTGCCTCTCACCTAGTTCAAGTCAGTTATCACGACCGTGATAACCATAACCCTCATGGTTCCCCGCTGATCAGCCCAGTTTCCCCGGCTGGGCTTTTTTTTTTTTTTTTTTTTTTTTTTTAATATGGTCGCAAGTTCCTTCAACATTCTGGTTATGATTTTATTAATAGATTTTAATTTGTCTATAACAAATAATATGATTTGCCTTGTCAGGTAAATCGCAGAGTGGAATCCTTTGGAGGCCTCAGTTCTGACACAGACTGAGGAAATGGGCGCTGGCAGTGGTTCAGCTGGACCTGAGAGTGGACCCCAGGCTGACCCAGTTGGATTGAGCAGTGGTCTGGGAAGGGGGCTCTGGGGCCCAGTGACTCCAGAAGAATTTGTGGTATTTTAAAAAATGCAAACAATCCTGGCTAACACGGTGAAACCCTGTCTCTACTAAAAATACAAAAAAATTAGCCGGGCATGGTAGCAGGCGCCTGTAGTCCTAGCTACTTGGGAGGCTGAGGCAGAAGAATGGCGTGAACCCAGGAGGTGGAGCTTGCAGTTAGCTGAGATCGTGCCACTGCACTCCAGCCTGGGTGACAGAGCAAGACTCTGTCTCCAACAACAACAACAACAACAACAAAAGCAAACAAATGATACACAGGTACTTAATATAAATAAACATTGATAGTTGTGGTGAACTTACTTGAGCTCTTCCAAATGGATGATCATTAATAGACAAACCACTTAGATTTAGGAGGTCTACATTTCCTCAGCTGCTAAATAATAGTACAGGTAGAATCTGTGTTTTCCTATCTGAATTCCTTACCTCTAAATTTTTTGTTTGCTAATGTTACCTAGTAAAGAATTATATTTCTGATCATTATCTTTTTATTCACTTATTTGCAAGTTCTTGCCAATGTCCAACAAATTGATGCATAAACCCAGTATCATTTTTATCAATAGTCTACCATAACATTCTTTAAAAAATTTATTTAAAGTGACACATACTGTACATATTTATGGGGCACACAGTGATATTGTGATACATGTAATGTATAGGGTTCAGATCAGGGTAGTTACCATACCCATCTCAAACATTTACCATGTTCTTAATTAGAGACTACGGTATGCAAGGCATTGTGAATTTTACAATCTCAGGGTACAAGGCATGTGTGCAGGATTTTAACTCATTGACACACACGCATTCACTCATGAAACAAAAAATACAGCTTATGGGATACAGTGCATTAAAAAAGACAAAGATGGCTTGTATCTGTCCTACTTAAATATCTTGGTTAATTTGAAGATTAAATGATGTAATGTATGAAAACAACATTAGCAAGTGTTAGCAGACACTGCAACTCACTGTGCGCCAGATTGTTCCACAAGCTTTACATGTGTTCACTTATTTAATCTTTCTAACAAGTCTATGTGGTACATGCTAATAATATAACCAGTTTTCAAAAGGGGGAACTGAAGCTTAGGATGGCTGAATGACTTACTCAATCATATGACTAGTCACTGGAGGAGCTAGGATTCAAATACAGCCAGTCTAACTTGAGAATTTGTTCTCATAACCACTGTACTATATTACTACTCTTAAAAACATGTAAAGATATACATTAATCTATTCATACAGTATGTTACCACATCATTACAAAATGATGTATCTTGCATGAAAATGGAATTGCTGGAATTAGGCAAGCTTTGTTCATTCTGGGGCTTTATATTTACTTGATTATTTTAGTCTAAAATCATCAAATTAGGTATGAGATGGCCACATTAGGATAGTCAAATTATTTTAGTTACTAAAAAGTCCAGATTATATTCTGGGTGTTTTGTACAATATTAAGATAAGTTCTGTACTTGGCTTTAGAAAAATACTTGGGTGTAAAAAAAATGTTTTTCTCTTACTTTTTAGGTTACCATCTTGAAAGAAAAATAAGAAAGCATTGTTTTTTTTTTTTTAGAACATAGAAATTATATTCTTTGAGATCATGTCCTTTGCAGGGTCATGGATGAAGCTGGAAGCCATCCTCCTCAGCAAACTAACACAGGAACAGAAAACCAAATACTGCCTGTTTAAGTGGGAGTTGAACATTGAGAACACATGGACATAGGGGACACAGGGAGGGGAACAACACACACCGGGGCCTATTGGGGGTGAGGGGCGAGGGGAGGGAACTTAGGGGATGGGTCAATAGGTGCAGCAAAGCATCATGGCGCACTGATACCTATGTAACAAACCTGCACGTTCTGCACATATATCCTATTTTCTTTTTTTTTAAGAACTGAAGAAAAACAAAAAATAAAAACAAGAAATTATATTCTTTTAATTTGAAAATTTTTTCCCATCCTTTGATTGTTAGAGGGTTTACTTCCCAAATAAAACCAAAATATACATCATTTGCCTTAAATTCCCTTCTTATTTCTGAAATTTCTTTACTCATAGTCAGGGGATACTCCTGCTGTGAATGAATAAGAATTTTTGCTACTTTGTTCCAATTTGAAAAGGAAAACGATTGGTAGAACTGGGCATCTCTCAAATTCTTCCGGTATTTATTCTCCTGACCTTGCTCTTTAAGGTCACCAATATTTTTGGTGACATTGATAGATGAAGTAGCAGGTGATTCCCAGGGATGGATATGTTGTTCCATATCTAATTGATTGTGGCACAAAAGCCTTTTATGTTTCTGTCCCATGACCAAGGAGAGGTAAAGAGATTATACTCCGTGCTCTCACAATATGTGGGAAATCAGTATTGGAGGAACTATCCACACTGGGGGTGGTTGGATAGATAGGGATTGAAAGTAGGATTGTTTATGTCTCCCTCTTAGCTTTCTTTACCAGAACATTAATTAGATGTGAAGCTAATAGAATACAGTATATGCTATAGGGAAAGAATATGACCTATCATGAACATGGGTTCTTGAATTAGATTCCTTGGATTCAAATAATATTTTATTGCTTCATAGGTATGTGTCCATAAACAAGTTACTTAATTACTCTGGGCTTTGATTTCCTTATCTACCAAACAAGAATACCAAAAGTAGCCATTTCATGGCTTATCATTGGGATTATCAGCTAATTCTTATAAAATAGAATAGTAACTGACACATGGCAAGCTCTCAATGAATGTTAGTGATCACTATTGTTATCAACAAAGAATACTATTATTTTTGCTTCTTTTTATGTCTGGCAAACTACTACTCATCCTTGAATGTTCCGTTGTCTCTTCTATGAAGTCTTCTCTGACAGTCATTTGCTCCTCTTTGTAACTTCCATATTAAATTGCCTGCAACAATTACAAAAATTCTTCCAACAAGAATAAAACTTCATGGTCCACAGCAAGAATAAAAATTCTTCCAAGAATATGCTTGTTGTATATTTTTCATCTCCACTACTTGCAAACTCTCAGATATCAGAAATTACTTAATTATGTAATTATTTTAGAAAGCAATGCTCAGCACAGCACTTACTATATTAGGCATCTGTGATTGGTAAATAAATAAAAAATGAGAGGATGCTGAACTATAACATGGTCTTTGCTATATCATTGTCTATTCTTGGTTCTAAGTATACTGCCAAATTAAAGTTCATTGCCAGAATCTGTTATTGGCAAGAGCAAGGCAACTGAATTACCATAAAGAAGGTTATCAGAGTAAAATTGAAGATATGATTTTGGAATTACACTTACTTTTGGCAAAATGATACAAGACCATACAAATAATAAAATTTATAACTAGTTTTCCCATCTCTAATCTCAATGCTGTTGAATCATTTCTATTTCGTTCTAACAGATTATTCTTTCTAAAGCACTGCTTTCAAGATTTTTTTTCTGCTCCCAGACCTACAATGTTTTGTCATACCTAGTGAAAATTATACTAGCTAAAAATTTTGAGTGGTTATTTGGTACCAGGTACTCTGCTAAGCATTTCCATCTTTATCTTATATAATCAACCCAGGTATTCTCTTAGAAAGGAAACTCAGTGAGAATGGACCCTTATCTTTTTAAGTCAATACTCTTCCCAGATTAATGCCTGATTAATGCTCTCGATGGTACTGAATGAATAAGTTAGGCACTATTATTTTTATTTATGTATTTATTTATTTATTTTGAGACAGAATTTTGCTCTGTTGGACAGGCTGAGTGCAGTGACATGATCTCGGCTCACTGCAGCCTCCGTCTCCGGGGCTGAAGCAATTCTCCTGGTTAGGCACTATTATTATTCCCTTTTTATAAATTAGAAATATAAGAAACAGCAATTGACCCGGAGAATAAAAGGCAGAGTTAGGATTTTAACATATGTGGTCTGTCTTCCTCTTCTACAGATAGATATTAATATCCTAAAGGTTATACTTCACCCTTTTCAGCCTAGCATTTGAGTAAGGAGCAGCAAACTCTGACTGCAGAAAGCTTCAGACAGGCTGCTGAAACTTTTGAACTTGCCGGGTTTATTTCCAGTGACAAGTGTTTGCCCTCCCTAGATCATCTTTGCATTTTTTCTAATTGTGTTCTATGTATTGACTTTGTCGTTCCAAATAGATTGCAGCTCTTGGAAGGCAGTATGTTATCCTAGTCTTTATTATTTTTCACTGGCCTAATTCAAGTGGCTAAGCTTTACATTTCTGAAACAAATAAGTATTTATTCATTCAGTGAGTATTTATTGAGCGCACCAATTATGTGTGATTTTGGATCTGAAGTTGCAGCAATAATCATGAGAGGCAATGTTCTTATTTTCAAGATATTTATCTTTGAAGGCAGAAGATAAGTAATAAACATAATAAGGCAGTGATTAGTGCAATGGAGAATATAAAACTGAGGAAAGAACTGGCAAGTGATGGCAGGTGGCAATGTTAATTTGGTAGTGGTGGGGGCGAGGGCAGCAAGGGAAGGCATTTCTGAGAAGATAGCACTTGAAGTGGGTCGGTGAGACCTGAAAGAGGAAGGAGGCAGTCATGAGACAATACTCTGTCCCGGGGCAAAGGCAACTTAAAAGATGGAAATAAACTCGGCATGTCTGAGGAAACAGAAGGATGGCCAGTGTGGGTGGGTCATTGGAATTGGGAGAACAGACATAGGCAGTAACCAGACTGTGTGGCACCTTCTTGGCCATGGACTACGGACCACTGACTATGGCTTTTAATTCATTAAAGTGAAATGAAATGCTGTAAGAAGATGTTAAGCAGCAGAGAAAAATATCGGCTTTGTATTTTGAAGGATCATTCTATTAAAAGGTAATTTTAGTAGGATAGGAGTGGAAGAATACACAACTTTTTTTTCTTTTTTTTTTCTTCTTTTTCTTTTTTTGAGATGGACTCTCACTCTGTTGCACAGGTTGGAGTGCAGTGGCAGGATCTTGGCTCACTGCAACCTCCACCTCCCAGTTTTAAGCGATTCTCCTCCCTCAGCCCTCCTAGTAGCTGGGATTACAGGCACATGCCACTAATTTTTGTGCTTTTAGTAGAGACGGGGTTTTGCCATGTTGGCCAAGCTGGTCTTGAACTCCTGACCTCAGGTAATCCACCCGCCTCAGCCTCCCAAAGTGCTGGGATTACAGGTGTGAGCCACTATGCCTGGCTATAGACAACTGTTAGTAAGCAAGTGTAGTAATCCAGAAGAGAGATGGTACAACGTATTTCAGGACAGAAGGGATAGAGATGGAGGGAAAAATCAAAAAACCTCCAAAAACAAATAGGATGTAATTAGAGGAAGAGCCAATAGAATTGACTAGTGAGTTGTATGTGAAAGGTGACGAAAAGAGAATTATAGATGATTTCTAGGTTTTTGGCATGAAGTCTGAGTAGACAGTGTAGCTGTTCACTGAAGAGGGGATGCCTTGGGAAGGGAGAGAGAATAAAAAAAAATTAATAGGTGGATCTAGGTATTAAAGAGATAGATCATACGTATCTATTTAGTTCCTTACTTATTTACCATCTTGGTCCACAAAGGATTTGAAACATTTTATAAAGGGAACACATGTTATAAATAATGATAAAATAGACATACAGAGTAGGGAAGAAGGGAAATATAAGCAGAAGTAGAAAGTCACATACTGGGTAGAAAAAATATATGCAGGTGATTAGACTCTAAGTAGTTACTATTATTCAGACTTAGATTTGTCTCTGAGAAAAAAAGTGAGTCTTGGTCAGTTACTTAGTTTTTATTATCAGATCAGAGGAAGCATAACTATCCTTCAGAAGAAGCAAACTTTTTCAGGCCTTAGGTTTTAAAAGAAATTCTTCACAATGAGGCTCAGAGGAGGATGCACTAGAGAATGGAGTGAGAATTCTGATTCAGTTTCAGTGAAGAGCCTTCTTAGGAAAGGACTATGCTAAATAGACATAAAATGCTTGTAGAGTAATTCAAAGAATTCAAACTTTTCAATAGGACCTACCCCTGAGGATTTCTTTTCTAAGCTCAAATTCTTCTTAAGGACTTTCCTGGATGATACTGACAGTCTTCAGTGGACAGCCCAAGCTACCAGTCTTTTAGGTGGATTTAGCCACCATTATTAACATTAAGGCCAATGGTCTATACGAATTTCCTACTTAATGTGTGATAATGAAGGTCTTGGTTTTTTCTAAAAGCTCAGAATTGATTTTGGGTTCAAATTTCTAAACCAGACTACTTTGCTTTTTTCCCTTCCCCTCCTTCAATATTTCATTTCTTAAAAAATTCTTCCCATGTACCCCCAGAGACAAGTTCTTTGCAGGACCATGTGCTGTGGCATTTATGATGAAGAATATGCACTCCTACAATTGTATACAGACGAGGTTATCTTGAACTTTGGGCCATGTTTCAAGACACACATGTTTATTTAGACATCGGGCTTATCTAGTAATTTTTTGAAAATTGGAGAGCAGGTCTCTGTTTCTCTGAGATAGATCTATAGAAGATTTTGTCTACAATCTGTGATTAAAGATAGAGTTAATAATTTGAACATGGAATCTTTTCTTAAAATATGTAACAAATGTAGGAAGACAATTTTACAACAAAGAGCTCTGCTCAAAGTTCTAATGAAATTTCTTCTTATAAAAATATTCAGGATGGTATTAGGTATTATAAGTTTTCTCCTAGAGTTGTTTTAGGTTTTACATTTAAGTCTTTAGTCCATCTTGAGTTGGTTTTTTTGTATGTGGTGAAAGGAAGGGGTCCAGTTTTGATCATCTCCATATGGCTATGCAGTTATTCCAGCACCATTTGTTGAATAGGGATTCCTTCCCCATTTTGTTATTGTCGAAGATCAGATGGTTGTAGATGTACTACAGCTTTATTTCTGGGGTTCTCTAAGCTGTTCCATTGGTCTATGTGTCTATTTTTGTTCCAGCACTATGTTGTTTTCATTACTGTAGCCTAGAACTATAGTTTAAATCCAGGTGGTGTAATGTTTCTGGCTTTGTTCTTTTCACTTAGGATTGCTTTGGGTATTTGGGCTCTTTTTTGGTTCTATGTGATTTTTAGAATAGTTTTTTTTTCTAATTCTGTGAAAAATTTTGTTGGTACTTTGATAGAAATAGCATTGAATCTGTAAGTTGATATAGTCAGTATGGTCATTTCAACTTTAGAAGAAAACTTAAAAGAGATCATTCTGGATGGACACAGGCCCTGGCAAATATTTCATGATGGAAACTCTAAAAGCATTTCAACAAAAACAAAAATTAACAAATGAGACCGAATTAAATTAAAGAGCTTCTGCGCAGCAAAATAAATTAACAGAGTAAACAGATAACCTATAGAATGGAGGAAAATATTTGTAAACTATGCATCTGACAAAGGTCTAATATCCAGAATCTATAAGGAACTTAAACAAATTAACAAGCAAAAACAAACAATCCCATTAAAACATGGGCAAAGGATATGAATACACACTTCTCAAAGGAAGACACACATGCAGCCTACAGGCTTATGAAAAAATGTTCAGCATCACTAATTATTAGAGAAATGCAAATCAAAACCACAATTGAGATACCAGTCAGACTGGCTATTATTAAAAAGTCAAGAAAGAACAGATGCTGACGAGTTTGCAGAGAAAAGGGGATGCTTATACACTGCTGGTCGGAATGTAAATTAGTTTACCCACTATGGAAAGCAGTTTGGTGATTTCTCAAGGAATTTAAAACAGAACTACCATTTGACCAAGCAATCTCATTATTGGATATACACCCAACGGAATATAAATTGTTCTACTATAAAAACACATGCACGCTTATATTCATTGCAGCACTATTCATAATATCAAAGACGTGGAATCAAGTTAAATTCCCATCATTGGTGGATTGGATAAAGAAAACATATACACCATGGAATACTACACAGCCATCAAAAAGATTGAGATCATGCCCTTTGCAACAATATGGATAGAGCTGGAAGCCATTATCCTAAGTGAAGTAACAGGAACAAAAAACCAAATACTACATGTTCTCACTTACAAGTGGGAGCTAAACACTGAGTACACATGGACACAAAGAAGGGAACAATAGACACGATGGCCTACTTGAGAGTGGCAGGAGGACAATGAGATAGGAAGAGATTCATTTCTTTTATGAACTTAAGAAAACATCTTGTGAAGCTGAGATTTTGAGAAAAGAAATGAGGTAGTCTTTTGATAAATTGAGATAAAGAGGTTATTAGATATGTGTTTTAGCACACTTCCATTTCTGCTCATTACATACTCTTTTTCCTAATAAATTTCAAAGATTACAAAGCAACAAGAAACATTACAGAGAAAGGTTTCCTGTTTTGACCGATTTTACATATTTCTTTATTTTTTTACCAGATTGCTTCATCATTATTTTCCCTGTCTGATATATTTGGATGTGTCCCCAACCAAATCTCATCTTAAATTGTAACTTCCGTAAATCCCACATGTCATGGGAAGAGCCCAGTGGGAAGTGATTGGATTATGGGGCAGATCTTTTCTGTGCTGTTCTTGTGATAGTGAATGAGTCTCATGAGATCTGATGGTTTTAAAAACAGGAGTTTCCCTGCACAAGCTCTCTCTTTGCCTGCAGCCATCCATGTAAAATGTGACTTGCTCCTCTTTGTCTTCCACCATGATTGTGAGGCCTTTCCAACGACGTGGAACTGTAAGTCTATTAACCTCTTTCTTTGGTAAATTGCCCAGTCTCAGGTATGTCTTTATCAGCAGTGTGAAAACAGACTAATACAGTGTCTATCCAGGCAATAGGATGAAAAGTCCCTGTTCATAAAGTCCTCTCTTCCACTGGAAGATGTTAAGGAACATCAGAGAGTGAGGGTTTGGTGCCTGTTGTCAGAGGACCAATGTTTCAATTATTGCTTTGGGTAAGTTAGGGAACTTCTGAGTTTTCTTATTTCTAAAAACGGAAGAGGAGATGATCTCATCTTCCTCTTTGGGCTGTTCTCAGGCTTAAGTGAGTTAATATGAAGGAAGGGGCCCAGCCTTTACATAGATGTTTGGGAAAGAGTCACCAAGACAGAAGGGAGAAATTACAGCATTTGTATAGAAAACAATATGGCATATTCTAGTTTCAAGTATTGCTATTTTTGAAACCAGCAGAACCATTGTATATTATAGGTTCTCTTCACAGGTTTTAAGTTACACTCTTCTTAATAGTATAATTGCATCCATTCACTCATTATTCATTTATTCACTCACTTAAATATTTATTGGTACCTAATTTGGGTCATGACACAGTTTTAGGTACTGGGTGTGAGAACATGAGCAATATGTAGAATGTTGAATTTTATATGCAGCTGAATTATCATATAAATGTGAAGGTTTGGTTATGTGTCTCAGAATATTTACTATACAGAGACCATCTCTGAAAGAATTCTTAGAGGATATAGAACAAGAAGATGAGAAATGAATTGAGGGGGAGAGATAAAATATATCAAGTTAGGTTATATTAAAATTCAGTAAAATGGCCAGGTGCAGTGCCTCACACCTGTAATCCCGGCACTTTGGGAGGCTGAGGCAGGGGCATTGCTTGAGCCCAGGAGTTCAAGACTAGCCTGGGAAACATAGTGAGACCCTGTCTCTACAAAAAATAAAAAGATTAGCTGACTATGGTGGCATGTGCTTGGATTCCTAGCTCTTTGGGAGGCTGAGCCAGGAGGGTTGCTTGAGCCCAAGAATTTGAGGCTATAATGAGCTATGATCATGCCACTGTGCTTCAGTCTGGGCAACAGAGCAAACTGTGTCTCTAGAATAAATAAATGAATATAATGTATTTTTATATAAATGAGGAAAGATTAAAAGGGAAACCTGTATATCCACAAAAATCTCGCAGAACAATTTCAGATAAAACCCATATGGGCCTGAGAAGGATGGTTGTGGAACAGATGAAGTAAGAGCATATTGAGCTTCCCATTGTATTCAAGGGAACATATGGATATTGAAAACCTCAGACACTAATTGGAAAAAAATTAACATTAGTCTTGGCCTCAAAAAGAGAAGAATAAACATGGCTTTTATTACATTTAAACTAAAAAATGAAATATTCTATCTATATCCAATGGAGCCTAGAAAAACAAAAAAAAGGGGGGAAAAACACGGAGTGTTTCATAGATAATACAAAATATGCCAATAGAAATCAGTTTTAGTATAACTAAAGGAAATATGATCTATAAATTCAAAGATCAGAAGTCAATCTGGCTGGATCTAAATATAATATTCAGTAATATTTTGGATAATGAAGACATACTTAAAATGATGCAAAAATGTTGAAAATAATGGGATAGAAAAAGATTTTCCAGGCAACTAGGAACCATGTGCTTAAAGTAAAACAAAACAAAAAAGTTTCAAAAAAGACAAAGAAGATCATTAGATCCAGAATTTACAGAGGCCAAGAATGCAATGATTTGGAAGGTAGACTAAAAGAAAAGAGCAAATAAATAAGAGCCAGTGATGCTCTTGTAGGAGGGAAAGGAATGGGATCGAGATTTTTATCTATTGGAAAAAATGGTATAAATCAGATGGATGTACATGAACTAATGGTGATACATGCCATGGCCAATTATGTCCACTGATGTTCAAAAGAAGCAAAATAAAGCAAGGTGATGGGAAGGGGGGATATGTACTTAGAAGGCTATGGGGCTAATTAGGAAGCCCTTGGATTGTTATGAAGCTTGCCGTATTATTTGTCTAACATACTGATGCAGAGATATCCTAATAACTACTTAAGGGAGTTATATAAATGAGTGAATAAGAGCAAGGACGTTGGTGTCAATGAGACATGGGTTGAAGTTCTTACTATATCTTGTGTTTGTGGTCTTGGGGGAACTGCTTAATTCAAGCTTTGGTTCTTCCTTTTTAAACATCACATTATAGGGATGATATGAGGATGAAATGAAATAATGCATGTAAACTGTTTAGCATAGTGCTTGCCACGTGATACTGTCAAGAAAAGAGCATGTTTGGAACAATTTTCAGGTCTCTTTAATTTCTCTGACAATGCCTATTATCATTATTTTCACTTCACTGCATATGTAATTCTGGGTCATAACTTTATTCCTCAAAACTGTCTTGCTGTTTTCCCATTGTCTTAGAAATTTACAGTTGCAGAAAAGGATGAAAGATGCCAGATTTATTTTTAGGACACCTGTTTCCTCAGTTTGGATTAAAAACATATATTTTCTATGTCTTTGAATTCCAAAAATTTTGCTGAAATTCATGTAAGTATGGGTGCTTTTATCAGTAGTTTAATCTCAAACATGTGTGACCTTTCAATCTACCTATGGAGTTCTTTCTTTAGCTCAGAAAAAAGTTTATTATATTTTTGTTCAGTGCTTTGTTTGGTTCCATTTTTATCCAGGTTTTCTAACATAAATGTTTGTTTTTTACAAATATTTCGTGAGCAGTATAGAATACAGTTTCTTCTTTGTGTGTGCACGTATGTGTATGTGTATGAAATCAGCCTTTTTAATTACACTTATCTTCTATGTTCATGTTTGTTTTTGACCATTTGATATTTGCCTTCCAAAATTTTAATTAGCTCTCTCTAAATTTGATAACTTGTTTCTTCACTAAGAAACAATTTTTCTACCTTTTTCCAATACTTGAATTATTAAGTAAATGTTGATGTCACTAAGACATATTGAAAGATAAATAAGCCAAATGCTTTTGAATTGTGATCTATTTAAGAATGTGTCAATATTAAGTTTTCTATACTATTGTGATTTTGCCTATTTCTCCTATTAACAATATTTAATGAAATACGATTTAGGGCATAAAAGTATATGCTATCTTAATGATTTATCCTTTATCATGTTAAAATGTCACTCTTTAAAAACTATCTATTTGATATTTATTTTTAATGTTTCTGGTATTGAGTTTCGAATACCTAAACCTATTATGTTTGAATTTGTCTAAAATATGTTTGTCTGTCGTTTTTGGATTTTTGTGATGTTGTTTTAGCTTTGTTCTTTGTAATCAGCATACTCATGTAAACACCAAATTTTGTCTTTTGATTCAGTTTACAAGTCTTTTAACAAGGAATAATTATCCATTTTATACTTGAAAAGTTTTAAATAAATAGTGCACGTTCCTGTCATTTTGTCCTTTTTCTTTTTTGTTTCTCTATACTTGCCTCTATGTTGCCCCTTTAAAATTTTTATTTGTCTTGAAAAAAATTTTTTTTAAGTTACAGTATAGTACATGGTTTATTATCTTTTATGTCTTCCACTCTTTTGGAAAGTATAATTTTTGCAAAGTGGCTTCCTTTAAATTTTCAAACGTTATGTTTAATCTCTATTCAGCTCATTTTCAAAGTTGAGTAAAATATTTGAGTGGCTCCCTTTGAGATATGGTGTTTAACATGCTATAATTTTCTTCTATCTCTTCCTTCTACCTCCTTTTCAATATAACATGGAATTTTAAATGCAGATAATTTGTATAATATTGCATAATTTTACACTATACTTTTTAAATAAATGGACTGATATTAATTCTTTAAGTCTTAGCTCAGGTGTTGCCTCCCCCGCTTATGCCCCCTACTTCATAAAGTCTCTCATATTTCTTTTTTTTTAATTTTATTATTATTACACTTTAAGTTTTAGGGTACATGTGCACAATATGCAGGTTTGTTACATATGTATACATGTGCCATGTTGGTGTGCTGCACCCATTAACTCGTCATTTAACATTAGGTATGTCTCCTAATGCTATCCCTCCCCCCTCCCCCTACCCCACAACAGTCCCCGGAGTGTGATGTTCCCCTTCCTGTGTCCATGTGTTCTCATTGTTCAATTCCCACCTATCAGTGAGAACATGCCATGTTTGGTTTTTTGTCCTTGTGATAGTTTGCTGAGAATGATGGTTTCCAGTTTCATCCATGTCCCTACAAAGGACATGAACTCATCCTTTTTTATGGCTGCATAGTATTCCATGGTGTATATGTGCCACATTTTCTTAATCCAGTCTATCGTTGTTGGACATTTGGGTTGGTTCCAACTCTTTGCTATTGTGAATAGTGCCACAGTAAACATATGTGTGCATGTGTCTTTATAGCAGCATGATTTATAATCCTTTGGGTATATACCCAGTAATGGGATGGCTGGGTCAAATGGTATTTCTAGTTCTAGATCCCTGAGGAATCGCCACACTGACTTCCACAATGGTTGAACTAGTTTACAGTCCCACCAACAGTGTAAAAGTGTTCCTATTTCTCCACATCCTCTCCAGCACTTGTTGTTTCCTGACTTTTTAATGATCGCCATTCTAACTGGTGTGAGATGGTATCTCATTGTGGTTTTGATTTGCATTTCTCTGATGGCCAGTGATGATGAGCATTTTTTCATATGTTTTTTGGCTGCATAAATGTCTTCTTTTGAGAAGTGTCTGTTCATATCCTTCACCCACTTTTTGATGGGGTTGTTTGTTTTTTTCTTGTGAATTTGTTTGAGTTCATTGTAGATTCTGGATATTAGCCCTTTGTCAGATGAGTAGGTTGCGAAAATTTTCTCCCATTTTGCAGGTCGCCTGTTCACCCTGATGGTAGTTTCTTTTGCTTTGCAGAAGCTCTTTAGTTTGATTAGATTCCATTTGTCAATTTTGGCTTTTGTTGCCATTGCTTTTGGTGTTTTAGACATGAAGTCCTTGCCCATGCCTATGTCCTGAATGGTATTGCCTAGGTTTTCTTCTAGGGTTTTTATGGTTTTAGGTCTAACATATAAGTCTTTAATCCATCTCTAATTAATTTTCGTTTAAGGTGTAAGGAAGGGATCCAGTTTCAGCTTTCTACATATGGCTAGCCAGTTTTCCCAGCACCATTTATTAAATAGGGAATCCTTTCCCCATTGCTTGTTTTTGTCAGGTTTGTCAAAGATCAGATGGTTGTAGATATGCAGCATTATTTCTGAGGGCTCTGTTCTGTTCCATTGATCTATCTCTCTGTTTTGGTACCAGTACCATGCTGTTTTGGTTACTGTAGCCTTCTGGTATAGTTTGAAGTCAGGTAGCGTGATGCCTCCAGCTTTGTTCTTTTGGCTTAGGATTGACTTGGCGATGCGGGCTCTTTTTTGGTTCCATATGAACTTTAAGCTAGTTTTTTCCAATTCTGTGAAGAAAGTCATTGGTAGTTTGATGGGGATGGCATTGAATCTATAAATTACCTTGGGCAGTATGGCCATTTTCACGATATTGATTCTTCCTACCCATGAGCATGGAATGTTCTTCCATTTGTTTGTGTCCTCTTTTATTTCATTGAGCAGTGGTTTGTAGTTCTCCTTGAAGAGGTCCTTCACATCCCTTGTAAGTTGGATTCTTAGGTATTTTATTCTCTCTGAAGCAATTGTGAATGGGAGTTCACTCATGATTTGGCTCTCTGTTTGTCTGTTATTGGTGTATAAGAATGCTTGTGATTTTTGTACATTGATTTTGTATCCTGAGACTTTGCTGAAGTTGCTTATCAGCTTAAGGAGATTTTGGGCTGAGACAATGGGGTTTTCTAGATATACAATCATGTCATCTGCAAACAGGGACAATTTAACTTCCTCTTTTCCTAATTGAATACCGTTTATTTCCTTCTCCTGCCTAATTGCCCTGGCCAGAACTTCCAACACTATGTTGAATAGGAGTGGTGAGAGAGGGCATCCCTGTCTTGTGCCAGTTTTCAAAGGGAATGCTTCCAGTTTTTGCCCATTCAGTATGATATTGGCTGTGGGTTTGTCATAGATAGCTCTTATTATTTTGAGATACGTCCCATCAATACCTAATTTATTGAGAGTTTTTAGCATGAAGGTTGTTGAATTTTTTCAAAGGCCTTTTCTGCATCTATTGAGATAATCATGTGGTTTTTGTCTTTGGCTCTGTTTATATGCTGGATTACATTTATTGATTTGCGTATGTTGAACCAGCCTTGCATCCTAGGGATGAAGCCCACTTGATCATGGTGGATAAGCTTTTTGATGTGCTGCTGGATTCGGTTTGCCAGTATTTTATTGAGGATTTTTGCATCAATGTTCATCAAGGATATTGGTCTAAAATTCTCTTTTTTGGTTGTGTCTCTGCCAGGCTTTGGTATCAGGATGATGCTGGCCTCATCAAATGAGTTAGGGAGGATACCCTCTTTTTCTATTGATTGGAATAGTTTCAGAAGGAATGGTACAAGTTCCTCCTTGTACCTCTGGTAGAATTCAGCTGTGAATCCATCTGGTCCTGGACTTTTTTTGGTTGGTAAACTATTGATTATTGTCACAATTTCAGAGCCTGTTATTGGTCTATTCAGAGATTCAACTTCTTCCTGTTTTAGTCTTGGGAGGGTGTATGTGTCAAGGAATTTATCCATTTCTTCTAGATTTTCTAGTTTATTTGCGTAGAGGTGTTTGTAGTATTCTCTGATGGTAGTTTGTATTTCTGTGGGATCGGTGGTGATATCCCCTTTATCATTTTTTATTGTGTCTATTTGATTCTTCTCTCTTTTCTTCTTTATTAGTCTTGCTAGCGGTCTATCAATTTTGTTGATCTTTTCAAAAAACCAGCTCCTGGATTCATTAAGTCTCTCATATTTCTATGTGGACTTAATCATGTCTTCCTCTTTGAATATTTTTCATGTGTTCTTTCCAGCATGTTCCCTATTGGCATCATAATTACTAGTGTAGACATATTGCTGGCATTGTAGAAGAGTCCTGTATATTTAAACTACCATCAGAAGTTTTATGTTGTTGAATAGAGGTCACATAACCCTGCTTTTTGGCTAATATTGATTTAACCTGGTAATTTAAATACATTCTTAGTATATGTTTATTCTAATTGAAACCTTTCCTTTCATCATAGATGGGAGGTGAGGTATGGATAGAAGGAATTTCAAATGATTTGGATTTGGGTTTGATGTGTTAAGCTCACTTTCTGATTTATCTGCTCCACAAGTGAGATGTTTTCCAAGGAAATCAAGCATGACGCTTGTGTCTTTTGATACCCTGTGCTCCGATTTCAAACATGATGCAGCTGATGCTGATGCCCCCATCACTGAGAACAAGAATTCTCTCCCTGAGGTTGTTAGCATTACTGGTACCACTCATGACTTTAGGCAAAATGCTTATTGATAATGTCATATTTTTACTCTTAAGGAAACTAAACTCATTGATTTCTAGAATTTATCTAAATGATGCTACAAAGTTTCAAACCTATGTTTATCATAATTGATAAGAACATTTCATAAGAACAATTTCATTTCAAGTGTAAATTGCTGAGCAATGCAACTCCAAGCATTAAATTCAAATATCAGCAAAAATGTATACGTGTATACACCATACATGTTTGTAGATAATAAAGAAAAATAGACTGTGTCCTGCCACATCATATTTATTATGCAAGTTACTTGTAATATATTTAAGTACAAAAATGAAGCTTTGAGATAAAAATTTAAATAAATAAATACAAGGAAAAGTAGTAGAAAGTGAGTTTTTCTCAGCCACACTTTCCCAATTCCCCATTAACTTCAGTGGTATCAGTTAACTCCTCTTTCTTTCCCCACTGATCCCTACCAAACTTTAAGCCTTTGAAATTCTACTCTCCCCAAAGAAGGAGGCTATATCCTTTGCTTACCTGCTTCCCTTAGCTAGGTGAGACAGGTTTTTCTTTATGTCTTTTGTTCACATACTAAATCTCAACTATATGGAGAGGCACTAGAGTTTTCACAGACATTTGCTTGCCTTAAAATTTTTGTAACTTATGCCTTCTTTTGAAACTTTTTTTTTTTACAATAAAAGTGCATGAGACAACTTCAAATCACATCAAATCACATGGCTAATGATATATTAAATGTGGAAAGTTTTTATACCTACTTTCTCTTCTCCCCAAGAGGACACTCTGGGGACTATAAGGAAATATTTTGTTGAAAGGAAATAGTTAAAATTTTGCTTTAACATATCCTTAGCAAGAGCAAGCCATTTATTCTCTTAAACTCAAAGGATAGTGTCCCTTGGGGACAGGGCCAGTCGGATTTGCTCTCCAATCCAATTCTTAGTGAAGAGCTTAGACTGAGAAGGCTGAGTAAATGTTGAAGGAATAATTTTTGCACAGCTTCACTGAAGAATGAAATGGTTGGGAGAAAGGATTAAATAATTTTATAATGGTTCTTTACTCATTATTGCATCATGTCTTCCTATAAAAATATTTTCATACTTAAAGATAGTATACTTCTTTGTGGATAAAATATTTAAGTTCATAAATTCATGTATGTCATTTGAAAACCAAATTTGGAAGCACTGAAAAATTAAATATAAATATTAAATTTCTGCTTTGAACCCACATGGAGTAAGAGGGACTAGATTTACCCTCTCCCCACCCATGTGAACTAGAAAACAAGGTGAAATATATGAGAAACACTGAGGATCTGGCTCAGTGTTTGGTACTGATGGACAATGAACACTGAGAGATGAGAAACTAATGGTGTGAGTCCTATGATTGCCTCAGGTTACTGCCTTGATAGAGTTTCTAGGCCATGGTATAAGTAGAGAGAACCCAGGCAGAGCTTGGTGGACTGCCTGAGTTGGGGAGATGGAACTGGGACTATGGAGGGATAAAAATACCTGGAGTTCAGGGGACAGGATTCAGGAGGATAGCAGGTTGCATGGGGAGAAAAAAGTTTAAAGATCGTAGGAGTCCCATTTGAGTATTTGGCAGAGTATTGATAGGCATGTGTGTGAGAAAAATACCTGAGGCTGACAAAGAGCCAGTTGAGAGTATCGGTGGGTAGAATGCCTAGCACTCTCATAGGATTGTGAATAATACCTACTGGTCAGACTCAAAAACCTTATAATTCACAGGGCACTGGGCAGAGAACTCAGAATGGTCTTGCCTCATTAGAAGGGACTAATTAAACTTAGGCTAAGTGCTGTTCTGATCTTACCTAGCACATCTTAGAAGAAAGGCATGAAAGAATATTTTTAAGTAACTTAAGTGCATCCCAGAACAAAGTTTTAAAATATTTGTAGTAAAACAAAAATATCTAGTACCTGATATGATAAAATTTATAATGTTGGCATCAATCAAATATTACCAGGTATGCAAAGAAACAGAAATAATATGTTATATTACTGATTATCATATTTCTCTTCATAATACATATTACCATATTTCTCTTCTTAATACTGAAGAGAAAAATCAATTAGTCAAAAGCAACCCAGAATTATCAGGCAATGACATTAAGACAGTTATTATCATTGTATTCCATATATTTAAAAAGTTTGGTAGAGACCAGAAAGATACAGAATCATCCAAATTGGACTCCAAGAGAGTAAAACTACAATTTCTAAGATCAAAAATACACTGTATAGAATTATCAATTAGACATTACAGAGGAAAGATTAGTGAACTTGAGGACATAGCAATAGAAACTATCCAAAATGAAATACAGGGATAAACTGTATGAAATAAATAAAGCATCATTGAACAATGAGACAATTTCAAGAGACTGATATATGAGTAATTGAAGTTACTGAAATGGGAGAAACAGAACAAATACTTGAAGATATATGGCTGAAAAGTTTCCAAATTGGATGAAAACTGTAACTATACACATCTACAAAACACAATGAATCCTAAGCACAGAAGTATAAAGAAAACTAAACCTGGACATATTATAATGAAATTGCTCAACATCAGTGATAAAGAGAAAATTCTAAAAGCAGCTGTAGGAAAAAAAGATGTTACATAGAAAGGAAAATTTTAAGAATGACAGCAGATTTCTCTGAAAACAGTGCAAGTCAGTGGATCAACTGAAAGAACTGCAAGGAAAAATACACAAATCCACAGTGATATATCAAGATTTCAATATACTGTCTCAATGTTTGATGCATAAGTCAGAAAAAATATGGAAGCCTTGAAAAATACTATCAACCAATTTGACCTGGTTGACATGTATGAAATACCCACTACTGAACAACAGATAAACATTTTTCCCAAGTGCACACCAAACATTTACCCAAGTAGACCGTATTCTAGACCCCCAAATAAGTCTCAATAGATATATTGAGACTGCAAAACTCATGCCTGTAATCCTAGCACTTTGGGAGGCTGAGGTAGGCGGATCACCTGAGGTTAGGAGTGCGAGACCAGCCTGGCCAACATGGTGAAACCTGGTCTGTACAAAAAATACACAAATTAGCTGGGTGTGGTGGCGCATGCCTGTAATCCCAGCAACTCTGGAGGGTGAGGCAGGAAAATCACTTGAACTCGGGAGGCGGAGTTGCAGTGAGCTGAGATGGAGATCGCGCCACTGCACTACAGCCTGGGCGACAGAGTGAGACTTTATCTCAAAAAAAAAAAAAAAAAAGTTATATGTGAAATTCCCAGATATTTAGAAATCAAATAATGGACTTCTGAATAATTCAGAGGTCAAGGAAGAAATAAAAAGTGAAATTAGAAATTATTTGAATTGAATGAAAATGAAAATAGAACATATAACAATTAAATGCTACCATCTTAAGAAACTAGAAAAAAAAAAGAACTAATTAAACCCAAGGTAAGGAGAAGAAATAATATAATAAAAGTCACAGTGGGAATCAATCATTGAAATAGGAAACTTAAAAACAATAGAGAAAAAGTAAGTGAAAGCAAAAACTGGTTCTTTGAGAAGACAAAGAAAATTGATAAACCTTTGGTCCAAGTGATTAAGAAAAAGGGAAGAAGAGACAAATTACCTATATCAAGAATAAGAGCGATAACATGACTCCAGATTTTATAAATATTAAAAAGATAACTTTATAGGAATAAAGTCAACATCTTAGATAAAATGGACAAATTCCATGTAAACCACACATTGTTAAAGCTCTCTCAAAAATAATTAGATAACTTGAATAGTCATAGTAAAGAAATTGAAGTTGTAATTAAAAATCTCTCCACAAAGAAAACTCAGGTCAGACATCTTAACTAGTGAATTCTACCAAACATTTAAGAATGACATGAAAGAATTTTAAACAAGCTTTTCCAGAAAATTTAAGAGGAGAGAATACTTCCCAACTTATTCTATGAGACTATTATTGTCCTGATTTCAAAATCAAACACATCACAAGGAAAGAAAACTGTACATCATTATTTCTTGTGAGCACAGACACAAATTTTTTTAAAAAGTTAAACAAATCAAATCTAACAATTTATAAAAAGAATAATACATTGTCACTAAGTAGAGTTTTCCAAGGAATGCCGTGTTGGTTTAACATCTCGAAATCAATCATTGTGATTTATTTTGACCTCCTAGTCTCAAGGGTTTCTCCTGTATCAGCCTCCTGAGTGGCTGGGACTGCAGATGCATGTCACTACACCTGGCTAATTAAAACAATTTTTTTTGTAGAGATGGAGTCTTTCTATGTTGCCTAGGCTAATGTATTAATTAAAAACTATACAAGTATCTCAATAGATACAGAAAAACTTTTAACAAAATTCAACATTGATTCCTGATAAAAACTGTTATCCAAGTAGGAATAGAAGGCAGTTCCTCAATCTTCTAAAAGTCATCTACAAGAAACCATCAGCTGTTGTCATAATTGTGAAAAGCTGAATTATTTCTTCTCTAAAACCAGAAACAGTACGAACGTTTCCACTCTCACTATTCCTATTCAGTACTGTCCTATAGGTTCTAGCCAATGTAATGAAAGAAGAAAAAGAAATAAAGATAGCTGGACTGTAAAGGAGGAGGTAAAACTGTCTTTAGTCACAATTGACATAATTGTCTATGTACAGATTTTGATGGGATCTACCAAAATAATTATTAGAACTAATATATGTTTAGCAAGTTTGTAGGACATAAGGTCAATACACAAGAATAATTGTATTTCAGTATACTATAAACTAATGAGTAAGTATTAAAATTAAGAAAACATTGCCATTTACAGTAGCATCAAAATATAAAATACTTAAACATAAATCTAACAATAATGTACAAAATTTGTACATTGAAAACGACATACTTACGATGAAATAAAGGAAAAAGATACCTAAATAAATGGTGAATTATACTATATTAAGGGGCTAGAAAACTCACTATTGTTAAGATGTCAATTCTCTTCTAATTGATTTGTAAATATAGTGTAATCCCAATCAAAATTTCAGTGTAGGCTATCTTTTTAGAAGTTGACAAACTGATTATAAAAGTGATTTGAAAATGGAGAAGACCTAGAATTGCTCAACACTATTAAAAAGAACACAATTGGTGGACTTAAATTCTTCCTGATTTCAAGACTTAATATAAAGCTACAGTAACCGAGACAGTGTGGTGAAAGTGTCAAGATAGACATAGATCAATGGAGAAGAATAGAGTCCAGAAATAAATCCGTATATATATGAAGAATTAATTTTCAATATAAATGCAAAGGCAATCCAGTGAAAAGGGATAATGTTTTAAACAATGGTGCTGGAGCAATTGGATATACATCTACAAAAAAGTAAAAAATAAAAAACAACAACAAAACAATTTTAATCCATACCACGCACCAAAAAAAAAAAGGATTATAATTTTAAATGGAAAACCTACAACTATAAACCTGCTAAAAGAAAGCATAGGAGAAAATTTTTGTAGCTTTTAATTGAGCAAACATGTATTAGGTAAAGCACTTAAAGCAAAATCTACACAAGAAAATGTTAAGAAATTGGACTTCATAAACATTTAAAACTTCTGGTCTTTGACACGGTTAAAAAATGAATGAAAAGGCAAGCTACAGCCTGGCAGAACATGTTTACAAATCATATTTTTCATAAAGGACTTGTATTCAGAATATATTTTAAAACTCAAAATTTAATAACAAGAAAAAAATTCAATAAAAAGAGGAAATCATTTAAACAAACACTTCACTAAAGAAGATAATACAGATGGCAAATAAACGGATTCAAGGACTCTGGATATTATTAGTCCTTAGTGAAATATAAATAAAAATCACAATAAGATTACAGTATGAGCCTATTAGAATGGCTAAAGTTAAAAAGACGGAACTTACTAAGTATCGACCACGATGTAGTAAGAATTCACTTTGGAAAACAATTTGGCAGTTTCATAGAAATTTAAAGTATATAGCTACCGTGAAATGCAGCCATTCCACTCCTAGGAATTTACCCCACAGAAAAGAAATCATGTGTCCAAATGTCTACATGAGGGTTTTTTTTTTTTTTTTTTTTTTTACCGGCTTTATCTGTAATGAGAACAAACTAGAAACAACCTGAATGTTCACCAATAGGTAAATGGATAAACAAATTGTAGTATATTTATATAATACTACTCAGCAATATAACAGTATGAACTATTGATGAATACAAGAACATTTATGAACATGGGTGATTCTGAGTTAATTGTGCTAAGGCAATAAAACCGGGCAAGGTAAAGTAGATACTATATATACTGGAGTAGTGTACCATATGATTTCATTTAGATAAATTTTTAGAATTAAAGTTAGCAAGTTAAATGTTGTTTTGATATAATATTAAATTTTTCAAATTTATGATGGATATGGAGAATCTCAATAGCTCCTTTGTAAAGAAATGCATAATGCTTATCTCAATTCTTAATATTATAAGAATGAATTATTTGGGATTTTAGATCATTTTTAAACTGGCTTGCGAGAGTATTAAGTCTTTTGGGAATCTTTGACTAAAAATTAAGGAATGTGAAGTTCAAAATAGATTTTTCTTTTTAGTTTTCTCACAAAGACAGTTTATTCCTCTGACTTAAATTGGATGATTGGCATAAAAGTATCAAGTAAGCTTCATGCAAGAAATTTTATAGAATATTATGACTTCAGAGAGCTACAGACATCAACGTTTATGATTTTTTCTTTCTGATTTTTTTTTTTCTGAAGGAAACACAATGAGGCAAATGTGATCTGCATAGCTCCACCCTTTGTGAACATCCTTGAGTTGGAAAAGTGCTGTGAGAGGCACGTGTCAATCTTCAGAAGCTGAAGTGACTTGTCTAGGTAGGGAGCATGTTCTGACAATGGAGACCTCCCCTGGGGATGTTTGCAAAGTGAGAGTTCGTTTTCACTCAGCCTCTGTATAATTTCTAAAATATTTTAAACCAGTTTTTATGTCATTTTGATTTTCAAATGAAGAATAGATTCAAACGTTTATGAGGAGTGAACTCATTCCTGAATTTCCCAATATATCCCAATATGTGATTTCTTAGAGATCATCGAAGTGCCTCATACTTGAAACCTCCAAGAGGTCATCTTGGAATGCATTCTATACTAGCAGCTGTGTTTTCTGGTGAGGCCTTTGCACACATAGATTCTTCTTGAAGAAGTTTGAGATCAATAAGGCGGATTCACTATGATCCGTATCCTTTTACTCATCTTGTGAAATTTTCAAATTTTATTTATTTATTTTACATTTTTTTAGAGACAATCTCACTATGTTGTCTAAGCTAGTCTAGAACTCCTGACCTCAAGCAATCCTCCTGCCTCAGCCTCCTGAGTAACTGGGATTACAAGTGCAAGCCACCACGACTAGCTTAATTTTTCAAATTTTTGAATTTGTCAATAAATTTTCCATTGGCATACCTTCACTTTATGTATGTATTTGTTTTAGACCTAAAATTGGTACAAAAAGCATCTGGGTAAGGAGTAAGCATGAAGAAAGATGTGTCAGAATTGGCAGTAAAGAAGAGCACAATGCAAAAATGTTTTTTTTTTCCCCCAAGGTTTATTTATTTATTTATTTTTATTTATTTATTTTTTGAGACGGAGTCTCGCTCTGTCACCCAGGCTGGAGGGCAGTGGCGCCATCTCAGCTCACTGCAACCTCTGCCTCCCAGATTGAAGAGATTCTCCTGCCTCAGCCTCGTGAGTAGCTGAGATTACAGGCACACGCCACCACTCCTGGCTAATTTTTGTATTTTTAGTAGAGACGGGATTTCACCATGTTGGTCAGGCTGGTCTCGAACTCCTGACCTCAAGTGATCCACCCGGCCTCAGCCTCCCAAAGTGCTGGGATTACAGGCATGAGCCACAGCACCCGGCTAAAAATGTTCTTTAAAAATATGTATACCTGTGTCTGTCCTCCTCACCTTCTGGAATAAAATTAAGGAGAAAAAATATCTATAATGTTGGGCTGCATTTAGGAAAAATGTATACAGCTAATAGAGATAGATGGTTTTTCCAAATACCAAATATACATGCTCCATCATTGGTATCTGACTTGTGGAGGCAGTAGCCAATTCAAAAGGGTGATCATTACAGTATTTAAATTCCAAACATAGTTCCAAATAAAAGGACAAATTCGGTAAGAGATAAGCTGGTGTTGGCCAAAAAGAAAAGACTCTCAATATGGCTTTGTGGATCGTGTTTTTAACAACACAAAGATTTCTTTAGTTCATGTTTAAGAAACAAATGATCAGCAGTTCTTTCTGGTGAGTTAGCAAAATGTCACATCTAAATTGATGCTGATAACTCCATACTTAATTGGATAGATTTGGTTAAATAATGTTCATAACAACAAGTTAGTCTTGAGCCAGCCATGGTAGTGGAAGTCACTCTCACTCACTAATTATTGTTGTTGCTATCAATGAGACCCTTTTTTCTAAAACTATTAAAGGGAAAGAAAGAAGATGGTTGATAGTCACAGAAAGAGTGTTTTCCTCCACTTCAGTTTTACCAGTTTCAGTTTTGTAGAATTAGAGCAGCATGTGTAATTGCGCTTTTTGCCATTCATCTGAGTAAACTTCCACAATTGTACAAATAGAGATCATAGAACACATCTTTAAAGCTAATTAAATCAACATGATGGGCTCCTACAGCTGCTTAGATTGTGTCTGTGGCTTTCCAGTACGTAAAACAAATGTGTGGCCATGGAATAATAAACTTCTTGCTTTTCTACCAAAGTAACTTCCCTCCTCTACAAATCTTTACTTACTGACCATCAAGCACATTTTCCTCTATTTTTGTTCTATATTATGGCCCACATTTTACACATTTTAAATAACAAGTTTTAGTAGGGCAACTTTTTTTTTTTCCTGAATACTCTTTTATTTACTTTGATACAATAACAGCTTAATTATTATATAGTAAGTGGAATAAGTCTTTTCTGCTAAAACTATGAGCTGAAGAAAGAATATGATTTCTATAGCATTGTTAATATTTAAATTGTTTTCATATCAGCTATCAATAGCCAAAGCACCAAAGTTTATTTTATGTTTATTATTTTATTATCTCCACTATGATCCTATGAGGCATTATTACCCTCAGTTATCAAAAGATGAAGCTGAAGAAAAAAAGGTGGAGTGATTCAGGGAAGGGAGAACTGAGATTAATGTCCAGTTCTTTTGATTTCCACCTTAGCTTTCTTTGCATCCAAGTAGAATATTGGCTTTGGAAAATAATTGGGGCCTTTTAATTGAGGGAATGGACTACATTCTACTGGCTTTAAATAATTCCTTTTCATATTTATTGGCTAGATATCTGTGAGCAAATTGTGGTCATGTCCTTTTTTTCTTTTTTGCTGACAAGGAAATTTTCTTCCTTACTACTAAAGAAGGAAGTTTGGCGCATTTTGACTTATTTCTTTCAGAAATAAAAATATCTCTCAGTTAGGCACATGTAACACTTGATTTCTTCACTCCTCTCCCAGAAAGTAGGGCAGTGAGGACTCTTCATGTAACTAAAGGCAGGACAATTTTCATGTGCTAGATAAAAGATAAGTTGTAAACCACTTTTGGTAAACTCTTTTTGTCCTTTTTGGGATATTGTTCTGTAACCATGCATACATAACACATTACATATACACGTGTGCTCACGGACACTTGCCAGATAGAGCTGGGGTGGAGCACAAGCCTCAAGTTTCATGGAAGTGTTTTCTGTTTTGGAGCAGAGAAGTGTTCTTCTAAGCCATCTGGCTCCTATTAGTGCAGGTTCTGCTGTCAGCATTTACTTAAATAGGGAGAGGCCCTGTCTATGTCACCCTCGGGAGGATCACTATTTCATGGCTAGATTGGTTTAAGTTTTTATTTATCTACCAGGACAAAATGGTAACACAAATAAATGCCTTATGAGATATTTTCAGAGTTTAGTCATAGTCTCTTAAATATAACTCCATTGTTCATTTCCACCATAGTCTTTATAAACTAAAGCAATCTTAGTAGACCTTCAAATAATATTTGAAAAACATCTTCTCCAATTATATCTAGGAATATCTTTAGCCAAATCCCGATGCACATTTCCTACATAATGTATCTATACACAAAATATGTATAGATATATATAGCAACATGGGACAAGTCATGACGATCCACATGACCACTGGAGAATGTAACTCTTTAAAATATTCTGTTCCGATTTTCCGTTTGTTTTGTTAGAACTAGTACATTTTGCAATTCTGTTACCATCATTATAAGAAATAATATGTGTGGTAATTAAGAACTTGGACTCAGGAAACAGACAGTCTGGGTTTGAATCCTAGCTGTACCACTTCCCTGCTGTGTGATCTTGAACATGTCACTGTACCTATCTGTGCCTTTATCTGTAAAATTGATATCCTAATAATAGCTACCTCATATGTACTTGTGAAGATTAAGCAAATTAATATACATTTACTGCTTAAATAGTGTCTGGTACATGAGTGCTCACTAATTGCAAACTGCTATTTTATTACAAGAGAATATAAAAAATGATCTTAATGTGCTCTTTGTATTTAATACTATTTCACCAAAGGTAATTTTAACTTAATAATTGTTAGAGTTACAAAGTATTTTCCATCTATGTATTAAAAAAAAAAAAAGACATGCAATTTCTTCTTAAGGCAACTCCAGTAATTGGATATTTCGAGACCAAGAAGGAAATAAGGTTACTTTATAACTAGACCCATTGGGGTTAGATGTAAATTCATTTCAAATTCTTTCAGAAAATTCTACTTTCTCTCTTTTAGTTATCCTTTTCATCCTTCTAAAACAATATTCCCTTAGGGGGTAGGGGGAATAACTTTAATCGCTATCTTCTCTGCTCCCTTACCCCAATTTTATTTGGCCAGCAAAAGTCTCCCGGGAATCTCAGTCAATACCAGTCTCTCTCCCTTTCTCTCTGTTTTTCATGCTTCTCATCTCTCTCTCTCTCTCTCTCTCTCTCTCTCTCTCTATCTCTGTCTCTCTGCCCCCAGCCCAATTTTCACTTCCCACTAGAAAACCTTTCACTGATCTTCCAGAAAGTGATTTTTCCCTTCTTTGTGTCATTACCAGATTTTGCTCATTATGACTTATTATATTGCAATTACTATTTGATATGTTTGTTTACCATGCTTGATTGTGACTTTCTTGAGAATACCAATCATATTGACCTTTGTATTGTCAACATCTAGGACAGTGTCCACTACACATTTTTTTAAATTCGGTACATATTTTTTGTATAGATAAATTATGTAGGAGATGTGCATCGGGATTTGGCTAAAGATATTCCTACATATAATTGGAGAAGACGTTTTTCAAATAAATATTATTTGAAGAATACCAAGGAACCCACTCCTCAAATTTGTCTTTTCATTGGCTTGCTGCAGTCACCTATAATCCCCTATTAGGGATCATTTAAAGGTCTTGGTACATGTTTATCTATTTAAGACATTATCTTGTCCAGGATTAGTAAAAACTAACAAGCCAATATGCCTATTAGCAAGGATTAGCTTATGTGAGACTGAAGAGATTGATAAACAAAAATGGTAAATTGTGATGTTAATAGGGTCTGGTGTATGGATTATTAGAGAGGGCATTGATCAGTAAGGGAGTGACTTAGAACCCTAAAAACTTTGTAACTAGGAGCTGGAGTTGAAGGGCATCCAAAGGTTGATAGATATCCTGAAGGCCAACTTGGCTTATGTTGCCATTAAGCTGAGATTTGGCTTCACTGAGTCACAGCAGTCAGAAAAGGGAGCTCCGGGTGAACATTTTGCTTGAGTCATGCAGCTCTCCTCTCTCCTACAAAGGTGGAAAACCAATGTCCACGTGCTAGAGCTCACTGGGCCCATTGCAGTTATACAGGACAGGCACTGCTTGCTCTTAGAAAAATAAATTAGATTCAATAGTGGGTTGAAAGTTTAAAAAAATGATCGTAGTTTAATACAAGACAGATACTCTGCCCTGTTATTTCTTGATTCTCTACTCATTAGAGTTGCTCAGAAAGTTAATCTATCCACACACAATTCATCACATGTGTTTATATTTCAAAAAGATATTGAGATGGGAATTACTGGTTTTATAAGCCCTGTCTGTCTGACTATTAAATCATTTGCAGACTGTCAAACAACATTCACTTTGGAGGGGTTAGAAGGTCCTAGAACCGCACTGCCCCCATTTCCTTCACTGGGAAAAGCTGTTGATATATGAAAAATAGATGTTTAAATAAGCTACCTGCTTTTGTATGAATAACTCCAGGCATTTTAAGCCACATGTGCAGTTGGGTAGAGGACCTCACATATAACTTTTGGAGCCAGTTTTATACAGTGTTTAAAGTTTTCTCTGGCTAAAATTTAACCACATTTGGAAATTCTATGAACTTTTAAATGAGTGCTCTATCATTCTGTTATTCTATGGCCAGTTTTTTATAGCGATAACTGCAGCATCTTCTGATTTGCCCCCTCCCTATCCATTTCCATAGGTACAAATAACAGTACCTAGCCTGTCTTTACCTTTCCATAATCAGATACATCACAGCAAGAATTGTCTTTGAGTGCAATTTTATAATATGCTGTTTCTTTTACTTTTATACACATGCAGTGGCTCTTCCCTCATATTAAGTCCCTACTTTAATTTTGTGGCTCAGGACCTTCTACTGTTTCTCAAAACTATAGATTGCCCTCTGGGCTACATTCTAGCTTATATCCTTTATTCTACCCAAAAGGCACCTAATTCCTACTCCGCTTACCTCACTGTCCCTCCAGTTAGCTTATTTTTAAGCCATTGTATTCTATTCTCCATGTCTAGAAATTCTTCCCTCTTCATCTTAGCCATTGTTTCTTTCTTTCATATAAGCCTTTCCACTGAGGCACTGATCAAAATAACCTGTGGCTTTTCAGTATGTAAATGTGTTTATGAAGAACTACAGTGTAATCAGTTATGTCAACCAATTGATCAACTGTTTAATGATCACTATGTTCTTACAATGTGGTAAGCATTATAAAGATTAAAAAATAATTATCATAAAATATAGTTTTTTATATATTATAAAAATACATAAATTATTATAAAATATAGTTTTTGTCCTCAACTATGATATAATTATGACTTGAGTGCAGTATTAACATAATAAAATTCTAAATACTGTGATATAGATACAGTTAAATATGGTAGAACTCAGTGGGTTAAGAACACTGCTCTAAACCCTAAGGACATCCAGCATTCAGTCTCTTAAGCACCTTTTTTACATTCGATTATTGGTGTCCCTCCTTCAGGACTAACCCTACCACGTTCTAGCTTTCTGAGCTGTCCAATATGTTAGCCATTTGTCACATGCGACATGTGGCTAAGGAACATAAAACATGTGACTAGTGTGACTGAGGAACAGAAATTTAATTTCATTTGATTCCATTAATTAAAATTCAATTTAAAAATGAAAATTCAATTCAATTATTAGAAAACTTTTACATACGTTTGGAGCAACTTAGGTTCATAAATCTACTTTTCCATCTGTAAATTTTATAAATCTAAATAAAGGCCAGTATTACCAGTGAAAATTCATCACCAGAATTGAGATGTGCTATATGTGTCAACTGGATTGTGAAGACTTAGTAAAAAGAAAATAATGTAACATATCTCATTTTTAAAACATTGATTGCATGTTGAAATGATAGTATTTTGGATACATTGGGTTAAATGAAATACATTCCTAAATTTTATTTCACTTTTTTTTACTTTAAAAAATGTGACTACTAGAAAATTTGAAATTACACATATGGATTACATTACATCTCAATTAGACAACACTGTTCTAGATAAACCAGATCTGTCCTAGATTTGTACATGTCCCTGAACCCCAAGGCCAGCTATTTCTATGGTGTCTCTTGGTCACCCAGAGTTCTAGTGCATTTTGGCCTTCTGCTGATTCTACCATATTAATCTACAGGTAGGTTGTATTTAAAAACATAGTCCTGTATTATCATGTGCTACTGTAGTGAAATATAGTGAAATACAGACTTCTGCTCAGATGGCCCTTTTGCTGTTTGTCTATTGATCTAAATGTTTTTATTCCTTCTTGTTCACTCTTTTCTTTTGCTACAATGGCTTTGGTCTCTGTACTAGGCTTTCTTCTTCTTCCTCAATCTTGTGTGAGAAAATGAGTTGCTTTTGGCTTTAGCTTCTTGTCACAATCCTTCTATTTCTGGGACAAACTTGTTCTTGGCTTTGGGCCCTTCCTTTCTGCACCCCTCCCACTGTTGCAGGTCAACTAGAGGATAATGCGAACCTTCGGGGAAACTGCTCAGGTTCCATGTGCATAAATCTAAGCAACATAGGCAGCGTTGCACTCATGATATTTCCAGAGCATAAGGCTCTGGGGCCCTGTGCTTTTTAATTTTTATTTCCTTAAATCTACCGGACATGGTCTTTAAAATTCATGTTTGCCTCACCATCCCGTTATTTATCATTAATCAGATTTAGATCCAAACTGGCAATTTCCTTAGGCGATTCCTCTTTTCTTTGGAGATGAAGTCCAACATCCTTCTCATATCATTTAACATTCTACACCATTTGACCCCAACTGAGTTGTCCACTTTGACCTCCAGAACCTAACTGTAGCACATCATGGTCTCTTTCTTTCTTAGCTCTCCTACCATTAATTTTTTATACCACATTTATAATGTAGCTCGTTCTGATTTTCAGTTAAATAGAGAGAACCAAGTTAACTGAGTTATGAAACTGCAACAATAACAGTACAATAACAATAGTTGACATTCATATAGTGCTTAGTGTATGCTAGGCACTGTTCTAAACACTTTATATACTTCTACTCATTTCATCTTCCTTCGGTAACCTATAAGTGTTGTTATTATCTCATTTCACTGTGCGAAAGGTTGAAGTACAGCAGATCCTTGAATAACATAGTTTCTTTCAACATTATTTCATTTTAACACTGATGAGGAAAAAAAAACTTCACTCTGGCAGGGGCCACTGTGTGTGTAGAGTTTGCACATTCTCTCTCTGTCTGCTTGAGTTACCTCCAGGCACTCTGGATTCCTTCCACATCCCAGAGGCATGCGCATTAGGTGAATTGCATCTGCGTGGCCCCGGTGTGAGTGAGTGTGGGTGTGTGTGAGTGTGCCCTATGATGGAATGGTGTCCTGACCAGGGTGGTCCCAGACTTGCTCCCCTAGGTGCTAGGAGAGGCTCCAGCCATCCAAGGCCTGAACTGGAATAAGTGGGTAAACACTTATCATACTTGTTTTTGTTAATCTTTCTTAAATGTGTGTATTACTCACATTTATTTCAATGTTTAATACTAGAAGTGTTTAAGGTCTTTATTTAGAAGTTTAGTGATGTTTTGTGACCAGAAATATAGGAACTTATCTCTTTCTTATGTCAATAACCTGTGATAAAATGTTTTGCTTAAAGTTAGTTTCTGAGAACCTATGGATGATGACATTAAGGGAGGATTTACTGTACAGGGAAATTAAATAACATGTACAAGACCACATAGCTAATAAAGGGTAGAGCTAGTATTTCAACATAGGCAATCTAGCTTTAGAGTCTATGCTTATGTATTTGAGCTAAATTGTTTTGGAAACTTTGTCTCAGGCACTTTACATAGATTTTCTCATTTAATCTTCACAACAACCTGTGAGGAAAGCTATTAGAAGGTAAAGTAACAAAAAGAATTTTGGAAGTAAAAGAGATTCCACTGGACTAGACATATGGCAGTTACTCCCAAAACATTAGTTTTGATAGTGCCCTACATCAGAAGTCAGAAAACTACCAGTGTGCAGGCCAATTCTGGTCCACTACCTGTTTATGTAGATGAAGTCTTATTGGATCACAGTCATGCTTTTTCATATATGTGACAACTATGGCTACTTTTGCATTACAATGGTGGGATTGAGTAGTTGAGGGTGAGACTCTATGGCCCAAAGCCTAAAATATTTTCTGACTCTTTATAGAAAGGTTTGCCAACCCTTGCTCTGCAACATACCTGAAGAGTAAATGAACGCTGCTATTAATGTTAAGATTATACAATAAAAGAAGTGCTTGTTTACTGCTTCCTGCCCAAACACCCTTTTATTCCTTTTTTTTTTTTTTTTTGAGATAGAGTCTTGCTCTGTTGCCCAGGCTGGAGTGCAGTGGTGTCAACTCAGCTCACTGCAACCTCCGTCTCCTGGGTTCAAGTGATTCTCCTGCCTCAGACTCCCAAGTAGCTGGGATTAGAGGTGCACACCACCACACCCAGCTAATTTTTGTATTTTAGTACAGACAGGGTTTCACCATGTTGGCCAGGCTGTTCTCGAACTCCTGACCTCAAGTGATCCACCCAAGTCGGCCTTGCAAAGTGCTGGGATTACAGACGTGAGCCATGCCGCCTGGCCCCAAACCACTATTTGTTTAAAGACCTTCTTTATATTATCTGAGGGGACATTAGGTGCTTCACTAAGAACTAATGGTTTTATCACTTCCTGTGGCTCACGTCAGCAAAACAGCCCTTCGTCTCCCATATCATATTGATTCTTTCTATGGCAGGTGTCGTGCTATTTGATTAAATTGATATGTTCTCGAAAAGCTGATATAAATTAAAGTTTGGAACATTGAAACACATTTTCTGTTCATTTGTATTATAATTTATGTGATGTTTTATCTACTTGAAAGGACACATAACTCTTTATAAAATGTTATGTGGCTGCTCTTTCATGATGCCTTCTTTCCACTCCCCCCAAGTACTAGCACTGATGTTTCTGTCCACTTGTCATTGTTCTATAGAAAGAGTTGAATCCCACTGTGAAAGCTACTATTATAAAACAAAAAAACAGGTATAATGATTCATAAAATGAATAATCTTTTTCTGATGGAAATAATTGACCTATTGAATTTTAGTATTAACATTTTCTTAAACTGAGACACCCCTATTGTGAGCAACAATGAATGTTTATGAACTACCTCTTCTATTTAAAACATTGTATTAAGTAGTATTGATGATTTTTCATCATTATTATACTATACCAACCAATGGCAATGCTAAAATAATAAAAAACCATCTTTGTTATATTTATTAAAAAAAACCAATAAATTACAGGAGGACTAACCATGTACTGGCATTCCGCTAAGTGCTTAACATGTATATGACTTAATTATCCCTTTAACTCTATGAATTCAGTTGTATTTTTGTCCTCATTTTGCAATGCATACTTTGCAATGTCTACTTCATAATGTATATTTGACATTAATAGAGGAAAAAGAATACAATTGTTTGAAATTAAGTATGTAAAAGAAGGTTAATTGATGGGTTTCGTTAATTTTCTAAGTGATGTATAATGCTGTATATCTAAGAGTATTATGATTTTTTAAAAAGCTTTAGTGATACAGCTAAAAAACAAAGATTTCCATGAATAAAGGATTACATTTGGGATACTAGAAGCTATCTTTTTAAGACCAGAAAAATTGAAAAATGTGAGATGAAATCTGTATATTTGTGGGTCATTCATTCACTTTTTATTTAGCATTTATTTATTGAATATTTACTATAGTCCATTTTCTCATGAATCTTATAAACAGGGATGTATTCAACAAGCAAGTAAACATATTAAATTGACGATTATGAAAAGGGCTTCAAACAACATGAACAGAGTGGTGATGTAAATAACAATAGAGATGATCATATAGGTTAGACATAGGAGACTCCTCTGAGAGGAAAAAACTTAAGCTTGTAGCTTGAGAATGAAAAAGAGCCTGCCATGGAGAAGGTATGGGAGCGGGTGGCACATGTAGGTAGAAGGAATGGCATATTCTAAGAGTATCAGTTAGTCTTGGAGCTAACAAGGCAAGAGGTTGACTTTAAACTCATTGATCCATGAGCTTTTAAACTCATTTAAACTCATTGATCCATGGGCTTTTTCCCCTTCCAGGAGACACTTCTGTGGCCCATCCATCTTTGGGCTTCTACAAGGAAAATTACAAAAGTTTATTAAATGTTTCTATCATCAGAATAATTAGCAATTATTGTAACTGCATTTAAAAATAACTAAAATATTTATGTTAACTAACGTAGAAAATGTCTTTTTAAAAATGTCAAACTTTTATAATAATATGAATGCATTGTATACCCATCAGCAGACTCCTGGAGGGCCAAATGTAAGGTCACCATGGAGCAGTTATAATCCTTGTTCCTTAACTCAATTCCCAGCTCAGCATTCTGTCAACTCTGTTTGTTTAGGCAATTTACATAACCTCTCTGGGTTTTAGTTTACTCTTTAGCAAAACAAGGATAAAGATGTATATTTAAATATTACTATGAAAATTGTTTAAAATATTTTGAACGTAACTGACACACTGTGCTTGGCAAGAAGTAGGCATTCAAATATTAATTGTGATAGATCTTTTATGTATGTTAATAATAACAATGATTCATATTTATTGAGAACTTACTGTGTACCAGGTGGTTTTCAAGAATTTTCAATGTTCTTAACTCATTTTATCCTCACAAAAATTCTGTGAAATGATTCCACATGTTTTACATGTTTTCTTATCTCACATCTAAGGAACCTAAAGCTGGAGATTATGCAGCTTGCCCAAGATCACAGAGCCAGTAAATGGCAGAGCCAAGAATTCAACCCTGGTGGTCTGGCTTTGGAGCTTGTGCCCTTAATGACTACCTTTTAAGTATGTTTTCTCATATAAAAAGAAATTGTTGAAAACTGAATCTTGTCAGTTTCTCAGGTAAGCAGCACAAAGCAATGTAGTACTTTGGGGTGAAATCTGAAGCTAAGAGAATGTGCTTACTTCACACAACCAATGCAGGCAATGCATTCTGTTCATAAGTGACCTCTGCAGTAGATTAAGACCAGTTTTCAAAAGAAAAAAAAAAAGACAAATTGGCCATCAAGATATACAGCTTGTTATTATAAAGAGTCCTGAATGTGTATCACATAAGAGTTTCCAGAGCAATTTATTGTCAAACAGATAGCAGCATGTAAATTTCCAAGAATCAACCTGGCATCACTGGAAAAATCACACCCTTGAGGCCTGGGTATTGTAGACAGTTCCACAGCAGCTGAATCATAAAGACTTTTATAGATCAATAACCCTCAACCTTGCTGCATTACAAAGCATCTTCATCAACAAAGAGAGTTTCAGGGAGCCGCAAAAGCACAGTGGAATTATTGGAACAGGTGGGTTTTGTGTGTATGTATGTATTTTATTTTTCACAAGGTTATTGCTGGATAGATACATCATGACTTAATGTTGATATTCCAGAATAATGTAGAAAATGATACAATGTCTAAATACGTGTTACTGACTTTTTCCTCCTTTTCTGGGGCAATAGAATGCTTTTCATACACATCCTTAAATCTAAATAAAGGATAAGTTATTGGAATGCATTTAGTTTCAAACAACAATGTGTCCTAAATTTTTATTCTGAAACTTTTTGTGTCCTTGAGCCTTTGTTGCTTCACCTGTAAACTTTAAAACAATAATAACAGCTTTGTAAAGTTCTTAACCCCCAAAGACATATCTCATTGAGCTACTTATCTGAGAAAAATATGACTGAGATGATTTATTTCATGGTAATTTGTTCCAAGTAAAGTTTAGATTGCTGGTTATCTTTCTTTACCATATTGCCTAACATAAGAGAAACAAGTAAATTCTTACATATGTCTAATGAAAAAGCAAAAAGATTGTATTTTTTGAATGACGATGGTCTATTATTGCTGATCGTATGAGGCAGTGTTTGAAATATTATACAAAACGTTTAAGAGACATGTGAACTGAGGGTGATTTTTTAGGTTGCTTCCATCTCATTGTTGGATATTGATTAAGGAGTTTTCAAAGAAGAAATTTTGAGTGCCTATCATATGGCAGATGTTTTATAATTCGTGTAAGAATTTATATGTTTCACAATAGTTACAATGGTATTTTTATCTCTGTGCTTCAGGTGTAGTTTTGAGACTCAGGCTCTTAGCTAACTAGTTGAAGTTAACAAAGGCATTAAGTAGCAGAGTAGGAATTAGAACCTATATTTGTGTGAATTCCAAAGCTCTCCTTCCACTCCCTTACTGCCTCTCTGTTTTAATTGCTTTGGAGTAATCTCAGCATAATCTATTTGCTTTAATACTAATCATCTATTCTTGTGATTACATAATGTGGCATCTACAAAAGTTGACTATGATGTGGTTGATTTGGCCCAGTGTGTATACACCCAGATGCTTATATTTAAGATGAGGTCTGTAGCCACAGATAGTTTAACTGATTTGACTGGTTAATATAGCAAAAACAAGCAAAAGAAAAAAAAATCCCTTTAACATTGTTTTTAACTGAATTTACCAGTTAACTTAATTAAAACATTAGACCTGGAAAATACATGTATGGCCAAACTAAATATTTACACTTACATAATAATATAGAAATACTAAATTATATCTACCCTATTTATTAAAATATAACTGTTGAATTTAATAGTAAATATAATCAACTATGACATGAAGAAATTGTTTTATAATGGCAATGAAGATTGTATAAAATCGATTAGATATGAACATTGAAATATTTTTGGGTAAAATGACACGATGTCTGGAATTTGCTATAAAATATTCCAGCAAAGAATAAAACAATAAAAGGAACATGATTGGTGAAAAATTGATAAAGCTGAGTGATGAGTAGGTACATAGAGTTCATCTTTTTCACACATGTGAAACTTCCACCATAAAGAGCTTGGAAAAACAATCAACTAATTCTATATACACTAGGTTGAGGCAAAGAAACAAGATAACTTTGATTGCTTTGATTGAATATGGGTTTAGAATTTTAGCAGTTTCATGTGTTGTTAAAAGGCATCCAGAATGCATATTCTCAGGACGCACTGATACTTTTCAATGTTTTAATAAGATATAATTTAATGATATAAAGGTATGAATTTCAGGAAAACATGATATTGTATATCCCTGACCAAAAGAGACCTGGCTTTGGGATCACATTTACATTCAAATTTTTATTCCCTTGAACATAGCACTATAGTATGACTTTAGTACAAATATTGTGTGTTTCTCATTTAATTTTAATAAAAACTAAGACTTTCTCTGGAATAATATTTATATCCTAAAGAATGATGGCATATTGCTTCATTGTATGTCATTAGCCCTTCATAATTTTTTTCTTTTGTTCATCATTTAAAATGTCATTAAAACAATTACAGCCTACACTCTGCTGAATCATATAATTGGAGATGTCTTATTAAGATGAGATTTACTGTATAACTTTATTTTTAATATACGAGAAACCAACATTTTTTAGTTTTATGCTTTTAAAATGTGCAAATGAATGAGTTCTCTCTCCTTTATTGCTAAAAGAATAGTTTTAATTACTTGCGTTTTTTTCACTCATTTTTTGAGAGCATTTTTTTTAATCACCAAATTAAATCAGCAGATTTTCTATTAAGCCTCTTTCTTTGGCCTTAGGCAAATTGTGAGGTAAATTTGATTGTGGTTCCCTGCAAGCCTTCCTTCTGCAGTTTATCTCTTTCTTGTGGCATTCCTTTCCTCCCAGGAGCATCAAAGTATCATTAGAGTTGAAGCTTGCTTTCCTTCGCTGCTGGCTTCTCCTCCAGTCTCTGAATCTCTGTCTTCACTCAATCTTTCCAAAAAATGAGGAATCAATTGCAAGTAGCCAATGCATCTATTTGGCATCTTGCTAATGAATATTAGCAGTTTAAAGGTTAGCATGCCTTGGTAGGTCTTCAAGGGAGTGCAGGAGTTCCAAGCCACACTTTCTTCATCTGTCAGTTTTAACCCAGATAAGCAACTTAATTTTCATATTAAATCAAACAGATATATTGGGGAGCAGGAGGCACAATTTGCATTCATGTTAAAGCAATATTAGAAGACTTCAAAGAAATTTCAGATGGGAGATGGGTTGCTTTGGGAGATGCCCTCCAACTCCAGGGTGTATGTATTCACTCTTCAGTTTCGTCCTGACCAGTGATGCCTCTGTGGAAAAGTTTGAGAAGGGCCAGAATGTGACCTCTCTCATGTACATTTATGTTCTCTCTTGGTTTTAATAACGTGGCCTTTATGGCATTCTAAAAAATGGTGGAAATATAGATACTTTTGAAAAGGATGAGGATCTTACTACTTTCAAATTGCTTGTTTATAGTTACTTTCACTTATAGAGATTCTGGGGCATTGATCACATATGTATTTTGCTATTAATCTGACTTATTCAGAACACTTATAGAGATCAGATATCTAGAGCACATGAACAAATCATTACTCTAGAGAGACATGGTCATTGCCTTTTAGCAATGTACACCGTATCAAGGAAAATTATAGAACAAAACCAAAAATCTATGTGTGCAATACTGTATAGGATCAAGAGCTAGTTGATATAGCTGACACCAACAATTCTCCAATATTTTATGGAAATTAGAGGAAAGGCATGCTTCAGAACAGGGATATAAATGACACATTCTTCCTTTTTCATGTCCTATATGAAATATATTAAAAAGTGCACCTTGTTCTAAAGTTTACTTTTCTTTTAATTATTTTTAAAAAACAGCATCTGAAAGATAAAAAATGTATCAAAAATAGAACAATATTTTCTTGACTGAAATTCCATTGTACTCTAAATGATTTTCTCATTAATACTGAGAGCCTTATTAATCCAAAAATTGGACTTGAAAATTAATACAAAAATAAATGGAAATGTAAAATAAAGTATGTTAAATGAACATTTCACTGGAATAGATGCCTGCCAGTGGGTTAAAAACAAGAATCTCTGAGTCTGAATTTTCATTTAGTCTTTTGTATTATAGTTAATATGAAAATTAAAAAAAATAGAGGGAAACAGAAGGCTCTTTGCTGGAAAATTGAGTTCCTTGGGGAAAAGAAAACAACAGGAGAGAGACCAATTTAGTCAGGGCAAGTTATAATACACCAATCATGATGATTGATCCTGCGCAAGCAGAAGGCACATGGAAACAATTTAAATGTTGTCCATGAAACTACTGCTTTCAGACCTCATGGGATTTTATTTATCAGGATCACTGATTTCAGAGGCACCGTAGAGCCAGGAAAGAATAAGAGGTTTGGAACGTTGTTCTTTGGGATTCAAGGTGGAAAATGTACAAAAAGAAGGGAAGCAGTTGGTATCACTTCTTGTCTCTTTGTCTACTGCTTCTGTAACAGAATTTTCCTCTGAACCTTATATTCAATGCTTAATTTGAATAGTCCATGTAGTTGCATTTTGAGAATTTGGAAAAGGCATTTTAGTTAGCGCCCCATCCTGTCCCTGTATTCTTTTTCTTTAGCTAACTCCAATTCTGTCTGGCAGGTAGGAATTCATTTAGGTGGGCTGCTTTTTAAAAACTAAACAAAAAACAGTCATTACTACTATTATGCAGGTTTTACATATAAATACTCTGTTTTGAAAAATGACTCTTTCTTGGAGTCACTTGAAGGTAAAACAGCCTATGTTTATACATGCACATTTTTCTCCCTTACACATATGGAAGAAAAGTAAAACCGTTGCAAAATTATGACACTTTCAAGCAAATTCTTTTTATGATTAATTTCTTGCTTTTATTTAAGATAGATTCTCCCCCAATGTTTATATTTTGATTTTGAGGGAAAAAGTAACATTTTTGATGATGCCATTTAGTAAAGGGATTATCTGATTCTCTAAGGTTCTTGGGGCCCATTGGGCTCAGGCAGGAATTTTTTGGTAGTATGCTAGACTGATTCTGATTGTGAAGATTGTCAGACACCTGTGATTGATTGAAAGGAAGAAAAGCATTCCTCTCAGCTGCTAGTAGAATAGGATGTTTATTTTTAGTTGACTTACTTTTTTTTTTTTTACAAAAATGGCAAAATTGGTGATTTGACTAAATTGACTCATTCAGAACACTTATAGAGATCAGATATCCAGAGCACATGAACAAATCCTTTTCTTTAGTTTTGCATTGGTATCTGAATGCTGGCTTTCCTGTTTACTGGATTAACATCACTAAACTTTAGCTTTGCCATCTAAAATGAAGAATAATAATACTACTTGCCTCATAGAGTTTTTGTGTTATTTAAATGAGATAATTTGGGAGGCCAGCATCAACAGCTTCAAGATGAAGCTGAACATCTTCTTCCCAGCCACTGGCTGCCAGAAACTCATTTAAGTGATTGATGAATGCAAAATTCTTACTTTTTATGAGAAGCGTATGGCCACAGAAGTAGCTGCTGACGCTCCGGGTGAAGAATGGAAGGGCTACGTTGTTTGAATAAATGATGGGAACGACAAACAAAGTTTCCCTATGAAGCAGTGTGTCTTGACCCATGGCTGTGTCCACCTGCTACTGAGTAAGGGGCATTCCTGTTACAGACCAAGGAGAACTAGAGAAAGAAAGCGAAATCTGTTAGTGGTTACGTTGTAGATGCCAATCTGAGCGTTCTCAACTTGAGAGAAGGATATTCCTGGACTGACTGGTACTACGGTGCCTTGTTGCCTGGGGCCCAAAAGAGCTAGCAGAATCCACAAACTTTTCAATTTCCCTAAAGATGATGTCTGTGAGCATGTTGTAAGAAAGCCCTTCAACAAAGAAGGTAAGAAACCTAGGACCGAAGCACAGAAGATTCAGCGTCTTACTACTCCATGTGTCCTGCAGCACAAACAGTGGCGTATTGCTCTGAAGAAGCAGCATACTAAAAAAATCAGGAAGAGGCTGCAGAATATGCTAAACTTTCGGCCAAGAGAATGAAAGAGGCTGAAGAGAAGCACCAGGAACAGAGTGCCAAGAGATGCAGACTCTTCTCTCAGCGAGCTTCTACTTCTGTCTGAATCCAGTCAAAAATAAGATTTTTTTGAGTAACAAATAAGATCAGACTAAAACAAAAATAAATGAGGTAATTTATGACTCTAATGCCTAGGTCGTAAACATTAGCTATTATCATTCAGATTCATAATTATATATCTAGATTTCTATTCTCCTTGTAGGAACAGAGTGAAAATGCCAAATTGCTTATGGAGAGAGAGAGGAAGGCATTTCTTCTTTCATTATAGAGATTGAGAAGCTTGGACACAGGGCATTCGTGGACACGGTTATCTACTACGTGGCTTCTTTTTCCGTTTTGTTTCTACCATCCACATTTCTCCACCCCTAACCTTGCCAGGCTCTTCTCTTTTCCTGTGTCTGCTTTCTCCTTGCTTATACTCCTCTTCCTCCTTGTTACTTGAAATTCCGTAAAATATTTTTTCTTCCCTGGGCCTTTGGACATGCTGTTCTCTCTGAGTGGGATGGTCTTTCCCTCCAATCCCTCTGTTCATTGAATTTGAAACTATTATTCAAAGCAACATGTCTTACTTCTATATTTTCTGATTCACTACTGGGTGTTCTTTGCCCTTCTGTGAGCACCACTTGTATTCTGAACCTCTCTTCAAACCATTTCTTGAACTGCGATATTGGTTATTTATGTACTTGATTTTATATACAGACCAAATTGCATATTCTCTCTGGGTAATGGCATAGGAAAATGACATAGGTAGGCAGTATGAAGAGATCCCTTCAATAACCATTTCCAAATAACTATAAGGAAATGCTAATAGATATGAAAGGAATGCTGCTGACTTACTTTGAGGAAACTACAAGTACATCAACGTGGTAATATCAAAGGGAATCTTAGAATGACAGGATTTTAGAGAGGATCTTAGGAGGATGATAACAGGAAAACATTTAACTTCTCAGGGATTAAATTTCTCACAGAACTGGATTTCCATGCGGATGCTCTATCACATCTTCCCTGGCCATGAGTTCTCTGCCTTCTCAACCCTTGACTTCCAGGGTCTTCCTCAATAATAAAGCCTAATGTGGATTCTTTCTGGGGATAATTATCCACCAAAGATGGGAAGGTACCATGGATAGCCTAGAAATTTATGAATCTCTAGTCCATTTTGTTGCCCACCTTGTGCTCCACTGAGTGACATCAGTGGCTGTGGGACATACTCTGCCATGAGGCAGACAGTAAATTGACACCACATCCACTTTCCAGAGTCCTGAATAAATAAGTGGGGGGCCAGGAGAAGAGCATATGCTCTTGATGTCTTAGTTAGCATTTAAGTTATTCTTAGATATAAAATAATATATATGGCAGGCTCTATCCCCCAGCTTATTTGGTGCACAACAGTCTTTCACTCAGCAACCAAGCTGGAAATTGTGCTCCTATTCTCACTCAGCTCCTCCCACTCCCTGGTGCTACTCAGTGGACCTCCTGGATATCTAATCTACTCTGTACACTTGTCAGCATCCCTGCCTACGTCTATGCCTGCGCTAGCTTTGTAACTAAACTGAATGATGCTTTCACTCTAATCTATTTTTTTCACTCAGACAGGAGTTCTTTTTCTAGGATCCAATTGTTTTATGGCATTACCCTAGTAAAAACTGCCAAGAGCTTCCACCTTCTTATAGGATTTTGTCATGTAACCCCCTTCCCAATCTGGCTAGTTTGTGTTTTCCTATTCCTAAGATCCTCTCTGAGATCCTGTCATTCTAAGATTCCCTTTGATTTTCCACATTGATGTACTTGTAGTTTTCTCAAAACAGCATGTCATTTCATATCTCTTAGCATTTCCGTGTCTTGTTACCTGCCAAGAATGCCTTACCCTGAACCCTACTCTCCTTTACCCAGCTAGTTCCTACTTATTGTTTAAGATCAGCTTCAAATGAAATCTTCCCCTTTATATTTCTGTGTATCTACAACACTGGGTGTTAATACATTACAGTATTTCTCACATTAAATTCTAGCCATTTGCACAGTTCTCTCTCACTAGACTCTGAGCTATTCATTTTTATAATCCCACCTTCCCACACATTTCAACCATCTTTTCTTCAATCCCTAGCAGTAGCTATTATATAGTAGATGCTTAATTTACTCAAAAATTAAATCGAACTGTTAAATAAGAATGACTACAATTTAAATAAAATATTTAAATATTTTAAATGAATAAATTAATTTTAGAATAAATATACTGAAAATTCTATTAATGTGAACCCTAATTGACCAGTTCATTTCATAGAAGAGTTCTCAGTTATATTCCTCAAATAAATTTCCTAAATAAGAGCAGCTAAATTATATTTTCTTTTTAAGTTATAAACACTTGAAGTTCTCAAGTTGAAAAACTTGGATTATATTAATGATCATGCATAATGTATAAAATGATCACTTATAAAGTTAATTTTTAAAAGTTTGTAGATTAACAAAGCAGATCTACTGACTTTTGCTAATGTTCTAGCTAGTGAACTGGACTTTGTAATCCAATTAAAATGTTTGTTTTTTTTTAAAAAAAACTCCAAACTTTCTGTGTCTCTGGAGTGCTCAGCTATAGTGTATGATTAGTTAAGAAAACATGCATATGATCACTTAGTTGGTTTGCCTTTAAGTCTCAGCTTTTCATTTTTGAAATTATCTTAAACAGTATTTAGACTTTGGAGTCCTGTACTGTTTTTCAAGTGTTAATGGAAAAAAAAAAAACAAAAAACAAAAAACTTCAAAGACCTGGGCCCTTTAGTTAAAAAAAAAAATAATCTGAAAGTTCTCACAGTTATTGGAGATTTATCTGGTTTAGCAGAAATTGTTTGAGTTGTACGGTCATCTTATTGATTTTTTATTTTTTTTCAACAAGATTACTCATTGGAGACTAGGAGTTCTTGATATCCAATTTTAGTACCTCATCTTTCCTCTACCTGCAAAAAAGGATTTTTTAAAATGCTGTTTGAGCATTTTAAAATTTTTGGAAAATAGTTTTCTGAATATCCAGCATTAGTTTTTCACTTCTGTTTCTTTGGGCAGAAATGAAGATTATGAAGAAAACTGCCGAAGAAGAGTTAAATAATCACCCTTTTCTGAGCCAAACCCAGGGCCTCTTGGTTTGGGTGAGATCAAGTATCAGCACAACATTTTTTAATTTGTGTCCTTTAAAAGGGTTCTTTTCAGGACACTGTGAGGAATGTGAGGTTTGGCTTCCTTTTTCACGTAGGAAGTGCTGAAAGGAACACTTTATGCCTTTTATGACTATATGTCTCATGAAGAATTTTTAACTTTGTCATGGTGTACAACTAGAATAGTATTTATTAACTTTTAGCTCGATAGAGCTGTGTGCATCTACAGCCAGGCCCAGCTACTCCTCCTCCATCAGGTGCTCCTATATCCATCTCCTTTATTCCCTCCATCTGACCAGTTGCCACTCCTATTGGTTTCATTTGAAACGCCTCTAAAACACACCCTTTCTCACCCAGGCCTTTCTATCTTTTCCTCCTCATTCCTTGTTCTCTCTGGTTTAAACCATTCTTCACACAGCTCTTACTCATCTTCACCCCTTTTCCAAAATGTCCCAATTTATCATACAAATTGAAACGGTTTTGCCTAGTTTACAAAATGCTCCTTAATCTGTTCCTATTGTCTATACCCCGTCTTGATTGTTACTGCTCTTTTGAACCTACTCACAAATTTCCTGTTTCCCAAAGTAGTGAATTTTGGCGCATACTTCAGAGTCAGAGCTGTTTGTTAAAAAATATACATTGCTGACTTCAAATTTTGGGTTCCAGCTTGGGAATCTGCATTTAAGTGGATTCTTCCAAGTGATTCTTATGTGCATTAAAGTAGAAAGTCTCTGCCCACTTGCCTCTCCTGTCCTCACTGACTCTGCTTCTCTTTAAATTCTAGAAAACATGCCTCTTCTGCATAGGGTGAAGTCTCCAACACATGTTCACTTGTGCTGCTTTCTGATGATTTGTGTTTCTGCAACTGGAGTATAAGCTCCCTGAGGCAGGGGTCATGTTTGTATTGTATGATGAGGCAGAAAGATCACTGGGCTGGAAGTTGGACAAGTTGACCTTTATTGCAGTTTCTACCTATGAGGACAAACATGGGATCTTACCATCTCAGTTTGCTCATAGGTGAGGGTGAGAACTGGCAGCAATGATGTCTAAGTTCCTCTGTGCTCTAAAAGCTGCAGTGTCACAGTTACAGAAAGGTCAAGAGCTTCAAATCTTAGCTCTGCCATTAGCTGTGTAATTTTAAGCAAGGAATAATTTCTTCATGTCTTCAATGGGGGGGGTAACATATACCTTCTGAGGTTGCTATGAAGGTAATACATGTAAAGTGCCTGGCACAATGCTTATATGTAATGATATTTGCATATTATTATTCCGTGTTCTCCCACACCTCTCCTGGTGCTGGATAAAGACAGGCTATGACTTATTGGAAGATCACACTCTTTTAGGACACTGTCCTCTTGCATAGCTTCTATCTGTAGACAGTTTAGTTCAATGATAAAACATGAAACTGATTAGGTGCACACTTGGCTCCACTGCTTAATAACTCAGTGACCCTTGTGCTTGTTATTTTAACTTTTTTGAAATGGAAACTCAAATACTGTCTTTACCATAAAGTTGTTGTGAGGTTTAAATGAAATAACACATTTAAATGCCCAGCCAGTGCTTAACCCAGAGCGAACGTTAGCGACTATTAATACTTCTGCCTAGGGTTAGCCTGATTCAGATGAAAGCACACTGCTCTGAGACTCAAAAGACCTGCATTTGAGTCCTGAAATAGCCATTATCTCACATGATTTTCGACGGGTTATGGTATCTGCCTAAACTTTAGTTTCCTGCTCTGCAAAATAATAGTAACCCATTCCGTAGGGCAGCAAAAGAATTAGATAAGGAAATGCATGGGAAAATATTTTCATAAGGTGAAGTGCTACACCAGGCATTACTTATATTTATTGTTATTATCTTCTCTGTATCCATAAAACGAAGGAATTAAATAAAATAATAGCCAATTACTTTATTGTTTATTTAAAATGTACCAGGTTACAAGCATTTAATCCTCTCACTTAATCCTCACAAAATCCACTGTATATATTATAATTCCTCTTTTACAGCTGTGGAAATTGAGGTTCAGAGAAGCCAAATAACTTGCTCAAGGACTCACACCCAGTTGCAAAATTGGAACTGAAAACCAGGAAAATCGACACCAAAGAGCAAACCCTCAACCACTCTTAGATTTCTAAGATCCCTTCCAGCCAAGCAATCCTGTTCTCTTGGTCATGGCTCTTCACAGAGAGATTGGGCCTGGTGGTTGGAAAAACATGTTGGGAGCTTTCCAATTGAGTGGAAGAACCCCTGGAGTTTTAGAACAAAACCAAGTAGCTGTTAGATGGCTACACTTTGCCTTCACTGCAGGTTCCTGATTCTTTATGGTTGGACATAGAAGCTCCCGGGACCCTGCAGCCCTGCCTGCATCTCCACGGACTGGAGAAAGCCCAACTGTTTAAGTTTCCTCACAGAGAAGACTCTGGCTTCTGCCTCTCCTTAATTTTGTCAATTGCATTTCTTTATTTCAATGCCAATCTAGTCAGAGGTTTCTTCTGCTTCAGCTTCCATAAGCTTAACACCTTTCCACATCACGACTGTGACTGTTTTTCTTGTGATGACACATTTTAAATCTGGCATGTGTTTGTGTTTACCAAGTTACTAAAACCCCATTCAACGAAACGGACTCCCGAAATCTTATCTTTTTGTTTGTTTGTTTGAGATGAGGAGTCTCGCTCGGTCGCCCAGGCTCGAGTGCAGCGGTGCGATCTCGGCTCACTGCGACCTCTCCCTCCCGGGTTCACGCCATTCTCCTGCCTCAGCCTCCGGAGTAGCTGGGACTACAAGCGCCCGCCACCACACCCGACCATTTTTTTTTTCTATTTTTAGTAGAGACGGGGTTTCACTGTGTTAGCCAGGATGGTCTCAATCTCCTGACCTCATGTGATCCTCCCGCCTCGGCCTCCTAGGGTGCTGGGATTACAGGTGTGGACCACCGCGCCTGGCCCTGAACTCTTATATATTTTTCAATGATTTTTCCATTAAGTTGATAATTAAGTCCCCACAGTACTCCTTTCTCCACCTTTACCTTGTCTCACGTACAATGGTTTTTAAAAGTCCAAGTGTCTGATGATGTGCATCAGTGCTGAGACGTATTATCTCCGTCTGACTTTTGAACAACTATAGGTGGATTTATGTGGTTTTTCGCACGTTTACTGTAAACTCGGTAGCTACTGAGAATTATGGTTGATTCTTATGTAGCACTTGTAAATTTGCCAAGTGCTTTTATATATATTTTAGATCTCAACAGTATTATCCCCATTCTGTAAATGAGGAAACTGAGGTTCAGAGTGGTGAAGGGCTCTGCTCTAGGTCACAAAATAGAGTTGTTGGGACTCGAATATGTTTATTGAGTCCAGGTCTCATATTCTTTGCATTACACCACTCTCCCTATATATTTTCTAATCCCTAACTGGTCTAACTTGCAAAACGAGATTATGTAATTATGGCAGAAATACCTTACATTGACATAGTGTTTTATAATGCACTCATATCTCATTTGATCTTCACAGCAACCTTTGAGTGAGATTCTTTCTTACAGGTAAGGAAACTAAGGTTCAAGGGAGCTAGATGGCTTGCCCAAATTCACACAGCTAATCAGAAGCATAACCAGAATTATATTCTTCGTGGTTTTTATACTCTGCCAACCTGCTGATTGTGACTTGGATAATAAGATACTTTAATCCCCATTTGTTTTATTAAAAAAAGATAGGGAAACCAAAGATTAATACGAAGAAACCAGTCACCATCAAATCACATTCGCAATTATATATTTTCTTTTAAAGTTCTGTAATTGAAAATATTCTTTTAAAGATCTGTTTTAAAATTTAAGAATAATGATAGGGATTTAAGTTAATGATTGAAAAAAGCCCCTCCTTTTTTCTTTTAAGAAATGATAGAATTATTCTATTATCATATTCATAAGATAGCCCAAAATGGGCTTTTGATTAGGATTGCAATTAATGACTGAAGACATCTGAAATTTATATTCTTTCACTAATTAATTAATTTTTTCAATCATTATTCAACAACTGCATTGTAGCAAGTGCTATGCAACAATTGCTGCATTAATTATTACAAAAGAGAATTTGAGATACATTTATAAACAAACCAAAATCAAGGCAGAGTTAGGTAGTTTGGCCTCCAGTGCATATGGGATTAGACTTTATGTCATTCTTTATTATTTCCACGAAAATAACAATGTAGATTAGCATCACTCCAGCTTCATTTCATTTAAGCCAAAAGGGGAAAAAAGTTCAGTTTGTAGTTGGATAGTCTTTATTCCTCTATTTTGTAGCTATATAATTTCCTTTTCTTCCCCGCTTACCTTGCTGTGTGTGAGTGGGTGCCTTATTTGGGGTTTATTTTTATTTTTAAAAATTCTGTATTGTATCTATAAGGAAAAATATACACATTGAATAAAATTGCATTAAAAATTAACTTTACATTGTTGCTTTAGAGGTTTGGAATTTGATTTTTTTAAGAGAATTAGAATTTAATTAATTAAGGAAAACAGGAGAGAGTATTTGGCTCATATGCCACATGCTAATCTATACATCCAGAAAAACATACCAATCTAAGTTAAGAAGAAAGACAGCCTGACAGTGAGTGGGATAGTTTTAAGAGTGAGTCTCATCCGAGGCCAGAAAGGCACACATCAGCCAGGGTCAGCCTGATGGCTCTCAGCAGCTCTATGGGTCTCCTGTCATCTCATCAATTCTTCTCCTGACCCTACTTTTTAGGCTTCCATTCAATGCAAAAAATAAGTCTATAATTGCACAATCTGAATGAGAAACAAACAAGTCCTAAGCAAGTCCTTATTTGTTCAATTTAGAAACAGCATCTCTGGGTGACCCCAAGCGCAACATTGGCCAAAGGAGCTACTCTCCATTTTCACTTTATGTCGATCATTTTTTGCTGGTGTAAAAATTTTGATTTCCATATTTATATGTAGAAAGTAATAGAATTTTAATTGGCCTGACATGTTAAGAATTTCTGTAAACTAACATTGGGGTTTTCTTTGAATATCAAATGTTACCTGTGGAAATGGAATACTCTTAACTCTCACACAATGTAGTTAATTCATGGGCCTTTGACAAGACTGTAATGCTGGGAGACTCCTCATAGCAAGAAGTGATTTCTTCATTGAGAATCGAGAAAAACGTTCATGACTCCAGAACAACACTTTCTTTTTAATGAGAGAATATTTCTCCTTTGACTATAACTTTAATTAAACTCTATTAACTTTAATTTAATTTAAGCTATTAAATAGTTCAAATGCTATTAAACTCAAAGAACATATTTTTTTAAAAGGTATTTAGTTCCTGGGCATTTTTCCTTAATCTCACACAGCCTTAATTACTATGCACTTATTGTTAAGTATATCATAAAATAAAATATAATGTATAAATTGCATTAATCTCTATAAAAGTAAACTTGAGGCAGAGCCATAAACTAACCAAAATCAGAGGTACAATAAAAAGGCAAGGTACATAAAACATCTTCAAACACTTGGACCTCCATGGATGGTGAACAGATTTTATTGCATTCCTCTATTATTTCCCTAGAAATTAGAACAGACTTTTCATGTATGGTGCATTATTATGTAATATTCTCATTCTATTATCTTTTTATCCTGCCCTATTTTATATTCTTTATTCTTTTATTCTATATTCTTTTTATCCTGCCCTATTTTAATGTCTTTTCCCCAAAGTAGAGCTTCTCTGAATCTGTAATAATTTTCAGAAGTTTGCCAAGTCATATATTCTCCTTTCATAATTACTCGTATAATTATGACACCCTGGCACATATTAGTAACCAGGGAAATGGGGTTATTTAATTATATGCTAATGAACATTTGCAATTATACAATTTTTTAAATCCATAGGAAATTAAGAAAATGCTTTTCATCAAGCAGAGTATTGCTTGAAATCTATTTTTTTCAATAATACAGCAGATTAAATCACTAAATAAAAAGTTTCATTGTCATAGAAGCTATGAATGTTAACTCTCAGAATATGGAATCTTTGATTCTTGGATTGAAATCAATTTTGGATGTCCTCAAGTTCAATTTTTCTATGGCTTCAATAACAGATGTTTTATTAAACCTTTTCTAATTTGCAGTACACACTTGTTAATGAGACGTTGCTTAAATACCTCCAGGGATGTAATGTTTACCGTCAAAGAAGGCTGCCTGTTCTGATGCTGAACAGTGCTAATGATTAGCAGATATCTCTTGAGCACCTAATATGTGCAAGACATTCTTCTAGACATGATGTAGAATATAAATTTAAGTCAGAATTTACTTTTGTACATAAAGTGCTGACACTCAAGTAGAAGATATCAGAAGTCTACATTAAAAATGGCATGATTGGACCACAATATACACACTGCTCACATGCCAGTTTAGATTTTATATGCTCTGACCTCCACTAAACAGTTGAAGCAATTGCTCGCTCATTAGGGCAGAGATAATTCCATGCCACTCATCATAGCCTTTACTTTCAACTTTATCTCCGCTAGGTCCCCCAAGCTGCATCTCTTTGAGTTTACACTTGAACCTTCTCTTCCTGCCCAGCAACTTTTAATTGACAGCATATTTGCACAGGTGTCTGGGAATTTGATTTGGCACTTCCCAGAGGCTCTTGTGCCTGACTGCACTTTCAGTTCTTTGTCACTTCCTTGACTGGGCAAACAGTCACCACCCACCTGTTCAATTCCAGAACATTCTGGCACAGGTGCCAGTCCAGCCTCAGTGCTCCAGCCCTGCTGCAGCCAGCGAAGCCAAGTACATATTTCATGGAGAATAGTCAGTCATAAACGCTGTGGAAAACTGAATGAAAGTTCTCTTTTGAGAGGGTCCATTTTACTGTTGGAAAGCCCTTCTGGTAAAGGCAAGAACGACCAACCTTTTCAAATATGGAGATCACTTTTAACATCCAAACGCAAATGTCCAGTCACCTGTTAGCAGTTATACTGTGGCCTCTCTTGATAAACTAATAGTAACAATAACAATAATATAAGTTAAACATATTCAAAATACTATTATGTTATTTTCTATTTTATTGATTCTAATCTTTTTATTTTTTAAAACAGTGGCACTTATGCTAGTGAGATATATTATTCCTTCCAATTGTTGGCAGTGCTTTTTGTTAGTAGCTTTATTAAACGCTGGTAGTAATTCCATGTACTCCTGAGAATACATATTTCATAGAATTTGAACCAGATGATGATAAAAATACAATATGGACACATATTATGCAAGCTGATTATACACATTATCTCCTTTAGTCTTCAAAACCACTCTATGGGATTTGCACTATCACACTTTATTTTATGGGTGAGGAAACAGGTTTACAGAGAATGAACAACTGCCCTGGTCATAGAGTTATAGGTGACAAAGCTGGGGTTTGGCTCCAGGCTGGTCTGTCTTCAGGGTCCCTACTCTGTGACTATGCAATGGTGTTGCTCCAGCACCAGGAAGGTGGTTGCAAACAAAGGTAAGAAAGTCTGAGGTGGCTGAGAGTAAGAACTGAATTGAGAGTTACCACCATCCCCAGCCCAGCTGCCTCTGTTGTGCTAGCTGATATGTCAACCAGTCTTTAAACTAACAGGAACTGAAAGAAATTTATTTCAGTTTCCTAAAACAGCCACTGAGGCAACTTAAATTTTGAGTTTCAGGTGATTTTATTCATCCATACATGTTTGTTTACTTAGAGCTTTCAAGGTGTATGTCTATAGAATGATAAGCATCTAGGTTATCTGAACACATCCCTTGGTTTTATCTTCTAACCAAAACAAGATCATTATATAATTATTAACTTGGGTCTTCCAAGTGAAAACAAGGACAGTAAGAAGTTCCAATTATAACAAAGTATATGATGTTTCGTGGATCATAAACAGGAGAAGCAAATGAAATAGGAGTTAAAGAGGAAGGTGGTGTTATTTTGGCCTTACTATGTCAGATAATGCTTTATGTAAAAATAAGTTGGCATTTTTCCTGCACGTTGAATAATAGTTAAGCCTTGGGAATTTAGTGTTGATAAGGGGATGGGCCTCTAGATAGAAGGAACTTTCATTTATCATGAAAACCAGGACCTATTGCAGAGTAAATGGGGGCAGATTTAATAATTACAACAAAGCGATGAAAACACTGGGACTGTTCTGGTTAAACTGGCAGGTGGTCACTCAAACTATAGAGGAAAGGGTACAATAGCTAGCTCTATTGGCTACAACAAGGGAAGAGAATAGTAAAGAATAAAATGAGAAAAGTGCATTGGAATCATATTGTGAGGACCTTGAATGTCAGGCAGTATTTTATGGACAAAGTTTAGTCACTGAAAATTTGTGAATAGATGGATGTGTGATATAAACTGAACTGTCTTCCAGAGAGATGAATTTGACAGTAGAGAGTAAGATGAATTGAAGAGGGCAGATAATGGAAATATTTACTTGATATGGCCATGATTTCTCTTCCATCTACAAGACTTCTTAGAGAATTTGCCTCATCCACAGTAAATAAGGATAGTGCCATGTATCTTTATTTTTCCTGATCACATCTGATAGAACCAGGGGTGGACATAGGGCTTTTGTTGGTTCAGTGAGATATTTTCCTCTCAGAAATTTGGAATTGGGACCAGAAACTGGGTTGTTAAACTGTGGAAATTCATCTTTTTGGAATTCTTGAGGTGGACCATGAGCAAAAGGATGAGTCTAGCAGGAGAGTAGTTGCGTGTGGAGAGAGACTGATGCTGCAAATGTGCAAAGTGAAGCAGATATGTGAGAACAAGTGTGCGTGTGTGTGTGTGTGTGTGTGTGTGTGTGAGAGAGAGAGAGAGAGAGAAGGGAGGGTGGAAAAGATAGGAGAGGAGGGGAGGGGAGGAATGAGAGATGTTGCCTAATGGCTTTGAGGTCCTGGAATAACTCTTGTACATCATGCTCTATAACATTCCTCTGTGTTGTCATTGTTAACTATTTTTGTTTTAATATAATTTGATTCAGTTTATTTTCCATGAAAACAAATGAGCTCTAAGATAAAGTAGGAATAGTTCCCCAGTAAGTCCCACACATTGATTCTAGAGCTGCATTTTTGAACACAAAACAAATCTCCTCCTTCCTATCTAGCCCTTCAAACATTTTAAGACAGCAATAATGCCTATTGCTGTTTCCTACGGTTTCCTCTTCTTCAGGCTAAATATTTCTCTCTTTAACAACATCTGTTTCATCATCTGTTGCTTTTTAAAGATGACACTCAAATTGAGCACCTTATTTCAGAAATCTTCTAACTAGTGCAAAAATAGTCAAGCTGTGGCCTCACAACCCTCTTTTCACTTTTCATCCCTTGACTTCAGAGGTAAAAAAATTAAAGCACTTCCTGTCCCTGAGTCTCTTCCAGCTATGGGAGTGGGAGTGCAGAGGACTTGTAGCATGTTTAGCTAATATGTAGGAAGAAGTCCCAATAATACTTCTTCCTGAATAAAAGGGCAAAAATTTACTAGGAGAAGGATCCTTTATTTTTCTCTTGTCTAGGGTAAGGACATAATGCTTAAAAGTTGATGTGGTTTGGCTGTGTTCCCACCCAAAATTCATCTTGAATTGTAGCTCCCATAATCCCTACATGCCATGGGAGGAACCCAGTGGGAGGTGGGTTCCCCATTGAATAATGGGGGTGGGGTTTTTTTATGCTGTTCTCGTGATAGTGAATAAGTCTCACGTTATCTGATGGTCTTATAAATGGGAGTTCCCCTGCACATGCTCTCTCTCTTGCCTGCCACCATGTAAGATATGCCTTTGCTCCTCCCTCATCTTGCACCATGATTGTGAGGCCTCCCCAGCTGGATTGGATTGTGAGTCCATTAAATCTCTTTTCTTTTATGAAATACCCAGCCTCAGGTATGTCTTTATTAGCAGCTTAAGAACGGATTAATACAAAAGTGTAGCTCCGCTCATGCAATTATGAGGATGTGTATGCTGATGCCAGAAAATAGAGGGAGCCTAGGCCCTGAATTCTGTCACTGAGCTGGCATAGCCTCTATGGACTGCCATCACCACACTACTTGTTGCAGGAAACAATAAGCACCTTTTTGTTTAAAGCAATGTAGTACATTTTTCTGTAACTTGCATACAAATCATAATTGATAAACTTCCTAAGGCCTGGATATGATACTTTTTGTAAATGTGATTTAAGATTATATGGGCTTTTAAATCATCCATATCATATAAACACTGTAATTCATTCAATCACAGTGAAATTTTTCCTAATTTTCAAATGTATCTTCTGTGATAAGTATTTATAATTTCAAATTGTAAAACACAGAAATAATTTTACTCCATTTCCTAAGACCTGCCTATTCTGTATACCTGCTTTTCTTTCCTATGTTATTAAAAAAAAGAAGAAAAATCAACATCTAATAAATCGATAGAGAAAAACATGGCAGAAAATTTTCAAAGCTCTAAAGCTAGATTGTAGAGTAGGATAAACAGAAGAATAAACCAGGATTTAAACACAGTTTTCTTCTAGTAAGGACAATAAAGCATATTCCCAAGTATAGATAAAGCAGGCTGAGTGAAACCATGCTCTGAAATAATAATTAGTACAATTTTAAGGTCTATAACTGTTTCCTACTCTTATCCAACAACGGCATAGAGTGACTCTAGTCAAGTAGAAATGATGGTGTGTGTGTATGTGTTCAGTTTAAAGAGTGTTCAAGATGAAGTCCTACCCAACTCTGGTTCCATGTGGTGTATGTATGGCATGAATAGATGTAGAAATTCCCCTTCCCAGAAAGGAGAACCAAGGAGACCTGATGTCAGGGCAAGTAAAAGGCCAAATGGAAATCCTTGGGTCAGGAGTCATTGTGGACCCTGTGGGCATCAGCAGCAGGTGTAGGCAAGTGTATTAAGGCTCGGGGAGCACCAGTAGATGCAGAGGGAAAAGAAACCTTCGCCTAAAGGTCAAGTGCAGCAACACAGCTCAGTGAGACCAGTGAGGAGCTGAGGACTGAAAATGTCTCAGGGACCTCTCACTCCTGCCACCATAATGATTTCTAGAAATCTCATTGCTTAGAAACTACTTGGGAAGAAAGGAGAAGGTGAAGGGATGGGAGATAACCAAGAAAGCATGTGCACTTAAATAGACCAAGTTAATCTGCAGAAGGCTAAGCTTGAAACAGAAGTAGAGTATGTTACTTAGAATGGGTCTTTTTTTCCATTACTGTTCAAAGAAATAGGGGCTTATAATTAGATTTCATTTCCTAATGTAATTACATCTTAAATTATATCTGATTTATGGTGTGTAAATTTTAAAGCCACTTTAAATACAGATACTTGATTTAAGAAAGTGACATGTACAAAGTCAGATGAGGGTTTGAGAGGGGAGAGCTCACTTATAGTTGGGAGCTTAAAAGGCGACATTTGAACAAAGCCATAAAGGATGTGTATGATTTTTAACAGGAGAGAAAAGGAAGAGTGAAGAAGGGTATTTTAGAGGCATGATGCTGGAGTAGAGGAACAGGGGCAGCAAGGGAAAAGCAAGAAGCTTGTTGGTTGGAGGATATATATGTTGACAAAAGCATAAAGTTTCAAAATTGGAAAGGACTTTAGAAATATAAATTTTTGAAATCTGGTCTTCTCATCTTACAAATGAGAGCTCCATAATGTCATGCTCACATTGATAGTGAGGTTTAGTCTTGGCTCTCGTCACCAAGCACAGGTGAGTTCTTGATTTTCTACAACACCCTGCCAGGATTTCAGAGAGGAATAATGAAGGCTGTTATTTCACTGGCTCTGCTAAGTCACTGAATGTTTATGAGAGGATTTTAATGAAATCAGTCTGGTTGTAGAGTAAAAGGAAAGACTCAGGAAAGAAACAGATAGATTAAGGTCCAAGAGAAGTGCAGTTGTTTAGGGAAGAGGTCACAGAGCTAGGGTGGAGCAGTTGAAATAATTATAATTTTTGGATGATAACTATCATTTCTCACTAGGTTATTTCTTGAGGTTCTCTGGTTTTCTAGTGCCTAGAATAGTGTTCAGGAACCTTGAATGGACTATTTAATGAATGAGTGAGTAAACGCTAAAGTTAGTGGCCCTTCAGAAGGAAGTGTAAATGAAAAAAAAAAATACTTTTGTGTGTCCTTTATAGAACTTTTGTGGCTCCTTCAAAGGAGAAATGTTGAGTTTGAAGGAGAAATGTTAAGTTAGTTTGGACCTACTGGGTTTGATATAGAGCAGTGTATTCTACGTGGATTTCTCAATCAGGCCATTGGAATGTGGACCTGGAGCTGTGAGAAAGGTTAGGACTACAGATTTATAGATCTTGAAAAAAAAATCAGAAATATGGTGCCAGTGATTTTAAAGCTCTACACAGGGCTCTTCACATAACTAGCAAAATGAAAGCTGGTCCTTCTCTCAGCAAAGTGGACTGTGCCCTCCACTGAATATTTAGAACTTTCCTGTCTTAGATGCTGATCTCTCTTTCTGTGTTTTTTGTTTTGTTTTTGGGTTTTTGTTGTAGTGTTTTTCAGCACACATGCGAAAGTTCAGTAATCTTAACTCAGCGGTCATAGCTAAATCTGAAACTGAATAATGTATGGGTGTGGTGCTGTTTACTGGAACAAGTGGTTTATTTTATTGCCTAAATTTCAAATCCTTTAATATGTTTCCTAAGAAGTCATCTGATTTGGAAAATTATTGCAAAAATAAAACTGAAGAACAAGAACTAAACCTATGTCAGCCAGTTGAAGTGAATTATTCTGTATCTGTTTTTCTAGAATACATTTACTAATAGGAAATCAGTGTCTACCAATCTATACTAAATAAGTGTTGAACAAATATTTAAGTTATTAGTTTGAAGATGTGCTAGCATTGTAGCCTGCATGCCTGAGTCCTGCTCTTGATAGGGAGAAAAGAAAGAAAGAAAGAAGTGAATGAAATGAATAGTAGCCCACAAAGGAAGTTCAAGGAAAGGACTGTTTTTATGTTTTTTGAAGATGGGAGACCTCACATCAGCAAACAGCATTACAGCTATTGTCACATCCCAGATGTTTATTGTGTGGAATTAATGGCAGCAATGAGTGGAAGTGTTTTAGGCTTACTTTAACGTCACAACCCCCAGACTATGGATAAGCTGAGAGGCTTCACAGATCATCCTTTGAGAACCACCAGTCTGATGGCATCAACATTGACCTTGATGTCAAGGGACTCGCATTCTTGTTATGGTTCTGTCTGTGGCTAACCATATGTCCTGGGGAAAGTCATTTAGCGTCTGCTTTGGTTTCCTGTCTGAATACCTGACCCTTCCTGCTTTATGGGGATGTTGCAAAATGAGTAGAGAGAGGGTATGAGAGAATGCTTTGTATTCTTATAATAAAGGTGCTCTGTGATTCTAAAGGATTATTATTAATTCATCCAGAATAAAGAGTATAAACTAAGCTGAACAATAAATAGACCTGATGAAAGTGCTCACAGTTTCCTGCTTTGCATAACACACATCTCTGCCTTGGCTGCTGTTAGCACCAAATGATTCCAGCTACTTGTTCCAAATGTTTAATCAGTGATTTTCTGTGATGGCACATTTGGTAATGTTTAAAAGAATGTGCATAAAGATGAAACAAATGTTATCTGGGACAAGTTGATCCAAGGATAGGAGTTTTATAATTAAGAACAGTATTTTACGCACCACCACCACCACAAGCACCCAAACAACTGATTAAACGATGGAACAGTAACCAAGTGCAACCTGATGTTGGATTAAGATTAGCTCCATAAACAGCCAGCAGCAACATGTTAGCCTACAAAGGACTGAAGAATCTTGTGGCAAATCTTTAATTTGTGGCTAATGACTTAATCGATCTCATGCAATTTCAAAGTCAGAAAAATTTGAGGAAACAAATATATGAGAGGTTGAAGACCCAAAAATACAAGCCTTGCAACTTAAACCCTCAGCAGTTAAATTTATATTTAACAGTGATTAAGTATTGGGATCATATAAGGGGCCATAATTTCATCAGGAGGCATGAAAATGGCTATGTTCACTTTTTTAACTGAACTAAGCAGATTTAATGTTTTCCTAAGAAAGGATGCGAAATTCAACTGTTAGCAAGTCACAGATTATTCTAGTTGGCTTATGGTGGACTAAATAGAAACTTATTTTTAAGGGAGTGAATAAAAACATTTTTATTGGATACTTTCTATACTATCCCTGAATCTAAAAGTTTGTGATTTATAGGTTAACTATCCAAATTATATAAATATGAAAATTTTCTCCCTAAACTAGTTCATTAAAGAGTTAAAATGAAATTAACAATCTGACTCCTGCCTTCAGTTTAGCTTCATCTCCAGCTGCTCCTAAGAAGCCCAGCCATCAAGCCAACTGTGACAAGGTTTCTGAAGCTGCCGTGATTTTATAGGGGGTTGCCTCTGCCTGGAATGCCCTTTTCTTCCCCTGTCTGGCTAACTCCTGCTCAGGCTTAGAGAATCAAATCATCATTGCTTCATCTGTGAAGACCTCCACAAGCCCACTCTCACCATCTCTGCTGCATCACAAATGAGGTCTGTCCTCTTCCTTTATGTTCCCAGAGCTTTATACATTTGTCTTTATTTTACCCTGTATTGACTTTTCTAAACTTGCCTAGCCTCCCAACCCTATAAAGCTAGAGATCAATAAGCTATATTTTCAGTTTTTGATCAACCTTCTTCTCTGTCTCTATCACACACAGTTTCCTTCTGCAATTTTCATCTCACTTTCTTCTAGATCTACCCAGTATTGCAGACTTTGGGCTTGTTTCTTCACCTTAGTGTTCAATTTAGCCTTTGAATCACTTGATGCATTTAACTCAATTTCACTCTGAAGTGGATCTTTCTGCTTCAGTCCACCTTCATTGTGATTTCCTAGTCTAGCCTGAACTCTCACCTCTAGCACCTAAATCTACCTTGGATCTACTCGAATCCCAGTAGGATAGGGATGGAGGTAGAAAAGGCAGCTAAGGCATAGCTATAATAGCTAGTTACTTGTCTGTCTTCTCCAATTGACTACAAGTTCTTTGAGGGCAGGACTTTTGTTATTTTAATCTTGGCATCTAGAGGATCTGGCACAGTTCCTAGTACATCGTAAATGCTTGATAAATATTTATAGAATATATACAATTTATGTATTTTTAAAATTACTAAAAGGGAAATAAAATTTATTTATTTGCCACTTATTAATTTTAAAATAAATACATAAGAATTATTTGTTTTATTAAATAAATAAATAAGCTTCATTTATTTGCCATTTATTAAATGACAAACTTGGAGCATGGTATTACTTTGATATTTTAATCACTCCATTAGGAAATGTATTCTTCAACCAGGACAAAGTACGTTTATTTACAAGGAAGCCAGATGAAAGTATATAGATATATTGGTCCAAATGAAGCCCTCCTCTTTCTTCTCTCTGTTCTTTGCCAATGCAGGGGCATTTGATAGCTCTGAGAAACCTACTTTGAAAGCCTACTAGTTATCTAGCAGACTGATTTTCCTGTTTTTTAGTTCTTTATTTGTAACCTGTCACCATCTAGAATGGGGAACTCCAACATGAAGGCTGGCCTCTGGTTTACTTGCTGAGGAGACTAGAATCTGGCCCACAAATTCAGATCCTTCGCTGGCTTACTATTCCCTGTGAACTAAGTTCCTAGATAGCAGTGTCCACCATGCTGATCACTTATATCCCCAGCATTAAGCACAATGTCTATAACACAGTAGATGCTCAATATATGTATTTGTTGAAAGAGTTAATGATAACCTCCAGGGCTCTTGTTTGCCAAACATCTCCTGCTCTGGGTCCTTTGTCATCGGCCATACCCAGCCACTGGGAGACCACTATTCCACTAGGCAAACATTGCATCCTGCACATGCACGCAGACCATCTCTGAACTTTGTATGCTGTATCTGGTGCATCTGGCTGTGCTTTCTGAGCCGATTTCTATAGTCAGTGCTCTCAGTACTGGTTCCCTCTAATGTTCTGGGTTCAAATCACAGGCTACCTATCTCTTTGTTCCCCAAGCCCAAAGTGGTTCATTAACATCTCTTGTCTGTGATACTCTTTTTGATACTGAACATCTCTTAGCACCCAACTGGCCCACCAATGCTGGCTGAATGGAATTAAATTTAAATTTGCATGGCTGCGTGCTCCTCTCCCTGTGTTCTCAGGGACGGTGCTCAGAGGCCCTCTGATGAGATGGGAGAAGAACCTGTCATGGGCTAGGTTCAGGCCTCTGCATGCTGCTTGTGCAATCTTACAGATTCTTCATAAGCTTTGGGATAGGCCAGTTCAACAGGAACCCATGTCCTTAATAGGAAGTTATGAATTTTAACTAAGGTTAAGATTAAATTAATAATACATTAAACCAGATCTGCTTCCTAATTATCATTCTAGGTTGAAGCAAGTTTTTAGAAGTGAGGCAAAGTCAATGATTTCATTCAGATTTTGGATAGCCAGAATTCCAGGAGACCCAGACTCTTCCCTCCCACCTCCCTTCCAAGTCACTCCCTGCTGAAATAAGCCATGGCGGGAAAAGTTGTATTGTCTGTTTTGATATAATTTTTAGATCTCTTCTTCCTAAGTTCATTAAAGCTTTTTTTCCCCCTCCTGTAACAGTACGTTGTTAGCCTTGGGGTTCTGGCCAAGTTCCAATTTGAGCAATTAATTTTATTTCAGTGCTCAGCCCTCCCTGAAGTTTCAGACAGGAAAGGTGCGTTCTTTGTCTTCCTCAGCAAGTCACTCCTGATGGTGAAGCAGCTGTTGCTGCCTTCCCAGAGGAGAGAAGGTTGAGAATTGGTGAGAAAGCTTCCTGGCTCTTTGAGGGAGCTGCTTGCAGAGTGATCTGGGACAAAAGGCATCCTTGGGAATGTGAGGCTTTTTTTCTTTTTTTTTTTTTTTTTAACTACAGCAGTCTCCAAGCCATCCATCACTCCTCTTTTGAACCACTGGCTTAGCACAGAACAAAATGGGAAGTGATTGTGTTTTCTTGAAGAGCTGTTTCTGAATGTGATGGCTTCCTTTGAAGCCCAGTCAAAGGGATGTTTTTATTTTGTTTTTGTTTTCCTGAAATCCCACCAGTTTCCCTCACCTCCTACAAGACCTCACACCACAGCCTACCATCATGCCTGATACCTAAGTAGCTGCCTTCACAGCTAACAAAAGACAAAGAAAACACAGATGCAGATTATTCTAAAGGAGTAAGTTAAAGAAATGAAAGGGGCTTCCTTTTTAAGTTCAAATAGCAAAAGCAACTAATATACTTTGGAAAGCACACGCGATAACACAACACCCAAATTCACTTGGAGAGGTTCCCTGTGACATGCTCTAACAAGTCAGAAATTCAGTAAGTGTAGTTATATCCTGCAAGTGATTTTGAAAAGGTGTAGAGAATAACCCTTTCTAGATGCATACTCTATGTTTTACTTGGCCCAGACAACAGTGTTTGATGGAATGATAATTGGATGTTGATGAAAAACATCAATCATCATTGCATTGTGACTTGAGTTATATTTGTTTAATGTTAAACTTTCAGTTGTGAAATAAACCATTCCGGCTGGGGAACAGATGATTTTGTTTCTAAAACTTCATTCTTTCACTTATTAGGCAAGAGTGAGTCATTCCTTATAACAACTGGGCTTATTGAAAATTCCAGAATTACTCACACAGGTTTGAAGCATTTTTCATGTAAAGAAAACATCCTTTTTTTTTTTTGGTTGCTGACTGTAACTATCCTTTCTAAAGCTCATGGTTCTGGTACAGCCCTATTGCTAATACTGTTATTGTCCAGGCATGCTTTATGTATATTTGTATTCTTCCAAAACAGGTCATCTATACTGTTCTGGGATCAACTACCTTTGTATTCATTTCTTAGTGGCCAATGTCAGCCTCACAAACATACATCTCTACATGCAAACAACTGGTTGCACTCAGCTCCCTCCCAGGTTTAGCCACAATGTAGGAGAAACACTATCTCCTCACCATTTCATTCTTTCCCTTCCTGAGTCATTCCCTGTGGGGAAGCACCAACAAATCCTCACTCTTGTTTTCACCAATTACAAGTCAGTTAACGTTTTATCCCATAGATCACTCTCACATATAAACACTCTGCCTTTGTCAGTTGGTTCTGGATTCCCTACCATGTCCTTACTCCTTTTCCACCATCCAGGGAAATCATTATCTCCATCATTCTATTCACTGCATCATCAGGGATCTTATCTCAGCCTGAAAGTATAAATCTGTTCTTAAATATCTCCCTCACCAGACTGTAAGCAACAAGAGTGAAGTGTTCCCATCTTCATTTGCTCACTGCATAATTTTTTTTCCCTTTTTCCAGTGCCCAGCCTGGAAAATGATAATATTTATTAGATAAAAAAACCACTAGAAAAGCTTCAGGGACTTTTAACTTTCATTACGAAATATACCTTTCTTTCAAGCACCAATAATCAAGATGTTTAAGTTGCATGTAGGAACACAACTTTAATTCCTCATTTATTTAATTTTTTATTTCCTATGTTGCATTAATTAGACATGTGGCAACAATATGATTTCTTTTATTTTTTTTTCATTGAGATAGACATATTTCTGTTACATAGTGTGGCTGTCTTGGTTTTTGTGAACTACTTGGAATGTAACTACAGTCTCTAACATCATTTTAGTGTTGAAAGGAGACTTATTGAGTCGGGCATCATGCTAAGTACTTTTGCACATTTTAATCTATTTCATCCTCACAATAGCTATGTAAGGTTAATATTTTTTATGATCATTTTACAGAAAAAGAAATTGAGGATTGGAGCGGTCAAGTGGCTTGCCAAGGTCACACAGCTAGTTAATAAAGTTGTCAGGAAGATCTGCATGACTTTAAAGCCCATGCTTTCCCTGTTATATGACCTGAATTTTAAATACATGTTTTGAGAACAAGCAAAAAAGACATCCTAATTAAGTTCATTTTGGATTAGTGGGATCAACCTTCTAATGAAGCAAACAATAAAAGCTGCACAGCTCGGTCAACAGTTGAACTAAAACTTTTGTTCACCAGATTGACCATTAGTTTGCACTGACCAAATTAAATATAATGTAGTGTGGAAGTATTAATAGCTACAGCCATGTTTAACCAAAAATATGACAGTCTATTATAAGTTTGTCAATTGAAACCAAAAATGTAAACTTTATGATGTCGAAGGTCAAAGGCTGGGGCTAAGGGTGTCAGATGTCTGAGAGAGTCTCTAGAACCACAGAGAACAGAGTCCCTGTTTAATATTAATATTATCCAGTAATGACCCTAAGTATTAGACAATGGGAAATGTGTCGAAAAATATGGAAGTCACATGAAGGCAATTTAGCTACTCCAACTAAATTGAATCATTTCTGCAGAGTGGTAATTTTGATGGAATACCAATCATACAATGGGTCTCATCCCACAATACGTTAAAAGTGCTGCCTGACAGTTTTCAAATAGAAAGTTAAGTACCATTCTGCTCCTGAATGCAGTCTAAATTTTAATACCTTAAAAAGCAAAAAGCAAAAATACAGGTGTGGTAAGCAAGAATACTTTTTGTGGGGGTGGGACTGCATGACACAAGATGTTTAATAATTAAGTTGATTGGATTTTGCAACTTCCCATAAGGTATTTTGGCACTGTGCACTAATCATTACACACAGAATGTATTTGTTTAGAGAAAACAGCTCACAGATTCATTTCTTTATTTAGGTATGTACCGAGAAACATTTTGAATGGTCAAACTAAGACTTTATTTACATAGTTATATAATTTTCTTTCATCTTGGGATTTCAAAGAGCTTTGTGATGTTGCGTTTCGAGTTGATTAAGCCTCACAGCTTCACTAAACACTGTATTATAATATTACAGATGAACAGAAGAGGCAGAATTTCAGTTTCTTGGGTGGATTTTCTTTATGTTTGAAATTAGCTAATGAAGAATGCATGATGCTACATATAAAGATTTTCGTTTTTTTTTCTAAGATACAGTTTTTGCTTTGGGATAATTTTAGATTTAGAAAATGTTGCAAAAATAGTACATAGTTTTAATACATTTTACCCAGTTTCTCCTAATGTTAACACCTTATAGAATTGTGCATAATTCCTCATTTATTTAATTTTTTGGGTGCATTACTACTAAATGGGTACATTACTACTAAATATGCTACTGACTTTATTTGGATTTCACCAGTTTTTCCATTAATGTCTTTTTTGTGTTCTGGGATCCAACCCAGGATTTCACCTTGCATTTAGTCCTCACATCTTCTCAGTCACCTTGGGTCTGTGACAGTGTCTGAGACTTTCTTTATTTTCATGATCTTGGTAGTTTTGAAGAATACTGGTCAGATATTTAGAAGAATGCCCCCCAATTTGGGTTTGTCTCATGTTTTTCTCATGGTCAGATTGGGGTCATGGAGTTTTATGAAGTACTGTGACCTACCACCACTGGCGACGTTAACCTTGATTGCTTGTTTCATGTAGTGTTTTTCAGGTCTTTTCACTGTAAAGTTTTTCTCCTTTCCCCACTGTATACTTTGTAAGAGGGTCACTAAGTCCTAAATGCAGCCCAGACTCAAGACAGGAGAGATGATTAAACCGGCATAGGGAGTATCTACATATCTTAATCGGAATCCTTTCATAAAAGACATTTGTCCCTTCCTTTTTTATTTTACTAATTTATATCAGGATAGACTCATTTATATTTATTTTATATTTTGGGTTATAATCTAATACCACATTTTTATTTTATTGCTCAAATTGTTGTATATTTGACTATTGGAAGCTCTTTCAAAATGGCTTCTATGTAAAAGCTTGTTTTTGAAGTATTTATTCTTTTAAAAAGTCTACTCCAGTTTATTGTTATGCACGCATACATTCCACCAATATTCGGGGGAGGGGCAGGGTTTACAATGCCAAAAGTAATGTGCCAAGAAAATATCAACCTATATTTACTGAACTTGTATTATTTGCCAGGTGTTTATAGACATTATCTCAATTAATCTTTAAAGCAGTCCTAGAAAGTATAATACATTCCTTTAAGACATGAGATAACTGAGGTTTGGACATTCTAACCAGGCTCCCAATTAGTAAGTAGCAGAGAATTTTAAAGGTATTTTATCCTTTGTAGATAATAAACAGCATTTCTAATGGAAGGTGGTATATTTTAAGAGATTTAAGAATATGATAATTAAGAGGAAGTGTAGTGGGAAAGCATATCTTGGCATCAAACAAACCTAGGTCCTCTCAGTTGTTAGAAATTTCCAGTTTCCCTCATCCCCACCGTGATTCCTGGTATACTTTTCCAGCATCTGGTTATACTAACCACAAAAAATAGGTTACACATATCTATTTGGTTTACGGTTGTATAAATTCATTTTTGTCTTATGCCCCTATTTTTGTTTTATACCTGTATTTAAAAATATATATTTTAGCTACTGCTTTTCAAATGTAGTTTACTACAGGGCATTGAAATTTGCCAGCATCTGCTTCTCTGTTCCTAAGAATGTCCTATGCCCGCATTAGCCATCGAATGGTCGTGCATAACTCATGAGTTTCTTGAGAAGAGTTAGGATAATAATCAATTTGCCATCTCCATTTAGCACAGCCACCCTTACCACACAGTATACACACACATACACACAAACACAGGCCTGCAAACACAATTGCAAATGAAGCTCTATTTTGGCAAAAGCAGACAGCAGAGTTATGGGGGGAAGGTCGAACCCTAGAAGTAAGAATTGATGGGCAAAAAGTATTATGCATAAATAAAGGATGCTTAATTAATATTTTGTTTGTTCCGGAGTATGAGAAAAACATGGCTTATATTAAAGCAAAAGGGATTTCAGTTGGATGTAAATAAATAAAGAAGAATCACTTACAAAACTGGGAAATTGGAATATAAAGCCCTCACAGTAAGAAAATAAACTAGCCTTGATGAGGTGTCATCAAGAACATCGTTGTTTTTCAAAGAATGGCCAAATTTAAATAATTAACTAAGTAAATAAATAAGACCACCTATTATGTGCCAGACCATTTCTGGGACTTCGGAGATAAGATGAAGAGTAGTGTTTGCGTTAAGGAGGCATGAAAGTATTTCCTGAAATCACAAGTGTCAATAGAAAATTGACACACACAAACAAAATTTTACCCTGAATTTGAATATATGTCTCAATCAGCATGTAGTAATATTCAGTAATTGTGAAGAAGGTAAGTCACATGAGAAGAACACTTAAATATATTAATTTCCAAACGCAACTGCTTATCAACATTATATTACTGACATCTGTCACTGATGCAAAGGACTATGCCGACGCTGGGTTTTCTGTGTGATGTGGGCACCAAATGACAGAGAACTGACATCCAGCAACCAGCTCTCCACTTTCCAGCTGTAAGAGAAGTACATATCGTCACAGTGTGGCTGGCAGTGAATGTAATCATTGATACAAAGCATGGCACTAGGAACTGGCTTATGCATTAAAAAATTATGTTAAGGCTCATAGCTCTTCTCTGACATGTTTGTGGGTTTGTATGGGGTTTGTCACTAATGTAGACATCTAGTTTCCCGAAAATGTGAAATTCGGCAGTGACTTTTGAAGACCCTTTTCATTCTCTGATTGTAAAATTTAAAATTCATTTAATTCTATTCTTATTCTATTTTTAAACTGTGTAACACAATATGATTGTGAATTTAAAAAAATAGAAAAAGCATTTCTGGCCTATAGAGATTTGCAATAAATAGGAAGGATAGATATATGCAATAATAAAATGTGGTGATGTGGAAGAAACAATGATTTTAAGAGTAATTATACATTTGGCAGAGGTATGGAAGAGAAAGACCCTAGGAAATGCCCTTACAGAAAACAAAAATATTTGGAATTCCATTGTGTGTAGACAAAATTTCCATGCTACCAGACAGTCAGTTTAATGTCTCATATTTACATCCTAGGTAGAACCCATAAATAGTTCAAGTATTTACTGATTATTTCAGATAGAACATTTCTTCATAACAGAAAACTGACAGAATTATCTGATTTAGTTTAGTCCTTCTGTAATCTCCTGGATTCTTTCCAGAAGTAGAGTTAGATGGCATACTTGCAGACATGCTTATTCTTGCTACCTTGTTTCCTATTTACCTTTTCCAAACTAAAAGCATATTCAGCTAAGTTATGTTACACCATGGAATTATTGGCAGTTAGGTCTCGGATGGTGTGTAGTTTGTTTTAACAACCAGTATTTGAGGCCAAACCATAATACCAGGCCAGCACAGACATGCTTCCTATTAGCCCATCTATTTTAAAGGGAAACACACTGTATGCTGAACTAACTGAATTTCCACTCACTGCAGTTTGCAGCAAAACCAGCCTGGAAATGGCCTCAAGGGGACCTCACTTCAGATTTTATTAAAGTCCATGAAGTACATATTATGCAGATACATAAAAATAGATTAACAATCATAAAAGAATGACTCACGTTTATTACCTTGAAGAATAATTGCATAAGACAAAAAAAATGGAGCATTGCTAAATCTTAATAAAGTTGAAGAGGACTACTTCCTCTGTCAAACACAGCAAAACTAGATTTTTGGGAGAATGCCGCATTATATCTATTAGCTGAGCTATTATCATATAACATTTTTTTAATGATTTTAAGGTAATGAGTCAAAATTAAATCCAGAAAAATGATCATACTTACAAAGCCTTTGTCCTTTGTGGCTAAAATCCAGGTGACATATGTCAATTGTCTTGCAAAAAATATCCAAGCATTTATGGACAATAAAGTTCGATCCAATAGAAAGAAACCAAAGTGCAAACACGTTCATGTCTGTGTATGGGTATTATGGGCTGAATTTTAAAAATGCATATGATTTTTTAAAATTCCCATGACCTCTGAATGTATTTAGACACAGGGTCTTTAAAAGATAATTAAGTTAAAATTAGGTAATTAGGGTGGGCCCTAAAGGATATGATTGACCTTAATCCAGTAAGAAGAGGAAATTTAGACACAGGCACATGCTGAGGGAACAATATATGAAGACAGAGAAAAGACGGCCATCTACAAGCTCAGAAGAGAGGCCTGGAACAGATCCTTCCCTCACAGCCCTCGGAGGGAACCAATCCGCTGACATCTTGATCTCAGACTTCCAGCCTCCAGAATTGTGAGATGATAAGTTTCTGTAGTGTAAGCCAGCAGTCTGTGCTACTTTGTTATGGCAGCCCTAGTAAACTAAATAGGGACACCTGGAAAGTAGCTGTCTATGTACCAATTACTTGCCGCCTATCTTCTGAGAACAGGTTCAGGCCCTGACTACTGCTAAAGTTTGCATGGTCCGGGAAAAGAGAATAAATGGAGGCCACTTAAGAGAAATAAAATACTAATTAAAATTTATCAAGTTATTCTTTTCGTTTTGCATAAGATAGATTGTTCCTTAATGAAGTAGTGCTTCTTAGTAATTTAAGTATTTAACAATTATAAATCAAGCTAACAAATTATTATACACGTTTTATCCTTTTGTGTTGCAATAGTTTTGTAATAATAATAGTTCAAAAATATTTTCAGTAATTGTTTTAATGAGTGAAAATAAGCAAAATATCAGGGAAATGAATTTAATTATTATTGTGCTGATATGAGTGTTCCACTGATGAGTTGGCAAAATTTGGAGTAGTGAAACAAAAATATACACAATATATCATTATATATTAATTTCATCAACTTTACTTTGTCTTCATTTAGTCACAACCACTAATTATATAACTATACTCAAGATTTTTTTCTGATTTTTGTTCTACTTAATTAATTTTAAAGTATACACTATTTGAATATACCTTCAACGTAGTATAAATTAAACAAAATGTAACTACTTTCAGTGTGTACGCAATTTGAATATATTACCATCAGAAGTATAAACTAACTGGAATGTAAAATATTAAAATTATTTTATAAAGTTTTTTCTAAAATATGCAATATCATCTGTTAAAATTAAAATATAGACTACAACTTACAATGAGTAAAAATAAAAACGGTAAATCTCAACTATTTAAAGCTAACACTTAAAAATTCAATTAACTAAATATTTTTAAAATGAGACTATTACCAATTTTTGTAGTCAGTGTTTACCTAGTTGCCCAAATAAAGAGTATCACACTTAATACGTATGTGATTTAGACATAGATAGATGTACATATATATTCAAGCTTAAGAGAAATATTAAAAGTTTGATATTGCAAATGTTCCCCAGCTGGCAAGTAAAACTGTGTGAATACCATGCTAATTCACACACATTTTGGATCACAAACCAAATCCACAAATTAGAATACCATGAAGAGTCTGGATGCAGTGGCTCACACCTGTAATTCCAGTACTTTGGGAGGCTGAGGAGGGTGGATCACTGGAAGTCAGGAGTTTGAGACCAGCCTGACCAACATGGTGAAACCTCGTCTCTACTAAAAATACAAAAATTAGCCGGGGGTGGTAGTGCACGCCTGTAATCCTAGCTACTCAGGAGGCTGAGGCAGGAGAATTGCTTGAACCCAGGGAGGCAGAGGCTGCAGTGAGCCCAGATTGTACCACCGCACTGTACCCCAGCCTGGGTGACAGAGTGAAACTCCATCTCAAAAAAAAAAAAAAAAAAAAGAATACTGCGAAGAATAGCAACTAAATGGAGCCTCAGCACTATTGGAGAGTGACATTTTATTATGTAACAATCTATTTGAAAGGAAATAATTGACAAATGCATTTGTCTTCTCTTTTTTATTTTTTTGAGATTCAGAAATATTTTATTGGAAATGTGATGCAATTTCATTGTAACATCAGCTTTTATTTCTGTATACTGCATGAACTTTTCAAAACCATTCTCCAAAGTTAACCATTTAAAACTCATTCATGTATTTTATTATGCATCCTACAACAAAGACTAAGAAACAGGCAAGAATGACTATAAAACACGACTAATTACAGAAAAGTTAATCTATCTTTACATGAAAAAATTTTGAAACCAATTTTGTGTTTATTGAAGGATTTTTCTCATGCATATTATCCAAGATTTTTTTTCTGTCAGAGTATTAATTTCCTAGGATTGCTATAACAAATTACCACAAACTGGGTACCTTAAAACAGCAGAAATATATTCTCTCACTGTTCTGGAGGCCAGAAGTGCAAAATCATGTTAGCAGGGTAGCTACTACTGGAACTCTGAGGGAGAAACTATTCCATGCTTTTTTTCCTATCTTCTGATGGTTGCCACGATGTATCACTCCAATCTCTGCCTCCAGCTCCATGTGGCATTCTCCATTGTGTCTCTATCTTCTCTCTCTCTCTTTTTTTTTTTTTTTTTTTTTTTTTGTCAGAGTCTCGTACTGTCTCAAACTCAGGTTGCTCAGACTGGAGTGCAGGGCGCTATCTCGGCTCATTGCAACCTCTACCTCCTGGGTTCGAGTGATTCTTGTGCCTCAGCCTCCTGGTAGCTGAGATTACAGGCACTCACCACCACACCTGGCTAATTTCTGTATTTTTAGTAGAGACGAATTTTCGCCATGTTGGCCAGGCTGATCTTGAACTCCTGGGCCTCAAGCGATTCGCCCGGCTTGGCCTCCCAAAGTGTTGGGATTACAGGCGTGAGCCACCATGCCTGGCCTGTCTTCTCTTATAAGGAACACCAGTCATGTTGGATTAAGGGCCTGCTCTGTTCCAGTGTGACCTCGTCTTAGCTTACTTACAACCACAATCACAGTATTTCCAAATAAAGTCTCGTTCTGAGGCTCTAGGAAGTACATTAATTTTCGGGGGACACTGTTCAACCCAGTACATTCAGTTTCTATTTAACGTAAAAAATAATTCCCATACTATAAAGGACGAAAAAAGGACTTGTGAAATAGGTGAATGATTGTTGAATATACAAATGTGATCTTTTATTTTCCAACCACATACAGGGATAATAATTTTTTGGGAATATGTCTCATTCACAAATATGAGTTACATGCAAAGAGAAATTCATACATCGTTCAAGTAGGATTCAGGGAATTAACCTAGGTGCATTCTCTTGTTTCTATTTCAAGCATATTGTTCTCCAGATTTTTTTTCTAATCCTCATTTCCCTGTAGGATTGTTCAGATTTAAATAAAGCCTGTAAAGCAGAAGTAGTAAACAAGCCTGGGTACTAAAGTTAAATATTACAGAGGTAGATAAAATAAGTCTGAGGTAAATTCATGTATTTAATTCTTATCTATTTTGCCCATACAGTTATGCTGATATTTCATTCACTTGGATTCACCAACTTAAAATTTGTAACCATAATGGAGAATCTTTTTTCTGTATTTGAAAAAAGTTTACTAACCACATTAATAGCATATAAATATGATTTCAAGGTTAACTATTTAAGAGAGTATTTATTTATATGTATCATTCATCAACATGCCTCCTTCCATACCCCATGTGCCATTTGACTAATTATCTCCAACTCATCCTTCGGGTCACAATTCAAGTATGATGTTCTCATACCTGGTTTCTGACAACAGATAAAATCCTTACTAGATGCTCTTACAGTACCATGCATGACCTATTTGTAGTATTTACCACTGTGTCCATTTTGTATTGATTTTTGTGATTATAACTAACATAATTTTCCTCTACTAACCTCTACAGGACATGTATTGTGGGCCATGTATATTGTACTTACCTTTGCTTTTCTAATGACAAGTTCAGTGCTCACTGAATAACTGAATAAATTAGAAGTACATATTACACATAAAAAGTTAACATGTGAATTATGAATCAATCTCATCAATTTGTTAAAGAATCTTCTACCAAGCACTCTTTTCCTGAATAAACTTTTACCCTTATTACAGTTACCATATCTTTGTAACAACATTAAGGGAGTGTTGATTTTACTATATTAAATAGATAGCTTTCTATTTCAAATAGATTTGGCTGAATTATTTTGATTAGCTCAATTAAAAATACAAGATTCTAATAAGAGACTTTATTACTTACTAAAGGCATTGTGATCTATTATTAGATACAATTGACATGAAATATGAGTTTTGTGAAACAATTCTCTGTAAGGATTTTACATTTTTACTTTGAGATACATGAACAAAATGGCCATATCATACTGAAAAATCCGTTAAAAGTAATAGACAATAATTTGAAAAATGAAATTTTATCAGTATAACACATATTTAAACAAATATTTTAAAATATAAAATTTGTAAAAAGCCTACATTTGAGAAAGCTATAGTAATTATTCACAAGTAGGGACATTAAAATTCATTCCATAATCATCATTACTTGAGCCAGAGAAAGACTGTTGCAAATTAGAACATCTTTTTTTTTTTTTTGAGACAGAGTCTTGCTCTGTCGCCCAGGCTAGAGTGCAGTGGCGTGATCTCGGCTCACTGCAACCTCCACCTCCCAGGTTCATGCCATTCTGCCTCAGCCTCCCGAGTAGCTGGGACTACAGGCGCCCACCACCACGCCCGGCTAACTTTTTGTATTTTTTAGTAGAGACAGGGTTTCACCGTGTTAGCCAGGATGGTCTTGATCTCCTGACCTCATGATCCACCTGCCTCGTCCTCCCAAAGTGCTGGGAATACAGACGTGAGCCACCACACCCAGCGCAAATTAGAACATCTAAATTCAAAATGTAGGACATGCAGATATGATTATAATATCTTTCTCTTTGACAGCTTGAGTTTACGTATTTAGATAAACACAACATAGTATTATTAAAAAAAATTTCCTGGCCAGAGGAAGGATTGCATTTCAAGAGTCCAATGTGATGCAAAATTAATACATTTTTCCGGTCTTGAGATGCTACTCCCTGAGTGGAACTTTCTCTGTCATGCTAATATTTTCCACAGTTTCTTTTTGAGGAAAAAAAATGCTAAATGTTATCAATTTTTAGACTGTCCCATACTTAAACCTATATCAAGACATTCAGGAACATACCATGAGTAAAGACTAGAGAAACTGCAGAAAAAATTTGAAGAATAAGATGATGGTAACTTATAATTTGATAGTGGCTCTAAGCTTGGCTGAGCGCCCTCTGGGGTTATCTTGTACATCCTGATCTTATGGACTAAGTACCTTCTTGTATATCAATTCCCACATTAAAAGAGCTCTTCTCATAGAGCCGCCTTCTGTGTTTTCGTGGTCTGAACTCAATTGCAATGTTTTCATCACTTACTGTCTAACACTTAGGTTAAACCTTTCTGTCATGCTATTTCAAGCGAGTTCTTTTGACGATGCAATCCTGTAGTGAATGGAAGGAGAGGGTAACAAGGCGACCACCAGGTCTCAGAAACTTCTGAGCTGTCTTCAGTCCTGTGTAGAGTTCATTGAGCTCATTGTTCACAAATATGCGAAGAGCCTGGAAAGTCTTGGTGGCAATATGGGTAGGTCGCTATAGCAAGTCTTTTCGTGCATAAATAGCAGAGAGAGGAAATGCACCTGCGACGATGTTGGCAAGCTGCTGAGGCAGATGCTGCGTGCCTGAACAATTGCTGAAGCGATTTTCTTGGCATGCTTCTCCTCCCCGTATGTTCTGAGGATAGAAGCAAGTGCCTGTTGATCTAAAGCATTCACAACATCAGCAGCAGTGGGCATGTCAGGGTACCTGCTACCATCCATCCTCATGTCCAAGGGGCCATCTTTCCAAAGGGAAAAATCTTTCAGGAGTATCAAGTTGCATGGAGGAACACCCAAGATCCATAAGAACTCCATCAAAAGTCCCTGGCTGCACTCCAGCTTTCATTAACAAGGCTTCTGCCTGGCTGAACTGGCCCAGCATAGCTCGGATTTGTTTAGGATACAACTCTGAAAGATGTTCAGCTAATGCATAAGCTGTCGGGTTTGTGTCCAAGGCATACAGAACAATATCTGACTCCTTCTGTAGAATGGCTTTTGTGTGCCCTCCCGAACCAAATGTCATATCTAGAAAAAATCTGTCCTTTTTGTGGTGACAAACAATGAACAACATCCACCGTTACTGGAGTATGTAATTTAGCCATAGTTTCAAAATCTCTATCTTGAGATCTGCATAACTCCTGGGCTTGAGTTTGGTCTGTTTGCTACTGGGCTTCATATTCTTCATATTTTTCTGCTGTAGTATGTATTCTTTTTGGCCAGATACCTAAATTAGGTATGCCAGATTCCAACCAACATGAAAGACATTCTTTATACATTCTACAAAAATAAGGATACTGAAGCATTCTGTAGGTCAGCAAATCTGAGGCACGAAGACTTCTCAGCTGGCCTCTAACTTGGGCCGGCGACTACCACTACAGTGCCAGAGAACCTGAATTTGCTGCACGCCCAGGTCTTACCCCTGAGGGAAACTCTGTCTTCTCTTTCTTAACTGTTTTTGCCACTTACACTCTTTTTGCATTCAGAACCACTCTCTGCCAACCCACATAATCATGGCATTTGTAGATAGATGCCTTCTGTCCTAGGAACATAGAGCAGTAGATTAGGAAAAACATTTCCTTGGGGCTTAATTTGTTTGAGTCACAGAAGAGATGTTTAGGCTCACAGGTTGTGCTGTGATGGTGCTGCGTGCCAGACCCTGAGATACAGAGGTGCTCATGCGTTCTTTAATACATACACATTTTTGTTTGTGCCCCTGGCATGTGTGGACATATTTTTGTGTTTGTGATCTGTGAAGCTGTTTGAAGAGTGGGAGACAGAGTAAGGGCCTGCATCTCTTCCTTATGTCTGAGGGTGTGCAGGGGGTTGAATAGTGTCCCCCAAAATTTATGTTCACTCAGAACCTCAGAATGTGACTTTATTTGGAAGTGAGGTATTTACAGATGTAATTAGTTAAGGATTTCCAGATGAAATAATCCTGGATTTACGGTGGGCCTTAAATCCAGTGGCTCACGGTGTCCTTAGGGGAGAGAGCACAGACACATATGCACAGGGACGAAGGCCACAGGAAGAAGGAGACAAAGGCTGGAGGTAGACTGCCAAAGGCAAGGAAAGACTGGACCATTAGAAGCTGGGAGAGGCAAGGAATCATCTCCCCTAAGCCTTCAGAGGGGAGCAAGGCCCTGCTGGCAACTTGATTTTGGACTTTTAGGCTCCAGAGCTGTGAGAGAATAAATGTCTGTTGTTTCAAGGCTCCTTTTCGTGGTACTCTGCTGCAGCATCCCTAAGAAACTAATCCAGCGGGGTCCTGGTCACAGTGGATTTCCTCTGACATTGACTCTTGTCTTTAGTAACCAGGGAGAATAATCCAAGAAATATTTTTCTCTCCATGTACCCTAACAATTCTTGTATCAACATGATGGAACCCCATTATAAGTGCATTTGATTTAATCAAATTCAATTTCTCAAAAAAAAGGAAAAAAAAAAGAAGAGAAAACTGATAATTTCAAGTGTTAACAAATAATGTATTTACCATTTCAGTGAGCATGTATCCCATTCAGAATGAACTCTGGGTTTGAAACACAAATCTGTGCTCCTTTATCAGTCATGTTTCCTCATCCTCTCACACTGTAAGCATCTCTCTTTCTTTCTCTGACTCTCTCTCTCTTTTATCACCTTTATATCTAATAAAACCTTCTTCCCAAGTTCAAACACATTAATATACCTGTGCTTAACCAAAGAGAAAGTAATCTGTTCCAATCCTAAAGGAAATGACTCAGCTGCACTGAAATTAGTCACTGCTATGTAACCTAGGAACAAGATGTCATTACTATGTATGCAGTCTGGGAGCTGAATATCAAGCTCTAGACCTACCTGTGAACATTCAAACACTCATTTCCAAACTGAGTAAAATGGTATCTGCCTCTGATGTTGCTCAATTCGTTAACCATTATTGCCATATTCTCACTGTATTGTGATAATAAATAAAATATATAGTTGTGATTCTCAAAAGTTTCTTGAAACTATTCTTAGGCCATAATGTTTACAGGGAAAAATTATGAGAAGAAATACACTCATAAATGTTTGAAAAATCTTGCACCATATAAAACTTTATAAATTTGTCTTGTAATACTTAGGCTATGTTTTAACTTCCTTATTTTTTCCAGGGTGGGAGAAGGAATGTTCTCTGGAGAAATCTGTATGATAGAATAGTGAAGGTAACTGGCCTGAACTACAGCTCTTGAGCCATCTGGTTTCACCTTCAGGGAGGTAAGTGCACTGAGAAGTACTAGCTAAGTGTGGGCACGGACATTGGAACCTCAAGATGCAAAAGAAGAGATATTTTCTTCACATTTGTAGGCAGACTCAACAGTATCTTTAACAGGTTCTTTGAAAAAATATTTCATTGAAAATAGCATGTTATCTGCTGGGTGTGGTGGCTCACGCCTGTAATCCCAGCACTTGGAGGGGCCGAGGCAGATGGATCACCTGAGGTCAGGAGTTTGAGATCAGCCTGGCCAACACGGTGAAACCTTGTCTTTACTAATAATACCACAATTAGCCAGATGTGGTGGCACACACCTGTAATCCCAGCTACTTGGGGGGCTGAGGCAGGAGAATCACTTGAACCTGGGAGGCAGAGGTTGCAGTGAGCCAAGATTGCACCATTGCACTCCAACCTGGATAACAAGAGTGAAACTCCATCTCAAAAAAACAAAAACAAAAACAAAAAAAGTGTGTGTTATCTTGTTAATCTCTGAGATATAAGTAATATTGAAATTTAATATCCCAAGATTTGAAATTCAAGCATCCTAAGCTTAAATATTCATAGCTTACTGGATGCTTGATATTGGGGAATCTATTTAACATGGTAGGGTTATCAGTTTCATTGTTTATAAAATGGGCAAAATAGCAGTTGCTTATAGAATTCTTACAAGGATTAAGATAGCTCCTACAAAGTTTCTGGTGCAGTGCCTGATGTATAATAGGCATTGATCAAATGAAACCTACTATTCTTTATCCTACTGCACAGAAATTTGTATGTTATTTTAATTAAAAATTTGAAAAACAATTTGTAAAATGAGCACTGTTCATCAATAACAGATATATTTTGAAATGATTTGCCGCCAGAAATGATTTTGATTGGGGCTGGTGATTGCTGCTACTGTTTTCAAACAATTTTGTTATATTTACAAAATTTGGGGGCCACAGGAAAATCTCCGCCAGGATTATTCACACCCTGTCACTTCCTTTCTTCTCTTTTGAATGCCTAACATGTAAGTGTATGGAAAGCGTTGCCCAAGAGGAGAGGCCCCAGAAGCTGCTATGCTTCTCCAGACTCTTCCTTTAAAGCTGTAGATGTAAATTCATCCACAATGGAAAGTTTAATGTGTGCCATCTTAGAGTGGCAAAGTGCAGTGTATTTGCAGTAAGACTGCTTAGTATTGTAGGCTCTAATCTATTCATTGTTTATTTCTTGTTGATAATCATGACCACTTGCTGATTGCCCCTCTTACGTTGGCCAGGACAGGGTAATTTTACAGGCTGTATTCAGGGTGCAGACAGTTTCGTGGATGCTCTTCCTCCTGCAAGAAAAATCACTAGAGACAATCACAGTGTTTAGAAGGCTTACAACAAATTATTTTCCACTTGGTAGTCCTAATATTTCGGTTTCAGAAAACCAATTAATACAGTTTACTGGTAAAGAAAGGGAATTAGGTTGGATTAGGATACAAATTCACTGCAATTTTATCTCTTCTGCTGGTGGTAAGAAAGACAAAAAAAGACAAAACAAACTTAACCTGTGAGTACTGATGTACCCACAACCTGCTCACATATTGTGTAGAGATTCTGCCTGTCTGAGGCCTTAATTCTAATAAAAATCTGATGAATATTATGAGATGTTTAATATTATGTTGTCTTAACTTAGAACCCAAGTTAAAATCTGTTAATATTTTTAGGATTTATTTTTCTCTTTTTACTAAAGCGAGCCCTATTGGTCTTAGAATGTTTCTGAGCAGTACATCTTTTAAATGACTTTAAATGACCCCTTACCTCAATATCTTGTTTCTACAGATAAGAATATATTTCACAAAAAGTTGGAATTACAAAGAATATTTTAAAACCCAATCATTTTATCTTTATCGTTTTTAAAATCAAGTGACTCAAAAATATGCATAATTTTTCACCACACAATTTGAAGGTTGTGACACTGACTGGCCCCATTTTGTACATGGTGGACCTGAAATTCCAGCGGTTCATTCCCGTCTTCTGCTGTGTCTGAAAACACACATGCCAATATAATCACAGAGGGAGAACCATGAGCGGAGAACAGGGCAAAGAGGACACAGCCTTATTACATGTCAGATTACTGCTATCTCCGATAGCCTAGGTGCTCCTTCCTTCTTACAAAATAAACATCTTTGTTCCTTCAATAATATGACTTGGCATCTATACAGCATATAAAATATTGTTATAAAATATTGGAAATTTTCGATTCAGACCCCTTAAATGATTTACTCATTTAGTGCACCCAGAACAAAGAAACATACACTGTACGGCAACAGGTGCTTAAAAGAGCCTTGAGGGAAATACATTCATCAGAATGTCATTATATGCTATATGCACATTACTTATTTATTTTCTCATACTGTCCTGAGGAAAAGTAAGCACCTGCAACCCATAGGTAAGGCTTTTATTTACAGGGTCCTTTTACACTCTGGGTAGTTTTTGCCAAAGCATCAAAGCATTGTAGCTGTTACCTTCTTTATATACTTTATGTATATAAGCAGACTCTTTAGCTAATATAAAAATAAAGAAATAGAGCTACAGAAACCCATTTTATTTATTGCCTCTCCCACATCTAAACATCCATTTTAAAATAATATCACTATGTCCTGGAGTATCTCTGTCCTGCTTTGTGTTTTGCTAGTACCAGGTTGGACCTCCACTTACTACATACTTTCTCAGTGCATCATAACTACAGAAGGACCCATGCTATATAACTTTACACAGGTTTTCCTCGTGATAAAAACACGATGGGTTAACAACCCTTAAAATTTCTTATTTTCTTTACCAAATATAATGGTTTTGTAATTTTACACCAGGATCTGCGGCATAAGGAAGGTAAGAGCATTCTGAGTGTGTTATAAAATAATTATCTCTGGTAAATAAAGATCCATATAATTCTTTCCTTACTTATATTAAGATTTCTCCCCCTGCACTTGAATCCTTAGAAAAAGATGCTTTAGTATAAACATGGTCTTTGGCTTTACTTCTAAGAGCTGACATGAACCATAAAGATTTTTTTTCAAGAAGCAAATGCAATAAAGGGAACAATGGAGCCAAATATTGCTTAGTGCTAGGGATATGGGCCACAGCTGTGAACTGGATGAGTAGATTTCCCTGTGCATTTCCACTTTATTCTTCTAAGTATGTACATCTACTTATTCTATTTTATTACTAGTTAGGAAATGCCAGTAAGCATGTGTTTGGCGGAGGTGAGTACATGTCCTTCCCAGTGTAGTTTGGCTCTAAATGATATTCTTATTAGATCCCTGGTGCACTGGGCCAATGGAATAGGCAGCTGAAAAGATATAGAGGAAGGAGTCAGTAGTCTTAAGAAGCAGTCAGGAATTGTATCAATCAGGATTTTTTTTTTCAGTTGCTGATGTCAAAGCCCAATTCCAGTTAGCATGAGCAAACAAAGGTGGTTTATTGGTACTTGTAACGCAATTGCAGGTCGTATAGGTGCAGAGCTGTCCTTAGGGATGATGGAGGCCTTGGAGGTCATCACCTTCGAGACTCTCTGCCTTTATGTGTGGGTTGGCTTTATTTTTTCACTGATGCAGATGGGTTTTCTCTGTGTGTGGTAGAACTCCAGACTCACATTCCTCCAGTTTCATTGTTTGAAAAGAAAGTAGTTCTTTCTCTTCCAGTTCTAGTTAGCAAATCCTCTGGTGCTTTAAGCCAATTACTCACACCTCCTAACTTCTGGGTTCTATCTGAAAGAGAATAACTGGTAACAACTGTTAGAACAACTGGGATCAGTGCATAAAGTCAACCACTGCAAAACAATGGACTGACTGTAGAATAGGTTTACTCCTTCCTCAAATTTAGTCTCAGAACTACCTATGCTTCTACATAATTAACTGTCTGCCTATCTACCCAGCTTCACAGAGGATTGAAGGCCTGCTTCATGCGCTTCTTCGCTAACAGAAATGAGAGAAAGAGAGAGACATTTTGGTCAGGCTTATCTCTCGAAATTAGATCTTATGTACCCTAACTTTGCATGGCAGCAAAGAAGAAAAAGAGACCATTGTGTTTCTTAGATATCTGGAAGACAGAAAACAGGATCCGGGGCAAGAGTCTATTACTTCTTTTTAAGAGTGGTAATCTGACTCCATGGCCCAATGAGCATGAAGCTCTGACCAGGTAGAGTGGTTATTTCTCCTGTAGTATGGAGGCATGGTAGCTGTGCTCCCTCCAACACTGCCTTCCCAGGCAGAGCAGTTGTTCTTCCTCCTTTAGACAGCTGAGGAGGAAGAGAAACATTTCTCCTTCCCCTTCAGCAAAAAAGAAAGAAAGAAAAAAAAGCCCTGCTTCATGCTGGTCAGGTCACATGTTTATCCCTCAACCACTTACTAAGACCAGGGGACTCAGACACTGTGATTGACCCCAACTGAGACCATGTCCACACTAGTGGATGGATGGGTGCTGTAGGAATTTTACCAGAGATAGAGTGGAGGGATATTATAGTTCAGACACGACCATCAACAATTGTTCTAAGCCAAACAGCCTCTGTGATAAAGATAAGAGGGCAGGGTAGACTGTTGATTTGGAAATTTTGACAGAGAAGTCAGTACATGGTAGATGGATATCAGATACTCAGTGAGTGACAGACCATATACAACATTGTCAAAGAAAACTCTCAAGAACTAGTTCCATAACTTCTTTTTTTTTTTTTTTTTTGAGACGGAGTCTTGCTCTGTCGTCGCCCAGGCTGGAGTATGATGGCGTGATCTCAGCTCGCTGCAACCTCCGCCTCCCGGGTTCAAGTGATTCTTCTGCCTCAGCCTCCCGAGTAGCTGGGATCACAGGCATGCGGCACCACACCTGGCTAATTTTTGTATTTTTAGTAGAGACGGGATTTCACCATATTGGCCCGGCTGGTCTCCAACTCCTGACCTCGTGATCCACCTGCCTCAGCCTCCCAAAGTGCTGGGATTACATGCGTGAGGCACCACAGCCTGCCAGGTTCCATAACTTCTAATCTCGTCAAATGCTTTAAGAATACAGAAGTCTAGAGAAAGTCAAGAAAAGAGAATTTCCAGTAAATCCCCAAGGAAATGTTACTGGGGAGAACTGTTGCCCTGAGAATCTGTACCTCCCACTCAAGGTGGGATAGATAAGAACTTTAGTATGTGACACCTGAAGTTGTGGGGGTATTTATTTCTGCTGCTGGCTGCCTGGTGAGCTCTCCTACCATCAGGACAGATTAAGAGAGGAAGTTGCTTCTATTTGGTGAATTAGTGGTAGTCCTCTAAGAGGGCTGGCCAAAAGTACGTGAAATCCAGGCCATAGGTATAGAGTCCATGATAGGAATTTTGGCCTAGAGTTGTTTCTGCCAGAGGATGAAATAACAGAGAAGTGAGAGTTTATGGAGGATGGGCATTGGGAAATCAGAATTGTAGAGAGGATCAAGATGTCTAACTGAAGAAAACATCCTGTACCATGGGAGCTGAAGCCAGACTGGTGGTAGTCTGCAATGCTATTTTCCTATATTCAGTGCCCTGCCTTTCAGGAGAATTATAAATATCTGCCCTAGTAAACTCAGCGTGGCTAATGAAAGGTGAGCAGAGGTGGTGTTCAGCTTTCATGTGAGAGCCAGCACGTGCACGTTATTCTCTTTTCTCTGCCACTGTGATCTTAGAATCATGTCTTGTGTGGTGGAATCCTGATTAGCCTAAGTCTCCGAATGACTACAGTAAGCACAGCCTGCTTGCCACCCTGGAGGCACATGTTGAGTCAACAGAAAATAAACTGTTGTTTTGAGCCATTGATTCTAAGGGGTTATTTTTACCACAGCATACTTACCCTATCCCAATCAACACAAGGGACATTGCGTGAGAACCTCCAAAGGCTAGAAGCACTCCTCAGGCCTAACTTTACACATCTGCCAGTCCCAGACAGTGGGGCCAGGTACTAGCCACGTAAGAATTCTCCTCTCTTGCTCCTTTATTACGCTAGCTCTGTCTCCATTCTAGAAAACCTTGGCTGGAAGGAGGGAGATGATGGACATCTACTGGTACTCATAATTCTGATTATTATCTGGAACTGGATAACCTAAAACTACTGCCTTGAGATTGTGTTGGCAATGTAATGTGATCATAGGGATGTTTATTGCCTGAAAGTGACCAGAAAAGACAGGAGCCTGCCAGACCCAGTGGCGAGGCAAACGCTTTTCCCTATCTCTCCAACTATTAAAAAACAAAACAAAACTAAGCAAATTAAATCAAAATAGAACAACCCCAAACTTCCCTCCATGAAGTAGAATTATAAGAAAGTGGGAAACAATTTTAAAAATTAGAATCTTAAGTTTATCTTTTGCATTGTACTTAACAAACCAGCTACATGAATAAAGACAGCAGATTTTAAACTAAAATTTTAAGTTAACTTCAGAACTAAAGTTTATTTTTAAATGCAAATGAATGGATGACACTTAAATCTTACATTTATACATAAGAACAAAATTAAATATGAAATTTTAAACATTAGGGCAGTGGTTTGTTTCTTTGTTTCTGTTCCTGGGTGTGTTGTGTGATAGGAGGAGGCTGAAATACAAAGATTTGTGGCGGGAAGCACTGACCCGGCTTTAAGCACAATCCTCAGAGTCTACATCCTTCTTCAATCTTGTCTTCTACTAAAAGGCCTCAAATCTTTGGCAATTCCCCTGACTTTCTATATTCTACTTTCCTCATCTATTAGCTGAGGGTGACTAACTCTGACTCTTCAAGTTTATGTGAGGAGTATCTAATTAAAAGTCTTGAAAATGTGAAGTGCTCTCTATATATTAAATGGCAGTAGCTTTACATTTTCTCTGTGGGAATTAGAGGATTACTGAAATGGATAATTTTATACTTTCATTTCTCTAAAATGGATATACTCATACTCTAAATAGGGAATGTCATTTATTATTCCAGAAATTTAAAAAATATACCTTAAGTGCTGAAAATTTAGTTTATGCTCACATTGATGATTTTTCAGATAGTCAATTCAAAATAAAAACATGCTATGCATATTTTTAATAATAGTATACATTTCGAAGAGCTTGCATATTTATTACTTTAATTGAACCACAGAATTATAGGTTAGGAAGAAACTTTAGCCAACATCTAGTTTAGTGCCATTTTCCTCCTTTTTCCAAGTGTGTGATCAGAGGTCACAAGATGCTCAATAACTGTTTTAGCTCTTATACAGCTAATTCATCTGATACTTTAGTAAATCATCTGAGATAGGCAGGACATTTTTCTATTTTCATTTTCTAAATAATTAATTTGGTTCAAAATATTTTGAAGGTTTTAGACAAAAGTGTCAATTTTGGATTAAGAAGCAGAGATGGGGAGGTGAATTGGCTTGTATGCAGGATTATGGGCAGACTTGGCAGAGGAAGCCCAGGTTTTTTGACTCTTAATTCTGGTGTTCTTTCCATTCCACTTAGGTGCAATTAATTCTGCCTGTCATATTAGGCTCTTAAATTGAGGTCTAAGCTGTGTACCCTGCAGTTTAGGTTCATATCACATATCTTGGGGCTGGTAGAGTTTGACAGGAAAAATAAATGACTGGCTTTGTCTAGGTTGGCACAAGAAGAGTATGATCCTTCAGCTGTTGGGAAACAACTTTCATTCTAATCAGAGAGAGATTTGAGAAGCAGTTGCTTGAGTATTGAACATGAAGCTGAAGGACAATTGGGCGCCTCAAGGCAGGGCTTAAAGTTTCTGGCTCTGTTCTCTTTAAACCTGTGTTGGAGACCTTTAGAAAAAAAAAAGGAGCTACGAGAAACCAACTATAGCAGCAACAATAAAGCTAGATCACAGTTTCTTGATGAAGATGAGAGGATGGTTGTGTGGAGCCTCAACCTGGTGTGTAAAATATGCTTCTTTCTGCTCTCTTAGGTGCAGAGAGTGCTGGAATGGAGGGTTAATTGACCATGGTGGAAAAGAGAGAAACATTTTGAGGTTTGTGGATTACCCAGATGTAACAGTGACTTGCACATATTCCTCATGGTGTTGTATACAAATGGATCAGCAAGAATCAGATACTACACATCACAGATAAAATCCATAGCAACCAGGAAGCAAGATGGTCACATGGGAAAATAGGGGATGGAATTTTATGGACATTATTCAGACCACCTGGCCTTCTTACTCCCATGTTGACACAAAGAAAGAGGACATGATGCTGAAGGACAATTGGGTGCCTCAAGGCACCTGTCTTGCAGGACTGTAGTCCTAATGATTCAGTTGGTGGAAGGGAACCACGGAATCACAGATTCTGTGTTTGCACAGCCATGCAGTACTGGAAGACCTTTGCACATCTAGGGATGCTGATGTGGGTGGTGTATTGATTCTGATAATGGTGATTAAATGATGACCATTCTCATTCATTAGCAGAAATTTTACCTAACCTAAAAATGTTTAAAAAAACCTAACCATTGTCTTATCTTTCATAGCATACTGTGAGATTGACTATAAAGATGAACATTAGGGAAATGAAGATGGATTAATGTTCTTGGCAGTCTCCAACAACCCCTGCCTTTCATAGGTAGTCTTACTTCTTGTCGATTTATCAGTTACTTTCTGGCTCTTAAGTCTTATGCTCCTCTGTGAGACCTGTTAAGAGGGATGGTATATACTTGTAGGTAGAAGACTAGGGAATGGAAGTTGGAGACTTCCATTCCATTAACATAGAAAGTAATCTAGGGATATAATAATGGACTGTTTAGGGGTATAGTACAATGGCCCATCCCTGAATAAGGAATATGCTATAGGTTTGCTAATTTTACTTGTTCAGGGTATTTCCAAATTATCGAATTTTTGTTTGTTCTTTTTCTATAAGTGAAAGTATACATCAAAATGTTTCTGATGTTTGCAGGTGTGTTTCCTTACTACTGTCCTCCCTAACTCTGGCGACCTCTTTGACCCAGCCATCATCAAAAAGCATGTTTAAGGCCATGATTAGGGTAATTAATGTTAAGAATAAATATTATTTCATTAAGAAACATTATTTAACTCATTTTCCTTATGTGTCACTTAATGTTATTAAGTGACCAATTAGTTTTTAATTATTTCAAATAAAATCTAATTGTATTTTAATGTCATATAGGTAGATTTTTCAAATATGTATGTTCACATTTATATTTAGAAACATACAATGGGTCATCTAACTAGATATTAAAAACTTTGTATACACTTTTCAAGATCTTTACCTTTGTGTGGAAAGCCAAGCTGCCGAAAAAAATATATATTCTATAGAGTTCTATAACTGGTTAAAGCTCTACAGGACCATCAATAACCAAACATGTGCTGCAGTTGCCTGGAGGCATCGTAAAGTGGTTATTTAAATTAAAGTTGTTTCTTAGTACTTGGGGAAAAAAACTAACACAAATCTAAATCAGATGAGTCATTGTGCATTTTAATGAAAAGTTTTTCTAATATGTAAATAAATCTAGCAAAATATCCTCAATAGTATATGATCAACCATGTATAGGGATCCTCAAAGGATCTGTTGTTCTATACTGTGCCCACTGGCCAAAGAACAGGTACCTAACGTTCTCTAAGAGACTTTACAGATTATACGATGAGATATGGTTTGAACTCCTGTTTTGGCTGACTCCATGCAATCGCACAGTGCTTTAAAATTGTCTTCTATCCTGCATTTTTCTCAGTCGCAGATAATTCTGGCTCACCTGGATTCAAATACTTGTAGACTTGACGCAATCCAACTACCTAAGATCCAAGTGCCCAAGAAACAACTTTCCAGGCTCAAAAAGGTGTCACTCGCTGGCTGTCATAATACTTGAAATTTCTATCACTATATCACTATACTCATTCTATTAATATAAGCTGATGGCTCCTCTAAAGTGTGAGTATATTACCTACAAAGGGGAACAAATTAGCATATTAAATTTATTATCAACATGAGATTATACTGTAGTATGGGCAGCACCCACTCATTTACCCCTAATTTTATGTGTCCCTGCCGAAGAAGCAACTCTGCTTCCAGTCTTGCTACCTTTGACTGCTCATTGGAGCAATGGTTTCCACTGTCACTCCTCATACCTGTTTCCACCTAGGATGAACTGGCCATACAAAGCGTATTAAATAGGGAGAGATGATGAAAACTGACCATTGACAGGAGAAAGGAGAGAGAATATAGGGAAGTTTTACGACACAGATACCTGCTTAGTGAGGGCAAGTCCAAGTTGGATACTTTAGAGTGAGACTCCCAACAGCCATGTGGACAGCATGAATATGCCAAGAGTTTGAAAAAGGAGCCCCAAATGGACTGGGGCCAGGAGAGTGAGATGACAAAGACAGACTGAATCTTTTACAGTTTTGAGCTTTCTTTGAGTACATACTAGAGATATAACAGAACCAGGTGGAGGAAGGAGGCAGGGAATCTAAAATATTTATGAGCTTGATAAGATTGGAAGAGTTTAAAGCAGGAGGTGGAGACAAATGAGGGTAGACTGGAGGGAGGGATACAAGCAAGGGAGGGCATCTTAAGAGTGCTTCAGAAGAGGCAGTGATGTCAGTGGTGCAGGTGTGGATCCAACTTAGACACCCTGTTCTTGTGGGTAAATGCATATTTTCTTTTTACACGGCTGGGTTAAATTACTTCCCCTAGGTCATTCAATTAATCACTTGGAGAGCAAGGAATAGAATCCAGCTCTCAAGGCTCTCATTTCACATCTGGAGCAGGCAAACTAGGGTTCTCCTTTCTGAAACACCCTCTTTTTTTTTTTTAAGTCTTTTGCAAATCAGTGAAGTTTTGAGCTCCTTTATAAAGAATTTATGAAATCCTGTTACTCTTTGCGTGATTTAAAATTAAGGTGGTGTTAGTACAAAAAAACACTATAAATTGCTTTTTGGTTTATCTTCCATTCAAAAATTTAAAATATCTGTCAAAATTTCTTTGATTTTTTCCCTGCAGATTTCAAGTTATTGTTCTGGGGAGCTGGAAGAAAAATGAGTTACAGATCTGAAAAAGCAGTGTGTGCAGAGCTTAACTGCTGCATGACTGATTGTGTGATATATTGCTCTTTTCACTAATAACCACAAAGCAGGTAGAGGCATGGCAGACTAATTTGGTTTATATGTCCAGCTGTAAGGCTAGACACTGCATCATTCTTTTCAGAAACCAGTGACTTTAGGCATGTGGAACTCGTAGTCATGACAACAATAAACCAGCTTTGAGTCTGTGTTTCAGCTCAGAAACTGCCTTGTCTCCATTACTTCCTGCTCATGACCTGACTTTTCTTACTCTCTGGGGCTGGGGGCTGGGGATTTATGAAAGATCTATTGAACAGAGCTCCAGTATATGTTTAATGCTTAAAATGTCTCGGTTGAAAGTTTTGCTTGCACAGATGGCTAAAGGCTGGAAGGAGGATAGATCAATCATTATTATAGCTAATGACACGGTTATAAGGGCATACACAAAGGTGAGCTGATTTGGAAAATGGGAAAAGGCAATGTGAAAAGTGGGACTTGGAAGCATTGCTTTGAATAACATAAAAGTGGTTATCACAAATAAAATTTTATTTTAAATACATAAGGGAATTTATGATTCTGAGAGGACTTATCCAAAAGGTAAAATGAATAATCAAACAAAAATTAATACAAAAAATTAAGTGAGTGTATGTGTGTGTATATTTATGCAGTTTTTAAACCTGAAGAAACAATTAGCAGAAGCTCATGGCAAAATCTACAAGTGTTCATTTTAGTGTCCCACTAGTTTAATGGTATGATAGTGACTGCCTTCAGAGACAGCGTAGCTCAGTGACCTCTGGGTTCAATGGTCTCCATTTAAATATCAGCTGTAATATTGGGAAGTTGTCTATACAAAGTCTCTCAACATTCTGCTCTAAAGAGAAATGATATGATTTGCACTTCAAAGGGTTGATTGTTGGTGAAATGAGATAATGGAGGAGAAAGCTTAGCTCAGTGCCCTGGATAGAGTGAACCTTCAATAACAGGTAGCTGTCAATGTTGGTTCTATTGGTGTTGTTGCTAGTAGGGTTTGTCATTAATTGAAATCTGTCCTTCCTGTGATTATCATGGTTGAACTCTAGTATTAAAGAGGCCTGATCATAGCGATGGGAAGATTTATTTTTCTTTCTGGAGAGACGTTCTCTGGCTTTACTATTTTCTTTGTATAATCTAGATTGTAAGGAGGGTAGATAGTGGCTAGAGAAGGCATGAATGCCAGACTGAACTGCCAACATAAAAGATGGTGTGTCTGGAGACTTTTGTGCCTTTTAACTGCCCAGTTGTGTTTCTCCCATCACCCAACAAGAAGCGAGAAATTCTACCATCAATTTTGTTTCATTTTCCTTAGCACGTTGGCCTAGTTCTATATGACTGCCTTTTTTAAAGCTCTTATTTTCCAGCAAGTTACCCCTACAAGCCAATAGACAGAGACATAAGACATGAATCAAACCCTAGATAGAAGCCAAATGCTTCCTTTCTTTTCTATGTACTGAGAAATTGAATGATTTACTTTCCCTGAGATCAGCTTCATGATTTCATGATCATGTGGTTAAACTTAGTAACCAACATGCTCCCTGGAGGCTAGCTTTCCCCCATCACCTTGTAGAGTTTGGCTCACCATGTAAAAATCTGATCGAGTAAATTCAATTATTAAGTTATAATTGAGAAATCATGAACCATTAACCGATTATGTACTTTTTCTTATTATAAGAGTTTAACACTGTCATAAACAATTAGATTTCTCTTTACATTGTTCCCAGAGCAGCAGTTATAATTTATAGCAATATGATTGTTTTCCAAAATATATAATTAGATCACATTTTTCTATTAGAAGTTTTATGAGAAAAGAAAATTTTCATATGCCCGTCATTGCATGAAAGAGTTAATATACCTCCAGAAAAGAAGATATATTATTTTTCAATAGTAATATTAATTTTAGAAATATTTAAATTGAGTAAGATAATGGGGTGATTAATATGAGGGAAATGTAAATACTATCATGTTAGATATTTGAAAATATAAAATAAATATATATTATATAATTAATGTATGGCAGAAAAGATGTAATTGAGTGACTAACTTTTCTGGATATCCTAGGTGTTACCGAAAAGTGTAATTACATGCTTATGAATGACCATTAAAGTAGCATTATTACAAAAATATTTTTCATACAGAATGATTTTGTATTGGTAGCTTTTTTAACATCTTTTAATAAAATTGAGTGAGATAAAAATACACCCAAAGTTTGGAAGATTTTCTGTTTTGTCTTAAGGTCTTGTAATTTCATTGATACTAGTCCTAATGTCTCTAAGCTTTAGAGATGTTTTAAAGCCCAGGTCATTTTTCCTAAGTTAGACTGTTTAGTCTATGCAAAAGATAAATCTTCTGAAGATTCAAAATCTTTAAACATGCCCAGAGGAAACAATTGTCTCTCTAGGAGTTCCTTCTTGGAATATTTCTGTCTCTTCAATATTGGTTTATTTTTGTTATTGCTCACAAATGTTGCTGATAAAGGTGTTTCGAGTAAGGAAATTGAAACAATGGAAACATAAATCTATTTCTTAAAATGTAACAGAAGGCTGATTCATCAAATATGGCTTAATGTTTGTGATGTACTTAGCAGCAGAGAGCTCCAGAGTTTTTCCTGGTAGAAATATAGAAATATTTATAACAAAAGGCCAGATTCTTCCCCTTGGAATTCTCTGTGGATCTCTCTCAACCACCAGGGAAAAAGCAGTATCCAGGAATACACAGTCAAAGTAAACTTCTACTCCACAACTTGGTTATATGATTTTATTTTATTTATTTTTAAAATACCTAAATTTTTTACTAATAAGTACAATAAATCAATTAATTTGTAGAGAAAATTCGAGTTCTTCAATTTAGCAGCCAATTTTCCTAACATGGGCTGGAACTAAAAAAACTATATCATCTAGTTTGCAACAAACTTGCTGCAGTTAAAGATGCTAATTGCAATGATTCATCATAATTCATTGTCAAGATTTGACATAAAATAGCTGGGATGATTTATTTTTAGTTTACATAGTTATATATTGTGATTTCAGTAAATGTTCACTCACATTTTACAAAGGCTTATTATTTCTCTACTATTATTATTATGCTCTGAAAATTTCAAATAATTTCCTGTTTATTTTTCATTGTTTACCTGTCTAGTATTGTCACTGGTAAATGTGAAATAGGGTGGGTTTTTGTTTTCTTTTCTTCTCACTGACCTTATCTTTTACATATTCTGATTATTCTTGAACCAGTAGCTTAAGTATAGATGCAAAAGTGATGAGAGTTTGACTTAGCTTTGGCTTTTATTATCAGATACCCACAAGGAAATAAAGCTTTGATCTACTTCCTTGGAAAGTTAATCCCAGTGATTATGTGGAGATGTGTGCAGTGTTAGCTACAGGGATATACATCTTTAATCTCTTGGCGTTGAATACTTAATCCAGTTCAGATTCTTGGCAAGGAGATTTAAAGAAAGAACAAAATAATTACACTCTTCATGGGCTTTGTTTTCTGGAATGAATATTTGGTAGCTCTGCCTGGTGTTTTACTGTTTAACTGGAGTGCTTAGGAAAATAGATTTGTGTTTACTTGGAGTGATGTAAAAGCTGATTTTTGTGGTCCTCGGTAGGTAAATTTAAAGTATGTCTATTAACTACGGGGCATTTTGGGGAGGGCTTTTACTCTTCAGCTTGTTTATTTTGGCAGAGTGAAGGCTGAATAGAGAATGCACTATTTCCTGTGGAATAATTTCACAGTTATTCTAAAACTGGAACTACTCATTAAAAAGTGTTCATCTTTTCTTCATGTAAATAAAAACTTCATATGCTATTGTAGGCCATAAAAATGCCCACTAAATTTAAATGTAACACGGCTTCATTAGAAAAAGATTTTAAACTAATCATATTTATTTTTTAAAATGCTACTCCAACTTATTGAGAAAATGTGGATTAGGTTAAAATATATTTAAACAAATGTTATTAGGTAACCCATTAGCTCAAATAATATATGTTTTCTTTTGGTTTACATTACACATTATAATCCATAACTACATATCTAAAAAGGAAGATAGAAAACAATAGAAATCTCGTCAACCTTACATAAACATTAAAATATTCATGATGCTTTAATGCGGTAGATACAAAGTTAGTATCTTCCAATTAGTATTATAATTTTTTTCTGCATATTAATCCTTATCATGCATAAATATAATCTTATACCTGCATAATATGCCATCAAGTTTATTACCATAATTTACTTGACTACGCTTCTAGTTTTCTTTCTCTGTTTCGAATAATGCCAGAACTTATTTGTATTGAAAATATGAAATGCTAGCAAAGTGAAGAACATCATTTTATTATTTATGCTAAGTCTTTATTCCTGATTAAAAGAAGATATAAGCAGACCTGTTAGAAATTAATCCTGATATCAGAACAAGGATGAGTGAAATTTTGCACAGGTCTCACTCATTTTAAAATTAATAACCCATATTTGGGTGTTTTTATTGGGTATTTTATATTGACATATAAAACAAATATTTACATAATTTGACTTTTACTTAGAAGTAATTTTTGGTTACTAATATATTAGCAGTTTGCTAGTAATTCAAGTTCAGCCATTTATGTTAATGCATCACAAACAGAAGTAGCCTTTCTTCTTCCCCCTTTCCTTAAGTAGTGTAGCTCTTGTTTCTTCTGTGATTTAGGCTCCAAAGTTTTGTGTCCTTTTTAATTGTCTTCTAAAAGTGCATGTTCCCAATGAGGTAAAATTAAATCTTCAGAATTGTGTCTCAGTAATGAATAGAATCACAACTGGGCAATAGTTGGGTAAAAGTTTCTGGGTCATTTGGGAGAAGACATGTTTGATTTTACATCTTATCAAAATATTTTTTTTAAAGAATTCCTGAAATACTCCCTGGAAAATGTGTCATGGTTTAAGTGTCTCCAAAGTTTTCTTAGAATTTCAAAAGAGTTTTCAGTGTGGACACATATACATTAAGAATATACTTGAAGCTATGTTGTTTTTCTGGACCCCCTCTAAAGGAAGAATGTAAGAAGGTGTTTTAAGTTGTGTTAGTTTAGTTTTGTTTTTAAACTGAATTGATAGAATACTCTGGCATTAGGCAGACAAAGAATAAATTTTGCTTGTAATTAGCTCTAAGTATTCCTTCTTACATAGCTTTGCTTCCTGTGTTTTACCTACCCTGTTCAATGCCAATTTATAGAGGTGAGTGACGGCTACCTCTGTATTTTTTATTCAGGAACTTTCCCAAGAGTAGAGAGAATAAAATCTTCGAAAAGAATATTTCATTCAACATAAAACTTTGTTTTCCATTCCATTTTTGAAGCCAACCTTAACATTGTAGGGGATGCCTGGCTTAGGCAAAAGCATTCTGTCTCTCTCTCTTGATCCATGCCCATGGCTCTCTGTACATAACGTGTATAAGGTGTGTAGTGGTTTCAGAAGAGGAGGGGGAGCTGTAGGGAATAAAAAGTTCATGTTAAGCAGGAGTAACACGTGCCGGGTAAAGGAAGATTAACCTCATTCTTAGAATATGTGTTTTTCCTCAACTCACAAAGAAAAATCATTTCATAGATAAGAAGAGTGTCAATCCTTGTCACGGAGCCTTTTGAAGTCATCATTTATAGTGCTTATTTGAGTATTGTTATCCTTTCTCTCTGGATACTGCAAAATCTTTAGTGTGCTTGGATTTCCATGGCCAACTCTACAAGAATTTAGATCAGTGTTGCTTAAAGTGGGGACCAAGGATCTATGTGGGTCCCAGAACTGTTTGTTAGTACCTGATGATGAGATAAAAAGTTGGGGTCAGAATTGCTAAGCATATTGTTTATTCATTTAATGTTTTTTATGTAGCTAGACTTTCTTGATTATTTCCTGGAGTGCTGGAAACAAACAAAGACAGGTTACCTTGAGTAGCAGTTATTTATCTTTCGGCCTCTGTATTAATGTTAAATATGCGAAAACATTTAAGTACTTGTTGTGAAAAAATGAATGTTTGCTGATAAAACTGTACAGCAGCCTGGAGAGTCAGAGATCCTGGGCCTTAGTTTAGACCCTGGTGCCTACCAACTGTGTGACCTGAAGCAACCATCTCTGGATTTCTTCATTTGCAAAGTGAGCTGGAATTGTTGTGGATTAAACATTTTAATGACATGTAAGAAATTTAAAGGAATGAGTGCATCGAAGCATTACATTCTCACATCCAGACTCACGTTGTTAACATATTAAAATTGACCATTGATTGAATGAGAGGACAGGGGCTAAATGTGTTAAGTTTAAAATTTAATTTAGATACTCCACAACTCTTATCCCTTGAATATTTCCCATCTTTAAACGCATACTTTGGTAGGCCAAAAAATCTTCTTGTGGTCATAGTGTGTCTTCATTGCTATAATAATGTTCTGGAAATATACTCTAGCCAAAAATCTCATTTATTTCCCTGCCACTGTTGTGAAGAACCATGACAACATCTATTTTCTCTTTTTTACAAATCCACAAGACCTAACAACCTTTAATCTGCAGAAGAATATATTAAAAGTTGACAATGTTTTTTCTGCACCGCTATGTATGGTAAAACCTTACTCGTTTTCTCATTTTTTACTCATGACAATAGCAATATAAGTAGGTGTTGCAGATATTTCAGTGATACTTCAAACAGGATCTTTTCCATGAGGCAAACAGAACCAAATGCAAAGTTGAAAAACATTAAGAAAAGGTATTTTGCTAGAAACAGAAATAGCATTTCAAGTGATTTGTTTTGGGAAAAGCTTGCAACGTTACCAAAAATTAACATAAGTAAATTTGTTCTTTTTATTAAACAGAAATATCATTCAATAAGCTGGTCAACTAATGTCATTCGAATCTGGGTTGGGGGTGGTTTTCCAGGTTGTATTTTGGGGTGTGTGTGTATGAGTTTGCATTATTGTCCTTTTCCTCTTTCCATCCCTCTCAGTAATCTGTCACTGTCCACTGGGTTGAATGCATTGGAACCTCTTTTTTTTTTTTTTTTTTTTTTTTTTTTTTTTTTTGAGACGGTGTCTCGCTCTGTTGCCCAGGCTGGAGAGTGTAGTGGCACAATCTTGGCTCACTGCAACCTCCTCCTCCCAGGTTCAAGCAATTCTCCTGCCTCAGCCTTCCAAGTAGCTGGGACTACAGGCAAGCACCACCATGCCTGGCTAATTTTTGTACTTGTAGTAGAGACGGGGTTTCACCATGTTGGCCAGGCTGGTCTTGAACTCCTGACCTCAGGCGATCCACCCACTTGGGTCTTCCAAAGTGCTGGGACTACAGGTGTGAGCCACCACGCCCAGCTGGAGCCTCTCTTTAGTGTTCCAGATGCCTCCATAATGTAGGAGTACCCAGTATTTTCCAATTCCTTTTCTCCCTAATTGTTTGCATAGTGCATCCCACAAGTCCAAGTTGACTACTATTCCAGATCTCTTCTCCAACACCACATCCCTGTTCTTTTGGTATCTTTCCATCTAGAGCCTTTTGCCTAAATTGCTTACTTACTCATTTCCAACTCAAATTTGAAGTCAACAAGCTGTTATAGGTTTAGCCCACTGCTGTATTTTGACAAGGTAGGTGCTCACATGAATATTTGTTGAGTTAAATTATTTAAATACAACCTGCCAAAAGCTGGGTCAGTTTCTTCTTTCTTGATATCAGATTCCTAACACTTCAGTTGGACGTGCTAGCTATCTCCTTTAGACATATACAGCATTTTCTTTGAACACATCTTGTGACATTTATACTAGTATCATGTTAAAAACACAGGATTTGTTGTCAGACAGAAGTTCAAACCTCGGCTGTCAAATCTTGAACATGTGATTAAATTTCTCAAGGATGCAGTATGTTCTGTCAGGTGAGGATGTTGATGCCTACCTCATAAACTTCCATGAAGATTACATGGCATAATATGTATGCAAAGTGCTTTGCTTCCTGTAAGCATTTCATCATCATAATAGCAAACACTTGTACATACTAATGTGCCAGGCACTGTTTTAAATTCTTTATGTTTGATAACTCATTTGTTCCTCACCACACAATGAAACAGACGCTATTCTCCCTGTTTCCCACCTGAAGAAACTAAATCACAGAAGGATAAATTATCTTTCCAAGCACACAGACCTGGCAGGCTGTAAGAGTCAGGATTAAAACCAGGATGTCTGGGCTGTGCATTTAGCCACTCTGGTATACAGCTGCTCAGGAGTTGTGTATTGTTCTCTCCTCCTTATCATAAGGAAGCGTGTAATGTAATGGAAAGTGTCATGAAACTTGAATTTTACTTCTAGATTATCAGCAGCTGTTTACTCTTAGGCAAGTCATTTATTCTCTTTAAGCCGTAGTTTGGTATTCTTATCTAGGAAAAAAAGGATTTGAGTAGCAATCACCTTCTTTTTGTCTTCCTGGCATTCTTTTTTGGGGGAATTGCCCCTCTTCCAGTGTATTCCAGAAGGACTCTCAGTCACTGTCAGTGGCCATCAGCTCCGCTACTGCAGGGCTTCCTACTCCCAGACAGAGATGGTCTGTGACTCCCCTGGGTTGAGCATATGAGCAATGCAGGATTAGAATAGTGTGTATTTGTGGCCGGGCGCGGTGGCTCACACCTGTAATCCCAGCACTTTGGGAGGCCGAGGCGGGCAGATCACGAGCTCAGGAGATAGAGACCATCCTGGCCAACATGGTGAAACCCCGTCTCTACTAAAAATACAAAAATTAGCTGGGCGTGGTGGCGCATGCCTGTAATCCCAGCTACTCAGGAGTCTGAGAAAGGAGAATCACTTGAACCCGGGAGGTGGAGGTTGCAGTGAGCTGAAGCCGAGATTGGCCGCTGCACTCCATCCTGGTGACAGAGCGAGACTCAGTCTCAAAAAAAAAAAAAAAAAAAAAAAGGAATAGTGTGTATTTGTAAACTGTATAGAACTGGGGGAAAGCAAGCCCTTTTGTATTTTTCAAAATACATAAGCTGAAATAATCATGAAGGCATGAAGCTGTCAGGGACCATCTCTGCCACCAGATGGAGAGAATTTGCTTGAGACAGAATCCAAAATAAAGAAAGCAGAGATGTGAAATGCGGTTTGGGTGGAGAGAGACAGAGAGAAAGAGAGACAGAATGACCATTATGACAATGAGTTTGGTACCTGGATTCAGCTATATCTGAAGTCAGTCTACTGCTATACTTTTCAGTTTTGTGATCCAACAAAACACTTGTCTCCCCTACAGACAAGTTTGAGTTGGCGTTCTTTCATTTGTAAGAGAAAAAGTTCTTATTCACACAGACTTAAGGAGATCATCTCCCTTTTAACTACAGTGTTTTGTAAACTTAAGTTTCATTATATCTTTGCAGTCATAAAGAAATATATTTTTGAGCAAACAGATATTCAATGAATTTTTAAAAAATAAATTGAATTGTTGAGCCTATGTAATTCAGGATAAAAATAGGTGTATCTGGGATCTTGAACATATATTTCAAATGACTTTTATAGTTTCTTGGTGATTGACTACTTTGATCATGATCTAAAATAATTTAAAGCCAATGTTTCATTGGCTTAGATATTTTTCTTAACCAGCTGACTTCTTCTAAACCTTGTTTGGAAAGTCAACACTCTAGAGGACTGATGCAAATTAAAGTGTTTTCCTGGGCACAGAGATAAGTGTCTTCCTGAAATCACAAGCAAAACACAAGATAGAATTGTTGAGGGTTGAGTAGGATGTAAAGGGAATTTCCAGTCATTGCCTCTGCAAAATAATATAGGGTCAGAAAGTTCAAAGGGGCTCTGGGAAGGAAAGAACAGAATGGCCCCCTCAATCAGAATTATATCCATTTTATGTTAAAACCACCGAACTACTTTCAATCTGGTACATATGTATTATACATATACCTACTGCAGCTTACATGCAAATGTGTTCATATACTTAGAACCACATGCAATGATCCCCTCTGCAATTATTCACAAATTAATCCTCCAAAAAGAAAGCAAGCTCTCTTAAATCTCTCCCATGTGCCAGGAAGTATGCTAAATGCTTTATACATTATCTCATAATTCTCTCAACAGAGATATGAGACAGATCTCTCCCATTTTATAGATGGTGAAATTGAGATTTAGAGTTTAAATAACTTGCTCAAAGTCTCACACCTACGAAGCAGTTTAAGTCATTCTGGCTTAAATACTCAACTTTAATCACTGTGCTATGTTGCCCCTCCCAGGTGTAATCTGTTTTAAAGATAAAAATACAGAGATATTGCCTGCCCAACAAAAGAGGTTGTAAAGTTTAGTATTCTTGGAACGAGGCAGAAGGAGTGGGTATATGATACATGGGAAAAAATCAAGTTATAAACATTTAGGAGGCTAATACTGGGGGAAAAAAGACGAAGACACATATTCCCTTCCTAGAAGTGATAAATCCTATTTACTGAGACTTAGTTTATTTTATGTAAATTCTATGTTTAACGTGAACTCATAGTTTCACAGCTCAAACCTGTTTGGCTGCTAACATCCTCCTTAGAGCTCTGCCAGCCAGAAAGTAAGCCAAACAGCAAAGCAATGCATGCTACAGCCTGCCAGATGCAGCTGCTGAAATCTAGCAGCAGATTTAGTGTTTCCTGTAGAGGCCTCCTAAAAACAAAAGTTCCCAGCTTGTTTGTATGTGACCAGCTTATGTTTCCATGATGCCTTGGACCATGGCTTTTTAGGGGTCATTTCATTTCATAAACCTTGTTCTGACTCTATAGGGAGTCCACTGCGTTCACACAGCCATGCTCATGGATATAATGAAATTTGATTTTTAAGTGGAAAATACATTGTTTATTATTAGCTTACAAACCAGACTTTTCCAAATCATGCAAAAGATTAGGGCAGTGTTTGATGCAACGTTCATCCATTTACTGAGGTGATGGAGACAAGGTCATGCTTGCTGATGAGATGAAACTTTAAATGCCTTGAAAATGTGGGAGGTCTTTGTGAGACTAAGCAAGGAATTCCATATAGCACAACACACACAGTGTTAGCTAGCTGCCCACATCTGTGTGTGGCTCAAGCAGAAATAGTGATGGAGTCTCTTAGAGCTAGGGATTGGTTCCCAACGGCCTCAACCCAAAGAGTTATACAAGCTTTGGGGAATAGTTTTAGTGTAATTGCACATGTGGTTCTTTTTTGTGACGTCAATCTAAGAGCCGATTCAACATTACTGAACCTTAGATTTTTGTCTCAAACACTTCTTTAAAAGTTTAGAAGATGCAATATTTCCTTATATCTAGCTTAATGTATTTGTTACATAAGCTTCTATAGAATGAGGTTATGAGAAAACATACTTGATATTTTTACCTAGCAAGTGTTTTAATAATTTGAGGCATTATACTTTATTTTTGTTAACACTTACTGAAAGCTGTCTGTATATTAGACATATAATATATATTTAGTCTCCATGTAAGGTTTAGTGCATTTTATTCCTTTGCTCCCTTTGTTGCTGTCTCCCTTTACTAGAATGTAAGCACTACAAGGGGAAGTTGTTTTGTCTGTTTTATCCAGTGATAAATCCTAAGCACCTCCAATCATGATTGGCTCAGTTAGGTTTTTAATAAATACGTTTTGTACAAATGAACAGGGAGTATACTCAGGGTTTTATAGACATATCCCTTTGAATCTTCATATCAACCCATATAAGCATGTTATGTTTTCATTCCTATTCACTGATAAGGAAAATGAGGCTTTGAGAATTTAAATAACAATTTCTCAAGTCCATATAGCAGATAAATAATCAGCCTGAATTCAATTATTGAACTCTTTCTCCGAACTCCATGTTTCTGATTTCTGGTATACGTTCTCCTCTTAAGCAATTGTGTGTAAAATCTGAGTTGTATGGCTAAAATGTCAGGCTCTCTTCTGGATAAAGAAAGTCCCAGAGGGGAGGAGAAGGGTTGTCATGGTCTCTAGAACCCCAGGGAGTTTCTGGGGTGCATCACTGTCTTTGCCACCTAGTCTGACTGTCAGAAGGCTGGGGAAGAGGTCATCATTTTGAGGTTCCTCTTTTACTTGTCTGACAGTGAAACAGCTATGGAGAAGAAAGAACCAGGCACCTAGTGAAGCATTAAGAAATCATTCCTAGCCCTGTCTCTCGATTTCTTCATCAGCTTGGGTGTGTCTGTGTTCTCGAAAATACACAGGTTTGAACAGAGCATGTTTGTGGTTTGGATTTAAAGAGGAAGGAAAAAAGAGAAAAGGATTGAAGAAAAAGCAAGGCAAATAAAGGAAATGAGTGCTTCCGACACTGAGGAAAAATAAAGTTATAAAAACAAATACTAAGAACGGTATATTCATTAGAAGCTATTCTCCTTCTAGAACAGGAGAAAAATTCTCCATAACATTGGTACCAAAATATGCAGTCAAATCTTCCTAGAACCCTGGGGTCGTGAGTGTTTCACCAGCCACTTGCTGCTGTCGTTCTGATCTGCCTATTAGTCTTATTCGCTTGATCATTCTCCTCTACCTCTCCCTTGTTCTTTTGTTCATGGTTTTGCACCTCTTGAATGGGAAGTCTGAGTGATGACTCAGACATATTAAGACACATTTTATGCATTAAGATTTTTTAAAAATGGCATGTAGACACTAACATCATGCTTTTCCTAAAGACAGAATTACGTTTGCCTGGAATTCTGTGTTGAAAAATCTGAAGATGCACTAATAAATACTTGATGCCTAGTACCTTGACCTTCTCTTTGGGGACCAAGATCTAGCTTGAATATTATCTGTGACCTTTTAGGTTATTTAACTAAACTGAATAATTAAAAGTTTTTTATTGTTCAGTAACCTGAAAGTAGGGTGTGCATTTGAGAGGTGGGTGGAAAGCGAAAAGAATGGACATAAGAAGGTTATTATTTCCCCTTCAAATAACATTCCCAAAGACTCATAACACTTTGATTGCTAGCATGGTACACAACTGTGACTGTCAGCACTGGCTGCCATTACCTGGGGAGATTTTTAAAAAGTGCTTATACTTGGGTCTACCCCAAACAAATTAAATCAATCTCTAGCAGAGAGGCTTGGGCATTGAAATTTTGTGAAAGCTTCCCAGGTGATTATAATATGCAGCTAGGACTGAGAGCCTACCTGGAGTAGAATAAGGATTTCATGCTTTAGAGTCTGATAAGCCTGTATTTCAATTCCAGATATGCCACTTTTTGTGCCAAGTGACATTGGGCAAGTTTTTGAAACTTCCGCAACTTATGTTCTTACTCTATGTAAGGAGCCAGTGTGTCTTCATCAGAGGATCATTTTAAAGATAAGATGAGAAAACATATGTGATATAGCTAGTATAGTACCTAGCATGTAATTGGTGTTTAATAAATTAGGATTATCACCTCTATCATCATCATTAGGCTTGGAAGAGACCATTGTTTCTACAGGTAAACATTACATGGTAATAGAGAAGAGCAGACATGCACTGGAGACCACTCCAGCCATCTGCTCTTTGTCCGATGGAATATATACTATGAGTATTTCTACTACTTTATCCAATCTATCTTTGAGCCACAGTACTGCAATGATCGAAGCTATTCTGACAAGTTTCTACCACCAATGGATAAAGAGTTCTAAATATTAAGACACTTCTTTCAACATTTAGTTTATTCAATTAATTCTGATTCTACTATGCTTTTGGAACCTTCCAATGTGCTAACAATTTTAAAGCACTTATCTTTTTTTTTTTTTTTTTTTAGACGGAGTCTCGCTCTGTCGCTCAGGCTGGAGTGCAGTGGCACGATCTCTGCTCACTGCAAGCTCCGCCTCGCAGTTCACGCCATTCTCCTGCCTCAGCCTCCTGAGTAGCTGGGACTACAGGTGCCTGCCACCGCGCCTGGCTAATTTTTTATATTTTTAGTAGAGACGGGGTTTCACCGTGTTAGCCAGGATGGTCTCGATCTCCTGACCTTGTGATCTGCCTGCCTCGGCCTCCTAAAGTGCTGGGATTACAGGCGTGAGCCACCGCACCTGGCCAAGCATTTATCTTATTATATTGTAGATTTCATCAGCCTTTGGCAATATTAAAAATCAATTTATTTATTTATTTATTATTTATTTTTGAGGCGAAGTCTCGCTCTGTCACCCAGTACAGTGGGGAGATCTCAGCTCAGTGCAACCTCCACCTCCTGGTTTCAAGCGATTCTCATGCCTCAGCCTCCCAAGTAGCTGGGATTACAGACATCCGCCACCATGCCCAGCTAATTTTTGTATTTTTAGTAGAGACGGGGTTTCACCATGTTGGCCAGTTTGGTCTCGAACTCCTGACCTCAAGTGATCTGCCCATCTCAGTCTTGGACATTACAGGCGTGAGCCACCGCATCCAGCCAAAAATCAATTTATCTCAGTAACATGTTCAAAATAGATAGGAAGCCATACCACGTTTTTGCTCCTTGAATCACAACTTGATCTTGAATCCATTGTCATGGATTCTACCTTCCTCTATGTAAACCAGGCATTTCATTAGCTATGGAGGTGCAGACTGGATTAAACCCATCTATAAAACTGGTAAAACCCAAAATACTGTTCACTATGAATGAGACTCACTTGAATTAGTAGTCTTGCACAAAATAAATACCCATGACTATTGAATTGAGAGGCACTACTCTACTGTTTAACAGAAACAAAGTAATTTTCCTAATACTGATTTGTGTACTTAAAAAAATCTACAAATGTGTCAAGGAGAAAGTTTAATCTCCATTTTCCGTATTCTAGGAAGGCAGATAGACTATGACTTTGATAAATGACACCAGTGTTCTCACAGGCACTGTTCCTTAAAATCATTTGTGACTTGTGACCAATAAACCAAATGGATCTACTACATCTTAAACTTAGGATTTACTTTTGAAATCTCTCTCCAATGTTTTGCTTTTCTCAGTGACTCTAGCCTGGCGCTAATCTTCATGGTCTTTTGTCTCTTCATCTTAATCTCTGCACCTGCCAACACATTCATACAATTAATCCAGATATCTTTCCTGGTCCTTTTCTTTCCTTATTCATGAATCTTTAATAACTCCTTGTATTTGTAATAAAATCCAAATCATGTGAAAAAATGGAAAGAGTTTGACTTACTTGAGTTTGGAGATAAACAGATCTGGGTTTGGATCCTGGCTTTGTGGCTTTTAGCTGTGTGAATGTGAGTATATTATTATTTTTCTCTAAGCCTGTTTTGTTATTTGTAAAATAAAGATAAAAATAACTGTCTCAAGGTTGAAATAAGCATTACATGAAATAACTTCTGCAAATCACTTAGTATAGTGTCTGGCCCCTAGTGAAAGCTCAATTAACATCAGTCACTTTTCTGACCCCCTGATTCTAGACCTGACCCACCTTTCCAGTTCTGTCTCTCACTGTGGTCTCCCTCTGTCTCTCACATATCCTTACTTCCCTTCCCTGCCTACTGTCACTGTATACATGTATCTTCCATTCCACTGCTTCTATGGCTTTATTCATCTATATATTCATGGGGTTCTCTTTGTCACAAATGCATTTTTTTGAAATTTCTGATCAGTTCTTCTCTTACACTTTCTTGAGCTTTCTAGTCAAAATTGATCTCTAACTCCCTACTCATAATCCTTGTCATACCTTCACTGATCTTTCTATCTGTCTTCAGATCCATTTCATGATGTTGTTTGCACCCACCTCCTCCACCTGATTACGAGCCCCTTAAGGGCAGGGGCAGGGCCTTTCTCATCTTTGTCTGTACCTGCCCATCTCCCTCACCCCTTCCAGAGGGCTAGGAAAACTTCTTGAAAAGGAAACACTCGAGAATAATTCTGTGAATATATTAATTATTTAGCAAATTCATTGTACTGTTGAAATGATAAAACATTGACATGGGTAGGATGGTAATATGATTATTATTAATTATATAACTAGAAAAATTAATCAAGTCCACCGAGCTCAAGTAACTTCCTAGAGTAATATTATGAAAAAAAATTCTCGTGACTTGAAAGCTGTTATAAAATCCCTTAACAGGCCATGGGGACTAAAGTACACCCAGTAAGCTCACAGCAATACAACACTAAGATTAAGGCAGTAGAAGAAAAATCAAAAGGCAAATTGTTGAGATGCAGGATAATGTGTGCATGACCCAAGAGTATAGGTAATTTAGTTATTCTTATTCTGGCCAGGGGAGCCTGGAGGATAATCATCTCTTCATTCTCACTGTTCGCATTGGCTAGTAGAGAAGTAGAATAAATAGAGGAGAGGACAGAATTCTGAGATTAGTATAAACCAGTACTCCATCTTCTTCGATGGTTTATATTAACCATGCCTTTGTCTTCCTCTTGTTTATATATTTCATGTGTAATAGATCTCTGTAAATAGTACATACTGATTAGGTTTCTCTGTCATATTTTAATTCACTTGATGATGACCTTTAGTTTTTCCATTTAAATATAAAAATATTGAAAACATTATAATTATTTAATGTTTCCACAGTTAGTCACAGGTTTTTTTTTTTTTTCCTGAATCTTTCATTTATGCTTAGTGGATAGGGTTACCAACCAGCCCAGCTGAGATGAAAGGGTTTTCTGGGACATGGGACTTTCAGTGACAAGACTGACACAACTTCTAAGGAACTAAAAAACTGTACCATGCTAAAGGATTTTTCAACTTTTCAGAAAGAACTCTGAGTATTGTTTCTTTTTACAAGGTGTTTGCAATGTAGTTGAGGGAATATGATGCATGAAGCCAAATACAGGACAATTCAAAAGAGAATGAAATCTAACATAAATGGGAATGGTGCAGAATATAGGGATGCAATGTTTTAGAACTGGGAGTGTCAGGAGGATAACAAGGAGGAGGCTACTTTGCAAAAATCAGCCTAGAGTGGTAATGCTCAGAAGGCTAGAAGCTTAGAAACTCAAGAGGAAAGGGATGAGGCGTAAACAGAGAAGAGACATGGTATGAGTATGAAACAGTGAGGAATTTAGCAGCCTGACCTGTGGCTGGTGAGAGTGAGCTGAGGTGCTGCAGAAATAAATGGATTCAGTAAATACAAACTGAAATAAAGTCTGACAAGGATGCAGTAGGAGATAACTTTTGTCTGGCTTTCCGACATTAGCTGGAATAATTGGGTAGTGGCTGCAATAATGATTTATATTTGATTACTCAAATTTCACACAATGATAATATATGCTTCTCATGAAATAAACCACCTCATGTGTTACCAGTGCAAGTACATGTTTAAATGAATGGCCATTATGCAGTGAGCCAAAGAGAAAGACAACATCTCTCATGAAATGTTTTGTGTGGTGAAATACTCTATAGCAAAACCAAAGAAGTTTCAGCAAAGAAAATAAATAACTGCTCTTTTCAAAGAGAGTTTTTGCCCTTTATCTGATATTGGCAGCCCCAGAGGTTTGGCTTATAGAAAGCACCTTTGCCATTTGTTTTATTGCTTCTCTGTAAGTTATTTGCCTCCAATTTTTAGCAGCTGCATTATTTTTCTAATCCTTCTCAATTAACATACCCTCTGCATCATCGAAGAACTCTGAAATAGAAGAGGAAGTTACATAGGAATGACATTCCATCTTTCCTGAAGAACAATTTTCCTGTTAGACATTCAGAAGGAAGAATGTGAGTTTTTTTTCTTCATTTGTTACCAGTCTCTGCTTAAAATTCAGATGAACTGCAGTTTCTGTGACTGGTTATGCTTTAATATGAACTCTGTAAAAAATTCCCCCCTTTTTTTAACCACTCTTTTTCTCTCCTCAAAAGCAAGCTCTTGTCGAAGAGGAAAGGAGAACTCTGCTTCTCAAAGTAAACAGGCCTGCTGAGCAGAGCCCGTGGCCCATAGAAAGCCCACCCCTTCAGAAGGAAATCAGATCCTTGGGCGAAAGAGGTAAAGAAAAAAAGAGCAGCTGTTAAAACATTTAGTCTGTTTTTCTGCTCAGCCCCTGCTGGTCCCCTTGCTTCTCAGCTCCGTGTACTGTACTCGGTGTTGTGTGCTGGAAATGCAGGACCCTCACTGTGGGGCAAGCATATGAACAAGGACATTCCCTGGCCTCCGCATCCTCGCGGCCATCTTCGGCCTCTCCACCCTCCTTGCTACATTCCTGGAGGACAGTCGAAAGATTGATTGGATGATTTTTTGGCAGCTATTTGCAGAGCCTGCAGCCACAGCTTGGTTTAATTAGGGAATCAGAGCGTTTCTTTTATGTAGGTCACATTAGGTTTTGATTCCAGATCTCATACAGCTAGAACCTTTCTAAAAAGTCAGAAATACATGTACAACTGGCAGGCTTTTCTTTCTCTCTCTCTCTTTTTTTTTTTTTTTTTAGAAAAAAAGGTTTTTAAAATAGTTCTCATCTGGGTCATGTATGCTAGTGTAGCCGTTTTCTGTGTCCTTTTGTCTAATTATCAGAATAAGAGTGATATTCTACTTTTCTTCCATGAAGCTCCTGTTGTCTGATGTACATATGCTGAACACATATTATAAAATTACTGGCAGGGATCTGGGGGTGGTGGGAGGGTTAATGGTTATTTGTTTGCTTCTTTGTGCTTTTGCACCCGAAAGGTTTAATGGGTTCCCTTTCTATGGAATCTAATCCTGAAGAATCCAGGGAGAATGTAAAAACAATTATCCAGTTAATCTTTGTGCTGTAGTTAGGAATAAATACAAGGCAGTAAGAGAGATAGGAGACTGGGCATTGTAATGACACTGCAGGAACTGAAACCCAAAATTAAATATTCTCGGATTATAGGCAGCCCTTAGGAAACCTTGTCTAAAGAGTTTATGATGCACAAAGAATACTTCTTGGTAGGTAGCCAAGTAAGAGCCGCTAATGATTATGGACGTCTGAATGATGAACATGGATTCTAGTATTGCCTTAGAAAAAAAACCTAAGCTAATACTATTTGCCTTTCAGAAATTTGTTACAATTAGGACATGATTCTGATTTAAATTGTGCTTCAGGTACCATGTTATATGTATACTTCTGCTTATAGGAAATTTGAAATTTTAGCAGTCAAATAAAACATAAATGCTAAACATTTAAACATTAAAGAGCAAGACAGCCACCTTCACCACTTCCAAAAAATATATTTGCAGAGTATTTGCTGATATAGGCAATGCGTACTTAACTGACTAATGTGATTTTGTGTAGTCTACCACCCAGAGATGATTAATTAGGCTACTCAGTGAGGGTCATGCAAACAAGTTTTAACGTTACAGGCTCTCAGGAGTGTGAAGCAGTGTCCTGTTTACATTTCCTGGATGGTTAAATGAAGAGCGGTGTGAAACACTGAAATGAAATACGATGAAACATTTCAAGTTGTGTACCTCTCAAAATGTTAAGAGGGGCTATTATCCCTCAAAGCCTGCAGATTCAATCAATTTCAAATTGTTAAAAGCAGCTGGAAGGAGACGTCTGTCAATGGAGGAGGTGTCTTGTCTGTTGGAGAGACTCACAGACTCTTGGTCTCATTATTTTCAGAACGAAAAGGGAACCACAGCTGTCTGTTCTGATACATCTGATTAAACTGCTACACCAAGGGTCAGAAAGAGATGGAGGAACTCTAAGTTGAGCTTTGGAAGCAATAGTTTCAGGGCATCTATTGACTTTCCAAACTTCTTATTGGGCGGGAAGTATCACAATAATAGGACTTGCCATCAGACATCTGGCATGATCATTGTTGGAACCACATCATTGAAACTGCCTGTCTAAGGATATTTTACTCTTGTTCTCCTCTCTTGCAACTCTCACCCCAATGAATAATATCCAAGAAGAATAAAATGAATTCATTATGGTTTCAAATTGCCCAAGGCAGAAATGTTGCCTTTACATTTCAGAAGAGGAGATAGCACTGGTACCAAATGTATAGAAAGGGTGGAGTTTATCTATTACCAAATCAAATTTAAGTTGCCAAAGGTCTCTTGCCTATCATCTTACTTTTTTTTAGAAAAGTGTCTTAACTATAGCTCTTGTGTCTCTCTGCTGTCACTCAATTCATTCTGTAGAATATAGAGTTCCATATTTTTATTATGATTGGAGTTAAACCACAGACCCTCACAAATTTGTAGTTGGTGGTAGTTCAGTACACCTAAATTAAAAAAATAAAAATAAAAAAATCCACAGTGTATTTTATAGAGCTGCAATGCCCCCTTCTGTCTGCAGTGCCTGGGGTGGAAAAACTCACTTGGGTTTATGAGTTGATTGTGGCAAGTGAAAACAATGTTTATACTTTTCTTATAATGGTTCAACTACACACATGAGAGGGCTGTAAACCAGCAGTGACAGTGATCATTCAAATTCTATCCCTTCTATTCCATTTCCTCATTTGGCCTCCTATAATCTATAGGAAATTAATATAACACTGATGATTGCTGCCATTGGCCAGAAAACCCAATTATCTGTGTGGCTGTGAAGGTGGATTAGTAATGTCCTTTTTACTGTGATATGTAGGTAACCTAAGATGTACATTTAAAGAGCAACAAGTGTGTTTCAGCCACTAGAATCTTGATGGGAATGATTAGTTAGACTTACATGTCTATTTGTCTATCTGCATAAACTTCATTGATTCCCTATAAGACCATGCTATAATTTATAAAACATGTACAGTACAGATTATGTCTTAACTCCTAATAACTTCTCAAAAAGGAATTGATGATACCCTTAGCCAGAACTAATCAGAGAAAAAAATATCTTTGATTTGGTCTGCACTCTCTTTTTTCACCATCGGTTTGGCATGTTTTACTCTGCTTCTCTTACACCCCTTATCAATTATGCCCCACGTGGTTGGCATGCAGTAGTTGTTTCCCTGGGCAAGGCTTTTAATAAATATTACAGAAGATTCTCTGGACTTCTCACTGCATTTGTTCAAAGTCAGATTTTCCATGGAGTCTTCATCAACCATATTTTCAAAGAAGGTTTACGTGTTTCTAATATATTCTGAAAACTAGCTCAAGTTCTTATTGCACAAATGGAGTATGAAAAATCATCTCTTAAGTGTTGCAGGTGTGTGTGTATGTGTGTGTGTGTTTGTGTTGTAAGTGGTATGTCTGTGTGTGAATGGGAATTGAATTTGAATGATGGAGACAGTACAACTGCTGGCTTTGCGTTAGGAGAGGAGAAGCATAATCTAAAATAGTTCTTTCCCATTACATACAAATAATGAATCCTGAGGCTTTCTATGTACCAATATTAATTTCTTGAATTTCAGATTTCTGTGCGCCCTAATTGTGTTGATGACAATAATTATTAGATTGAACCACTTTTGACGTACAAAATGAACTAAAAGATTCATTTATACATTCTTTTAAAATGCAGTTAGGTTTAGAGTCTCCACATTATAGCTTTGGATTAGAGAAAAAACACCTTAAATAAGATGCTTCTTTGGGCACAAAAACACGTGCTGTGTGTGGAGGTCAGAGCATGGGAGATTAGGCATGCTTCAAAGATTTTTTATCACACATTTTTGGGGCCTTCATAGTATTAAATATTAATGAATCTTAGTGTGTGTTAGAAGGTAGTAGAGAATCAAATTGAAAAGACTGTGAATAGAAAGAGATGATCTATTGATACCGTTTTTTCTTTAGTATCCCTCTTTATTTGATAATCCCTGAATTGATTATAACTCAGACATGAAGCAGTAAATTCTCTCCTTTGGGCCACTCTATATCCACAAAAAGCATTTGTTGAGTAAGGCCTTGTGAGGAGGTCTTGAAAACCTTGTGTTCTGATCCCAATGATGAGTCAGCGCTATCTCCAGCTGGCTATGGGAACGTTGGAAAAGGCACTAATTCCTGTCAAATTTTCCCTCTGGGTCTTCCAACTAGTACTCAATCACAAACAATGACCTATTTTTCTTTAGCGTCTGGTGGTAGAATTCTTTAAGATTCCTTCATAAATGAATCTTAGCCCAGAAAGTTAGGACTTTTCATGACTTACGATGAAGCTCAATGTGAAGTTGAAATTGTAAGTGCAAGTGAGAGAGCATGATAAATATTTAACACCTATCTGACTCCAGGAGAATGCTGTTTTTAGAAGAAAGAAACCTTTTGCTTGCTCCATTTTTATAGTGTTCTTAATGGCAAAAGTTAAACAAGTCCAGTTTCCCATACTGGATCTACTATTTGAGGGTAGTTCCCCGGCAATCAAATTTAAAATACTTTAGGTGCAAAGGAGCGAAGTGAGAAAAGCAACACTTTGAAATAAATAGAGTGTACCAGTGAATATACTGGCTGTCTATTCAAAGGTCTTACTCACTAGTGACCCAATAGGAAAGTTCTGCACAAAGTAAGGGATAAAAAAGCTAAAGAGGAAAAACAATTAGGAAAGAAACAGTTCAAACACAAATTATGCCATTTATCCTCAGCATCAAAATAAGCTGTTTCTATAGGGGAAACAATGCAAAACAAAACAAAAATCAAACAAATTACTTGCTTTTAAGATGCTTGTCATTCTTTAAAATATATTTTAATTTCTAATTAATTGTTTTTCTAAAAAACTGCGTAGGCTTAAGATATCATCCCCTCTTGCTAGACCTTTTACATTTTAATTTTTGAAATATAAAAACCTATAAATATAGTATATGCAAAAAGGATCAAATTTATGTTTCACAGCAATTACTGGGTGCTAGACAGTATGTCAAGGGCTTTCCAAATGTTTACATATTCAATACTCACTGCTCTCCCAGGAGGTAGGTACTACTATTGTATTAGAGATGAGACACTGAATGGCAAAGAGGAGGACCTTGGATTTGAACATGTGTGTCTAGTGGCAGAACGCAATGGTCTAACTCGTAGGCTTTGCTGCCCTAGAAATCATTTGGTAATAGGATGCATATGACTCAAATACAGTGGCTATTTCTAACTCTTATAAGGTCACCTTTGGGAGCACTAAAAAGAAAACATCTCAGATCATTATTTGTTCTGAAATTCTTTACTGAACAAACCAATAACTTCCAGTTGCTGTATTATGGATTCATTCATTCATTCAGTCAGCAATACTTGTTAAATATCCACTTTTTCCTTTCTTGAGTCTACGTTTTTCCCCCAGTCTTGGTGAAAAAGATCCGGAACTTTAGTGATTATAATCATTATAAAAACCTCATCATAACCATAATAAACTCAGGATGCCCACCTCTTAGGGCAACTCACAGAGGTGGAGCATAACTCCTGACTCCTTAATCTGGGCTGTGCATAGTGCATTTCTTCCAAAGACTGCAGTATGGAAAGAGGGGAAAATAGTAACTTCATAGTGCATAAACCCGACACCTCAGCCAGGTGATCAAGGTTAACATCAACAGTGACAAGTCATCTTGACAGTATTTGCCCTTGAGATGTTGTGATGAAAATGGTACTTTACTTGTGCAGTCTTCCTCTGCAAAACACATCGCCCTAGTCTAATCATGAGAAAAACCTCTGAAAAATCCCAACTGAGGGACTTAATATTAATACAAAATACCTGACTAGTATTCCTCAAAAGTCTCAAGGTCATCAAAAGCAAGGAAAGTCTGAAAAACTGTCATAGCTAGGAGGAACCTCAGGAGACATGATCACGAAACATAATGTTATCCTGGAGGGGATGCTGGGACAAAAAAAGGACAGCAGATAAAAAGTAAGAAAGCCTAAATAATGTAATGCACTTTAGTTAATATATAATAATGTATCAATATTGGTTGTGACAAATGTACCATACTAATGTAAGAAGTTAATAATAGAGGAAACTGGATATGAGGTATATGGTAACTCTCTTTACTATCTTTGAAATTTTTTTGGTAAAAAACCTAAAGATGTTCTAAAATAAAAAGTTTACTTTCAATAAAAGTACTCTGTAAAATCAGTAACACACTGATTTAAACATCTATTGATTTTGATGTCTCTGTTGTCACATATTTCTTTTATTTCTTTCCCAAAGGTGATAACTTCATTAGAGAGTCTGAAGAGAAAAAATTACTTATTCATTCACTTATTCAACAAGCAAATACTGAATAATAATAATAACAGCTAATCTTGATTGTTTATTGTTTTCCAGACAACGTGCATGAAACTTGGCTTATGTAATCTCATTGAGTTCTTACAACAACATTATGAACTCACTGTTATTATTGTCCTTATTTTATAAATAAGGAAACTGAGGCATAGAGAAACTAAATATTTTGCCACAGGTTGTTTGGCTGATAATTTGTAAATCTGGGGTGTAACTATCAGCTTCCTCTCCATACTGTCTCTATCCTCCTAGATTCTTTATCAGGTAGGGTTGCATTAAACTGTATATAACAGAAACCCAACTAAAATGGTTTTGCTAATAGGGTTTTATTTTTCTCATATGAAAAAGAATGAGGCTTGTATGGCTGATTCAGGAAATAATCAAGGACTCAGATTCCTAGATATTTCCTCTTTTATCTTGATTGTATAGCTTTCCCCCTTATAATTCAGCCTCATGTATGTATGTATTCTAGGATAGAAGAAGGAAGTCATGAAGAAGAGAGCCATAGAGCCATACATTAATATATCAGGAAAGCAGAATTTCCCCCCAATCCCCTAGTAGCCTTCTGTTAATATATTATCACCAGAATGCTGTCATCTAGTGCAAGAGTGGCTGGGAGATTTAGTTCAGCATTTTTTTTTTTTTTCGAGATGGAGTCTCGCTCTGTGGCCCGGGCTGGAGTGCAGTGGCGCGATCTCCGCTCACTGCAAGCTCGGCCTACCAGGTTCACACCATTCTCCTGCCTCAGACTCCCGAGTAGCTGGGACTACAGGCGCCCGCCACCACGCCCGGCTAATTTTTTGTATTTTCAGTAGAGACGGGGTTTCACCGTGTTAGCCAGGATGGTCTCAATCTCCTGACCTCGTGATCCGCCCGCCTCGGCCTCCCAAAGTGCTGGGATTACAGACATGGGCCACCGCGCCCAGCCAGCATTTTTTATTAATTAAAAATAAAATCCTTTGGCCAGAAATTGCTGCTCAAAACAAAATAGAATTCAACGAGCAAAGAAGAAGAAGAGAGAATATGTAGTATATAGTGTGTGCTTAGTAAATAATTGTTGCATGAATTAAAGACTGGATATTGGGTACCATTGAAATGTCTACTGTAGTTATTGAGCTCTGATAGGCTACTTGAGTAGAAACCTATTCAAGGCACAGTTTTAAGAGCCCATTCAAGGCTCCTGAATCATTCATAGTTAACTGGAGGAGATGGTCTTATAGGCCATGTAAAATTGGAGAGATAGTCATGAGGGGAAAAGAATGGCCCTGAAATGCAGCCTAAGAAAAGTGGAAAGTCTTCCTACAGGAAAGGGCAACTGAGTGTAGACTAAGAGGATGAATGAAAGGTATGCAAAAGGAGGGGAACGTGTATTTCAGGCATTGAGGTGAAAACACACGATGTTAGGAACCAAAAGCAATGTGGCATTGAGGGAGCTCTGTACTAGTTCGCATGCTGCACAGGTCATTGTCTTCCTGTTTCCTACTTCTCATAGCTCCTTTGCAGCTGCTGGCTCTCAGTGCATATGCCTTTCCAGGGAGACTTCCCTGACCACCTCAACCAAAGAAATACCCCAGCCTTCCCTACCTGTCCGTGTCTAACTTGAGCTCTTGTTTATCTTTCTTAATCTTACTCTGTGCTCAGTATAAGCATTTGACAAATATTTGTAGAATGGCAGAAATGATAATCCTTTAATTTGTTTAATTTTAGAGGTATGAATCTTAAATTATTTCCTTCTGGGTATAATTCCAGGCATGTCCATCAGATATTTAATCTTTGATTACCCTTTAGCATTAATCTTATACATTTTTTCTCTTTTTTCTCCTGAGAATTTCTTTTACAGTTTGATTAATCAGGAACTAATGGTCTTGAAGTAGGGATCATGTCAAATATGTTTCTAGATTTTTCAAAGTACTTCATATGCTAGCCCATAGTAGATGGACAACATTTATTGTTATTAGATGCACATGTAGCATAAAACCAGGGATTCATAAAAATGTATTAAATGTAATAATTTCTATTGTAAAGAAATTGGAAAGTTCATTTCTACCATTATTTAAGACTATTCTAGTGTGTCTTACTGGAAGATCAGTCGATGTTTTGGAATTTCAAACAAAATTTGTCTACTGTTGATTATTGTGACACAGAAGAGTAGAATGTATGCCATAGCTTTTTATGATTCACATTTCTACAGGATTGCAGAGACATGTTTATGTATACCATTCCTCTGCCTGCTGAGGACCCATCAACTGCAAAGAAATACCATAATAAGAAAAATAAATTCATTTTGTAGAAATTCTGAAACAACTAAATGCAGTCTGTAGAAGTGTATTCTCATTGGATACTCCTCATTTATACTGGAATGGCAAAGTTTCCAATAGTTTTGTTCTTTATTTATGAAGCATTTTCTGCTTTTGCTTCATGCTATGTCACAGCAACTAATCTTGTTTTGCAATGCAATATGACAAGGAGCCAAGAGACCAGATCCCTAATGCAATGCTTTCCAGAGTGGAGTCCAGGAACACCTGTGGGGGCCCTTTGACTTCATGTAAATTTGTCAAAGCTGAAAATGTTATCTGGGGGAAAAAAGCTAAAGAGAAACTGGGGGGATAGTACTGAAGGAACTGTGGGTAGTGGGGAAAGGGTAACAAGGCTGAAAGTTATTAGCCAAAAGGAAACATGGAAAGTTCCAAAGAAAGGCCAAAATATAAAAACCTTTGGCCATAAGAATAAGAAAAATAAAGACTAACTATGAAAACTATAGCTTTATTCATTGGAAATCTTAGTATAAAAATCACAAAAGTATAGAATTTACCTCTCCAGACAAAAATAGTTAGGTGTTCAGTGAGGAGAGCTGCAGATTCTGCCAATGGAAATTCAAGAGGAAACAAATCCAGGCCAGCCATGAACTGGGGCTGTTTCTCAGAGATGCTCCCTGATTCTGCTTAGCGTCTTTTCCTAAGGTTCTATAAGCGCAGACTGAACCTGATACCTCTGTCCAGGCCTATTACATAGAACAGCTGAAAGTCATGTGATCTTCCGTACCTTCTGCTTCAAGCATCATCCTGTCCTATCACTGCTTCCATTTCTTCTTCCTCGGTGGCATGCAGTTATAGGTTTGAGAAGAAATAATGAGTTACCACCTTCACATAAAGAGGCAACTTGAAAGCTTTGAATATGAAAGGAATCTCGGGGATCCAGAGCTTCTTATTCAGCCCAGGTTTGGACATCTTTTCTCCATGAAAACTCAGAAAGAATTAGCTTTCTTATTCCTAGTTTCTAATAAATATGCATTAAATAGGATTGCCACACAAATTTGAATACTCTTGAGCAGTATCCTCCAAAAATAGGAGACAATCTGTTAATCGTGGTTGGAAACTGGATTCCTTGGCCTTCCATGGAGATATTTTACTAAGAACATGGCAGAAGTTGATATAATAGTAGAAGTATGCCAGCTTTTATGGGTGTCAACCACTAGCAGAATTTAGTCTTGGCGGTGGGATGGGGAAAAGTTGAAGAGTAAATCCATGATGATGATATTTTCGGAGCAATCGAGGTGCAGAGGGATTTTAGGGATCCTCACAACACAGGGTTTGCAGGTGTTGTTTCTGGGGAGGCAACACCTAAAGGAAAAAGTGATTAAATATGTCAACTGAAATCTGAAGAATAAATATGAATTAACCAGATGAAAGGGAAGGTGGGAAGTTCGGAGTAAGTGACGAAGAATATTTCAGGCAGAGGCACGGGCGCCTTCACAGGCTGAAAAGTCTGTGGCACATCTGGCAGAACTGCAGGTTGTCTGTACGGCTGGGATATGTTATACAATTGAGGGGGCATATGGGGAAAAGGGTGAGATTGTAAATGACCTGTGAAGTCATATGAAGAGATTTAGAGTTCATTCTGACAGCAATGAGGAATCCTTGAGGTCTGTTAACCAAGGAAGTTATGTAATTAGAGATGCATCTTCAAAGATTCCTCTGCAGCGTAGAGAGTAATGTGGAAACCAACAGAGACAAAGCATAGGCAGAGGGATGAGGAAGATCTTACAGGAATCCAGTCCTGAAATTGATCAGTTTCTCGGTTGTCTATTATTGTATGACAATCCTTCTTCTCTCCAAAAAATGTAATAAGATAATGAATGGATAAAACAGCAACCATTCTATGGTAGTTATTGTGAGTGAGGAATTTGCACAGAGCATGGAAGGTGGGGAGGACGGATTGTCTCCGCTGTCTGAGGACTGGGCCTTCAGCTGGGGTGACTGGTACAGCAAGCTATGGCTCGATGGCCAACTGGGGACTCTGTCTGGGGCTTTGCTTTTTCTCCTCATGGCATCAGCTGAGGTAGAAGCCAGAATGGCTTCTTTTCTGCCTTCTTCACACTTACAGGCACAAGGAAGAATTAATACCTCCTCTAATCCTTGTTCCCATAAGAGTTTATATATTCTTTTTATTATAGTACTCATTGTATTGATTACATTTTATATATATAGTGATACATGCAAAGAAAGTACTAACATGCAATTTCCCTTTTTATCATTTTCAATCTAGAATCCAAAGCTATTCAATATATATTTTACCTCAATTGAATTTAATAATAACAAAATAAAGTGATTCAATGATTAAATTGGCATCAGTGTCTAATTTTAATTAGGATGCTGGTCTAGTAAACTACAGAGGTAAAAAGTTTTAATCTGTTCACATATAAAAACTAATGTTTTTTTGATAACTAGTTCTAAGAAAAGAAGATAGTCAAACATTATTGTGTAACTCTAGGGTAGTCCAATTTTGTGCTTAATCATCAAAGCAATGAAATCAGCCACCATTAATATTTCCTGCTATTTATTTTATAGCCTCGATTCTACCTTTTAATCTATTTTAGTGAAACTTTTGGTAAACATGCCCTAACTTACATTTCTTTTAGAAAGAGGTGGATATAAGAAGCAATATATGAATAATCTCAGATGAATCATTATATCATCATCTAGACAGAAATTTATGTCTTTTAAAATTAAAACATTTCTTTTTTTTAGTTAATTAATACAATGCTATTTGCAGCTCCCTCCTACACTTTCTCCCACATATTTGCTTCTATTTAATGATCTGGAAAAAAAGACTGTAGCACAACAATGAAAATTTTAATGATATTAAATTTGGTGGCTTGGCAAGCAACTATAGAAATAGAGAAACTAATGAATGGGCCTAAAGACCTTAGAAATCTGAGCAAAAGATAAAACTAGATTCAAGCAGGAATTAAATGCAAATTAAGACATCTGGAGAAAGGTATTAAACACAGACATTCAGGAGGCAGGTAAAATCATAAAGGCTGTGAGACAGCAATGTGAGGTAATAGCACATCAGCTATTTCATTATGGAGAGGCAACATAATGACTAATTCACTTTTGTGTCTCCAATTTTGAATCCCTCTACAGAAAAGTGATAGATTATGTATCTCTTGAAAGAATGTTAGTATTCCAGAAGCTTCAATGGAAGTGCCATATAATTACCAGAATGAGGAAACTGCCTACTATTATGTTACAAGATCTCCACCTGCTTCTCTCATTTACTTCACACTAAAAAAGGAAGTATTCCAAGGTCCCTATCAAGGGAGCAACTAATGTGATGAATAAGAAAAACATCCATATAGAGAGTCACTGAAAACCTCAACATCCTTCGTTAACCTTGGGGTTCCCAGCCACTATTTGTTTTAAAATAGCCTTATGTGAACATCACATTGCAAGGCATATGTGCCACAGTTGACGGTAAAGGGAGCCTGTTCCTGTTCATTTTATAAAAGTTGTGACTGAGGAAAATTTCAAACATGTATAAAAGCATAGAGGATGAATTTGGAGCAGCAGCTTATCAACTCTTGTCCAATCTTGTTTCTTCTATACACTCTCATACGCACTTGATCTCCTCACACCCTGGGTTATGCTGACGCAAATCCCAGACACTTTTATATCATCTTTTAGTATATATAGCCAAAAGATAAATATACATACACCTCTTTTATAGCATTACCACTATATCATTACCACTCCTAAACATTATTAATACTTCCTAAATAACATATTCATTTTTATATCCTCAGTGCCCAGTCTGGTCCCCACATAATAAACATCTCTATGAATGAATGAGTGAAATGTCTCCCCACTTACTCAATTTATTAATTTAAGAACAAATATTGCTACTTTTAGTCTATTGCTACTCTTCTTTATCTCTCAAAACCCATCCCAAGGGCTTCTCTTTTGTGAAAACTTTCACAATATTTCTAAATAGAGTTTGTTACTTGTATGTTTATTTCCCTGCTCAACATCTCTGTGCATTCTTTGTTTTTGAAGACTGACAATGTATTAGGCACTGTGCTAAGCCTGTTGCATGGAAAAATACTTCTATCTCTATTTTACTAAAGAAGAAATAGAATCACATTGGGGTTAACTAACTACTCTGGGGCACGTGCCAGTGAATGACAGGGCTAAGATTTGAACTCAGGCAGTCTGATTCTAGAGTTCATGCTTTTCACCAGTTTTATCCATCTTTATACTCTACTTAGGAACAAAGTGGCTGGATACATAGTAGAAAATCAAAAAATGTCTTGGAGAAAAGGATAAAAGGAGGAAGGGAGAAAGAGACGGAGGGAAAAAGAAGAGAGAGGAGGGAAGAAGAAAAGGAGAAAGGGAGAGAAGGAGGATGAAGGAAAAAAGGAAGAAAAGGAAGTAAGGAAGGAAAGAAAGAAGGAAGGGAAAGAAAAGAGCATATGATTATTGAGACTACTTGAGAGGGAGAAAAGATAGGACAATAAATTATATACCACCATACAGTTTCAAAAATGTATTTTTATTAATTTTACTTGCTTTTTTCAATAAGTGTAAGGTAGATATTAATACTCATTTTGAATATTCGGGAAGTAGTTCTTAGAGACAAGGAGAGAATTGTTGAAACTGGTAGAACTGGCTCTGACTCCTCAATCTTGACTCCACATCCTATTCTTTTTAGTGACTAAAATGTCATTCATGTCTTTCTTTGGTTAAGACTGGCATCCCCATAGAAAGAGCTGAGTGGCCATTGTCTAGAATACAGTGCCCTAGGTCAGAGGTCTGAAATGCTTTTTGAAGAGAAGCAGAATGGTTGGGGAACAGAAGTCTCAAAATTGCCCTGGCTGATGAATTGGCAGTGAAAAGGTGTTTACAGCCAGGGAAGGCCATCAGTATGGTGTGGGGGAAGGGGTCCCCAAGACAGCCACACTTCAAACCATGGCCCTGGAGCCAGTTATTCTTGACAGAAACACAACCACCCAAACATTGCCTCTTATAATGTGTTCTCAGTTGCACGATAAATTTATGATGAAGAAGTGGATAAATGAATAAAACATCTGCCATGTTTTGTAACTTTGAGAACATTGATACCATTTTCATGTAGGGTGAAAATGTTACTGTGCAAAAAGGATGTACTAAGAATTGTCAATTTGTAGTGAATCACTATTTGAATATTAATTTTTGTGTACTGTTTTATATTTTATTTTACAATTCAGATTTAAATTAATATTAGAGTAAATATTAAGAGGAAGAGGAATATAAAAGCCCAAGGGTTGACTGCACATGAGTGATGTTAGATACCTATTTAGTCAAAAAACCTTATGAAGAAATCTTAGAGTCTATATAATCCCATTCCTTTTTCCTCTGTCATTTTAAAGATTAAGCTAAAGGCTTTATGCAAGGTCACAGTTAATTAATAGTGAAAATGGACCAGATTGAAAGATCTTCCTTTCAACTCAGTAGTTTCCCCTTAATTCATCCTATCTCACATTGTCACAAGCAATTCAGCTTTAAAATTTGTTGGGTTTTAGGGGCTGAAATCTGAAAATTTAACAATGTATTTTCAAGTATAAAATTTAAGCTTACTTTTGTAAGTGAGCATTTATACGAGTTCATACTGTTCAAAGGAGGTAAAATGTGAATATTTCTTCTAAGCATTAAACCCACCATTTGAAGTCATGGACAATAAACCATTTATTCATGAATACAACCCTCTCGGTGTGCAATTTCTCACATATATGATTTCATTTCAAAAACACAACTTGAACTATTTTCATGGTAATATAACATTACAATACTGCAAGTGGTTCATAAACAAAGGAAAAAGTCCCATGTTGTACCATTTGAGGATTCACTCATAAATCTGAGTTGCAGATCTAATTTCTGAAATATTTCATTATTGTGTCAGACATTGCAAATTAACAAGAATTTTTCTATTAGGGAAATCTGAAAGCCATACCAGTTAGCACTAATGAGATGTGAACTCAGAATAAGCTTGACAATTAAATAATTCAAAAGTTATATAAAAAGCAAATCTATTTAAAAATTAATTTCCCCCAATAACGTACTACAATTTTCAATTTGTAAATCACTCTAGGAGTGATTTTGTGGGGCTTCACTTCTATGCCTTAATATTTTGAAAGAAAATATTGTGCCCAAGTGAGACATAAGAAAGGAATATGTCATTTAATCTAAGAACATAAAGTTAATGATTAAAATAAATAAATTTTGTCCCTTAGGAACGCATACAATAACTGTTTAAGTCTACTAGTGGATCAGTACTCCACATCATGGGGCTCAGTCAACATGGACTTGTCTAGCCATCTCTACTGAAGTTGGCATTTTTATTACAGTAACATTGATTAAGGGACATAAAGACTGGCTAACTGAAGCATATACTATCTGTTTCAACAGCTTTCATAATCTTAGCTGAATCTCTTGAAATGTGGGTAAAAAGTAGAAAAAAGGAAAAAGAAGTCTTTATATCAAGTAGCATTCATAGAATGGGTGATCCCAGAGGTCTCTTCTTCCTGAATCTCCTTGACAAATTTTGTGACAAGGCAATTCACCTCCTCACAAAGCCTCTTCTTCCATTGTCAGGTAGCTTTCATTTATTAGGGAATTTGTTTTCCTATACTTTCCAAAAATCAGTGATGGTTCTGTCTTCTGGGACCCCATAGAACAAGTCCAGCTCCTTTTTGTATCTAACAGATATACAAAGACTACTAACATAGCTGTTGACATCTCTTTGCAGGTGATTGGAATTGCTATTATGGGTAAGGAGAAGGACAGGCGGAGTTGCCATGGGTTTGATGATGCTCCTGGTACCTGGCTGCTATCAAATTAAAGGCAGTGGGAAAAAAGACAGTGCAACCTGGCAGGGGATCTTGGCTTATTGTCACTGATCTATACCCCCGCAACCATTTCTCTCTGCGTTCTCTTCCTTTACATTCATACGTGGAATGGGTGGATCTAAACCCGTGAGAAATAAAATAGGAAATGTGCCAAGAGCCCCAGAAATAGATTATGAAGGGCCAGAAAAAGAGAAAAGGGAGAATAATGAAGGAAAGAAATCAGAGAAGCTTAAGGGAGAGATTTCATCCTATAAGAAAATTAAATAAACACCTACTGAAATACATAGCCCACTATTGGCTAAAAAATTGGAATCTGGATTAATATAAGTGGTTTAGAAAGTAGCAGTATGCATACTTTCTACACCATTTCATGCAGATAGGTGAGGTGACAACATCAGGTTCAGTGTAGCAAGGAAGGAGAGTCGAGAATCTGAGCTCTGAAAGAGAATGGAAGGTGGCTGAGAGAAGCACCCTAAGGGGGACTCCGAGCGCTGTTGGGAGAGGGTGCAGCCACACGCACATGTAGTGCTGGTTTGGGCATGAATGCATGCTCTCCTGGGTGAGTCCCTGGCCTGTTGTGTGTGTGAGGGAGATTGCTGTGTGTTGTGTTTGGAGATTCTGATGGCTTATAATACATGAATATTTATACAAAACAACCTCATTAACTTCCTTACAAACTGTATTTTCTTGCTGATTTTACTATATCAAGTCATTCATTTGAGAAATATTTATACAACACTCAGAAGAAACATTTTGAATGGGAGGAGATATTTAAAAAAATAAGTACACTAACAACTCTGCTTTTGAGGCACTCACAGCTTTGAGCAAATGATATGAACAGATAAATTATGATATCATGGTGTAATAATATTTTGGAGCTATGGGAGCAGGGAGACCAGTGCAAGAGTCCTTTCAACAATACTAGAGAAGTCTCACTGATGACCTAATGTTTGAGCTGAGTATTGAGAGATAAATTGTAGCTTATAAAAAAAAATGGAGTGAGCGGGAATGTTTTAGGAAATGGGAAGAATTTATGTATAGGCAGTATCATGAAAGGACCCGGTATGTCCACGACTTGAGAAACATTCAGTGAGGCAGTAGAGGGAGAGAGAAGAGATGATTTGAAAGACAGAGTGCATTGGATTGTGAAGAGCTTTGTTTGGCAAACCATAAAGCTTTATTCAATATCCAACAAGAAGCAAGAGGTTTTGTTTGCTGTTGTTGTTTTTTGTTTTTGTTATTGTGTTTTACTTGAGGAGTGAAGCCTAAAAGATATTTTATTTTGCTTTTTTGGACCTTTAAATTTTATTGTAAATTGACAAGTTATAATTTTAGATATTTATACCATAACACAACAAAGTGATGTTATGATTAGGTATATGTCAGGCCTCTGAGCCCAAGCCAAGCCATCGCACCCCCTGTGACTTGCATGTATATGCCCAGATGGCCTGAAGTAACTGAAGAATCACAAAAGAAGTGAAAAGGCCCTGCCCCGCCTTAACTGATGACATTCCACCATTGTGATTTGTTCCTGCCCCACCTTAACTGAGTGATTAACCCTGTGAATTTCCTTCTCCTGGCTCAGAAGCTCCCCCACTGAGCACCTTGTGACCCCCGCCCCTGCCCACCAGAGAACAACCCCCTTTGACTGTAATTTTCCATTACCTTCCCAAATCCTATAAAATGGCCCCACCCCTATCTCCCTTTGCTGACTCTCTTTTTGGACTCAGCCCACCTGCACCCAGGTGAAATAAACAGCTTTATTGTTCACACAAAGCCTGTTTGGTGGTCTCTTCATACGGACGCGCATGACATTTGGTGCCGTGACTCGGATCAGGTGACCTCCCTTGGGAGATCAATCCCCCGTCCTCCTGCTCTTTGCTCCGTTAGAAAGTTCCACCTACAACCTCAGGTCCTCAGACTGACAAGCCCAAGAAACATCTCACCAATTTCAAATCCGGTAAGCGGCCTCTTTTTACTCTCTTCTCCAACCTCCCTCACTATCCTTCAACCTCTTTCTCCTTTCATTCTTGGCACCACACTTCAATCTCTCCCTTCTCTTAATTTCAATTCCTTTCGTTTTCTGGTAGAGACAAAGGAGACACGTTTCATCTGTGGACCCGAAACTCTGGCACCAGTCACGGACTGGGAAGGCAGTCTTCCCTTGGTGTTTAATCATTGCAGGGGCACCTCTCTGATTATTCACCCACGTTTCAAGGGTGTCAGACCACGCAGGGATGCCTGCCTTGGTCCTTCACCCTTAGCAGCAAGTCCCACTTTTCTAGGGAAGGGGCAAGTACCCCAACCCCTTCTCTCCTTGTCTCTACCCCTTCTCTGCTTTTCTGGGGAAGGGGCAAGTACCCCAACCCCTTCTCTCCTTGTCTCTACTCCTTCTCTGCTTTTCTGGGGAAGGGGGAAGTACCCCAACCTCTTCTCTCCTTGTCTCTACCCCTTCTCTGCTTTTCTGGGGAAGGGGCAAGTACCCCAACCCCTTCTCTCCTTTTCTCTACCCCTTCTCTGCTTTTCTAGGGGAGGGGCAAGTACCCCTCAACCCCTTCTCCTTCACCCTTAGCAGCAAGTCCCGCTTTTCTAGGGGGGCAAGAACCCCCAATCCCTTATTTCCACACCCCGACCTCTTATCTCTGTGCCCCAATCCCTTATTTCCACACCCTGACCTCTTATCTCTGTGCCCCAATCCCTTATTTCTGCACCCCAACCTCTTATCTCTGTGCCCCAATTCCTTATTTCCATGCCCCAACCCTTTCTCTGCTTTTCTGGAGGGCAAGAAACCCCTACCCCTTCTCCATGTCTCTACTCTTTTCTCTGGGCTTGCCTCCTTCACTATGGGCAAGCTTCCACCTTCCATTCCTCTTTCTTCTCCCTTAGCCTATATTCTTAAGAACTTAAAACCTCTTCAACTCTCTCCTGACCTAAAATCTAAGCATCTCATTTTCATCTGCAATGCCGCTTGACCCCAATACAAACTCGACGGTAGTTCCAAATAGTCGGAAAATGGCACTTTCAATTTTTCCATCCTACAAGATCTAAATAATTCTTGTCGTAAAATGGGCAAATGGTCTGAGATGCCTGACGTCCAGGCATTCTTTTACACATCAGTCCCTTCCTAGTCTCTGTGCCCAGTGCAACTCATCCCAAATCTTCCTTCTTTCCCTCCCACCTGTCCCCTCAGTCCCAACCCCAAGCATCGCTGAGTCTTTCTAATCTTCCTTTTCTACAGACCCATCTGATCTCTCCCCTCCTCACCAGGCCAAGCTAGGTCCCAATTCTTCCTCAGCCTCTGCTCCTCCACCCTATAATCTTTTTATCACCTCCCCTCCTCACACCTGGTCCGGCTTACAGTTTCGTTCTGTGACTAGCCCTCCCCCACCTGCCCCAGCAATTTACTCTTAAAAAGTGGCTGGAGCCAAAGGCATAGTCAAGGTTAATGCTCCTTTTTCTTTATCCCAAATCAGATAGCGTTTAGGCTCTTTTTCATCAAATATAAAAACCCAGCCCAGTTCATGGCTCATTTGGCAGCAACCCTGAGACACTTTACAGCCCTAGCCCCTAAAAGGTCAAAAGGCCGTCTTATTCTCAATATACATTTTATTACCCAATCTGCTCCCGACATTAAATAAAACCCCAAAAATTAGAATCTGGCCTTCAAACCCCACAACAGGACTTAAGTAACCTCACCTTCAAGGTGTACAATAATAAAAAAAAAGTTGCAATTCCTTGCCTCCACTGTAGACAAACCCCAGCCACATCTCCAGCACACAAGAACTTCCAAACGCCTGAACCACAGCGGCCAGGCATTCCTCCAGAACCTCCTCCCCCAGGAACTTGCCACAAGTGCCAGAAATCTGACCACCAGGCCAAGGAATGCCCACAGCCCAGGATTCCTCCTAAGCCGTGTCCCATCTGTGCGGGACACCACTGGAAATCGGACTGTTCAACTCACCTGGCAGCCACTCCCAGAGCCCCTGGAACTCTGGCCCAAGGCTCTCTGACTGACTCCTTCTTGGCTTAGCGGCTGAAGACTGATGCTGCCTGATCGCCTCAGAAGCCCTGTAGACCATCACAGACGCCGAGCTTTAGGTAACTCTCAGAGTGGAGGTTAAGTCCGTCCCCTTCTTAATCAATACGGAGGCTACCCACCCCACATTACCTTCTTTTCAAGGGCCTGTTTCCCTTGCCTCCATAACTGTTGTGGGTATTGACAGCCAGGCTTCTAAACCTCTTAAAACCCCCCAACTCTGGTGCCAACTTAGACAATACTCTTTTATGCACTCTTTTTTTAGTTATCCCCACCTGCCCAGTTCCCTTATTAGGCCGAGATATTTTAACCAAATTATCTGCTTCCCTGACTATTCCTGGACTATAGCCGCATCTCATTGCTGCCCTTCTTCCCAACCCAAAGCCTCCTTTGCGTCGTCTTCTTGTATTCCCCCACCTTAACCCACAAGTATAAGATACCTCTACTCCCTCCTTGGCGACCGATCATGCACCCATTACCATCTCATTAAAACCTAATCACCCTTACCCCACTCAATGCCAATATCCCATCCCACAGCATGCTTTGAAAGGATTAAAGCCTGTTATCACTCGCCTGCTACAGCGTGGCCTTTTAAAGCCTATAAACTCTCTTACAATTACCCCATTTTACCTGTCCTAAAACCAGACAAGCCTTACAAGTTAGTTCAGGATCTATGCCTTATCAACCAAATTGTTTTGCCTATCCACCCCATGGTGCCAAACCCATACACTCTCTTATCCTCAATACCTCCCTCCACAATCCATTATTCTGTTCTGGATCTCAAACATACTTTCTTTACTATTCCTTTGCACCCATCATCCCAGCCTCTCTTCACTTTCACTTGGACTGACCCTGACACCCATCAGGCTCAGCAAATTACCTGGGCTGTACTGCCGCAAGGCTTCACAGACAGACCCCATTACTTCAGTCAGGCCCAAATTTCTTCCTCATCTGTTACCTATCTCGGCATAATTCTCGTAAAAACACACGTGCTCTCCCTGCTGATCGTGTTCGATTAATCTCCCAAACCTCAATCCCTTACAAAACAACAACTCCTTTCCTTCCTAGGCATGGTTAGTGCAGTCAGAATTCTTACACAAGAGCCAGGACCGCACCTGTAGCCTTTCTGTCCAAACAACTTGACCTTACTGTTTTAGCCTAGCCCTCACGTCTGCGTGCAGCAGCTGCCGCTGCTTTAATACTTTTAGAGGCCCTCAAAATCACAAACTATGCTCAACTCACTCGCTACATTTCTCATAACTTCCAAAATCTATTTTCTTCCTCATACCTGATGCATATACTTTCTGCTCCCCGGCTCCTTCAGCTGTACTCACTCTTTGTTAAGTCCCACAATTACCATTGTTCCTGGCCTGGACTTCAGTCCGGCCTCCCACATTATTCCTCATACCACACCTGACCCTCATGACTGCATCTCTCTGATCCACCTGATGTTCATCCCGTTTCCCCACATTTCCTTCCCTGTTTCTCACCCTGATCACTCTTGATTTATTGATGGCAGTTCCACCAGGCCTAATCACCACACACCAGCAAAGGCAGGCTATGCTACAGTACAAACCACTAGCCCGCCTCTTAGAACCTTTCGTTTCCTTTCCATCATAGAAATCTATCCTCAAGGAAATAACTTCTCAGTGTTCCATCTGCTATTCTATCTGCTATTCTACTACTCCTCAAGGATCATTCAGGCCCCCTCCCTTCCCTTCACATCAAGCTCGAGGATTTGCCCCCATCCAGGACTGGCAAATTAGCTTTACTCAACACGGCCTAAGTCACAAAAACCAAAATACCTCTTAGTCTAAGTAGACACTTTCACTAGATAGGTAGAGGCCTTTCCTACAGGGTCTGAGAAGGCCACCGCAGTCATTTCTTCCCTTCTGTCAGACATAATTCCTCAGTTTAGCCTTCCCACCTCTATACAGTCTGATAACAGACCAGCCTTTATTAGTCAAATCAGCCAAGCATTTTTTCAGGCTCTTAGTATTCAGTGACGGACTAATGGTCTATTAAAAACACACCTCGCCAAGCTCAGCCACCAACTTAAAAAGGACTGGACAATACTTTTACCACTTTCTCTTCTCAGAAGCCAGACCTGTCCTCAGAATGCTACAAGGTACAGCCCATTTGAGCTTCTGTATAGACGCTCCTTTTCATTAGGTCCCAGTCTCATTCCAGACACCAGACCAACTTGGACTGTGCCCCCAAATAACGTGTCATCCCTACTATCTTCTGTCCAGTCATACTCCTATTCACCGTTCTCAACTACTCATACATGCTCTGCTCTCGTTTACATTGCTGATTTACACTGTTTATCCAAGCCATCACAGCTGATATCTCCTCATGCTATCCCCAAACTGCCACTCTTAATTCTTGAAGTAAATAAATAATCTTTGCTGGCAGGACTATGCCGAACCTCTGTAGGCACTCTCTAATTAGATGTCCTAGGTCCTCCCAATTCTTAGACCTTTTATACCTGTTTTTCTCCTTCTCTTATCCCATTTAGTTTTTCAATTCATACAAAACCATATCCAGGCCATCACCAATCATTCTATACGACAAATGTTTCTTCTAACAACCTCACAATATCACCCCTTACCACAAGATCTTCCTTCAGCTTAATCTCTCCCACTCTAGGTTCCCACACCGCCACTAATCCCGCTCGAAGCAGCCCTGAGAAACATCGCCCATTCTCTCTCCATACCACCCCCAAAAATTTGCGCCACCCCAACACTTCAACACTATTTTGTTTTATTTTTCTTATTAATAGTATACGATGTGGAATGGGGTTAAATCAAGCTAATTAATATATCCATCACCACAAGTACTTATAATTGTTTTATGGTAAGAACATTTGAAATTTACCCTCTTAGCAATTTTAAAATCTGTGATACACTTAATTATAGTTACCAAGCTGTATGATAGATCACAAAAGTCTTATCTCTCCTATCTAACTAGAGCTTTGACCAACAGTTCTCAAAAATATGTTAGAAGGAAGGTTTCTCTGGAGTCAATGTGAGATATATAGGTGAAAAAATATCAGGAGACCTTTTCAATAGTTCTGGGAAGATGATGCAGGTTTGAATTGAAAAGCAGTGGCAGCAAAGATAGAAAAAATACACTTTTAAGAGTGCTTTCTGAGACATAACTTAAATTTGGCATCTAACTGGATGTCGATGATGAAAGAAAGGCAAATGGGCTTGTTCAAGCTTCTGAATAGGAGACTGGTTGGAGGGTTGCACCCTTATTGAGATTTAGATTATAGAAAGCTAATATTTTTAAAGAAATTACATTTGAGGCCCCTGCATACATTGAAGCAAAGACTGCTATAGACTGTGTGATATTTTGGTATGTAGACTGGAAAAGACAAACACAAAGTCCGGCATACAGGCATTTAGTTTGTTTACTGCCTCTGAGCACCCTGTCTCAGGGAGCACCATTCACATCATGGATATAGGTGCTGGAGGCTCCTAGAGCAGTGATGGGGGGCTGTCTCCTATACACATCCCTCCCTCACACACACAACAGGCCAGGGACTCACCCAGGAGAGCATGCATTCATGCCCAAACCAACATCACATGTGCGTGTGGCTACACCCTCTCCCAGTAGTGCTCAGGGTCCCCCTTGGGGTGCTTCTTTTGCCACCTTCCATTCTCTTTCAGAGCTCAGATTCTCGACTCTCATTCCTTGCGACACTGAACCTGATGTTGTCACCTCACCTATCTGCATGAAACAGTGTATGAAGTATGCATACTGCTAGAGGCAAGTGAGAGCTTGGCATCTGGGGAAGGAGGATGTATGAGTGGGCAGGTGTGTGTGTGTATATGTGTGTATGCATGTGTGTGTGCACTCATGTGTACGTCTATGTAGAAAGTGCCCACAAGCTGTTCATGTTGTGCAATTGTGGGGAAAAGAAAGAGAGATCAGATTGTTACTGTGTCTGTGTAGAAAGAAGTAGACATACAAGACTCCATTTTGTTCTGTACTAAGAAAAATTCTTCTGCCTTGAGATGCTGTTAATCTGTAACCCTACCCCCAACCCTGTGCTCTCTGAAACATGTGCTGTGTCAATTCAGGGTTAAATGGATTAAGGGCTGTGCAAGGTGTACTTTGTTAAACAGATGCTTGAAGGTAGCATGCTCGTTAAGAGTCATCACCACTCCCTAATCTCAGGTACCCAGGGACACAAAACACTGAGGAAGGCCGCAGGGACCTCTGCCTAGGAAAGCCAGGTATTGTCCAAGGTTTCTCCCCATGTGATAGTCTGAAATATGGCCTCGTGGGAAGGGAAAGACCTGACCGTCCCCCAGCCCGTAAAGGGACACCCATAAAGGGTCTGTGCTGAGGAGGATTAGTAAAAAAGGAAGGAACGCCTCTTTGCAGTTGAGACAAGAGAAGGCATCTGTCTCCTGCCGTCCCTGGGCAATGGAATGTCTCAGTGTAAAACCTGATTGTATATTCCATCTACTGAGATAGGGGAAAACCGCCTTAGGGCTGGAGGTGGGACATGCGAGCAGCAATACTGCTCTTTAAGGCATTGAGATGTTTATGTGTATACATATCTAAAGCACAGCACTTAATTCTTTACCTTGTTTATGATGCAGAGACCTTTGCTCACGTGTTTACCTGCTGACGACCTTCTCTCCACCATTATCCTATGACCCTGCCACATCCCACTCTCCGAGAAACACCCAAGAATGATCAATAAATACTAAGGGAACTCAGAGGCCGGTGGGATCCTCCGTATGCTGAACACTGGTCCCCTGGGCCCCCTTTTTTCTTTCTCTATACTTTGTGTCTCTTTCTTTTCTAAGTCTCTCGTTCCACCTAATGAGAAACACCCACAGGTGTGGAGGGGCAACCCACCCCTTCATGCAATAATATGTAAGGTTATTCTTTTTCTTACATGTAAATGGGGGTAACTTTTAATTCACACAAAGTTACTATATAGGCTAGCACACCATTGCATAAGGGCTACAGACACAGATTTGAGAATCATCAGCGTAAATGGCCTTTGAAGCTACAGGGTAGAAGAGGTCACTCAGGGAATGTTAGTAGAAAAAGAATATAAATAAAGGCAATGATAAGAAACTTTCTTGTAATGCAATTGCACTCTCTCTCTATGGAATATTGTCATTAAAAAAATTATCTAGTAACCTATCATTCATGTAATTTTTTTTTAGACAGAGTTTTACTCTGTCTCCCAGGATGGAGTACAGTGGTGTGATCATGGCTCACTGCAGCCTCAACCTCCCTGGCTCAAGCAATCCTCCCATCTCAGCCTCCCAAGTAGCTGGGACCACAACTGGATGCCACCATGCCTGGCTAATATATTATTATTTGTAGAGTTGGGATCTCAATATGTTGCCCAGGCTGGTTATAGCTCCTAAGTTCAAACAATCTTCCTGCCTCAGCCTCCCAAAGTGATGGGATTACAGGCATGAGCCACCATGCCTAGTCCATTCACAAATTTTTAATGAGCACCTACTTAGATGCCTTATTCCATGGAAGTGCTAGGATATAATATTGAACCCAACAGACACAGTCTCAGCCACATGGCTTTTAAAGCTAGTGGGGGAAATGGACGTTAAGCAAATAACTTCATAAAAAAGCTGAGTCGGGGACAATAAAGCAAGAAATAAGTCCTATCTATGAGGATTCTAGTTAGGCCCCAGGGAAATCCTCCCTGAGAAAGATCCAAATATGGAGCTGGAGTTAACAAGGCAAAGCCAGTATGGATGTTGGGGCAGGGAGTGGGGAGGTGGGTATTTAGGGACAGAGCATTAAAAGCTGAAAGAACAGCATGTGCATAGGCCCTAGGATCAGGGGAAACAAAGAGATTTTACCAGGAAGCCATTGTGAGGAAGAGAGGGTCTAAGATCAGGTCAGAAAGGACTGTTGAGTGGGACAAGGTCATGAAGATAAGTATGCACATGAAATATTTTGATCCAACAGCAAAAGAAACCATTGATGAGTTCTAGCCAAGAGAGGTACAATAATCTAATTTATACTTAGAACTAGGTTTGGTTGGGATTGAGGCATTTACCAGGACTTGGACATTCAATGCCAAAACCAGAAAGTTCTAAACAAGCTGAGTTGTTTACCCTGCTTTGGACAGATAGCTCTGGCTACTGTATTGAGAACAGATTAGAGAAAAACAAGCACAAAAGAAGAGAGACCAGTCAGTAGTCTGTGGCCACCGTCCTCCTTCAAGATAATGGCCTAGGACCAAGATGGTGCTACAGGAGGGACAGGGAAGTAAGGAGAAGTGACAGAAGGACTTGGAGATGGTTTGAATGGAGTGGTAAGGAAGAGCAGGTTTCCAAGGCTGGCTTCAGCGTTGAAATCCAATTTATTGTAGAATTGGATTGATGGTAGTGCCATTATAGGAAACATCCTAGGAGAAAGGATGGGCAGGGTTCTGCATTCTGAATACAGAATAGAGCAGTGATTACACAAGCTTTGGGGTAACACTGGCTGAGACTGAATGACAGATTTTCCACTTGCCAGCTATGACCTTGGCCAAGTTATTGAATTTCTTTAGTTGCAACTTCTCCGTCTCTAAAATAGGTATTATAATAATAATACTCATTTCACAGAGATTTAAATGGATCAAATAAGATAATGTATATAAAATTCTTACGTCAGCCTTAATATTTATTAAACTGATTGTTTTGGATATTATTGTTATTTTATCTCCCTTTCTAATCTCAGAGGTTTTACATAAAGTGTTTTAAGAGTTTCATGTTTTAGAGAAGCTTACAACAAAAATAGCTATGCCAAAAAGGAACAGGGAACATAACATCTTTACTATTGCCTCAAAGAACGAAGATCCAAGATGACACTATTATTTACTGGTTGAAATAATTTTTAATTTCAGTTGACAATTACTAGGATATATTAATAGCTTTTATACTTCTCTTTTATTACCATTAGTCAATTACTTATTTCTTTTGTTATATTTTCCATAAACATAATTTTTTTGAACCATTTACTATATGCATATTTACTGGTATGGTCATATTGACTTTTGTTAATTTTGCAGCTTGATCTCAGTTTCTATTGCAATTTTATGTTTGTTCCATCTGGGATTTGTGGCTTCAATTGTAGGCTCAAAGACCATGGGACCATGTTGAGCTTGCTTTCTTGTGGCTTGATTTAGGGCTGTACGTATGCAAATGTTGTTTGAAAAATAATTGTGGATAAAATATACACATCTAAAATTTAGTCTATGATTATTTTGCCTGGAGTACCTCTATTAGAAAACAAATTTCCCTTTGAAAAGTAAAATCATTCCACATTTATTTCTGAAGCACCTATCTTTTACCTTAAACTCAGAACACATGTAACTATGCATTAGAAAATTAGAAAGTATTAGAGGCTCTACTAGTTATATATTATTTTTATGATTCATTTAGAAGTAGAAAGAAAACAATCATTGTTAAGTGATATCTGAGGCAATATAGAATTAATGTAATAGAATTAAGTGGTATCTGAGGCAATACAGAATTAATGTTTAAAAGATTAATCTCTGTTTGACAGTGGAACAATTATTATTCATTTTGAACTTAGACAGTGGGATATTGCAGGAATTTTACTCTAAAGAGGAAATAAATTGTAATCACTAAGATAGATAGAGATATATACACACGTGCTATGATCTGAATGACCACCAAAGTTCATGTGCTGAAACTGAATAAACAGTGTGATAGTGTGAAGAGGTGGAGCTTTTAGGAAATGATGAGGTCATGAGGGGAGCCTTCATGGATGGGATTAGCTAGCTTGTAAAAGGGCTGGAGGGAACGAGCTATGTTCTTTTTTGTCCTTCCAGCTTCAGCTGTGGGAACATAGCGTTCAAGGTGCCATCTTAGAAGCAGAAAGCAGGCCTCAATAGACACTAAACCTGCTAGCAACTTGTTCTTAGACTTCCATCCCCAGTACTGTGAGGCATACGTTTCTGTTCTTATTAACTGTCCAGTATCAGGTATTTTGTTATAACAGCACAAACAATGCACACACACAGACACATATATGCAGATAGAGAGATGTCTTTGATACAGTATCTTAGGCTCCCGGAATCCTACCATTGATGGACACTGGCTGCAAGAATGTTGTCAGCAACTTCAGTCCCAACCCCTCCTGGATATTCCGCTTAGGAGAATCATGTAATAGGACACCCAGCTAAAGAGCTCTGGAGAGTGAAGGGGATACCAAGCATAAGAAGAAAACCATCACAGTTATTTCCATTTTTAACCTGGAAGCAAAAAGGTTATTAAAGATAACATTTTTGTAAAATTTGAAATGGGCACTTTTTTTCCATGTTTATAATTTTATAAAACCAAATCAATCAATCAATTATCATATTGATAGAACTTAACATGAAGTCATGTTGATAAAATTAAATGTACAGTGCAAATATACATATTTCATTATAAGTGTCTTCCAAGCCTATTTGGATATCAGAGTCATCTGTGAAGACTGTTAAAGCTTAGATGCCTCAATTCCATATATCACTGCTACTTACTTTAGGCAAGTCACCTAAACTCTCTGTGCCTCAGTTACCTCATCTGTAAAATGGGGATAACAGCCCTATCTTCCTAACAGGAATGTTATGCTGATTAAATGAGTTAATGTATGTAAGGTCTTTTGAAAGTTCCTGGTACGTTAAAAAAGAAACACATGCCGACATGTAGTGATTGCTATTCTTATTCCCTGTGTAAGTTACTTGGATCTTTATTTCCAGGGATTTTGGTCTGGCTCTCACTATGGGTTTATTCCTAGAGGGAGCTCAGTTTTCCTAGCCAGGTACTGTGAATTTGGGGTTAAATGGAGAGAAAATGTTGTGCATGATGCTGTGGCTGTTGGGGCAGTACTTCTATTAGTATGTGTGTAGGGCAGCTGAGGGGCAAGACAAGGCATTCAGAGATCATACTTTGGAACTGGAAGCAGGTCATCCTGTACCCTAATAATTCCCAAATGGGATTTAGCTTTGTCATTTCCCCAAAGTGTTCCATGGCCTACTGAAACATGTATTTTCTAAATGAAAATAGATTTGTTTATGCAACCATAAATATAACTTTGAATTTATTTCAAAGCATAGATTTGAAACCTTAAAATATGACAACAAAATGGGGAACTAATCTTGGACACAAATAAGCTTTGGCAAATATCGTGACAGGTCCCACTGAAGCTGAATGACTGTGCAGGTTGATACACTGGACATTTTCGGTGAAACCTGTGTGAACAGACAACTGGAGGGTCAGATGATTTATCCTCTCCCCAGTACCTTGGCACAAGGTAAAACTTCTCGATGTTTGATGCAACCTAGAAGGGGTTGGTTACAGTAAACAAATGAAGTTACCATTTCTTATGCGGAGAAAGGAGAGGGTTGAACAGAATGTGTACAATTTTAGAAAGTCCACCTGGAATTTTGGCCTGAGATACATGCTTTATTATGGAAGAATTTTTCTGGTATTATTAAGAATTTTTATGCATGGTGACAGTTATCAATTTATTGCCTTTCAGCTCCAAATCTACCCTTATATTACCTGTTCTGAAATAACAGACAAGACTCTTTGAAGTCTTTCCTCTGTAGTAAGCATGATGCTAAGTTTGTCAGTAGAGGGCGCTGGAGGGCCGTGGCAGGAGGAAGGAGTTTCCTTTCACGGTTCCAGTAAGTTGCAGGTTTTTTGCTTCTTGCTCTTTCTGCGTTGCTGCCAAACTGCACTGTCCCAGCCATGCACCCAGACTGTGCTGCCTGACTTCCTGCAAACTCAAGGCCCCATCTTAGCTCAGTAATCACCTCACTGTGGCCCCCCTGATGTGGATGCCAGGTGCCTAGGCCTCCTGTAGGCCTGCCAGGAAACTGCCTGCCAAAGCCCCACTGCCTCAGTGTGCCCTCCCGCCAAGCTCCCCCTGCTTGAGGAAGTGTGCTTCTTGTTTATACATCGACTATGAACCAGGTCTGGCCCAGGCAATGCAGCCAGTGGCTCCACCATCCAGTACGCTCCAAACACATCTTCTGGAATAGGTTTAAATCCCAGCCTCAGGAAGACGGCCCCCTTGCCAAGTTATTCCTTTCTTGGGTCCCAGGGAATTCTTTGGAACAGGGGTCCTCAATACCATCTGTTAGATTTTGTAAATAAAGACTTACTGGAATACAGGCATGCACACTGATTTATAATTTGTCTCTGGCTGCTTCGATGCTGTAATGGCAGAAACAAATAGTTGCAACAGAGACCCAATTGTCCAGAAAGCGTATGCTCCGTACTATCGGACTCTTTACAGAAAAAAATTTGCTGACCTCTATTTGAGAGTTGTCTTTTCTCTCTTTATAGTCACTTCATAGTTATAGTTAATCATTATTTTTTGACCAGGCGTGGTGGCTCATTCCTGTAATCTCCCAGCACTTTAGGAGGCCAAGACAGGTGGATTGCTTAAGTCCAGGAGTTCAAGACCAGCCTGGGCAATGTGATGAAACCCCATTGCTACAGAAAGTACCAAAAATTAGCCAGGCATGGTGGTGTGCAGCTGTGGTCCCAGCTACTTGGAAGGCTGATGTGGGAGGATGCCGTGGGACCTTGAGCCTGCAGTGAGCCATGATTGTGCCACTGCACTCCAACCTGGGTGACAGAGTGAGACCCTGTCTCAAAAAAAAAAAAAAATTATCATTATAACTTATATTAAAATTTCCCAGTTCAAATTACTATGTTGTTTCTGTCTCCTGGTTAGACCTCATTGATAAATGCAATATATACTGTAATCTGATAGATTACATCCCATAGAATGGTGCCATTTTAATTTGAGAAGGAAGCAGCTACTATTTTACCTCTGGCCAATAAAAATCCTCCAGGCAAGGAAATACTCTGAGTCTGGCTACTGCCTACAAAGTGGGAAAGGGAAAAAAATAGAACAATCCTTTAGCATACAAGTTAATTATATCGATAAATTATTTCACCACATCTATACTTTATTCATTTTGTTGCACTTGGAAGCAATCCAGATGCCTACCACGTGGTAAGAATTTAGTAAATGATTTTGAATGAGTGAATTAATGAGTCTATGAATGAATATAAGGAGAACTGAAAACAAACTATAGGCAGCATTTTCCTTTCAATGCAAAGAAATGACAAATAATAAAATGTAGATAAGCTCTGGGTAATTTTTTCCTCAAATATTTACTCTGATTGTATGAAAATTATGGAAAATATATAAAGAGATGTGTCTGTGAATACATTATCTTTAAGCTATATATGCAAATGAAGTGGAAAACACAAGAAAAATAATTTTCTCCTGAAACATTCTGATAATTGAATCAAGCATTGCATTTTTGGTTTGAATTAGCTGAGCTGAACTGGTGATTCATTTCACTTCGCGTGTGAGGCCACAGCCATAGAGAGGTTCATACTGGGTTCACTTCAATAAACAGCTGCGGACTGGGGTCAATTTTTATTTTATTTAGCATTATTCATTCATTCAGATTCCATATTCAGCTAATTACTTGCAGGAACAGTACTCATTAAGAAAAATAACTCATTTACATGGAAGAAGGCTACAGTTTGCCCTTTTGCTTTTATCTCCCTTCCTTCCCGTTGCATTTATTCTTCTTTCATTTTGAGTAACATAAAGCACAAAAATCAAATCAAGGCACTTTAAATTCTGATTTCTTGTTTCCCAAACATTCAAACCTTTTTATGGACAGAAATTAGCCTTTGCCAGGTAATTCAAATAAAGAGTTACATTCTATTTTAATCCTCTTTTCAAGTGAGCATTTTGCCATATTGCTCACATCTTCCTGTCTGCTCACAGACCACTTTGCAATGGTTTGCTCTGCCTTCCCTTTAGCTGATTGCGGGGCATTCAGTGGAAAGCCTCAGATGCTGGTGATATTTTCTCTACTGTTTACAAGAGCAGAAAAGAATTTCACACTTTTTTGAGCACTGCAGCTGTTTCAGCACCTTTAAATGCCACTTATAAGCCATTCTAAACAAACCAACCTGCCTACCAGAAAACCAAAATACCTGTTAGTACTTTTTTCTCTATGAAGGATGAAGAGTTTTCTTTAATGTTCCAAATAAATTCAAGGAATGCATTTTCATTCTAGGCCTTCATACAAAGACAGAAATATAGGTAGATCAACATTAAAAAGATAAAAGTAGTTCCCATTTTTATTAGCAGTAGGAATTTGAGAGATCGAGAAAGTAGTGATTATTCTCTAATAGCAATCTTAAAGAAAAGTATGTAATGCTAGTTAGCTTGTCGTTTTGTTTAACCTGACCTCTAGGTTAGTGGTTCTCAACCTTGTTTGCAAGTTGGAATGACATGGGGAGCTTGAAAAAGAAAAAAGTGGAATGCCTGTATCCACCCCCAGAGGTTGGGAATAAACTGGTCTAGGCTGTGGCTGATGTTTGGAAGTTTGAAAAGCTCCTCAAGTAATTGTAATGTACAGACAAGTTTGGGAACCAGTGCCCTGGATTGACCTTGGGTCCAAGGTCTTGTGTCATGGCTGTCCAACAGAACTTTCTGAGATTATGGAGGTAGTAACTGCAGTGAGAGCTACTACCCCTGGAACAGAAGAGACAAAGGGAAGAGAGTGGTGTTTTTGATATAAGAGCTAAGAAGAAAGTACTTAGGCAGATAGTGAGGGCATGGGAATCCTCCGTAAGGTCTTCCTTTTAATGAAAAGCAGCCCCAAAATCATTTTCTTTTCTAATAAAGAGCAGCCTGTAAAATCGAACTGCAGACATAGACAAGCAAGCTGGAAGCTTGCACAGGTGAATGCTAGCAGTTGTGCCAATACAAATATACTACCTGGGAGTAAGCATGTTCAAAATGGTGGCTCCATCTTCTCCTTTTGCCAGCCATGTGTACAGTAAAGAGCAGACAAGATGGCACTGGCCAAATGGAAAGGCCGTTTGCGTAATAAGATTAGGGTGGGGCAACCAGGCTTTCCATGCCCTATGTAAACATCACACCTGGTTAAACCAATCTGTGGGCCCTACAAATCAGACACCGCCTCCTCAAGGCTGCCTATACCATCTGCTGCGATCTGCAGCCTTTCCCTTTTGGATGCCTCTCTCTCACAAGAGAGCGGGAGCTGCTCTCCTCTCTCCTTTCTGCTATTAAAATTTCTGCTCCTTAACCCACTCCAGTGTGTGTATGTCCGTGTGGTTAATCTTCTTGGTGCGAGACGACGAACCCTGGGATTTACCCCAGACAATGATGCTGCTTCATTTTCACAACCAGGGAGCTTCTAAGAGGACTCTACAGAATTGAAAGTGACTCCTGAAAAATGGAACTGCCCAGTTGGTGCTACTATCACTGAGGTGGAATGCATCATTCTGGGAGTGGGGAAAGAAAATACCATCAACCAACTGTTGCTGCCGAACCATTGCTGGGAAGACTAATGGGAATAGACAAGAAAGAAGTCTTTTCCCCTCTCCTCCTACTTTGTAGTCTCACTTTTAATGCCCTTAGTCATAGAATCTAACAAGACAGTAACTGGTCAAAAGGACACAGTTTGCAGAATCCCAACTCCAGTCAGCATCTCCAAGCCAGATACGGAAGCCAACTATGGACTGCATAGTTGACTGAAACCACAAAAATACCACAATGGTGGTATTTTAATAATAATTTTAGTAGTAGTAGCGAGATAATAATACTGTATTTTTACCATATCTTTTCTATGTTTTGATATGTTTAGATACACAAATACTTATCATTGCGTTACAATTGCCTACAGAATTCAGTACAATAACATGCTGTACAGGTTTGTAGCCTAGGAGCAATAGGCTATACTGTAGAGGCTAGGTGTGTCATAAGCTTGTAATAGCAATCATTATTCCCACAGATCAACTGTGTTTTTCAGTTGTTGATCTAGGTTGTGCTCACCTAACGTTTTAGCCTTCTGCAGTAGTTGGATTTATCGTTCATCAAATATCTACTCCCTGTTAATGTTGGACTTGGCTGTCAGGTATGATATGGCTGATGGAATTGTAAAGCAAAAATTAAATCTAAGTCCTCCAGCTCACTGAATGGACCCTTCTCTTGGCTAAGGGGACCTGATAAAACCTGAAAAACTAGTTCAGGCCATGACAGGAAGGTGGGTAGATGATATTGGACATGCTTCATTATACTCTTCTTCCTTTGGAGTTCAGGCATACAATTGACCAACATTAACTTTAAAATAGAAAGTCTAAGACTGGCAGAACAGACTCTTTGTAGCAATAAGATACAAACTCCAATCCCACCCAGGTATGACGTCACATGGCAGAAAATAGGCCCTAAAAGGAAATCAAAGTATTTTACCCCGAAATGTGTATCTTTGACATATTTTGAAATTGTATCAATCTACTTAGAAGTTTATTTTGCCAAGGTTAAAGATCAGCTGTTCTTGTGGGGGAAATTTACATTCTGTAGAGATTCGGCTTCCTTTACTAGGTCTCTCCAGAGAGTCTGACCCTTTGATAAGAGAGATTCACTTTTCTCTGAAGTCTGCTACCCGGAGGCTTCATCTGTATGACAAGAACCTTGGCTTGCACGACTCTCCTCTTACTTTAACTCAGAGCTGATTTCACCTCTTCAGGCAGAGCTTCACCCTTTTAACCAATTGCCAATTAGGAAATCTGTAAATCTATCTATGACCTGGAAGCGCTATACCTCCCCCCGCCATCACTAGGATATCACACCTTTCTGGGCTGAAGCAATCTATAACTCACATTTATTAATTTATGTCTATGCCTAAACTTCTGTCTCCCTAAAATATTTAAAACCAAACACCAAACTAACCCAACCACCTGGGCACATGTTCTCAGGAACTCCTGAGGTCGTGTTATGGGTCATGATCTTTAACCTTGCAAAATAAACTTCTAAGTAGATTGATACTATCTCAGATACTTTATGGTCTACAGAATGTTAGTGGACACAAATAGATGCCTTAAATGTGTTTGCCAGATTTGGAATTGCACCATGAGAAGAATATGACTGTATTACTTCATTCTTGCCTTATTATAAGTAAATACCTGAGACTGGGTGATTTATAAAGAAAACAGATTTAATTGGCTCATGGTTGTGCAGGCTGTACAGGAAGTATAATGCTGGCACCTACTTGGCTTCTGGGGAAACTTATAATCATGGCATAAGGTGAAGGGGGAGCAGGCATGCCACATGGTGAAAGCAGGAGCAAGAGAGAAGGGGGAGGTGCCAAACTTTTTTATACATTCAAATCTCACGAGAACTCACTCATCATCGTGACAGCACTAACGGGATGGTGCTAAACCATTCGTGAGAAATCTGCCCCCATGATCCAGTCACCTCCCACCAGATTCCACCTCCAACATTGGGGATTACAATTAAATATGATACTTGGGTGGGAACACAGATCCAAACCATATCAATGCCATTTCAGCCTAGGCTACAGAATGAGATGCACGTAAGAAGTCTGTGACCTGGACCAGAGCAGCCCAGCTGAACACATGCTGGATTGGAAGAACCACCTTTGACCTGAAGACCTGTGAGTGAGAATAAATGCTGTTGTAAGTCACTGAGTTTTGGTTTGTCATGCAGCATTATTGTGTAAATAGCAGGATGAATCACACCCTTAGCTTGTACCTTTGGCTCTTTAGTTGAAGATGAAAAATTTTAGGCAAACTAAAACTGCCTCAAAAAACAGCAGCGTATTATCACACAAGATAAAGAATGTGTAGGAGTTCTCTGAATTGCAGCTAACATAATGTTATCTGAATAAATGTTGAATTCTTTTTCTTCTTGGGCAGTAATAAGTTTGTTTTTGTTGTAGGATATTTCAAAATAGTAGATAACCATAATTAGCATGTAATTTGTTGGCAACACTGTCTTTTTAGCAGTTCTAACCCATAGAAACTTAAATTCATAGTTATCAGTAATGCTTATTGTGAATGCTTTAATGTAGCAATTCTTGCATTTTTATGCATCTTGCTAATTAATGGTTTACTGTTTTCCTGGTCTTATGTATCTATAGTCTCATTTAATTTTAACAGTTATGTCTTCTAACTAAAGGAATTAAAGCCAGAAAAGGAGGTAATTATTGGACTGATGACAAAGTGATCTATTCAGTTATCTTAGATTAGGTAGGGCCAAAGCCGAACTTAGAATCTAGGTAAGATTTGGAAAGGAGCGGAAGAGGGCATCCCTATTTAGGCCAAAACTATTAGAGTAGGGATTTTTGAAGGATGAGGATTGACGTCAATTGAGATTCCAGCATACCTGGAATAGAGGATTTGTTTTAGGAATTGGTAATAAATATGTTAGATTAAAAAAGCAAAAGAAAAAGAAGTTTGCACTTGATGGAGTGGGCAGTGGAGAACTTGTATAACATCATGTTAATAATGCTTTATGGAGATTTTTCTGATGATAATATTCAATTAAAATCTTTAAAGTTTGTAAAACATGTTTAACTCCCTCGTATATGTCTATTACATGCTAGACACTATGCTGGGTAGTTATATTCACGTAAGTGGAGAAGTAGGCATTGTAGGGGTTAAAAAATTTAATAAGATATGGCCCCTGCTCTCAATGGAGCAGACAGATATTTTTACAGCCATAATACAAGTTATAGTTTAATAAGCACTATAATAAAGGTAAAATAATTAAGAGAATATAGATGAGGGAAAATTAATTACTATTAGGAGGATCAAGGAAGTTTTATAGAAGAGGTTGTAAATGGACTGCTAGTAAATTACTCATAATGGACAAAAAAGAAGGCAGAATCAAAAGTGATGTCAAAACTTTTAGTCCAGGAAACAAATAATGGTTTTGTCATGGCCAGAAATAGAAACCTGGAAATTATGATAATATTAACAACAATTTTGCATCAATTTCATAATTGATGTGTGTTGTGATGAGTCCACTTAAATTTTCTGATTCAATTCTAAGTGCTTTCCAAGGCATGGTTTAAAGCATTAGAGCATGTTTTTATTTAACAGTTAGCCTCATTGACTCAGGGTGTTTAACCCAGTTAGGCTTGGCATTTAAATGAGTAAGACATGAGAAAATATATCCCCATTTGGTTCTTCTTGTACATAAAGAGTGTTTTCAACAAACGTGACTAACAATGGTCTTTGCTAAAAATATATTACCTTATGTAGGCTATCTATAGTATCTTATCTATTAGAAAGTTTTGGGGATGGGATAGAAACCCCAAAAAGTTTTAAAATAATCAAGATATATACAGACACATAGACATATAAGAAGAAGAATCTCATAGTGTAGTACAATAGAATTTTAGCAAACGTGGGCTTTGGTCTAAGGAAAGAAAAGTTTAAGCCAACATCATGAAGTCTTGGAAAATGTGTACAAAGACATTGCCAGTAACATTACATTCCAATCAGTAACACATGCTTTTCTTGAGGTTAAAATCACTCTTTTAAATAAGTCAGCAAAGTCAGTAAATTTCTGCCGATGCTCTCATAAGTTCCTTATTAATGCTATAAGTGAGACTCTCCTTTCCCATATAAGATGAAAACTGCTCTGGCCTGGTTGACTCTAACATGTTACTTCAGTAAATTGGGTAAGGCCACTTTTATCTCTCAGAACCTGTTTCCTCATCTGAGGAATGAGAAGGTAGGACTTGATTCCTCCTCCCTTTTCCCTAGTCTTCCTCTCTCTCTCTCTCCCTCCTTCCCTCCAAAAGGAACCTCCTTTTGGGACTTCCTTTGTGTCCTAGTTTAGATTCTTATATATTTTACCCAGAGTACTATAATCCCTAGCAAGTCTCTTTACTGCCAATATTGTCTTCCTCAAAGCTATTCTCAAAAAAATGACCTGAATAATGAATCTAAAACCCCAATGTGACTATGTTTTTTTCTTAGTTGGCTACAGGTGATTCTACCTGATGTAGCTCCTGTTGTTTTTGCCATAGCTTCATTGCGGGCTACTTTCCCCTACTCTCTCATCACCTGGTTACTGCTGTCCTCTCTGAATGTAGTGAGTGCCCTCTATGACTTTGTGTATGGGCAAACTCCTGTTCATCCTTCAAACTCTTATCAAATGTCCTTTCCTCTGTGATACCTTCAAGAAGAGTAAATTCTTTCCTTCTCTTTTGTCATTATACTTGGTTTTTGCTTCTACGGTGGCACTTATTCCATTGTATTACACTTAAATTTCTGTATGTCTGACTCTTTACGCCCTGGGCACAGTGCCTTGCACATAATGGGTAGTCAATAAATACATATTGATTTGTGAGCATTTTGGTGATTTTTATTGGAGACTAAACTGCATAAGTGTTTTCAATTTTCAACTTCTTTTTGATAAATCTATAAATCACTGAAAATTAAGGGAGCAGGAAAATGTGACTTTAATATTTCTTAATACTAAAAAATATATCTGAGATGCGATTATTGATCAATTTCAGTATTTTAGAAACTAAATAAAACAGTAAAATTTGTGATCACTCTAAAGTATGAAGACATGTTTGGGCTTCTTCTAAGTGTAATGAAAGCATCGGGTGATTGTTCATATTATGGATTCCTGAGCTATTTCTTTACCAACTGCCCAAAAGGCAACACATCTGTTTCCTGAGTCCTGGATAAAATTCTTTACCTACATGTAGCCCAACTTCATGTTATGACTTCTGATATGCACTTGGAAAGCCTGTGTGACACATTTTCCTATGAATTTGGCTGCAGAATTCATTTGAGCCAACTTGACCCTTTTGCCTTACAAAAACACTGGAAATTCCAGGATCTAATTGGCACAAGAGTTATTTTTCCAGAAAGGAAGCCAGGTTCAGAGCAGTCACCAGTTATGTTCCCTTAGCTAGAATTTTCTTTCTTGTTTTCTAATAGCGTCTCTTTAAACAATATCGGGGAATGGAGCAGAAAAAATTTATTTGAGGAGCAGTTAAACTATGATTTGGAGAAATACATAGAAAATGTTATCTTTACAATTTTACTACCTAATTTTTTTTGTGTGTGTACCTATAACAGTTTTACTAAAACTTTACTTTTCAAATGCAGAGTGTTGCCTATTGCTCGTTTTAAGTATAAATATCTTAATGAAAACCCTTAAATCATATTTAGGTGTCAAAAGAATTATCTTTTGGAAAGAATAATATAAAAATATTTTATTTTATTAATATTAAAACATTTTTAAAAATTAAACGTAGGTTGAGGTTGAAATTTGAAATTGAGACAACTAGTAAAAGACAAGCAAGGTTAACAATTTTACTTGCAACTTAGAGTGAACAGGCTTTTTATCCTGGTGAGTAATTACTTGTTAGTGACTTTTATATGAACAGATATAATAAAATGGTACAAACTTAAACTATTCTATAGTAGATAAAGAAGGTAATGGATGGTGAGAAAAATAAATCCACTATATGTAAAATGTAACGAACTTGGAAGGGAAAAAAAAGATGCTACCTGTATTAGTCTGTTTTCATGCTGCTGATAAGGACATACCCAAGACTAGGCAATTTACAAAAGAAAGAAGTTTAATTGGACTTACAGTTCCACGTGGCTGGGGAAGACTCACAATCATGGTGGAAGGCAAGGAGGAGCAAGTCACATCTTATGTGGATGGCAGCAGGCAAAAAGAGCTTGTGCAGGGCAACTCCCATTTTTAAAACCATCAGATCTCATGAGACCCATTCACTATCATAAGAATAGCACAGGAAAGATCCACTCCCATAATTCAATCATCTCCCACTGGGTCCCTCCCACAACACGTGGGAAATATGGGAGCTACAAGATGAGATTTGGGTGGGGACACAGAGCCAAACCACATCATTTCACCCCGGCCCCTCCCAAATCTCTTATCTTCACATTTCACAACCAATCATGCTTTCCCAACAGTTCCCCGAAGTCTCAGTCCATTTCAGCATTAACCCAAGAGTCCAAATCCAAAGTCTCATCTGAGACAAGGCAAGCCCCTTCTGCCTATGAGCCTGTAAAATCAAAAGCAAATTAATTACTTTCTAGATACAATGGGGGTACAGGAATTGGGTAAATACAGCCATTACAAATGGGAAAAATCGGCCAAAACACAGGGATGACAGGCCCCATGCAAGTCCGAAATCCAGGAGGGCAGTCAAGTCTTAAAGCTTCAACATGATCTCCTTTGACTCCATGTCTCGCATCTGGGTCACACCGATGCAATAGGTGGGTTCCCATGGTCTTGGGCAGCTCCACCCCTGTGACTCTTCAGGGTACAGTCTCCCTCCCAGCTGCTTTCATGGGCTGGCATTGAGTGTCTGTGGCTTTTTCAGGTACAGGGTGCAAGCTTTTGGTTGATCTACCATTTTGGGGTCTGAGGGACAGTGGCCCTCTTCTCACAGCTCCACTAGGAGGTGCCCCAGTAGAGACTCTATGTGGGTGCTCTGACCACACATTTCCCTTATGCACTGTCCTAGCAGAGGTTCTCCATGAGGGCCATGCTCCTGCAGCAAACTTCTGCCTGGACATTCAGGTGTTTCAATAAATCTTCTAAAATCTAGGCGGAGGTTCCTAAACCTCAATTCTTGACTTCTGTGTACCCACAAGGTAAATACCACAAGGAAACTGCTAAAGGTTGGGGCTTGCATCCTCTGAAGCCATGGTCTGAGCTGTACCTTGGCCCCTTTTAGTCATGGCAGGTGTGGCTGGGACGCAGGGCACCAAGTCTCTAGACTGCACACAACACGGGGACCCTGGGCCTGGCCCACAAAACTACATTTTCCTCCTAGGTCTTCGGACCTGTGATGGGAGGGGCTGTCATGAAGACCTCTGACATGCCCTGGAGACATTTTCCTCACGGTAATGGGGATTAACTTTTGGTTCCTAATAACTTATGCAAATTTCCACAGCCAGCTTGAATTTCTCCTCAGAAAATGGGATTTTCTTTTCTATTGCATTGTCAGGCTGCAAATTTTTTGAACTTTTGTGCTCTGCTTCCCTTCTAAAACTGAATGCCCTTAACAGCACCCAAGTAACCTCTTGAATGCTTTGCTGCCTTGGAATTTTGTCTGCCAGACACCCTAAACCATCTCCCTCAAGTTCAAAGTTCCACAAATCTCTAGGGCAGTGGCAAAATGCTGCCAGTCTCTTTCCTATAACATAACAAGAGTCACCTTTGCTCCAGTTATGAACAAATTCCTCATTTCTATCTTTCAGATTTCACCACCTCAGTGTGGACCTTATTGTTTGTATCACTATCAGCATTTTGGTCAAAGCCATTTAACAAGTCTTTAGGAAGTTCCAAACTTTCCCACATTTTCTTGCCTTCTTCCGAGCCCTCCAAACTGTACCAACCTCTGCCTGTTACCCAGTTCCAATGTCGCTTCCGCATTTTCAGGTATCTTTTCAGCAGCACCCCACTCTACTGGTAACAATTTACTGTATTAGCTCATTTTCATGCTGCTGATAAAGAGATACCCGAGACTGAGCAATTTAAAAAAGAAAGAGGTTTAATTGAACTTACAGTTCCACATGGCTAGGGAAGCCTCACGACCATGGTGGAAGGCAAGGAGGAACAAGTCACATCTTATGTGGATAGCAGCAGCCAAAGAGAGAGAGAGAGCTTGTGCAGGGCAACTCCTGCTTATAAAACCATCAGATCTTGTGATTCCCACTCAGTATCACAAGAAAGACCCACCCCCATAATTCGATCATATGTTACTGGGTCCCTCCTACAACATGTGGGAATTATGGGAGCTACAAGATTAGATTTGGGTGGGGACACAGAGCCAAACCATATCACTATCTAAAGAGTTGGGGCATCATCATCAAATAGAATGACTTTTAAATGAATATTTATGTATTATAAGGTAATGTGGGGAAGAATTTGGTTAGAATTCAATCCTTGAAGCGTGGCTGACATCCATGTTCATTTTTGCTTAAGGGTTAATCTATGACATGGGGTGGGCAGAACTTAAGCAGAAAGCCATAGTCTTACTAGTTTTCGGTATTAGAGGATAGAGTTTGAGGCTTTCAGAGTGGTTGACAATTGAGGAGAACGTTCTTAAAAGGATGAATTCAAAAGCAGAGAATCCCTAAATTGTCATATAAACTGCCACTGAACTACATATGCACCAGGGGGACTCCAAGAAACTTATCAGAAAGAAAAAGCTAGATGGCTGAAAATGATGAACAGAGATTTTAGCTGCTGCTAAATCAGAGTATCTAAGAATAATAAAAATAGTTGACCACACAAAATAGTTTTAGAGAAATTGCAACTTTAATACACATCTGGTGAGAATACAAAATAGTAAACTACTTTGAAAAGTGTTAAACATCCATCTGCCATATGGCACAGCCATTTCATTCTTAGGTATTTGCCAAACCAAAATGAAACCTATGTTTACATGAAGACTGCATGTGGATGCTCATAGAACCTTTATTTGTAACAGCTACAAAATGGAAACAACCTAAATATTCGACATGGGAATGAATAAACATATTGTGGTATACCCATACAATGGAGTACATTTTACTCAGCAGTAAAAATGAGCAAACGGTTAATACACTCAATAACACTGATGAATCTCAAAGTTGCTATTTTGAGTGAAAGATGCAGGCAATAAAACAGAGTATACTATATTAGTGAATGTACATATCATTCAATGAATTTCAAATTAATCGACAGTAACAGGAAGTAAATCATTGGTTGTCTGGTGAGAGAAAGCAGGTAGAGGCAGAAGGAAGGGGCTACGAAGGGCAAGAGGACACTTGGGGGATGATGGAAATATTTTTTATATTGTGTGGCAATAGCTTCATGGGTGAATACATATGCTAAAACTTATCATCAAATTATATACTCTAAATTATGTGAGGTCTGTTGTTCTTCAATTATACCTCAATAACTGCATTAGTCTGTTTTCACACTGCTATAAAGAACTACCTGAGACTGGGTAATTTATAAAATAAAGAGGTTTAATTGACTCACAGTTCCACAGGGCTGGGGAGGCCTCAGGAAACTTACAACCATGGTGGAAGGTGAAGGGAAAGCAAGGCACATCTTACATGGCAGCAGGAGAGAGAGGGAGTGAAGGGGGAAGTGCCACACTTTTAAACCATCAGATTTTATGAGAACCCACTACCATGAGAACAGCACGGGGGAAATCTGCCCCCATGATCCAATCACCTCCTACCAGGTCCCTCCCCTGACACAAAGGGATTACAATTCGATATGAGATTTGGGAGGAGACACACAGCCAAACCGTATCAATAACCTTTTAATATTTCATATTCTCTGTTAAAACACAAGCTACTTGCTTTGCTTACTCTTTTCTCACAGCAACATTTAATTGTCCTTGAGGACTCAAAATGCAGTGTGGTGACTGATCATCTTGGACCATGTTAGGCACTACCTTGAACTGTTCCTCAGGGAGCAGTTACTTCCCTATTTCCATTGTTCTGAAGACAGATATACTAACCTATATGACATGTTCTCACCAAACTTATAAATGACCAAAAGTTGAAAGTGTGAAATGGTGACACATAAAATGAATCTAAGAGATAGATACTTTAATTTGAATTATTGATTATCTTACTTTTAACCTTCATATATTAACTGCCAATATTAAAATGAAATTCCTATCTCATGTATGCTAAATACAAGTTCAGACTACTCTCATGCATTTGAAGGATGTTCTTCCAACACCAGAATCTTTAAATGATCATCTTTCAACAATGAATCCTTCCATATATATATATATATATATATATATATATATATATATATATATATTTTTTTTTTTTTTTTTTATACCCTTATGTATATACCCTTAGCGTCCATACTAAGGGTATGGATAATGTGTTTCTTTTGCAAACAATTTGTTTTTTGTCTAGAATCAGCCAGCATCCATTGTGACTTAAGGAACATTGTGTTTCAGTCTTAACTAACTTTATGAATTTACATAACAGTAATTAAGAGAGGTAGACATTGCAGTCTTTATTTTTTTAATAAAATTATAAAAAAACAGATAAATGCTTTCCATAGAGAGGCAATATTAGAATTCATATTAAAACTCAAGAATCCTTAAATGATCAGACGATTAATAACACTCTGTCTTTATGAAAAAGAAATGGTTTCATAGATGGAACCAGGGACCAGTGCATCAATTTAATGGTGCAAAAATTCTACCAACTTTACAGAAATTATGCATAAGAACTTGGTCTGCATTGTCAGTTAAGATAGCTCTTATATTTTGTATGATATTTATTTGCTTAGTTTGCTTAAAGCATTTTTACATACTTACGTAACTTAATCCTATCAAATTATCCACAAAAGGTGGAGTGAGAAACATCATGATAAAATTTTTATAGTCAGGAAAATAAAGCTGCAAAATGCATATTGAAACTTGTAACATATTTAGTAGCAATGTTTCTGCTCTGGTAACCTCCACACCACCAGATTTCATTTTTCCAAGCATTCTTAACTTTATTTTGGAAAAAATATTGACATATATTGTTAGCATTAAGAAGCAAGTACTTAGAAGCAATTATTACTATAACCTCTACCCATGTGCTACTTATCTCTAAAGAACTTGGAGCTATTAAAAAAAAAGTTTGTTTTTTTTTTTCTCATAATTGCCTTGTAAAGTAGGTTAAATAAAGGTGTGGACAAAAGTTATCTGAAAAAGAACTTGGAGGAAAGACTTTATTCTGGTGAACAGTTTGCAAATTAGGAAGACCACAGTCTTCTGTGTAAAAGGAAGATGTTTCTAGGGAACAAAGAGAGGGTTCAGATTTTTTTTTTTTTTTTTTTTTTTTTGAGACGGAGTCTCGCTCTGTCCCCCAGGCTGGAGTGCAGTGGTGCAATCTGGGCTCACTGTAAGCTCCGCCTCCCGGGTTCATGCCATTCTCCTGCCTCAACCTCCCGAGTAGCTGGGACTACAGGTGCCCGCCAGCATGCCCCGCTAATTTTTTTGTATTTTTTTAGTACAGACTGTGTTTCACCATGTTAGCCAGGGTGGTCTCGATCTCCTGACCTCGTGATCCACCTGCCTTGGCCTCCCAAAGTGCTGGGATTACAGGCATGAGCCACCATGCCCAGCCAGAGAGTTCAGATCTTATAGCAAAAGTTTCTACCCAGGTTTCCAGTGAGATCTGTTTATGCAAATGAAAGATTGACACTTGTTTAGTTCTGATTGGTCAATAAGCTGAGATCTGATTGGTTGAGGCAGTTAAGCTGTGATTGATTGGTTGGTTCAGGTGAGCACTGAAAAGTCTCAAAGTTAAAAACGTACAGTTTTCCAGGGTTTTCGGGCAACTCAAAGAATATGTGTAACCTCTACTCACCAAATGGCCACTTGGCTCTATTTTAAATTTAGGCCCAGTTAGCTACTTGGGATCCATCATGAAGGACTGGCTCTTTCAGGTTCACATTTGTTCACCAAGTGATGAACCTCATTTTTGAGTGTGGAGATTGGAACTTAGGGAAGTGATTTGTAACTTTGCTCCAGCTTGAGACTTGGCTTGGAAATAACCTCCAAGGCCTGGAATACCAGCATTGACAGCCTTACCTGGGTGCACCTCAGGAGTATGCTCAAAGAGGTGAGGCTATTAGGTGGTGAACTGCTGATGAGAACCCCGTGCTAACAAGACAGAGGTGATGCATACAATCCCTTTAGACACCAGTTAGCTCAGCCCTGGTCTCTAATTTAGTCAAATCCAAATAAGTATTTTTACATGTATATTTTTCTAATTAGCTCTCACTCTTTTAGCTGAAGTCCAGAGATAAAAGACACATGCTTAAGATTTCTTCTACCTTAGTAAAACTAGGTCTAGTATTTTCCCAGCACCTGGAGAAGAGATCTGTACAGAATTAAAAAAAAAAAATACCTGACAAAGTAAAACTGATATCAAGATGGGCAGGGTGTTACATTAATCTGGGGTGGAAGGCATGTTTGACAGGAGTAAATATTAAAGAAAGAAGTTAATATGTCATATTTTTAAATTATTTTATTTGAATTTTTATTAAAGTGCTTTCTATATTTTTAAGGTTTGAGCAGTATGGAGGAGAAAGGTACATATATATAGATATATATGTAATTTTTCTATGAATATTTTTAAAGAACTCTATCACTAAGTTCATATGTCTTGCATGTATTGGGAAAATGGGTAGTTGTAGAGGGTAGGTGGCTTGCTGTGGCCTAATTTGATATTGCAGATATAACCTTGTAAGTTTAGATTTACTAAAATTAAGAAAGTTTAAAATGTAAGGACAGGCACAGGAAAAATCAATGTGATTCTTATATTTATTATGAACAATTAGATATTTATGTAAACTAAAATAGTATCTCTAGATTATTTTTGGAGAAAGTCCTGCCACTCCCATGCTTTAAAGACCATTTTTTTTATTAATTAAATAAATTATTTCTTGCAGTGAGAAAGGAGTTTGGAGACAGAAAGACGGAAGAGTTGATATTCCGCTCACAGATGTCAATTTTCAAAGAAATTTCTGCCCATTATGGATGCACCACAAATACTAAAGTCTATGCAATATATATTTTGAAAAGAATTTTTTTCGTGAAACTGTAATTTTCGTTCATAAGAGTATATTTCCTGACTTAGCATTTTATTGACTAGATTAAAATTTTGTTCCCCAAAGTAAGTGTGTGTGTGTGTGTGTGTGTGTGTGTGCACGCACACGTGTGTGTGCATTCCTGAGGATTATTCTAAGGCTGAACTCCTTCATAGAAATGGAATTTTTCTCTCTATGCTCACATTTTAAAACAGCTCACACAAGCCAGGCAGAAACTGCCAACCCCTTGGTTTCTAATTCTTTGTGCTAGTTCTATTAGAAGGGGCAAGTGTAATCTGACAATGGGAAACAATACACCCTTTCTCATATTCTTTATCAACATACATAAACTGGAAGAAAGAAAAAGAAAGAGAGGGGTACAGAGGGAGGAAAGGAGGAAGAAAAAAGATAGGAGGGGAAGTAGGAAGAGAGGAGAAGGGGACTGTAGTGGGGGAAAGAGAGGAGAGACAGAATCTTTCCACTAAAGTTAGCATCTGAGAGAGAGGCCCACGGAATTGATTTTTTTTTTTTTATCCCTTTGGCAAACCAGCATTTGGTCTTTGCTTTGGTTATCCTGAGATAGTGCTTTGTTTACCTGAGCTAGCTGGCCATCTCAGCTGTGACAATTTAAAATTAGGCCACTATTTATAATTCAAGCTATGTGTAAACAAAACAAAACACAATACAACCAATGAAGGAGGTTTGTTTGTTTGTTTTTTTAAAAGGTAGGGGCATTTTGTAAATCAGACAGAGATAGCTTTCTTGAATAAAATGACATTTTTAGTTATTTCTTTGTCTTGAACTTTCTCCTGAGACACCTTCTGGCTCACTAGTCACGAGGAACTGAAGAGGAACTGAAGGAATTCTAAACATCCCCAAAGCCTCTAGTGATTCTCCAGATGTGTCTTTTCAAGAGGCTGGCGACTTGTAGGGAGGGTGGATATACCTTAATTATTCAGTCACTTTTAACGTTTTACCTAAACTATTTGTCAAATAAGTAGTTTTTGCATTGCTTTAACTGTATACAGCCATCATTTGATTATACATTCTATCAAAGATTGATTGCCTGATTTCAGGTTTAATTTTAAGATTTAAATGACTGACTCCTTAGCTTGCTCAGTTGTATTCTTTGTCTCTGATTACTTACTCCATAGAACACTGCTTACCTTTAAATAAAATGTATTAAACTCCTTTGTTTTCAGAATCTCTAATATTCATGCCTATTGGGGATTCATACCCTAATAACTTGGGCTACTAGTCTGTCATAAAATATAAACTCCAGCCATATTAAATATGGTAGACTTGCCCTAAAAGTCAGATTTATACCTTCAATATACCATGGAATTTGTAATACAAATAAATTCCTTTTTTTATATTGGTTTTAAAATAAGAAATTGTAGTCTCTTGAGTTCTAGAGTTTCTGTAAGAACAACAGAAGGAATGCTCAGCTAATGTTTAGTACCCATATGCTTCATTAAAGTGACCAGATGTCCTGCATTTGTCAAGGGAAAAGGGGAATTGTTTTCTTCTCTCTCAAATATCTCCTTCAAAAAGTCTATCATGGATACATTTTGTGCCTTCACTGCCCTTTTTAAATAATTATTATTCATGCCTTACTATAAGAACATTACAACTGGTAACAAACTGCTTTTAAACTTGGGGTTTCAGATTTTCTAAAGCCAAAAATTTATTGTGTTTGTTGTTTTTTTTTGTAGTTCTGTAGTTTAGTATTACAAAAATTTATATCAGAATTCTCATCCTGCCTACATAGTCCTAAAACTAAATTTATAATGTAAAGCAGGCATGATCCTGTTTATTTTTTTAAACGCTGAGTTCCAACACACATTTTAAATCTCAGTAAAATGTGGCTTCTTTTCTCAGTAAATACTGTCAGGAAAAATTGTCCAAACCTTGGAAATGGAAGAAGAGATTATGGAGCATCCTTTAAATGAAGTGCTATGTTTTGTCTGTTGAATTTTTCAAGGTTTATCAGATTCTGAAGAGGTGTGCTCCTTTGAGTGACTTCCTATTGACAAGGTTAAATGTCTCAAACCTTTTAGTCTCAGGACCCCTTTACACTCTCAAAACTTTTTGAGGGTCCTAAAGACTTTTGTTTATGTGCATTTTATCTATTGATATTTATCATACTATAAATTAATGCTAAGCAATTAAAATATTACACATATATGTGTTAATTTATTTTAAATAACAATAATAATTCCATTGCCTATTAGCATGGGACACTGGCTTATTTTTATAAAAAATAATTTTTATTTCGAAATAAAATTTTCAGGTGAAGAGTGATGTTGTCTTTACAATTTTGCAAGTTTCTTTAACATCTGGCTTGATAGAAGGGAGTGGATTATCGTGTCTACTTCAGCCTTCAATTGGTTGCACTCTGTTATTTTGGTGGAAGTATATATAAAATGTCTGGTACCACACAGTTATGTATGGAGTTGGAAAAAGGAGGAATATTTTAACACCCCTTTCCTATAATTTTGGATGTTTTTCTTTGATATTACACCAAAAGTTGGCAAGTGGTAGTTTCTTAAAGGTTAGTTGCAATGGGGAATCTGAAGCCATATTGATAAGCTTTAAAACTATTCCTTTTGAATCTGTTGGCTTATCTTGCACATTAAATGGGCCATTTATCTATGTCAAATTATGTAACATTATTTAATGGTCATATAGAAATTATTGGTTTATGGATATATGCAGATTTTCTAAATGTTCACACGTTTGATTGCCCAATATTAAAATATCAAATCTGTCTATATTACAACCAATTCCATTAGACATTTTTGCAGATTAGATGTTCTAAAGGAAAGGTTCATTTATTGTTGTTTGGAGAATAACTTTAAAATGCTCATGACATTAGACCCAGGGATCTTATTGAAATATATTTTCTTAAAGAGATAATTGCACAAGTGTATTAGTCCATTCTTAAACTGACATAAAGAACTACATGACACTGGGTAATTTATAAAGAAAAGAAGCTTAATCAGCTCATGGTTCCATGGGCTATACAGGCTTCTGTTTCTGGAGAGGCCTCAGGAAACTTACAATCATGGCAGAAGGTGAAGCACATCTTCACATGGCTGGCAAGAGAGAGCAAGCAAAGGGGGAAGTGCTACACACTTTTAAACAACCAGATCTCATGAAAACTCACTCACTGTGACAAAAACAGCAAGGGGGGAAGTCCACCCACATGATCCAATCACCTCCTACCAGGCCCGTCCTCCAACATTGAGAATTATAAATTGACATGAGATTTGGGTGGGGACACAGAGTCAAGCCATATCATTCTGTCCCTGGCCTGTCCCAAATCTTATGTTCTTCTCACATTTCAAAACACAATTATGCCTTCCCAGTTATCCCCCAAAGTCTTAACTCACTCCAGCATTAACTCAAAAGTCCAAGTCCAACATCTCCTCTGAGACAAGGCAAGTCCCTTCTGCCTATAAGCCTGTAAAATAAAAATCAAGACATCCGAGACACAATGGGGGTACAAGCATTGGGTAATTGTTCCTATTCCAAAAGGGAAAAATTGGCCAAAACAGAGGGGATACAGGCCCCATGAAAGTCTGAAACCCAGGAGGGCAGTCATTAAATCTCAAAGTACCAAAATAATTTCTTTTGACTCCATGTCTCATGTCCAGGTCACACTGATGCAAGGGCATTGGGGATAGGGTCCCAAGGTCTTGGGCAGCTCCACCCCTGTGGCTCTGCAGGGTACAGCCCTTGTGGCTGCTTTCTCAGGCTGGCATTGAGTGCCTGCAGCTTTTCTAGGCTCACTGTGCAAGCCATTGGTGGATCTACCATTCTGGGTCTGAAGGACAATGTCCCTTTTCTCACAGCTCCACTAGGCAATGACCCAGTGGAGACTCTGTGTGGGGGCTCAAACCCCACATATCCCCTCCACACTGCCCCTAGTAGAGGTTCTCCATTTGGGGTTTACCCCTGCAGCAGACTTTTGTATGGACATCCAGGCATTTCTGTACATCCTCTGAAATCTAGGTGAAGGCTCCCTAAGCTCAACTCCTGTCTTCTGGGCACCTGCAGGCCTAACACCACGTGGAAGCTGCCAAGGCTTGGGGCTTGGACACTATGAAGCAACAGCCCAAGTTGTACCTTGGCCCCTTTTAACCAAGGCTGGAGTGGGAGCAGCTGGGAGGCAGGGTGCTGTGTACTGAGGTTGCACAGAACAGCGGGGCCCTGGGCCTGGCCCAGGAAACCAGTTTTCCCTCCTAGGCCTCCAGGCCTGTGATGGGAGAGGCTGCCACAAAGATCTCTGAAATGCCTTGGAGGCATTGTCCCTTTTGTCTTGACTATTAACATTTGGCTTATCTTTACTTTTGCAAATGTCTTTAGCTGGCTTGATTTCCTCCCCTGAAAATGTTTTGTTTTTTTTCTACTACATAGGCTGCAAATTTTCCAAACTTTTATGCTCTGCTTCCCTTTTAAATATAAGTTCCAATTTCAGGTTATTTCTTTGTTTATGCAGATGAATGTAGACTTTTAAAAGCAGCCTTGACACATCTTTCTAAGCATTTGTTGCTTAGCAATTTCTTCTATTAGATACCCTAAATCATTTCTCTCAAGTTCAAAGTTCTACAAATTGCTAGAGCATGGGCACAATGCTGCCAGTCTGTTTACTAAGGCATAGCAGGAGTGACCTTTACTCCAGTTCTGAACAAGTTCCTCATCTCCATCTGAGACATCCTCAGCCAAACATCTCTGTCTATGTCACTATCAGCATTTTGGTCACAACAATTTAACAAGTCTCTAGGAAATTCCAAACTTTCCCTCATCTTTCAGTCTTTTTCTGAGCCCTCCAACCTCTGCCCATTAACCAGTTCCAAAGTTGCTTCCACATTGCCAGATATCTTTATAACAATACTCCACTTCCCCGGTACTGATTTTCTGTATTAGTTCATTCTCGCACTGCTGTAAAGAACTACCTGACACTGGGTAATTTATAAAGAAAAGAGGTTTAATTGGCTCACAGTTCTATGGCCTGTACAGGCTTCTGCTTCTGGAGGGCCTCGGGAAATTTACAATCATGGCAGAAGGTGAAGGGGAAGCAAGCACATCTTCACACGGGCTGCAAGAGTCAGAGAGCAAAATCGGGAGTGCTACACACTTTTAAACAATCAGATCTCATGAGAATTCACTATCATAAGAACAGCAAGAAGGAAGTCCACCCCCATGATTCAGTCACCTCCAACCAGGCCCCTCCTCCAACACTGAGGAATATAATTTGACATGAGATTTGGATGGGAACACAGAGCCAAACCACATCAACAAGTATGTAAAAAGTGTGTGAAATATAAACACAAAGTTATTTTTATAACTGAGAAATATTGGAAATTACCTAGATTTCCCATAGTAGATAACTGATTAAGTGTAGAGATATGGAAAGCAGAGATTATTTTACACATTAAAATACTTTGTGTGTGTGTATATATATATGTACGTGTGTATTTAGTGGCATGAAAAAATATATGCTTCTTGTAGAGTGAAAAATTTTGTTATAAAGTAGCATTATAGTATGATCACAAAGAATTTCTGTGTATGCATATTAGGATAGATAATAGACAGATAGATAGATAATGTTTTAGATAAAGTTTTGAAGAAGATTTGCCACAGTGATAATCACAAACATCTCTGAATTGACATATTTAGGAGATTTTGTTTTTCCTTGTAAGAATTTGATTGTTTAATTTTTTTTTTAGAGAAACATGTATATTTTACAGCCAGGAAAAATAATAAACCATTAGCTTTTTGGAAATGAAAGTCAGTTTTATTTCTAAAATTAGATAAAATAGATGTGTTTTATTTTGATAGCTAAAGTTGGCAAGATTTCAAGGCAGTGTGTAGATTATGTGCTACTTTCTGCTAGTGCAATCTACCTGACAAATAGTTTGGGTTAAAAGCCTTAAAATTTTCATTCTTGATAATTTATCTAGTTTACTTCTACTAATTATTCATATAGGCATACTCAGTGATATATTCAAAGTTTTGTATAAAATGCAAATGTCAAACAATAGAAAATAATTCAAATATATTATAGTGTATCATTTGGTGGAATACCTTGTAGACATTATTGTAGATCACTCATAGATTTTTGCCTGATCGTCTATAGTTGTATGCTGCTGTGATTTGAGAAAGGAAGGAAGTAGAAAGTTGAGAAATGGGGGTCATAAGCCATTTTCCCTCTTTGTTAGGTTCTGTGGGATTTCTTTCTTCTCCATTCCTTCCTTTACTTGTCCCACTTTGATTTCAAGTCTCCACTTATTCTTTGGCCACTATCTTGATTTTTAGTCATCCATGAGTCTAGTTGTTACTTAGAATGATGGGTCCACATGCCTATATTTTTCTTATGGTATTTTACTTCTGAGATTCAGAAATACTGTTTCAGAAAACATTGAAAACAATTATTCTACATTGTAAAGAAGTATGCAAATGAATATGGGTAAGCCAGAGATACTCATAGGTGCCAGGGAATACATTTTTCATTCAGAGAACAGAAAAAAGGAAATTTCTAATGCAGTCATGCCTTACTTCTTGATGGGGATACATTTTGCGTAATGTGTCTTTAGGCAATTTGTCATTGTTTGAACATCACAGAATGTGCTTACACAAACTTAGACTGTATAGCCTACTACACACCTAGGCTAGGTGGTCTAGCCTACTACTCCCAGGCTGTAGTGCATGTTACTGCCCTGAATAGTTTGTGTATCTAAACGTATCTAACGTAGAAAAGGTACAGTAAGAATACAGTATTAGAATCTTATGGATCATGCTCACATATGTGGTCCATTATGAACTGAAATGTTGTTATGAGGTGTATAACCATAGTTTCATGTCTTTTTTATAAAGGATGATGTAAATATCAATTTTCTTTTTATTTGTTTTTTATAAAATTATTAACAGTTGTTTATTTATTTATTTATCTATTTATTTATTTTTTGAGATAGAGTCTTGCTCTGTCACCCAGGCTGTAGTGCAGTGGCACAATCATGGCTCACTGCAACTTCTGCCTCCCAGGTTCAAACGACTCTCCTTCCTCAGCCTCCCGAGTAGCTGGGATTACAGACACCCACCACCATGCCCAGCTAATTTTTGTATTTTTAGTAGAGACGGGGTTTCACCATGTGTTGAGCCAGGCTAGTCCGGAACTCCTGACCTCGAGTAATTTGCCCATCTCAGCCTCCCAAAGTGCTGGGATTACAGGCATGAGCCACTGCACCTGACCTATTATTTGAAAATACATGTCCTAAGTACATTTAAAACAGTTTTGGGAAAAAATTATGTTAAATTTAGGTTTCTGTATACTTGAGAGCAACTAAAGAGCATTAAACTTTGTGATCTAGCAGATACAGATTCTCAATGCTAACAGCTAGAAAAATTTCTCATGAGTAAAATTAAATTGCTGATCTATAGGATCTCTGAGTCTTTTCCCAGTTTCATAGCAAAAGAGATTCCCCAAATTACCTTTATTTATTTATTTTTAAAGTAGAATTCTGAAATCCTAGGTTGAATGAGATATAATAATATGCATATTTTAATATCTAAATTTTGGTTTTTCTAATTAGCAACACATCCATATTGAATTGCTAATGAAAAATTATCAATCTTTAATATTAGCGTGTATTTTTGTACCAGAACCCTACTCTGAAGTTAGCATTGTTAATGCCTTCAGTGAAGTCATAGTTATTTTCTTTGGTTATGCCGACATAGGAGGGAAAAAAACCCAAAAGTCTTATCACATTAAAAAAACCAAATAGAATATAATTTTCATCTAATCATATGAAATGATATTTACTGTCCAAAAACTTTCCTATAACTCTGTTATAAAAAGATATGCTATGTCTGGACAATGTCAAACTCACTTTTCATGCATTCCCATTTCATTACTATGTTCAATGATTAAATCTAAAGAAAATTTTAATAGATCCCTTGCCTAAAGCAAACACAAAGAGCATCAGTGGCAACAATGAGGATGAAAGGAAAATGCTGTAGCTCTCACTAAAGGGCCTAAAAAAACTTCTGCTTTAATTTCTTTAAATCTATGATAATGTTGTGTTGTTTTAAATTATACTCTAAGTTCTAGGGCACATGTGCAGAACGTGCAGGTTTGTTACATAGGTATACGCGTGCCGTGGTGGTTTGCTGTAGCCATCAACTCGTCATCTACATTAGGTATTTCTCCTAATGCTATCCCTCCCCAGCCCCCTCCAGCCCCCGACAGGCCCTGGTGTGTGATGTTCCCCTCCCTGTGTCTATGTGTTCTCATTGTTCAACTCCCACTTATGAGTGAGACCATGCGTTTATTGGTTTTTTTGTTCTTGTGGTATTTTGCTGAGAATGATGGTTTCCAGCATCATCCATGTCCCTGCAAAGGACATGAACTCATCCTTTTTTATAACTGCATAGTATTCCGTGGTGTATATGTGCCACATTTTCTTTATCCAGTCTATCACTGATGGGCATTTTGGTTGGTTCCAAGTCTTTGCTTTAGTGAACAGTGCTGCAATAAACATATGTATGCTTGTGTCTTTGTAGTAGAATGATTTATAATCTTTTCGGTATATACCCAGTAATGGGATTGCTGGGTTAAATGGTATTGAGGAATCACCACACTGTCTTCCACAATGGTTGAACTAATTTACACTCCATCAACAGTGTAAAAGTGTTCCTATTTCTCCACATCATCTCCAGCCTCTGTTGTTTCCTGACTTGATGATTGCCTTTCTAACTGGCATGAGATGGTATCTCATTGTGGTTTTGATTTGCATTTCTCTAGTGACCAGTGATGATGAGCTTTTTTTCATATATTTGTTGGCCACATAAATGTCTTCTTTTGAGAAGTGTCTGTTCATATCCTTTGCCCACTTTTTGATGGGGTTGTTTTTTCTTATAAAGTTGTTTAAGTTCTTTGTAGATTCTGGATATTAGCCCTTTGTCAGATGGATAGATTGTAAAAATTTTCTCCCATTCTGTAGGTTGCCTGTTCGCTCTGATGATAGTTTTTTTTGCTGTGCAGAAGCTTTATAGTTTGATCAGATCGTTGTTGTTTAAGTACTGCCTGTGTAGATGATTTAAAATGATGTGAAAATTCAGGGAAAATTCAAAGGGTTTGGGGCTTGGGTTTATGTGGATTTATCTCCTCTAGTTTTATTTATGTTAAGTTTCACATATGTTCAGAATTTCTAAACAAGGTCTGATATTACTGCCAATATTTGCATGGCTTAGAGTATAAACTATTATCAGCCCTAATGATAACAAAAGCAAAAATTGTGCATTTCTGAATACTAATTGCACACAAAATGCCTAATGACATTTTCACCTTTTAAGAGAGCATGTTTATGGGGTATGAATTTGAACTTACTATTCTAGAAGGCTGGTTTTACAGAATTTTAACCCTAGTAAATTGGAAAGAACTCTAATTTTCTTTCCATCGAAAAATAAGGTCACTCACTATGGATGAAGAAAAAAATTATATACATTATTCATTAATAACATTACATCATACATGTATTTATATGCCCTAAAACAATCTGGATGCTGCTGAGAAAATAATTTTTCCAAAGAGCACATTTTCAAAAAGTGCTTTAATGCATTTTCAAATATAATGCATTCAAAAAAAATGCTTCATATTTTTTCTCTCTAATACATTAGCTTTTATATTTTGCTATCAAATGACTTTGCTTTTTAGGTATACCTATTACAATGTCTTACTAAAAATAATTCATGCAACCAATACAATGTTGGTTAGGGAGCGAGTTTTCATAAGGGATTCATTATACTTACAAAATTATCTTTACAAAATCATTTACATGTAGTGTCTCATTGCTCATCAAAATAACTTGATTGTGCAAATATTATCTGTAGTGACCAGAAAATAAAACTATGACCCAGAGAGATTAATAATTGCTGGTTAAATGGTGAATTTGAAAAAAGCATGCAGTTCTCCTGACTGCTTATTGAGTGTTCTTTTCACTACCACATTGAGGGAGGGGATCATTAACTCACATCCTGGAGGCTATCAAACTGACATGAATCCTTGATCATAATTGACCTAAATTATTCTGATCTACCACTGTTTAAATTAAAATTCAACAAATAATTGCTCAACTTCAATTTTATGCTGACTATAGAGACCTGGCCTTGGAGGGCCTCAAAAAGGAATCTATCTCTCAGAAAATAAAGAAAAGCTTTTATTGGATTGAATTAAAGTGATTAATTTCTTTTTTCTTCTTTAAAGATCTTTTCATTGATTGTGATTTTTAAAAATCCCTTAGGAAATTCCTTATAAATGTATAAAGTTGATTTCATTGTAAAACTCTGTTCTGCTATTTACTTTTTTTTATTCCTTGGAGTGCTTGGAACTTTGTTCCTCTTTATGTCTACTTTCATTTCATCCATGCACCCATGATCTCATGTAGCTTTTCCACCCTTTAATCTTTTTTTCTGCTCGCTTAAGATAGGCTTACTGCGAACATACATTTCAACCTTATGGTGGAGTATTTAAAATTGAAAATTGAAAGAACAGAGGGATATACTTAACATTCTGTCAGTGTTGCTTCTGCCTTTATAAGTTGAGGAAATTTTTATTTTAGTACAATTTTATTTAGTAAAATTTAGCATATATAAGCTGAGAACATTTTTATTTTATTAAAATTTGTAATCAGCCTTTATGCTTTTGACCAATATCTTTTGAGATTTCATTAAGTGTAGAGGCCTGTGCTAAGTGATGGGAATTGAAAGATGTTTAATACCCAGTCTTCCATCTTTAGAAGTCTTGGCTTGAGTAAAGGCTGCCAGTTGAGTATATTGGCATGTTTTTTTTTGACCAATTTTTAGATTTTAACAGAATCTTAATAGGTTTTTTATTTAACCATAACTCTGTGACTCTTACATATCATACAATGGAATTTTATTAGTTAACATTAAATTGGAAGGAAGAAATGAGTTAGATGGAGAGGTTACTAAGCCTTCTTGGTTAATAAAAGTATCCTTAAATAATTCATGGCTTATACGAATCAGTATTGTCAAATGTCGAAGAGCTAGAATTTGGAAAGCCATAATTTATCATGTATTAAAGGAAAAGCACAACTCATTTTCTTACATTACATTTGACTAGCTGAAATTCCTTTTTTTTTTCCTTCCAAAATTGGCTTGAAATTTTTAGGCACTATTCAATATAAAACCTGTCTCTTTTTAGTTCAGAGGAATAATATTTTGCATATATACTTATACATATATATATGTCTGTGTGTGTGTGTGTGTGTGTGTATAAAGCATTTCATACACATGAGCACTAAGACTTTTTCTTTTTTTTCAGTTTAGCTGATTAAAATATTAAAATTTTATCTAGCTGTGGAGTAGGGCTTTTTCCATGATTTCGAAAGCATGGTTACTGAAACAGTGAAACCCTGTATTTTATTGGCAAAGAATTAAAAGATTTTGAATCTTTAATCAAGAATTGTTAAATACTTCAGTTTATAATTGGTTATGAATTAACCAGAATTCTCCACACAAATCTGTCTGCTTGAGTGAAAAGACTGGTTCTCTGCTTACAGTATCCCCTACAGTACAGCCTTCTACTATTCACATGTGACTGTAGTCCAGATGACATGAGAGTGATCTGATCATGTACAGAAACGCTTAAGCATTGTTGGCATAAATCCACTCGGAGTTGCTGGGTTTTCACTTGAAAAGGAGTCTGGAAATGTGATTTAAATGACATTCTATCTTTTCTTCTGCTTGTGTCTTAAAGTCCTTGCCTGTCTCTTGTTGTAGCCAATGTAATGCATAAACTCTTCCAAGGAAGACAAGCAGACAAGCTCAGGGTTTGATTCACCGCCAGTTTTGTTCCAACAGTTGTATGAGTGCCACATTCATGAAGCTAATGCCCCTTTTCTGGCCCTACCACAGGATTCCAAGTTTTCTTTCCAGATGGATGTGCAGCTTCAGCCCCACCAGCAGGCTGGAGTCCTTATCCACTCAACAAAAGAGATGTGTGCTTGACTCTGAAATGTTAGCATGGCATTTCTAACTATGACAATAACAAGAATCATGCAACTGGAGATATACATGGAGAAGTCAACTTGTTTGGTAAATAGTGATATGGATTTTTTTTTTTTTGGTCACTTATCCCAAGAAATAGTATGTCCTATTTTTAATATCAAGAGAATACATTCCTTCATTTAAGCATTCAATCATTTATTTAAAAATTACTTTGCTGAATATGATTCACTATGTTTTTCTCTTAGCTAGGTGCTGGGACTATGGAAACAAATCTTTCATTTCTATGGGCCACGGACTCATAATTAATTTTGAGACAGGTCAGGATGGTATGTCTGAGGATAACAAAGAGGCAAGAGTAACCAATATAGCTCTGGGGGCAGATAACACTGTAGAAACATGGAAAGTTCTGGAAAGTAGGGGAGTTCAGGCTGAACATGGAGGTTTTTGATGTGTGGTTTTTTTTTTTTCTGCGTCTCTCAAAGTGAAAGACATTTTTTCTTTCCCAATTTAAAATTCATTGTTTTTAATCCTCCAAAGATGATCTCTTAATTCTCAGGATAAGGGTCTGATATGTGTGCGTTATTCCCTCTTTTCATATATGAAACAGTTGAGCCTCATAGATTAAACAAGCTTGCTCATGGTCACATGTCTGGTACTTAGAGAAAGAAGAGCTAAAAATACTCTCTTGAAAGTGGTACTGCCCCTTTCGGCAATACTCCCTTGGCACCTATGGCCCTGCCTTTTTCAGCATCTGTCTCCTTTATTTGATGGTGTTTTGGCCTCAAAGTCATAGTATTTCATGACTTAAAGTCAACTCACAATTGATTATCCAATTTGATTTCGGTTGACCCACACACTAAGGCATTATCCCTTGCTTTTGATTGCAGATATTTGACAGAGGAACAAAGTAAAATTATACAAGTAATAATGTTTATTGAACAATGATGGCCAGGCACTACATTTAGTACTTTAGTGGTTTAGCTCACAATAATCTTATGATCAGTTACTTTGTTTCCATTTTACAGAGAAGCAAACGAGTCTTGGAGTAATTAAGTAACTTGCCCAATGTTGCTCAGTTTGCATGTGGAAGAGCTTGGATTTAGCCCAGGCAGCCTGATTCCAGAGCTCAAGAACTTCACCACCATCAAGACACAAGTTTCGTTCCCTCTATGATAGTTCAATAATTAATAAAATATATGATCCAAACTATCTGGAAATAGATGACCCAAACTATCTGAAGAGTCTTTCTGAACTTTTAAACTACAAAATTATTCTGCTGTATAAACATTAAGGAAAGGTAGAAAAGATTTGATACTGGGACACATACTGTGCCTTTTCTCAATTCACCATGTTATATCGGTTTCCTTATATTTAAAACATAAAATGATGTAACAGCTTCTTATTTGTGCACAATACATTGGCATATTAAGGATGACATTTTAGACAGCAAGGCAGAGTACACAGAGGTGTTTAATGTTCTTACATCTCTTCTGCCAACACTGTCTTAAAAGTGCTTTCCCAAAACTATAGTAATATATTGTTCCTATCACTTTGGCTCGCCTTCCAGACTTGGCCAAGAATTAAGATAATCTATCTCATCAACAGATTCAAATGTGTTTGTATTTTCTCTATCTTTGAGGAGCTTCTGAATTGTTCTCTCCAAGTGTTTAGGGAAAAGAGAAAAGATAGGAGACAGAAGAGAAGTAAGAGAATATAAATTCCAGGAGACAGAGAATTAACATTCTCTTTTTTTGATTCATGATTCAGAATAGGGTTCCATGGAGTGTTAAATCAGAGTGTGATTCTGTGGTAGAGAAACATTGTAGTTGGTGTGGTGTATCATAAAATCCTAGAAATGAATGATGAAAGGTATTTCTGGAGAAGTTGGTTATTAGTACAGCAAAAGTTAAGGTATATGCCATATATAGTTCAGGCAGCGACATACTCTTGAATATTGGATTTCTTTCTTGCAGGCTTGATTTTCCTAATGGCAAAATTAATAGTGGGTATTATATTAAGTAAGATTATTCAGAACTATCAAGTTATGGACACATTTCCTAAGTTTACTTGACAGGGGTAAAAAGTCCACATTCTTAATCACTTATGAAATTCTAAAAAATTTCAGTTGTATTTCCAGTTGCAGCAGGATATGACATAAATTAGATGTCATGTAGGAGTGTTATTTATCCCAATTAATTTAACTTTTGTGTGTGTGTATATTTTGGACTGCTTTAGTACTTAACATTTTAGGGCTAGTTGACTTGCATAATGCTTCCAGAAAAGTACATGGAATATAACATTGCAGCTTCCTCAAATAAAAAATGCATGTGTATTTAAAATGAACCTAAATAGCTGGTAAAAGAGCTTCTTAGAAGTTGTACTTATTTTAAATTAGAATTTTAAAATAAAACATGAAAATGTTTTTTGCGATTGCAGAATCATATTTTTGCTGCCATTATAGGAGAATAATTTTTAGAGTTATCTTGAAATAGAAATATGTATTTTAAGTGCTAGTCCAAAATTAAAAGAAGATCACTCTGTAACACCATTAGAGAGAAAGAGATTGAAATGGGGAAGAGATAAGTAATAACAATTAGAAAAATGTGATAACTGCAAAAACCTCATTTATGTAATATTTGATCTCTGAATTACTTTGTTCTTCCACAGAAACAGGACGTACTATGTCACATGAAATTACTAAAATAATAAATTCTTATTTTCTTGAGGGAAAATTATGTAGTCTGATTTAAAAATATAATGTGGTGACCAAAACAGCAGATTAGCAGAGAATATGATTGCCTCTGATTGTCCTTCAATATCACCTCAGATTCTAAGTTATTATTCATTCATTTGTGATGAGGTATCTCATCTCCTCTGTCATTTGCTATGTTTACAATCCCACAAGAATCTATACTGCTTCCAGATAAGTGACATAACACATAGATTGGCATGTCCTTGTGAGCAAGTTGTGTACCAAAAACATAATGTATTCACCAAAAATGAAGTCATTTTACATCTTCTGTCACTGGACTTAATTGGGTAGTTAGGTGACTTACAAGAACATTTTCTTTGCTATATCTAAGTTAAAGTTAAACTTGTGAGTCCTTTCACGTGGAAGGAGATTGAAAAAGATAAGCTTTCACATAGAAAGTGATTTACCAGTCATTTAAAGAATTCATTGAGAATAAAATACCTAGGAATCCACCTTAAAGGGACGTGAAGGACCTCTTCAAGGAGAACTACAAACCACTGCTCAATGAAATAAAAGAGGATACAAACAAATGGAAGAACATTCCATGCTCATGGGTAGGAAGAATCAATATCGTGAAAATGGCCATACTGACCAAGGTAATTTATAGATTCAATGCCATCCCCATCAAGCTACCAATGACTTTCTTCACAGAATTGGAAAAAAATACTTTAAAGTTCATATGGAACCAAAAAAGAGCCCGCATCACCAAGTCAATCCTAAGCCAAAAGAACAAAGCTGGAGGCATCATGCTACCTGACTTCAAACTATACTACAAGGCTACAGTAACCAAAACAGCATGGTCCTGGTACCAAAACAGAGATATAGATCAATGGAACAGAACAGAGCCATCAGAAATAACGCCACATATCTACAACTATCTGATCTTTGACAAACCTGAGAAAAACAAGCAATGGGGAAATGATTCCCTATTTAATAAATGCTGCTGGGAAAACTGGCTAGCCATATGTAAAAAGCTGAAACTGGATCCCTTCCTTACACCTTATACAAAAATCAATTCAAGATGGATTAAAGACCTAAACGTTAGACTTAAAACCATAAAAACCCTAGAAGAAAACCTAGGCATTACCATTCAGGACATAGGCATGGGCAAGGACTTCATGTCTAAAACACCAAAAGCAATGGCAACAAAAGCCAAAATTGACAAATGGGATCTAATTAAACTAAAGAGCTTCTGCACAACAAAAGAAACTACCATCAGAGTGAACAGGCAACCCACAAAATGGGAGAAAATTTTTGCAACCTGCTCATCTGACAAAGGGCTAATATCCAGAATCTACAATGAACTCAAACAAATATACAAGAAAAAAAACAAACAACCCCATCAAAAAGTGGGTGAAGGACATGAACAGACACTTCTCAAAAGAAGGCATTTATGCAGCCAAAAAACACATGAAAAAATGCTCACCATCACTGGCCATCAGAGAAATGCAAATCAAAACCGCAATGAGATATCATCTCACACCAGTTAGAATGGCAATCATTAAAAAGTCAGGAAACAACAGGTGCTGGAGAGAATGTGGAGAAATAGGAACACTTTTACACTGTTGGTGGGACTGTAAACTAGTTCAACCATTGTGGAAGTCAGTGTGGCGATTCCTCAGGGATCTAGAACTAGAATTACCATTTGACCCAGCCATCCCATTACTGGGTATATACCCAAAGGACTATAAATCATGCTGCTATAAAGACACATGCACACATATGTTTATTGCGGCACTATTCACAATAGCAAAGACTTGGAACCAACCCAAATGTCCAATAATGATAGACTGGATTAAGAAAATGTGTCACATATACACCATGGAATACTATGCAGCCATAAAAACTGATGAGTTCATGTTCTTTGTAGGGACATGGATGAAATTGGAAATCATCATTCTCAGTAAACTATCGCAAGAACAAAAAACCAAACACCGCATATTCTCACTCATATGTGGGAATTGAACAATGAGAATACATGGACACAGGAAGAAGAACATCACACTCTGGGGACTGTTGTGGGGTGGGGGGAGGGGGAGGGATAGCATTGGGAGATATACCTAATGCTAGATGACGAGTTAGTGGGTGCAGCACACCAGCATGGCACATGTATACTTACGTAACTAACCTGCACATTGTGCACCTGTACCCTAAAACTTAAAGTATCAAAAAAAAAAAAAGATTATTACTTCCAAAAAAAAAAAAAAAAGAATTCATTTCAGTTTTTTTCATATATTACTACTGGGCTAAGTTTGTTTCTTTCTGGCTTTTTCCTAAAGCAGGATTTCAATTGTACTGATGCCATCATAATTCACAGGAGAGAAATTCTTCAACTTTCTCTGGAGTCAGACTATATGTAATGAAGTTGTTCCCGAGGTGATTAGTCATTACATATTCAAGTTATGATATGCTTTGGTTGTGTCCCCTCTCACATCTCATCTTGAATTTTAGTTTCCATAATCCCCACATGTCATGGGAGGAACCCAGTGGGAGGTAATTTAATCACAGGGGTGGTGACCCTCATGCTGTTTTTGTGATAGTGAGTGAGTTCTCATGAGATCTGATGGTTAAGTGCTTTTCCCCCTTTGCTCACCACTTCTCCTTGGTTGCCATTTGAAGAAGGACGTGTTTGCTTCTCCTTCCACCATGATTGTAAGTTTTCTGAGGCTTCTAGAGCCATGCGGAACTGTGAGTCAATTAAACCTCTTTCCTTTATAAATTACCCAGTCTCAGATATGTCTTTATTGGCAGCATGAGAACGGACTAATACAAGATATAACAACAACAACAATAATAGTAATGTCAAGGTGTTTATGCATATAATCAGTTGCAGCCACATCACATCAAAAGTAATAATGACAACTATTCAGTTAAAAAAAAAAGAAAGAAAGTTCTGAGGAGAAATGAAAAAGTGCCAGTGTTTCAATGGAACTCTTGGAAACTTTGTCTTCTAATTGATTTATTTTTTAATTTGTTGGGGAGGAAAAAAAATACATTTTCCTTCTAACCCATCATAGGTTCATTGGCTGGGGCCCCTATAACAAAAGACAGATTAACAAGAGAAAAGCATACACATTTATTTAATATTATTTTTTACATGACACAGGAGCCTTCATAAAGAAGTGAAGACTGAAAAAAACAATTAAACCTGAGTGTTTTTAAATAGATTTGAGGAAGTGTTTTAAATAGGTTTGAGGAAGAATAGAGAATCATGGAAAAGCATAAGGCAAAAAAAAAGAGCAGGAAGAAAGAAAGAAAAAAGGAAGGAAAGAAGGAAGGAAGGAAAGAAGGAAGAAAGAGTATGAGTTAAGGGTAATAAACCAGGGGAACTTGGGCCTTTTTGTTCAGATTCCTCTTGGTGTCCCTGTGATCTGTGTCTTTGGAGGTAAGGATGCTCCTTTCCTCTAGGTATTGAGAAGCCACCTCTCACATGAAGCCCTATGACCTTCTCTAGGGGAGAAGTGAAGGAGAAGTCAGAGATATCTTCCTGCATATCTATTTCACAAATTCCTTCAACTTAAAATATTCCATATGTCAAGGTGCCACATTTTAGGATAGCACATCTTGAACTCTGTCAAGTTCTATTTGTTTTTTTTAATGTGATGGAGTTTTTGGTGTGTGTATGTGTTTAGTGCTGGGTGAGAAAAATATCTTATATCCTAAAATACTAGTTGTAATTATGCACAAATAGTCATCAACTCAGAATTTTATAGAGAAAATATAAATCTTAACCATCATTTAGCCCAATAGTTATAATAATGACAGACCATCAGAATTATCTAGAATTGCATGTGTGTATAATATGATCTTAAATTGTATCATATGTATATGTATGTATAGATGTTGCTGAGTTTCATTCCTGGAGAGTCAGTGCTAATTCACAAGGTATGGAGAATGACAATGCAAGGTTTCCTCTATGAGCAGCCAGGTTGGGAAACCATTTACGTTACAAGTTCTGTAACTTTGCATGAGGCAACTGAAGCCTGTGTAGATTGACCAACCTACCACTTATCATACAGCCATCAGATACTATAGTCAGTAATAAACCCAGGCTTTCTGACTCTTGACTTTTCCCCATAACCGAGGTTTCTTCTTCAAGATGTTTATGAGACATTGCTAATCCCTTGACTATGACTTTGAATGTCTAACACTTCACTGATACTCAGCTCTTGTTTTTTGTCTAATAAATAATTATTTATGCTGTTGATTCACTACTTATCCTTTAAAAGTAACATGATATTGCATTTGCCCATAAAAATAAAATTGTTAACACTTGCTCCCTTTCATTGGAAATGATTTTCACATTTTATTGTTTCTATTTGTTAACACTTATCTTCTAACTTATGGTTTTTCACTTCAAAGTTAAATTATTTAAATCTAGAAAAAATTGTTTATTAAATTCACTTGTTTAACAATTTCAGAAAAGTCAGCCAATGAATTGTTTATTGAGAGGGTTGTTCCCTCCCTCCCTTCCTTGCTTTCTTCCTTCCTTTCTTCCTTCCTTCCTTCCTTTCTTCCCTCCCTCTTATAATCCCCAGAGGAAATGGCAGATGCGAATGGCTGAAATGTAATGTAATTGACTTGTCTCCCTAGTTTGTGTATTACTGCCCTCTGTTGGATACAATTAGGTCTACTCTAATATGTTAGACTGTCTTGCCCCCTAGTGGTTTGTGCAGAAGACAGTAATGAGGACATTGGAAAACACTGTGTGAAGGATCAGCTAATTATTTATTTACTTTTAGATAAGTACAATTTGACAAAAACCTGATTTTATAATAACTGATTTAACATGTAACAACTCACCTTGCTTGTGTCTCAAATTTCATTTATGAACAAATCAATAGACTAATTACTAAGTTAGAGAAATATGTTGCTATATAAGAAATATAAAATTTATGGTAACTTTTAATGCACAACTCAATTTATCACTTCATTAATTGGAGACTTCTAATGGGCCATTTTCTGAAAATTGAATTTATTTCTTCTTCTTCTTCTTTCAGAGACAGGTCTCTCTGTTGCCTGGGTTGGAGTGCAGTGGCCTCAAGTTCCTAGCCACAAGCGAACCTCCTGTATCAGCTTCCTTTGTAGCTGGGACTACAGGTGTGCATCATCACACCAGGCTAATTTTTAAATTTGTTTTTGGAAAGACAGGTCCTGTTTAATTTCCCAGCTGGTCTCGAACTACTGGCTTCAAGAGATCCTTTTACCTCAGCCTCCCAAAAGTCTGGGATTACAGGTGTGAGCCACTGAGTCCAGCCTGAAAATGGAATTTCCTGAACTGGAATGAGTTTTATTCACTATGCCTGAGATTCTGCAAACTGAAGCAGAGACATGCAGCAGAGAATTTTTTTTTTTTGAGGCAGGGTCTCACTGTGTCACCCAGAGTGGAGTGCAGTGGCATGATCTTGGCTTACCACAACCTCCACCTCCCAGGCTCAAGCAATTCTCCTGCCTCAGCTTCCCGGGTAGCTGGGATTACAGGCATGCACCACTACCACCCGGCTAATTTTTTTTGTATTTTTAGTAGAGACATGGTTTCACCATGTTGGCCAGGCTGGTCTTGAACTTCTGACTTCAAATGACCCACTTGTCTTGGCCTTCCAAAGTGCTGGGATTACAGGTGTGAGCCACTGCACCTGGCATGAATTTAAATTAGAAAAATAGAGACACTTTAAGCAAAATTTTTTGACAAAATATGAAAAATAAATTGGCTATAGTAAATTTACTACTATTTCAAAATAAAACATAATCAGCATAATCACCCATTCAATTAATTCATTAGAAATTAACAAACCTAACTTGTGCAACTCTCAGATGAATAAGAAGTAAAAAAGCTCTTGGTTTCTTGTAGCTTACATTCCTTAGATTTGTAGATCCTGTTGGGTTGAGTCATTTCTAAGAATAGATTAATTTTTCCCCCTTTCTCCTATCACTCCAAACTTACTCCTCTCATGGCTCTTATGAATTCAGTTTTTTTTCTTGTTTATCATCCCAGTAATCCATATCTGTATGTCCTAGGTTATAGTACCTGAACCAAGGTGAGCTTTTAATGAATCTTTGTTTTCAGTACCCCCTGTCTCCTTATAACCCTTAACTCTTCTCTTGCCCCCTCTGGTATTCAAGAAACCCTGAGACTTTACCATGAAAACCTCCTCCACTGAAAGGTCAATCAGCCCTCTATTGCCTTAAAATGAAGTCTTTGCCCAGAAAGTAACAATGCATTTGCCCAGAAGTACAAACATATTAAGCTTTATCTTGAGCTTAAAATCAAATATATATTTAATTCATCTTCCTCTTCCAGGCTCCCCCCTCCCCCGCCACACACATGTATACATAGACAAAGGATAGACTCTGGAGGACAAAGGGCAGGAATTTATAGCACAGTAGGTCTTCTCACTCCATAAACCGTATGCCTTAAAACAGCAAATCTACCTCATCTTTTTTTTTTTTGCTTCCTTTATTCATCCTTTTTGTTCTTCTTAAACTAAAGAACTTGCCCTTCTCTCTCAGTGACAGCAGGGATGACACTTAGTCAGGTATGGCTGTATTGGTTGTGAAGAGCTGGTATCTGTCCGAATTGATTGCTACATCTGTCCTGATGAGCTGGTGCTTATTACAGATTCCGAAGATTACCATAGGACAGCAGGCAGTTTGCATTTGTCCACACCAGAGTTTTGCGTGTGCTATTCCCTTTTTCTAGAATCACTTACTTCTGTCTCTTCTAATCCTGAATTCTCAGTCATATTCTAGTAGTCTACTTATATGTTATTTGGTGACCCTGAAAAATTCCAGGATAGAGTTGATGACAACCTCATTTGAGTCCATTCTGTACTTTGTGAAAACCCTATTAAGGTACCTTATCATTGTTCAGCATATTCCAGAACACTGGGAAACTTCAGCTATGAACACTGTTTCTTTTTTTTTTAACTTAAAACTAACATTAAGTTATTAAACTTGCCTTGTATTTTAAAATTTGTTCATTTTCACCCTTTTGGGGGATCATTTCTTAGATGTTATGGATTCTGACTAGGTCTTTTTGAATTTTGTTCTATCTTTCTATAAATCTGAGATTTTTTTAACTTTTATCTTCCAATTAATTAGTCCTCCAATCATTTTCTTTTAATTTCTAAAAGCACTCTTTTTCTTAGATTTTTTTTTCATAGCCTTTCATTCCTATTTGGTGGATACTGTATCTTCTTTAATCTTTGAGAAAACATATTTGACTTTGAACAAATTTTCATCATTATGTTACACAAATTATCGGTTTCTATTGTATGTTTTTCATGTTGCAGATATCCTGCAGTTTATGTTGAATGTTTGTTTTATACTGACACTTAGAAGGAATAAATAGGAAGCTCTGTGTGTGGTCAAGTTCAGCAGGCTTCACTTTAAGGTTAGTGGGCGGGGGTAGCCATTAAACCAAAAAGCCTCTTAATGCTGGAATAAGGAAAACTGTGCTCTACAGTTTATTTAGAATTTCACTGATTAACCAGAGGTAGATGATGCAGTTTCTTTGGAGAAAAGCCCTGTGATTTTTGTCCATAGCTAAGTGCCAGGTAGCAGGATATAGTTCATCCAAGTCCTGGGAGACATCTACTCTCTGCTGACCTTGGGTCCCTGAGGCAAAGCCACTCAAGAGTCTCCTTAGTCAGGCTGAATTTATCCTTGACTTTGTCTTTTGCAGCTTCCTTCCCAATTTTTCCAGTCTGCAGTTCAGTGTCACTTCTGCTTCATCCTTTATCTTTTTTCATCTTCTGGAATGTATGATTTTCTTGCCCATTGACTTCATTGTCATTATTTTCTTCGTTGCTGTGGACTTTACCCTTCCTGATTATCTTTCCTATCAATTGAATAGGTTTAGAGATGGAAAGAAATAGTTGTCTGTGGTCAGCCCACCATCTTGAAACAAAGGTCCTAAGAAGGATCAAGGGAGAGGACCTCAAACACTAGTATTGCCTTTGTGATGAGAAAATAGAGAGTGGCAGATAGTAATACAGTGTGTTTTAATTACTTTCATGTTCTGAAAGTCTATCTATTAAATTAAATATGCTATCTTTGCTTACATCCAATAATAAAATAACAGCGTATTCTCTGAGGCCATCTTGTCAAACTTCAATTTGGAAGTTAGAATTCCTTATGCACAATTTCATTCAATCTGGTTCCAAAGTATATTAATCATCCTCACCAAGGACTTACTGAAGCAATGCACAGTGTTGGAAATTCTGCTTTGTTAGAAGCCCCTTCGAATATGAAGATGGAATCACTTCTCTCTTAGTTTTACTAATTTATCCATTACAAACATGTGCTTCAGGGGATGCTGTGGACACTTGAAATTGTATGTAAAAATTGTTCTTGTATGTGCATAAGAACATTTTTCTGGGAAAATGATCCATTGGGTTTGTTACATTCTCAGCTTAATCTGTAAACAAACAAAAGGCTAAATGCCACTTGAAGATAGCAGAGAAAGCTGGCTTTCTTTAATTTCTGAAAATTCTCCGAATATTCAAGAATAGCTGTAATTCATTTTTATTTTTGGTATGTACAACAATGAAAGCTTGAAAGTCATCAAATAATATAGATCGGTGGCTGTTTGAATAGGACTCAGATTTTGAAGAGCTCAATCTATAGTTACTATACACCTGTTCATACCCATACTCATACATTTAAAGAAAGTCAATTAGTAAAACAAAGCAATAAATTCAGCATACTCTAAATCACAGAATCTAAAGGTTTCTTGACCTTCTAAAAAAGTAGAATTAGCACAATAATACTGGTGTATTAGCCAGGGTTCTCTAGAGGGACAGAACTAATGGAATAGATACATATATAATGGGGAGTTTATTAAGTATTCACTCACATGATCACAAAGTCCCACAATAGGCTGTCTGCAGACTGAGGTGCAAGGAGAGCCAGTCCGAGTTCCAAAATTGAAGAATTTGGAGTTTAATGTTCGAGGGCAGGAAGCATCCAGCACGGGAGAAAGATGTAGGCTGGGAGATTAGGCCAGTCTCTGTTTTCACATTTTTCTTCCTGCTTATATTCTAGCTGGACTGGCAGCTGATTAGATTGTGCCCACCCAGACTAAGGGTGGGTCTGCCTTTCCCAGCCCACTGACTCTAATGTTTATCTCCTCTGGCAACACCCTCACAGACACATCCAGGATCAATACTTTGTATCCTTCAATCCAATCAAGCTGACATTCAGTATTAACCATCACAACTGGAAGTTCTCTCTATGCTCTTATGTTAATTGTCATACTTGAAAGTCTTCAGTAACAAAGGATGAGATCAAGAATGAAGGATGGGATATTTGTGTTCACTTACAAATACATCTGCACTATCTTTTAAAAACCATTGTAAAATCTTCAGCACATTTTAGAAAGCATACCGTTTTGCATAAAATTATTATGGCTTTTTGAAAAATATTACAATTATAAAGACTTCATGATAAATTTAATTTCTTCCATTTGATAGCATAATGTTTTCTTAAATTATTTAAATAATGAATGATAATTATAGATATAAATTAGAAAAAATAGGGAAACTAATATGTGAAATATCACTGTCGAGTGTATAGGTATTAACTCTGGTGTATACTTTCAGAATAAAATATATTCTTTGATCTGTATCTGTTTATTTATCAATATATTATGAAGTTTCTTTCACAAGAGTGAATATAGATGAATCTACTTTTTCATTTTATTAATATTAATAAGTTATAGCATAGTTTTCCATTGTTTAGATGTACTGGTTTATTTAACCTTTCTAAATAGATACTTTGTTTCCAGTTTTGCTTCTAAAAACAATGGTATAATACAAACCATATGCATATAGATATTCTCCACTATATATATTATATAGCCAAAATTCTTTTGAGATATTTTTATATTCCTATCCACAGTGAGTTAGAATATTCTCTTTTTGGACATTCAGGCTAAACCAATATATCAAAACCCATTTTAGTTTTTGCTAATGTGTAAGGCAACCTGTGGTGTATGTCTTTGTTCTTTGTTTTATGATACCTACTTTTGGTAGGGGCTGGTGGAGGCAGTTATTGCAAAACACCCTTATTTATATCTAGAGGTAATAACAGGGTCAGTGTGAGTTCTCTTGGTTTCTGAGCTTGTGACTTCATGAATAATAAGGGTTATTGTAAGAAGTCTGAGAAGATCTTATAGTTTTGAAATAGCCCTTGCTTGATAATTCAAAAAGATGAATTCAATCCATCTCTATAAAGAAAAATATACATCCTCATACCCTTATAAGGATGAAAAATGCGGTATAAACATCAATACCTATTTGAGTGAATTCCCAATTTGTGCGATATGAGAATGAAAAATAGTAAAAACAAAGATGCTGACAAAGAAAGGATTATTGGAGTCAGAGATAATCCAAAAACTTCATTCTGTCCAATAGCTTATGTGAATCTCTGACACTTAATATTTTCCTCAAACTGTCAACAATAAATTATTTAAAACAAGTAAAAACTGAAAATAAAATTAAAATTAATTAAATGCTATAAAATAGTTCTCTTTTATAACACCTTAGTTTAAAATACAGTTATTAATGAGCAAAAAAAAAACCAAAAAAACCCAAAAACAAACAAACAAACAAAAAACAGGCAGAAAGAGCAGAAAGACCCAAGTTTGGATAAATTGACAATGACTTCCTGAAAAATTACATTAGCATTCTTATTCAATTATTTTAGTTACAATGCATCTGAAAAATATTCTGTTTATTGTACTCCAGATATTTCAACGACAAAACCCAGAAAATAGACCCAATGAAGTAATACATAATAGGGTTCTTTAAATTGAAAATATATACAGAATAATTTTATTTCTCATATTTTAAATATGACAAACAACATTTAGTATATTAGAGACTAACTGAAAAGAAGTTATGATTATCCATATTTTTTCTGAAGACTATGTAAAGGTAAAAATGTATAATATTTTTTTTTGCACCCATTTCAAAGTGCACAGCTGACATTCCTATAACAAAAGACAGATTAACAAGAGGAAAACATAACAAATTTATTTAATCCAAGTTTTATGCGTCCCAGGAACCTTCAGAATGAAGACCCAAAGACCTAGGAAAAACTGTATTTTTATGCTTATGTGCAGTAAAGAATTGATGGCTGTGTAGAAATAAGATTGGCTAAAAAGGGTATGATCTAATGGTAATGAATTCTGGGGGGAACCCAGCAAGGCCTGTTTGCTCAGATTCTTCTCAGCCTCTCAGCGTAGCATCTCTTTCTTTAGGTATAGGTTAGGACACTTGTCACATGCGGATCTTCAGGGGAGAAGAAAGAAAATCATAGAGTGACATTTCTAGATTTTATGGCTTGTTTTAGGGGAAAGGAGTTCTCCTTTCTAGGATCTTCCTTGGGGAAGAGGAATTCTAGTTCTGTGACCTGCTTTGGAGAAGAAACGGAGAAAGGAAAAAGGAGAACAGGAGAAGGTCACAGAGAACTTCTTGCTTCTGAGGCCCTTCCAGTCTCCTACAGTTCAAAGCACTTAGCATGGCAAAGTGCCTTCTACCTTGAGGTATCATGGTTCTGCGTACCAACACCTCAATAGATCGTGCATGTGGTTTATGGACTTTTAAAGCCCACATTCAAGAAAAAAGGCAATTATGGATCTGAAATGTCCTGGTATTAAACTGAATTGAATAGTATTGCCAGAATATAGATAATGTTAAGTCTGTTTTTTTTCTATTTCTGCATCTTTGTCTAGCGATAAGCTCTGTAATTTAAATGCATAACTTGAATTTAATGCTTTAGAAATATTTGCCACCCCCAAACATATAAATGATTGACAACATTATTCCTAGTGCTTTAACAGAGAGACCACTTTGATGTCACTGTGATGATCCATTTTGATCTCATCTGAGCTGTCTGTATCACACGGATTGGGCCTCCTTAGCAGCCTGATTGGTCATTCATAGCCTGGCTATCATGATTTTATTATGTGCTGTGCACAATGCCAGATTAATTTCCTCTGGTCCAGTCTCAATAGGCTGCTACCTAGGCCTGCCACGTCCTTGGCATCCTGGCACTTCCCTTCAGTCTGATCCTCTTTGCTTTTAGTATCATTCCCTTTGCATTTCTCCTATGTTGAATGCCCTGTCTCCTCTTTTTATTTTTTTTGACAGATTCTCTGTCTGTTGCCCAGGCTGGGGGGCCCCATACTTTCTTCTTTTTTATTTTTTTTCCCTTATTTTGTTGGAGCACTTTCTCCCTTAGCTTCCTGAGAAGCAAGTTTTGAGAAATGTATTTTTTTAACCCCTGCGTGTTTTAAAATTTTTATTCTACCCTCATTTGTGATTGCATTGCATCAGGATAGAAACCTCTAAGTTAGAAATAATTATCTTTTAGACTTAAACCTTTATATTTATACTGTTAAAATCATTATACCATTGTCTTCCAATCTCCATTGTTTTTATTGTGAAGTCCCATACCATTCTGATCCCGACATTGGATATATTACACCGAGAGATGCAAAAGGAAGAGTTTATATAATCTTTTTGGCTGACTCAAGGAAACACAACTCTTAGTTCCTTTAGATGGTTGTTATTACCACTTTGCTTGAGGGTGGATTTGGGCAAACGTCAAGATTTCAGGGCAGAATTTTGTTGCCCTCGTAGCTGGAATTTGTCAACCAAACAAAACACTCTAAACCCCTGGAGTTCACAGCTGGACACAGGACCACTTAGGAATTCAGCCCAAGGCATCTTTCCACTTAAAGGAAATAGATCTAGCTGGCTTCTTATATCTGGCTTATGCAAGAAAGAAGAGAGTCTCTAAAATACTTTTATACAATGATCCTATCTTGGAAAAAATTTAATTTCAATAATGAAAATTTACATGCAATATTTCTCAAACTAGTCAACATATTATACTAACATTAGTATATTAACTATCGAGCTTTGGATATTAATTAATATATGGATAACAGAAACAACTGTGTTAGCTACATTTTGAGTAGGGCCTTCCGTAGAATGCTAGCTGCTCACAGCTCAACTGTACATTCTTGATTAGTATTTTAGCTGATCACCATTGGCTTGGACATTCTCAATTAGTACCGGGGTTACAAGCTAAGCTAAGTAACACACGTTGCATAACACACTACAGTTCTTCAATTTTTAAATAAAGTCCATTAAGACTTTGCCACATTTATATTCTAAGGAACTGATCCAGGGCTCTTCGGTACTTACTGGCTTGCTTATATTGGTCTATGTTTTCTAAGCATTCTCCATTCCACTAAGTCATCCACTTTCTAGTTAACAAAAAATTGCTGACATCTGTCTTCTGTTGCCATATATTATCTCATTTTCCACATCCTTCTGGATTTAATATACTTACTGCTTTTTAGCAAGGTTACAGAAAGAGTAGCGATAAACCTAAATTATTGACGCTGCATCTCTTAACCAACATTCCATTAAGCTTATTTTCCTAAAAGTGAAGACATTGTCTTATCAGATTATTTAGGTAACATTGGGTAAACATATATATTTACTGCCAAAATTTCTTATAAAATAAGAAAAAAGCTATGGAATTAATAGTTTTTTTAACATCCTCTGTATCCTTATCTGGAGAAAGAATTATCTACAAACAAAAGTAATGAATTACCAGAAATAATAACAATCATTAGTTTGACTTGCATTATTTTAGAACTTTTCCGTTATTTAAAATATAGGTCAGCAGGAAATACAAATTTCATTACAAAATAAGGCATAAATAATAAAAATATCCCAATGAGTCCTTTAATTGTTCTCTAAATAATGAATATGGATGCTTTAAAATAGAGCTAGTATTGTGATAGTTGATTAAAAGATTGTTTAAGAATGTCTCTGTGCCTGGAAAAGTTAAGAGTGAGCTTTATGGAGATTGCGTATAAACAAGCTGTGAGAGTTGATCATTGCAAAAAATCCAAGGAAGAAGTGTCCATGCCAATACTGAGATTTGCCTTAACTACCTGTAAATGACATTTTCTCTTATAGTTTTTTATAAACACATCTTTGTGCTGGAACTAATTCTAAAAGTTGGATTTCAAAATCTAATTTCTTCTGTGTGGCTATGTTATAACAATTAGGATTGTTCCTGTTGTTTCTGTCTCAATTTGGTTTACACTGATTAAAAAAATTAAAATCTATTTTTGTCAATTATAATTAAGCTGCAAAATAAAAGCCACATTGTAAGTTAGATATCCAATAGACTGTACTTTACAATAATACCATAATATTTTTGAAAAAATTGTGAATTTTAGAAAATGAACCCATATATTATTTTCACAATTGGTATTTTTACTAGGCTTGAACTATTCAATTACTATCACTATTTGAAATATCCTTGTTCAAAACCTCTGCTTTGAAAAAAAATGCCTTTTAAAAAATCTAAGTAATAACTGCAAATATTAGAAAAACATCCCCTCTTTTTCTAGAAATAATTTTAAGTCAAACGATTAATATTTTCATTTTCTTTTCGAAGCAGAGACATTAAATGGAATATATAACCTTTCACCAGGCAGTTTTTTGCATCGCAGATAATCAGTGCCTAATCTGTGCCATCATTAGATTGAAAAAAAGTCCAGAGAAATCCTTTTTTTCTGTAAAATATTTTATGGAATGAAGCAGATGGGAGAAAGGTGTGCAGGAAAATTAGCAACTAGATTTATACCATATCCTTTTGGCCTTTGACAATCACCAATATTGATAAACATTTATAAGTTACTAAAAATGATCCTACCATTCTTATTTCACTACAATGTAGATTAGTACTGTATGTAGACAAACTCTATTATATCTTTTTTTTTTTTTTTGAGACAGAGTCTCGCTCTATTGCCCAGGCTGGTGTGCAGTGGCGTGATCTCGGCTCACTGCAAGCTCCGCCTCCCGAGTTCATGACATTCTCCTGCCTCAGGCTCCTGAGTAGCTGGGACTACAGGTGCCCGCCACCAAGCCCAGCTAATTTTTTGTATTTTTAGTAGAGACGGGGTTTCACCGCGTTAGCCAGGATGGTTTTGATCTCCTTACCTCGTGATCCGCCCGCCTTGGCCTCCCAAAGCGCTGGGATTACAGGCATGAGCCACCGTGCTCAGCCTATATCTATTTTTTATTCGATGGAGTTTTCTTTCAGGATATGTTATTTGATTGGTTTATATATAAATATAACAAAGTCCCACTGTGTAACACATGGGGATTGAGCTTTCTGTAACAATAATTATAAGTTAAATTTACCAATTATTATTTATTGAGTCCATGTTTGCACATTGTTTTAAAACAACCCTATGGAGCAGGTACTATTATTTTCATATTTTACATTTTCACGTTTTATTGAGTGTATTAGTCTATTCTCATACCACTATAAAGAACTACCTGAGACTGGGTGATTTATGAAGAAAAGAGGTTTGATTGACCCACGGTTCCGCAGGCTGTACAGGAAGCACGGCTGGGAGGCTTTGGGAAACTTAACAATCGTGGCAAAAAGGTGAAGTGGAAGGAAACACGTCTTCACATGGTGGCAGGAGAGAGAGAGTGAAGGGGGAATTGATACAAACTTTTAAGCAGATCTCATGGGAACTTACTCACTATCGCAAGAACAGCAATGGGGAAATCTGACCCCATGATCCCATCACCTCTCACCAGGTCCCTCCCCCAACATTAGGAATTACAATTTGACATAGATTTGAGTGGAAACACAGAGCCAAACCATATTATTGAGATATACAGAAACATAGTATATTCAAACTGTATGTAGAGTACTTAAAATACTCTCCATACACTGGGTGAAGAGTAATTTTATATGGACTAAAAATTATTAAATTTTGTGTCTATGCTCCCATTTAATATTTATAAAACTTCTAAGAAGGATACTATTATTTCTATTCTAGAAGTAATTGAGACTCAGAGATATTATATTAAGTAAATTAGTAAAGGTCACATAACTAAAATGTAATAGATTCTAGAAACAACTCAGTTTTCTGACTGCATGTCAACATACATTTTAAAAGTTATGTGACATATTAAATATAATGTTTGTAAAACTATACTTCACGTTTATGCTAACGGGCACATGAACATTTATAGTGACTTAAAAATATACAACTTTCCATATTGACTTCTACGTAGAACATTTAAGTCAAAGAGTAAACATTTTATAATAAATAAAACCAGTTTATGTCATGTAAAAAGATTTCTTTTTTAGTATCATTCACTCATGGGTAAAATGAGCAAAGATCCACCCTATAACTTTACTCAAATCACTTGGAAAAGGTTTTTTTTTTATTATTGTCACATGGATGTAAGTTTAAGTTATAGGTGAACTAACAATGATAAAGTGATTAAATCAACATAAAAGCACTGTGCCGTTGACCTCAGCATTGCAACTAAAACATATGATTAGTTTCAAAATAAATGAGTCTTTATTACTAGCACCATTATACCCAGTGAAGTTCACACAACTTTATCATTAATGTATATATAATTTTTTGTTGCAAATTAATAAAGAGGGTATCTATTAATATTGATAATGTATTACAATAAAAATATATTTATCTTGAATATATTATTTTTTCCGTTAACATACATGATATGGTTTGCCTTTGTCCCCACCCAAATCTCATCTTGAATTGTAGCTCCCGTAATTCCCATGTGTTGTGGGAGGGACCTGGTGGGAGATAATTGAAAAATGGGGGCAGTTTCCCTCATACTGTTCTTGCCACAGTGAATAAGCCTCAGAAGATCTGATGATTTTATAAGGGGAAACCCCTTTTACTTGGTTGTCATTCCTCTCTTGCCTGCTGCCATGTAAAACATGTCTTTCTCCTTCTGCTATGATTGTGAGGCCTCCCCAGCCACATGGAGCTATGAGTCTGTTAAACCTCTTTTTCTTTATAAATTACTCAGTCTTGGGTATGTCTCTATCAGCAGCATGAAAACAGACTAATACAATCCATATTACACATTGTCCAGAAAAATTATTTTCTTCTTTTTGTTTTTTTTTGAGACAGAGTGTTGCTCTGTCACCCAGGCTGGAGTGCAATGGTTCCATCACTGCTCACTGCAAGCTCTGCCTCCTGGGTTCAGGCCATTCTCCTGCCTCAGCCTCCTGAGCAGCTGGGACTACAGGCACCTGCCACCACGCACGGCTAATTTTTTGTATTTTTAGTAGAGATGGGGTTTTACCGTGTTAGCCAGGATGGTCTCGATCTCCTGACCTCAAGATCCACCCGCCTCGGCCTCCCAAAGTGCTGGGATTACAGGCGTGAGCCACCACGCCTGGCCCAGAAAAATTATTTTCATGTTCACATATTTGCCATTGCTTAAGACATTTATGTTAACAAATCTAAAACTTAACTGTTTCAACTCTGTGTAGCCCACAACCAAAAAAAGATGAATACAATTGGAACTAATTGTATAACTATCTCAGAAACTTTGGTACGTGAAGACTGGAATCCAGAAGAGAGATTTACACTAATCATCTCCATACAAATGGCAATCAAAGCCATTGATCTGAATAATATTAATAATATTAATAGTAGATGTTCCATGAATGTGTTACAGCTAAATCTTATAATATTTCCCAGATACTCAATATGTGTGTCGTAATATGCTTAAGCTATTCCCTTCAAATGTTATTGACTTCTTTATAGCAAAATTGATGTCAAGAGGTTAGTAATTTGGAGACAGATCAAGATGAAGAAACAAATAGCAGAAAGGTTGTTTTTCAGAACTAACACAGGGTCCAAATGAAGGAGTCAAGACTAGAAGTATGTAACAAAGGAGAGAATATTAAATAATGAGTCGTTTATGTATTAAAACAAACTGAACTAGAAGTTTTACTACAAGGATGAATTCCTTTCTGTACACTGGAAGCTAGAGTGATACTCATAGGAGACCATAGTTTTCTGTTTACAGAGGCTGAACAGGCATGAACTTAACTATGTGAAGATCGAACAGAGATGGCAATAATGAAAGATTTTTAATGTAATAATGATTAATACTAAAATCTAGAAAGGTAGTTTTTGAGGTTAAACTGGACAAGGTAATCATATTTAACAGAGAAAACTTGGTGAGAAATGAAATATAGTCTGAAGAGTAAGTGGTTCTTGGGTTTATAGTAATAATTTATTAATTTTATTTGAACATTTGGGAAGTAGCTTTAAAAATTCCTTTTTGTATTTCCAGAAATGTATATCTGAACTCCTGACTTACCACAGAATTTGGGCCCCTCTGACATTGTAGCATGCCCTGTGGTACTTGGCTATTGGGATATTTAATCCTTGACTACCTTATCTGCTCTCTTTTCTTCTCCCGGCAACCATGTGGAACCAGTTTGTGAGCAAAGAGTGGCTTAAGATGTAGTAAAATTGACATGAAACATGTATTTACTTGCTTCATGAAGTTTTTTTTTTTTAATCAGTTAAAGGGGTGTCTATAGAAAAAGTTAAGAGCTTAGGGCATTACTGTTATCAGAAAAAATTTGGAGTTAACATTAACAGAAATATTCAGTATTAGGAATGTTAGCTGTTGAAGTACGGAAATGAGTTCCTACATATTATGGGAAAAAATTTAGAAACTTTACATGGCATAAACCCAAAGGAAAGTAAAATTTGATTTAATATTCATTAATTTGCTCAATCATTAAATAAATGTTGCATGAATGCCTACCATATAGAAGTCTTATGCTGGACCTTGTGGGTAGAATAACAATGAGTAAAACATATCTCTCACCAGAGGGACCTCAGTGTTATGGTCTAGTGAACAATAATAATAAAAAAAACTAAGTACATGAAGAAAGGGATTTGTGTGATCAATGTGTTGGGAATTGAAGGCTGGTAGGCCATCTAACCACAATGGTTGAATTATTGATTTTTATCTTATCTTACTCCAGAAAGAATGTTTTAGAAATGAGATAGACAAAATGAAACAAACATGAAATCTGGGGTGTTAGGAACAAAAAACCAACCCTTATAAAGGTGGAAATACTTATGCACCTCCCCTTCTGAAAGATAAACTACAACCCAACCAAGTTTGAAGTAGGAACAGTAAGAAAGAAAAAATGAGTAGAATGTTGATTTCTTTCAGACAGAAAAAAGTAACCAATTGTATATATTTCAAATATTGTTAAAGTTACTCAGTAAGGCTTTGAAAAATTAAATATCATCTCTCAGTGTGAGATGATATCCATAAATGTGCTTTAAACTCTTCAAAAGGCAGTATGTGGCACTCACTGTTTGCTATTTTTTATCTCTTTATACATTTTTATTTTGCTGTATTGTCATGTCTCCATGACATTAAAAATGGATAATGAAAAGAGATGAAAAGCTTAAATCACTGTTATTTTCTTACAGCTTCAGGAGAGATTTGATGAAAAAAATTATATTTTGGCATCATCTTGACTCTTGAACTTACTCCCAGATCAGCTACAAATTTGTCCTATGGCCTGAGGCACTGAAAACACGACAGAGCTCTGCAATAATTTCCAGTCAGACCAGACAACCTAGTTATTCCCTTTTCCCAGGTGTCCCGGTGACCTATATTATTGTCAACAACAAGGCATTACTTCAGCTTCAAGTCTTGCAAAATCTACTGGATTGGAAGACCAGATATTCATTTCACCATTTAGCTGAAAATGCACAGTACATTTTAGAATGATGGGGTTTGTTTAGCTCATCTATCCGTCCATCCTTACTTTTATTCTATTGGGTTCTTAATTCAAAAGAAAGACTGCCACCTACTGGATGTGTGATACGAAGAAGATATTAGCATTAAAATATACTCTCTCATTAAAGGTTGATTCAAAATAATTGCAGAAGAAAATATTCAAAAGAATGTCCAATTTTTACAGATAAGTATTGAACATATTTCCTTAAATGATTTTATTATCAGCAAATACTGAATAAAAATTATTTAACAATGTCCATCTAATTATTTAGAAATAAAATTCCTTCTTCCTGTTCTTATTTTAATACATTAAAAATTAATTTACCTTTTTTCCAGTAATAGGGAATAATTAAGTATTCTCTTATGTTGTCTGTATAAAAATAGAATAATGATCTTGACAATTTAATACTATTTTGTGATACAAAAACTCAGGTTATAGAAATACTAACAACTTTTATAACCTAGATTCTAGTAATTAAAAGCAGTCAAATTTGAAAAGGAGAAAGGTGCTCTCGTGGTTCAAATAGAACCAATGATTTTTATCAACCTAAAGTTAGCATTTAAAGTCTAAATGGTTGGTTCTCTAACTTGCTATATTATATTTCTTATGTCTCTATTATTATTTATTCTGTAGAGTACTAGTTAGCCTTAAGAAATAATTAGCCCCTTTGCCTTCAGATGCCCTAATATTTACGTCTATGGGGGTCTACACCCAAAGAACCCCATTTTATCTGTTTGACTAGCCACATTTCAAGTGCTCAGTAGCCACATATGTTAATGGATACTGTATTGGACAGCTGGATTTATAGAACATTTCCATCATTGCAGAAAATTCAGAGGGACAGTGCTGATAGACATAAATACTGCAATATTCACTCCATTTCCCTTGTATTACTCTTAAAAATGTGCCATAATGTTATCTTTAAGAGTCAGTACTCTAGATTCCGTCTGGATTTTTATCTCAGTGTGGCCACTTACTGGATGATTTTCAGTACAATCAAGAAAATAACTGGGGAGGAAAGCATGAGAGTAGTTGTAGTATTGAGGGGTAAATCAACAATTAGTAAGCAAATATATATAGAACACCTACTAATCATTGGCATGACTGGAGCAGAGTCCCTATTCTAAACAGTTTATGCTCTAGCCAGGAAAAAGAGAAAATAAGCATGTAACCAAGTAAAAAGAACAGTTTTAGGTGCTGTGCAATGATACAGATAAAATGATAATATTATAGAGACAAGAGGGCTGCTTTGTAGGTAGATTTATTAGCAAATGCTCTCTGAGTTATCAGTTGATTGATAAGAAAATGATAGAGGGTAAAAATCTTGGGGAGGAGTGTGTGAAGCAAATAAAGCAATAAGTATAAAAGCCCAACAGAGAAAAAACTTGACATGTTTAAGGTACAAAGTCCAAAGTGGCTAGAGATTAGTGAAAGGGATAAGAATAAGAGAGAGATAAAATCAGGGAAGTCAGCCTAGTAGTTTGTATTTTCTTTTGGTTGCAGTGAAAAGCTCTTGAAGAATTTTAAACAAAATAGTACTATGATCTAAAATATACTTTTAACAGTCACGAATAAAATGAATCATGATTCATGCATCTATTAATCAGGACAAACTGAATAGAAGTGACCCTTCATCTGCATTTTGAAAGCATTGCTGCTGCTTCATCATCATCCTTTATTTTGCACATTTCCAGGGTATGAGAAAGGAAGTTCTCCCTTATCGTTTTCAGTAATAAACTTTTTTTCCCAGGCCACTTAATGAACTTTCTGGGCAGGGATCTTGGTGTGAGGAGAGATTAGCGTGGAGGCTGGGGTGGTGAATTAAGGGTGGATAAGCAGACTGCATTTACAACTAAAGTGGATGTTAGATTTACTGGGAAGAAGTCATGAAAGTCAATTTGGATAAGTTGGAAATAGAAGAAAAAAAATACTGCATGTAAATTTTCTGCAAATAAATGAAATGCACTCAATTGATTTCTGATTCTATTGTACAAGTAATGTAAAAACTAAGGGTTTGATATTCTGTTTTAATAATATCAATTACGTATACCTGCATATGACTTTTGAAGCCCCAATAATGCAGCTGTAATGGGGACAATGCAAGCTCAAATCACTGGAGGATAATATTTTAACCCTGTTTGCATTGTTTAGTGAGACAATGAATTCAGTTGATTTCATTGTGACGTATCTTGTAAATCATTGAATTATTATCTTTAACAGGGTCAATGTATGGCTCCCATCTCCATTTTACAGCATCACTGCCCTAGATAACACCTGGGGAATATGGACTAATAATCTCCACATTATTGGCTCATAAGTAGAGTGACCCTGTTATATATGAGGCATTTAAAAGGAAGATGCACTTATGTGCAAGGAAAAAAAGAAAAATAAATTCTTAGCTTTTAGGTAGAAAACAGAATTACATTTTTTCTCTTTCCTCCTTTGTTCAGTGAGAACATGAATATGACAGCAAATGAAAATTTGTGTTTATGGACACACTTATTCAATTTTGCTAATTTCCCTAATCTTAAGTGATTTTATGAGTTTTAATTTTAGTGCAACAGTGAAAAAAATTATAATTGCTGTTCTTCTCTATGCTTTACTTAGAATCTCCCAGTGTATATTTCTTAGAGGATGGGACTGACACCAGGTTACAGTTCCTATAATGTCATTCTAGTAGCCCGAAAAAAATGAGATACTCTAGTGCCTTAGTGATTAGTGCCCACTTGGTTGAGTGATTTAAATTATTTCTACCTAGCTCAGTATATTTTGAAAGGATTTGACACTGATAATAGCTGCGCTGGTTATGGGTATGAGACAATTCTCCGTTTCAGGGGCTAATTGATGTATCAAGAGAATGCAGCTGTCATAATTAAGAAGAAAAGACATTTAAGCCACCAGACACAAGATACTGCTGTAATAAATCGAACCTACAAAATCTGAAGTGAGTAGCCCAGTTACGCACACGCAATCTGGTTTCATTGATATCTTTTCCTTGTTAGAGTGTGAATCTAACTTCTAGCTTCAGGCACCAGGCCCAGGAAGCATCATTACTCAGTTGCCAAATGACCTAGATTTAAGATTCCTATCCATCCATAGGTTTGTGAGCTTTATCAAAAAATTGTGAACAGGTAAGGAAACACTTTTGCCTTTTCCTTTGACTAAATTAATTCCACCTAAATGACAAGTGTCTTGATTCTGAATCGCACTTGTCATTGAGCTGTTCATTTAATTAAATTCATGTGAATGTTCTGCCTAGTCCCTAAAATAATTTTAATTTCTGTACCAGTGCTAGTATCAGAGAAAAACAATTGAATGTAAAGTAAACACAGATCTGGATTAGTAGGGTAGTTTTCCAATTTTCACTAGATGAACCGATCTTGGTAACTTAGTGCTGTGAATTCTTACTTGTCTGTGCTAATTGGATCTAGAAGGGAAAGAAAAGTTTCCTGCCCTCTTGTTCCTCCTGGATTTAAAAACACTGAACAGATGCAGTGATATAAACCTGCATTCGAGTCCCTTATACTTTCCTTTACAGACACAATTGTGAATTGTGTTCTTCCTGCATTTGTAATTAGAGGGTGAAACAGATGGCAAAGGCTCAGTGTAAAGAGATGTCCATTAAAATAACTTATGCTGCCAAGTGATTGTTCATTCCAAGAGGGGGATTCAATTCAATTTCCTCCATGCAAAATAAAGCAGCAGCACGTACATGCTTTGAAGAAATGTCATTATGTAAGGCAATGAACACACTAGCTGGACAATACACTGAAAATACTAAAACTAAAAAGGCATAAATGACTTCATCTTTTTTTATAAATGAAGTTTACTGAAGGTGGAAGTTGAGGGAAGTTGAGGTTTAAATGGAAGTCCTTCAAAGTACAATTTAATATATTAACAATACCTGCTGTAAATCTGCTGTGGGTATACAGAAATGTAGAGTAATGTGTTTCTCTCCAAATGTTTAGCTGGACTTCTGGAAGCAAATGTAGAATCACTAGTAATGATGTGAGATATATCCCTCTACGTGTTAAACATTTATTTAGGAAGGCAACATAATGAAGACATTTTAACTATTATGTAAGACAACACAACATAGTGGTTAAGAGTGAGGATTCTGGAGTCATCCCATCTGGGTTTGAATGGCACCAACCATTTACCTGCTAAGTTACCTTCAGGAAATTATTTAACAATTCTGTGCTTCAGGTTTTTCCTATATTTAGTTGGAATGACTAAATATATCAATCTCAATGATTTTATAATTATCAACAGATGTAATTGATATTTTATTATTAAATAAATAAAAAGCACCTTTACTAGAATTTTATTTTATATCATACCAATATTAAGTACTAACTTCATCGTTTTTAAACATAAATCATTTTAAACATAAAGAACTTTAACAAATAATTTCCAGAAAGAAGCAACTGCTATTTTTCTGCTGTAAATAGGTAGGTGAACACCCTGGAAAATCAAGGTGGATCTACATATAACCACAAATTTCAAGTTTAAAGCTCGGAAAATTTTCTTGTCGGATGCCTGTGTTTTTGACAGCTTTCCTGTGTACTCAGAGCTGAAGAATATAAAACTGTTATCGAGATGAAAATTACAGAGAAATAATCCTTCAGAATGAAAATGATGTAATATTATTTTGGTAACTTAGTATCTGAGAATCCTCAGTGTAGGTGACATAAACATGTATGTGTTCTTATCAACCAAAAATTTTTAAAAGTATTTTAAGCTTTTACTATACACCTTGTACTATTCTGGCCACTGCATTTTGAGAGCCACTCAAATTCTGCTTGCAGGGAGCTTATGTTTTAACAGGAAGAACACCTCTGCCTTTTATTCTTCAGTACCTCTCAAATAAACATGAAGGGAAAAGAAAGATCCACAGGTCTAAAGCCATCTGCAAAGTTGGTAGAAGCTGCAAAACCTAGGAGTTTATTTAGTCTGTAGAATTGCAACCAGAATTTAAATGTTGCATCAAACTTTGTATCTAACCTTGGTCAAGTTGCTTAACCTCACCTTCATTTTAAAAGTCAAATTGTGGCTCTGTATCTTAGAGAGTTATGAGGAATAATTCAGTCAGTCTCAGGCAGTTTCTGGATCATATCTGGTATTCAATGAACACATGCTCCTTTTCTTCCTTTTCTTTTAGATACCACCCCAAAATTACTTCAATGCACTCTGTTTAAGATATTAATAACCTTTGAAACCTAATGTTAATGCAATGCAATTCTTTCTGCTAATATTTGATAATAGTCCAAATTTCACAGATTTGTGTCTAGACCTGAGGGCATTAACTCATATCAAACATCATATTTAATGTCAAAATAGGAATAATAATAGTTAACATTTACATAGCACATGTGCCAGGCACTGTTACAAGCAGTATTCATATATTCACTCACTTAATCCTCACAACAACCCTATAAAATAGGCATTATTATTCTTGAGGCACAAGGAGCTTAAAACTTGCTCAAGGTCTCGCAGCTAGTAATTGGTGAAGTTGGGATTTAAAGTTAGTGTTTGGCACTAGCATCAGCAATGTACTCAAATACTGCATATACCACATCTCAAAGCTACAAGGACCTTATAAATTCAGGTACAAGAAAAGCACTCTATCTTATGGTATTTTACTTGAGGCCCTAGACCTGCAATAGGAACAATAAAAAATGAAATATAAATATTGGAGAGAAAAATATGAAGGCATCTTTCTATGTGAACAATATTATCCTTTACCTAGAAAAACCCAACAGAATCAACAAAATATAACTGAAGCAATAGTAAAATAGATCAGTAAAGTGATGTTATGTAAAATTAAAGTATAAAATCATTATTTTTACAAATAGCAAACATTCAAATAAGAATATAAATCATAAAATTGTAAGAATAAACCTTGTGCTCTGGCTTAATGCTGGAAACATAAAACTTTAAAGCTAGAGGAACTAAAAGAAGATTTTCATAAATGAAGAAATATAATGTGTTCATGAATGTAACATCTTAGTATTCTAAAATTTTAATTTTCAAAATAATCTTTAATGTTACTATAATAGCTGTGGAATTTCCATCAATATTTTTCATGGAACCTGAAAGTCAACTCTAAAGTTCATATGAAGAAGAAAATAACAGAATAGTAAAAATAGTTTTGATGAAGAATAACAGATGTCATATTAAATATTAAAACATAGTTGAAAAATATAATAGATAATAAGTTGAGATATTTAATGGAACACAACTGATCCAGAAATTGACATATAGAAAGCTAAATACCAAAAAATCTTTTTCAGATCAATTAATAAAAGATAGACTACTTAATAAATGGAGTTGAGATAATTTTCTATCCATTTGGAAAAAAATACTTGGAATCCTACATTTGAAGAGTCTCAAAAATGTGTTCCAGATTCACCTAATATATATATGTAAAAATAAAAACTATTTGCTATTTGCAAAAAAAAAAAAAAAAGAAAAAACATAAAAATAAGAAAAATGGGAAACTGTGTCCGTGACCTTAGAGCAGGAAAGAAATTCTTTCAAAAAGATAAGGGGAAATATATGAATAAAAATTGATAAATTTGATCATGGTAAAATATTTCCAAAGACAAACTATACCACAAAGTTAGAGAATAAGTGGCAAGCTGGTAGAAAGCATTACAGCATACAACACAAAATGAAGTTCAACAAATATCTAAAAAATAAGGAAAGCATATGAACAGTCAAAAGTCGTATGAGAAGAGTAAATCAATACACACATGAAAAGATAACTTTTAATTACTTGCAATGGGGAAAATGAAAATTAAAATAATGAGATACCATTTTCACTTATCAGACTGTCATCAAATTTAGTCTTTAAGTACAAAGTGTTAACTACTGTGTGGAGAAACAAGTACTCTCTATGTTACTGGTGGTTGACTAAAGGTATAGCAATTTTTTTTTTTGAGACAGGATCTCACTCTGTCAACCAGGCTGGAGTGCAGTCGTGCAATCACAGCTCACAGCAGCCTCAGCTTCTGGGCTCAAGCAATCCTTCCACCTCAACCTCTCAAGTACCTGGGACTCTAGGCATGCACCACCACACCCAGCTAATTTTTATATTTTTTGTAGAGACAGAGTTTTACCATATTGCTCAGACTGGTCTCAGCCTCAACTTCTGAGCTTAAGCAATCCTCCAACCTTGGCCTCTCAAAATGCTGGGATTATAGGCATGAGTCACCATGTCCAGCCAAGGTATAGCAATTTTGCGGAGTAATTGGATAGTTTCTGTGAAAAAAAATTTAAACATCTATAATTTCCAATAATTATTTTAAAGTATCTACTCTGGAGAAATTCCTACACATATACAATATATCTCATCCAAGAATGTTCTCTGTATTATTTGAAATACAAAAACAAAAGAGAAATGGAAACAACATAGATAAATATAAAAAGAAAGCTGTTAAATAAATAAATTATGGTACATACATACCATAGAATACTTTGGGTCAGTTAAAAAAAAAGATGGAATTTATGGACTTCTATGGGAAGATTTACAACACAATGCTTTTGGGTGAATCAGTGTGGTATAATTAATGTATATTACCTATAAAATCTCTACATATATATATACTACTTGTACAGTTTTATAAGACTGGAAACTCTTTTTACAAGTTCAAGTTGTTGACAACAGAGTGGCATCATTCTGGCTGCCAGTGATTAGGTAGAATCTCTGAAAGAAAAGACTCCTAAATTAGAACTTGATGTGGGACTAAGGGAGCAATCATGGGATAGGGAAATACAGGCCGAGTTCTTATTTCAAGATTGGTTAGCATCTTGACAGTGCACATTTCATCTAGAGTAACTAAAGTGAACATTAGAGATGACGAAAATTGACGATATTGTATTTTATTCACTTCATATTGAATTGCCATTAATGTGCAGTCATTTTCAGCCCTTCAGTATGTTTTGAATTAGTAATTTGGGAACAACCTAGAACGTAATGATTGTGCATGTTAAAATAGCAATAGATATGTTGTAGCTTCACCAAATAGATTCTTATTGGTAACATTTATGATATTTTTTCTTGAGCTCTTCATTTTGGTTCTAAATCTAGTTTAGCATATTTGTTATTGCCTCAGTTTGATATTGAAATAGCTGTAAAAATAAGAATGTCATGGTTCTTACCATAACAAATATTAAGGTAGTGTTGTGAGGCACTTAGTCATCAATCCTGTAGCCTCTGTTATTCTTTCAAATATTTCCCAAAATACTGAGGTTTAATAATAGTTTTAAAAATTATCATATGAACACAAACTTTTTAAAAAGACATTTCTAATTCATTGTAAAATTCTGTGGTGAAAGTTATCTCGTCAATTTGGACTTTTTAAGGCTGTGGTAAAATTATTTAAATGGGGAAATAATTTTTGCTTTTCATAGAGATTACTATCGGGAATTTTAGTCTGTACTAAAATATTATCAAAATGGAATGAAATAGACATTATGTCTCATTTTGAAAAAGGAGACAACCTTCCTCGACAGTGTTCTGGCTTCTTAGAATCACCTCAACATTAAATTGCGTTCTAATGTTAGATTAGCTCTGAGAATCAACATTAAATGGTACAGCTGCTGCAAGTGCAGTATGGCTCTGAGGCTGCAGGATTTGACCAGCAGAGGGATATCTAAGAAGCATGAGAAGCATTAGCAAATACACAGAAGCACCTCTGAGACTTTAAAATTTTTTCTTTATTAAAAAAAAAATTATCCAAACCTTTCTTAGAAGAGCGTGCCGGTGAACTGACTAATAGCATGAACTTTCCAACCAGACACATGTCAGTTGAATTGACTCCATCATTACTAGCTGTGTGATCACAAACATTTTTCTTTTTCTTTTCTTTTTTTTTTGAGATGTAATTTCACTCTTACTGCTTAGGCTGGAGTGCAATGGCACAATCTCAGCTCATCGCAACCTCTGCCTCCTGGGTTCAAGCGATTCTCCTGCCTCAGCCTCCTGAGCAGCTGGCATTACAGGCACACACCACCACGACCAGCTAATTTTGTGACCCAGATGCAAGACAAGAAGTCAAAGGAGATCATCTTGTAACTTTACTGCCCTGATAGATTTTGGACTTGCATGGAGTCTCCAGCCCCTGTTGTGGTCAATTTCTCCCATTTGGAATGGATTTTTTTTTTTTTTGCAATGGAGTCTCGTCATGTCGCTCAGGTTAGAGTGCAGTGGCATGGTCTCAGCTCACTACAACCTCCACCTCCTGGGTCCAAGCAATTCTTGTGCCTCAGTCCCCTGAGTAGCTGGGATTACAGGCACTGGCCACCACATCCTACTAATTTTTGTATTTTTAGTAGAGACAGGGTTTCACCATGTTGGTCAGGCTGGTCTCAAACTCCCAACCTCAGGAGATCCGCCCACCTTGGCCTCCCAAAGTGTTGGGATTACAGGTGTGAGCCACTACTTCTGGCCAATGTTTTTCTTTAACTCTAAATCAGACCTACAAAATGAGGATAAGAATATCTACCCTTGGTTACCATGTGTCTCAGTCTGTTTGGGCTGCTGTAACAAAAATACTTAGAATGGGCAGCTCAACCAAACATTTATTTCTCACAGTTCTGGAGGCTGGAGAGGTCTAAGATTAAGGCCCTGGCAGATTCAGTGTCTAGTGGAGGCCACTTCCCAGTTCATAAATGGCCGTCTTCTCTCTATGTTCTCACATGACAGAAGAGGTGAGGGGGCTCTCTGGAGTCTTTTATAAGGGCACTAATACCATTTTTGAGGGCTCTGCTCTTATGACCTAATTACCTCCCAAAAGTACCATCTCCAAATAAGATTTCAACATACGAATTTTGGAGGGGCACATTCATTCGTTAGCAGCATGATAATTAAATGAGATAATGCCTATAAAGTACTTAGGACCCGGTACATCACAGATGCACAAACTATTAGATTTCATCAATCTAAGATGCCATCATTGTAAAATGGACCATTATTTTATGTACCATATGTAAAAAGACTATAAATTTCAAAAATGTTAACGTGAAAAATATGTAATAGAATAGATAAAATATAGTGATGACCTCATTTATCAGACTGTTGTTCCATCCAAACAAATGTAGCCATTTCAAGGACTACTTGACGTTTAAATTGAGTATTTAACAAGAATTTATTTTCTTAAATACTACTTTTATATGGAAATATACAAAAATACAGACACATGTACCTTTCTTTCAAAAGAATTTGTAATGTATTTGGAAAGGACAAATGTTAATTAGTCATAAGGAAGTTCAGGCTTCTTATGAAGAAATTCCTTCAATCCTGTATTAGTCTGTTTTCATGCTGCTGATAAAGACATACCCGAGATTGGGTAATTATAAAGAAAAAGAGGTTTAATGGATTCACAGTTCCACATGGCTTAGGAGGTCTCACAATCATAGCAGGAGGCAAAAGGCCCATCTTACACGCTGGCAGACAAGACAGAATGAGAACCAACTGAAAGGGGTTTCCCCTTATAAAGCCATCAGCTCTCATGAGACTTATTCACTACCATGAGAACACTGTGAGAGAAACTGCCCCCATGATTCAATTAGCTCCCATTAAGTCCCTCCCACAACATGTGGGAATTATGGGAGCTATAATTCAAGATGAGATTTGGGTGGGGACATAGCCAAACCATATCGTTTCACCCCTGGCCCCTCCTAAATCTCATGTCCTCACATTTCAAAATCAATCAGGGCTTCCCAACAGTCCCCCAAACTCTTAACTCATTTCAGCATTAACTCAGAAGTCCACAGTCCAAAGTCTCATCTAAGACAAGGCAAGTCCCTTCCATCCATGAGTCCATAAAATCATAGGCAAGTTAGTTACTTCTTAGATGCGCTGGGGGTACAGGCATTCAATAAATACAGCTGTTCTAGGCTGGGTGCGGTGGCTCACACCTGTAATCCCAGCACTTTGGGAGGCCTAGATGGGCATATCACCTGAGGTCAGGAGTTTGAGACCAGCCTGACCAACATGACAAAACCCTGTCTCTACTAAAAATACAAAAATTAGTAGGATGTGGTGGCCGGTGCCTGTAATCCCAGCTACTCGGGGGACTGAGGCACAAGAATTGCTTGGACCCAGGAGGTGGAGGTTGTAGTGAGCCGAGATCATGCCACTGCACTCTAACCTGGGAGACATGAAGAGACTCCATTGCAAAAAAAAAAAAAAAATCCATTCTAAATGGGAGAAATTGACCCCAACAAAGGGGCTGGAGACTCCATGCAAGTCCAAAATCCATCAGGGCAGTAAAGTTACAAAATGATCTCCTTTGACTTCTTGTCTTGCATCCAGGTCACACTGTTGCAAGAAGTAGGTTCTCATGGTCTTGGGCAGCTCTGCCCCTGTGTCTTTGCAGGGTACAGTCTCCTTCCCAGCTGCTTTCACAGGCTGCTGTTGAGTGTCTGTGGCTTTTTCAGATGTGCAGTGCAAGCTGTCAGTGGATCTACCATTCTGGGCTCTAGAGAATGGTGGCCCTCTTCTCACAACTCCACTAGACAGTGCTCCAGTGGGGACTCTGCATGGGGGCTCACACCCCACATTTCCCTTCCACACTGCCATAGCAGAGGTTCTCCATGAGGGCCCCGCTCCTGCAGCAAACTTCTGCCTAGACACACAGGCATTTCCACACATCCTTTGAAATCTAGGTGGAGGTTCCCAAACCTCAATTTTGACTTCTGTGCACCTGCAGGCTCAATACCATGCAGAAGCTGCCAAGGCTTGGGACTTGCACCCTCTGAAGCCATAGCTCAAACTGTACCGTGGACCCTTTAGCCATGGCTGGAGCAGCTGGGACACAGGACACCAAGTCCCTAGGATGAACACAGCAGGTGGACCCTGGGCCCGGCCCAGGAGACCATATTTTCCTCCTAGGCCTCCAGGCCTTTGATGAGAGGGGCTGCTGCAAAGGTCTCTGACATGCCCTGGAGACATTTTTCTCATTGTCTTGGCGATTAACATTTGGTTCCTCGTTACTTATGCAAATTTCTGCAGCTCCCTTGCGTTTCTCCTCAGAAAATGGTTTTTTTTTCTTTTCTATTGCACCATCAGGCTGCAAATTTTCCCAACTTTTTGCTCTGTTTACTGAATGCCTTTAACAGCCCAAGTCACCTCTTGAATACTTTGCTGCTTAGAAATTTCTTCCACCAGATACCCTAAATAATCTCCCTCAAGTTCAAAGTTTCATAAATCTCTAGGGAAGGGGTAAAATGCCACCAGTTCCTTTGCTAAAACATAGCAAGAGTCACCTTTACCCCAGTTCCAACCAAGTTCCTCATCTCCATCTGAGACCACTTCAGCCTGGATTTCATTGTCCATATCATTATCACCTTTTTTGGTCAAAGCCATTCAACAAGTTTCTAGGAAGTTCCAAACATTCCCATATTTTCCTGTCTTCTTCTGATCCCTCCAAACTGTTCCAATCTCTGTTCGTTTTCACACTCCTCATAAAGATATGCATGAGACTGGGTAATTTATAAATCAGAAGAGGTTTAATGAACTCACAGTTCCATGTGACTGGGGAGGACTCACAATCATGGTGAGAGGTGAAAGGCACATTTTACATGGTGCCTGACGAGAGAATGAGAACCAAGTGAAACAGGTTTCCCTTTATAAAACTATCAGATCTCATGAGATTTACCAAGAGAACAGTATGGGGGAAACCGCCCCCATGATTCAATTATATGGGGGAAACCACCCCCATGATTCAATTATCTCCCACTGGGTCCCTCACACAACACCCAGGAGTTGTGGGAGCTGCAATTCAAGATGAAATTTGGGTGGGGACACAGCCAAAGCATATCAAATCCCTTTGACCGAGAGGCATCTAGCAGATACTTGAACACCTCCTGATGGTAACCTTAGTTCAATGAGCTTGTCCTGTCCTTACATTTCTGGATAGGCCTAGTCTTTAGAATGTTATTATTTCTATCTTTTATTAAACCTGTGTCTCAAAAAGCCATTGTGTGACCCTAGTTCTTTCCATAATCACACATAATATTAACTAACTGTCTTACACAGTGGACTGACAACTATTAGATGGTGGCTATTTTGTCTAATTTCTCCTCAAAAAGTTGTTTCTTCTTTGCATAGTAGTAATAGTTAATATTTCTGAGAGCTAAATACATTCCTGACAATATTCTAAATGTTATGCATGGTTTAGTTCATACAATTCTCCAGTGATCACTGGATCATGTTTAGCACATACTATTGATGTCGTAAGTTAACAGTGAAGCAAGTGGGTATGGAGAACTGGAATAACCCTTCCTAGCTTCCCTGGGTGGTATGGAGGTAGAGTCAGGATCCAGCCCCAGGCCTTTCTAACTGTTGAGAAAACATCAATTACTAGTGGGATGCATTGCTACTTAAAACAGTCTCAGCTATCTCGTAGGATTTTCATAATTTGTATTAAATTTCTTGAAATATGCTGTAGTTAATAAAAAGTCCCTCTTAAAATGTAGTATACCAGTAAAGAAACAGTTCTTCAGAAGTGGCCTGATGCCACAGAGTAAAGTGAACCTATTATTTGCCTTGGCAGTTAGGTAGTAGTGCTCTGTAACCTAAGTTTGTACTGCACTTGTTTCTTAAGTAGATTCATTGTGCAGGAGGCTCATTCTGAAAGGATGTTCAAGTGAGAACCCTAGGATCTTATTCTATAAACTTCTGTCAACATTTGTAGCTTCTATTTTTTAACTTATATAATTGCTTGATAATGTTTTCCATTTATTTTTGAAGCAATACGGAAATTTACATTCATACCTATTAAAGTTTCTGGTGCTGTGGAGAGCTACTGAGATATATTATAATTTGAGGTTTATTCCTCAATGTGTTGGCTGTTTTTCCTGGGAATAATGTACAAATTTTAGTATTTCATTTACATTTATAATTATACATATTCATTATAAGAAGTTAGTTAGGGTATCTTTAAAAATAATTCTGCCTCTGAATTCCCAATACTCTGTGTGTATGGGTATAAACCCACCACATTATTTCTGCATGTTTCCCCTTTTCTGTATCAGAGCATCATGGGGCCATTTGTTAGAGGAAATTGTTTCTGGTATCTGACATATTGCTAACTAGTGTTTAGTTTCTAGTTATCAAATATTGCATCTCTTTTGCGTTTTCATAAGTATTTCATAGAGGAAATGAGTAATCAAGTATCAGGTAATATTATATGGTCATCCAACCCACAGAGTGCTAGAAAATATTCACAAACTATGCATCTGACAAAGGACTAATATCCAGAATCCACAAGGAACTCAAACAGAACAGCAAGAAAAAAAACAATAATGTCCTTGAACTAGGCAAAGGACATAAATAGACAATTATCAAAAGAGGATATACAGTCAACAAAAAAATAAAAAAATGCTCAGCATCATTAATTATCATGTAAATGCAAATGAAAACCACAATGAGATGCCACCTTACTCCTGCAACAGGGGCCATAAAAAAAGTTGTTGTGGATCTGGTGAGAAGGGAACATTTCTACACTGCTGGTGGCAATGTAAACTAATACAACCACTATGAAAAACAGTGTAGAGATTCCTTAAAGAACTAAAAGCAGAATTACTATTTGATCCAGCAATCCCACTACTGGGTAGCTACCCAAAGGAAAAGAAGGTATTGTAGGAAAAAGACACATGCACATGCATGTTTATAGCAGCACAATTCACAATTGCAAAGATATGGAAGTAACCTAAGTGCCCATCAACCAATGATTGGATAAAGAAAATGTGGTATATATGCACCATGGAATATTACTCAGCCATAAAATGGAATGAAATAATGTCTTTTGCAACAACTTGGATGGAGGCCATTATTCTAAGTGAGGTAACTCAGGAATGGAAAATCAATACTGTATGTTCTCACTTATAAGTGGGAGCTAAGCTATGAGGATACAAAGGCATAAGAATGATATAGTGGGCTTTGGGGACTCAGTCAGGGAAGGATGAGAGGAAGGTGAAGGATAAAAGACTACATATTGGGTTCAGTGTACACTACCTAAGTGACAGGTGCACCAAAGTCCCAGAAGTCACCACTAAAGAACTTATCCATGTAACCAAAAACCACTTGTACCCCAAAAACTATTGAAATGGAAAATAAAATAAAATTAAAAAAATATAGTCATCTTGATCAGAAACCCTTGCCATTAATAAAAAAGAAACGAAATAGTTGCTAATTTAAGTATAAGCTGGCATACAGCTGAGTTCTTAGATCTATGGTGTGCATCACTGTAATAGTGCCTTTTCATGGCTGAGATGTCGTTGTTTAGTACAGTAGTTATATCAGCTACTAAGCTATCTTTGGAAACCTGGTGGTAGCAATTACCACAGAGATCTAGACCTAACCCACAGAACTTCAAGTTGTTCACCAAATGCTAGGTCCTTTGGTCAGGTCCAGAGACCAAAAAAATGGGTCATAGTAATGCCTGGGGTGATTGAATTATGAGAGAAAGATTCACAGTAAGTAATCTGTACACAAAATTGCCACTGACAGAAGAAAGCAAGTCATCTACTGATTAATAACTGTCAGAATTATTGGACACTGGAAATGCACACAGAGTCTTTTTTTTCTTATGTTCATTCAACAAAAGGAGTTAAATAACAATCAAAAGATTCTTCTGGTACATATAAAATCAAGGCAGAGAATATTTAAGCATCTTGGAAAAAACAGAAGTAAAACATTAACATGGAGATGGTAAGTTAAGTGTACAATCCCTCATTTGTGATTAAAAAAAATACTAAAAAAAACTCTGAAAATTGAAAAAAAATTAATACCTCATTTAGAAGCAAACTCTGCTCTTACCTGGAAAACTGACTATTTTACTGCAGAAATACGAATATGTTTGATTACATAGCACTCATAGAGATCCTGCTGGGGTTGGTACATAATATATGGTATTTGGACTATTTTGGCTATCTAAAATCTGAAAATACATGATGCTAAATGTATCTAACACTAAGAGATTTTGGAAAAAAGATTATAAACCTCTACTTAAAGTCCTTCAGCTAAGAGTCCTTTTAAGTTAAGAGAACTTGCAGGACATTTTTTGTACTGTACAGATAACTTTGCCAGTGGAAATAGAAAACTCCAAGTTAGTTTGCCAGGGATTTTTCCACTCTGAGTAGTGAATATGTAATATCCAGTTGGACATCTGTTCTCTTTGAATGTTGGTTCTTTGGTTGTCATTCTGTTTAGATATATTCATATTATATTCAGTGCCTGTGCTAGATATGTTCATTAATAGGCCCATCCTCCACCCTGGTAATCCCTTGCCTAGAAACCACGAGGTGTATATGTGACTCACACCTGTCCACAGCTAATTGGGCCAGGAGCTGTCAACTGGTCTGAGATGAAAGAGGCAGTGATTTGGCCTGACCCAAAAAGATGAGCTGGGTCTCTCTCTCCTTTCCTCTTTGGAATTTAGATGATCAGAAATGATGCCATGAGATATATTAAAGGCCGTGGAGATTGAATCCAGAAGGAGCCAGAGTTATGAGGAGGGAGACATTGTAAGGGGCATTAGAGAGGAGAGCAAGTAACAATTACGTAGAGAGATATAGTTATTCAATGAGAGAAAAAAATCATGAGCCCCAAGAGAAAAATAGATCAACTCATTGGTAGGGCTCTCCTGACTTTGGTACTTTTTCCAGTACCAGTTCTAGTCCCATGTATCTGCATAATTTGTTTCTTTTGATTGCAGTAGCTTGAATGAGTCTCCATTCTTTGCAACTGAAAGAGATCTAACCAAAATTGTGGCACAGCTTTAATATACTAACACTGCCTGATTTTCCTTAACTTAGGAGTTAATGTTGCATTAGGAAAAAAAATTGGAGCCTATTAATTAGAGTTTTATTTTTAATTGGGGGTAAAACCACAACCTATGGTAAATATTGATTCAATTGTTTTACTCTAAGAAGGCAATCTCATTTTCCCATCTAATTTCCAAGTGTTTGAAAATATTATTTGAAGTTATGTGCAGCCATATGTCTGAGATTTAGTTCATGGAACATGTGCGGAAGTGATAAATGCTGATTAAAGTCAGAAAACACCTTTCTCTTTCCCTTTCTGGTGCCTGGATGCTAATGCCAGGGTGACCTCAGAAACCAGAAGATGATGATATCACTGTCTCCATCAGCCTGGATGTCTGAATAAATGAGTGCAGTAGGGACTTCCCCCGCCCCCATGCCTAGAGCTTTCATATTTGGCTCTTATATAAGTGTGAAATCAATGTCTGTTGTGTTTCTTTATTTTATCCGTTAGAACATAAACATTAACATCCATACTTGGATGTTAATAAGAAATCTCCTTTAACGTCTAAGTACAGAAAATACTATCTAATTTTACTATTATCTAGCTTGCATTTCCTTATGAAAATATACTTGGGAGATGTATCTTGAAAAATTGGATAAACATCCTGCTTGAATATATGGATCCTGCATTCCTTATTTTACTAATTTATTTGTACACTTTTCACAAATAAGATATTTTACTGTTTCCTGTAGAAGTGATTGCAGTTTCTTGAGAAACTTTGTTTATTCACATTTAGGTGCATGAGTCATTCTAATATTTAGTTGCTAAGGATATTTAAGAGGAAAGGGATGATTCTTTTCCATACATAATACATATATGATACCAAAAGTGTGTGAAAGGCTCTGATAGTTCCTAGAGCCTGATAATAACTTTTAAATATCTTATACCATTTTAAAGTTCAGGCTTATGTCATTTTTAGTGATTACAACTAAGGTAGAATAGCCTTTCATTTATAGTAAAACTGCTTCTTAAACATACACTTTCAGCCAAGTATGGGGGAGTTATGCCTCTAATCCTAGCACTTTGAGAGGCTGAAAGTGAGGGGATCACTTGAGCTCAGGATTTCAACGCCATCCTGGGGAACATAGCCAGACTCTGTCTCTACAAGAATTAGCTGGGTATGGTGGCTTGCACCTGTGGTTCCCGCTCCTCAGGCGGCTGAGGATCACTTGAGCCTAGGAGTCCCAGGCTCCCAGGCTACAGTGAGTTAGGAAAGTGCCACAGCACTCCAACCTGGGTGACAGAGCAAGACTCTATGACAACAACAAAAAAAAGTACACTTTTATTCTTTCAATTAAAAATTTGTCCATTGCCTGATAACTGAAAGTTGATTTTGCAAACATATAAGTTAGATTGTGCTTTACTAGGAAAAGGTAGCAAAATTTCAAGAAGTCACCACGAGGACCTGCTGGAGTTTTTCTCCTAAGGGTCTGAGATACTCTGCTGCTTTGTTTCTTGCTTCCCTTCCTGATAAAACATAGTGTTTGGTTGTTATGCTTTACTTTAGCAGCACATTAGTGTCATACCTTCACAGAAGAGAAAATTCATAGTTTACAATGCATTTTCACTATGAAACGTATCTGATGGTACAAAAATAATCCTTCTAAACCTTTGGGTCAATTTCCCCCCCGAAAATGTTATTTTAGTTTTACGTAAAGTGAAACCCACATATTACCATGGCTTCTTGTATTTCTCTGACTGCTTTACATTTCACCCCCTGGAAGGGCTTTCCGTGAATCTGAAATACATAGATTTCTCTATGGAATTCCTTTTGAGATCATAAAAAAATGTTAAGTGAATTTATTTGTTGAGGATTCCCATCATTAACTTTTCTCTGTTCAGAAAAGTGCCCATTTGTTCCAACTTACCATCATTTCTCGGGTATAAACAGATATTTATCCAAGAACAAACACTTTTCCCAAAATGGGATCAATCTTAGGACCTTAGGAGTCACCTTTTTCAGTATCCATCCAATGATTAAATTCAGCTGTAATATAAGGATGCTTTAAGGCGTTTCTGAGGCAAACAATTTTACCTTTAGGCAGTATTATCTGTTACGTGATATGTGGACATTACCAGAGTTGGCCACAGATTTTCTTTAAATATTTAAATTTTCTCATGTCTTAGGGGAAAAAAAACTGTAGAAATTAAATTTGCATACACATTTGTGTGAGTCTAAAATAATATTATATATTGCCATGTAAGTTGTGAGAAAACCTCCTTTTTTGTAGTTAGGCAATATATTCCTATTCAAGAAATTTGATATGTCCAAATTACTCTTTAAAATTGTCTACCTCTCCTCCCTATATAATGTGGTATAGCAGCAAGACAGGGTATAGAGATCAAAGAGTCTAGAATGAAAAGTAATTTTCTATCCCGTTTCTGCTGCTTGCCGACTCTGGAAACTCAGCCTCTCTGAGCCTCAGTTTATCCTCATGTAAACGGTAAGAATAATAGCATTAGTATAGATATTCTTTATGTCTCAGGTTAACTGTATGTATCTAGTTGAATTTTGTGTATAAAAATACTTTGTAAAATGTGAAACCATGTATTTTCTTTAATTATGTTTATTAAAGAAACAAATATATTTCTAAGGTACGTACCATGGAATTGATTCACATGAGGCAAAGAAGCATGCTTAGTTGGCCAGTATTTTTCACATTGCATATGAGAATGTTGTAACTCATTAAAAATTTATATTGTATTTTTCAAAATCATGTGTAACCTGAGTAACATAGCCATGCTATAATTCATAATATATGAGACATTTAAAATGACCTTCTTGTCTTACATTATTGTCCCAGAAGCTCATTTTGGAATATGTGGAGACTAGACAGAAACCAATTATTGGAACATGTCAGTTAATTGATTTTATATCTGGTGGGGAGTGCAGGAGATTGGGGTTAGTCATTTTAGGAAATTGGTAAATGTCACAATTTCTGGGATAAGCAAAGGGAAACACATGTGAACGTTATTTAAAGAGCTCCATCTCAGCCTGAATTTCTTAGAACTGTAGCTTGAGACAGAACTTATATGCTAAAACTGTATTGGGGCTTATTACCTGGGAAGGCAAAAGCCAAAAAAAAGAAAAACAAAACAAAACAAAAAAAAACAACTACAAAAAAAGGGGAATTGAGACAAGAAAGAAGGGAAAACTGAGACATGGTGTTGCATTGCCAAGCTGGCCTCAGCTTCTCAAGAAAACACAATTGGTTCCTGGATCATACATGAAGCCTCCAGAGAGGAAGAAGGAAAATATACTTGCTTGCTCCTGTTCCTTCTTGTCTCTCATTGGTCAAAGTCTGACCCACAACATGTTAACTCATCTGCACATCTGGGTTATTTGACAAGGATTCTCTGGGCAGCTGTTGAGGAAACCACAGTCTCTGTGGTCGAGAAGCTCAGATGTCACCACTGAGGAGGCTGGGGCTGAAGTGTTTTCAGGAGATGAAGTGGTTGCAGGGGTTGCGGTGGTTGCAGTGGTTGCCAGGCCTTTACGACCATAAGCAGAGCTTGGGTAGTCACTGGGTTTCTCCAGACAACCAGGAAGAAAGCACGTGGCAGAGGCTTGGATGGGAGGTGGAGGTGTCAGTTGGGTTTGGTATAAGTCTGCCCCAGCCCACCGGCATGACAAGAATTACACAATTTGTCTTATTAGATAGGAAAATGCAATAAACTTTCTCAAACCCATATGCCTAACTTAGCTCATCTACTTAGAGGAATTGTAACCTAGGAAGGAAGTAGCTTTTGGTTCCCTACCAACTATAAACCATACTTACAAAAAATCATTTATACAAATGACTCTGCATGTTGTAAATGACCAAGATCATTATCATCTAATTGCAATCATTATCATTATCTAATGGTATTTCTGAAAGGGACCACCTGCCCATTTCTAAGCAGATGCACAAGTGATGGATAGATAACTAAATCATTACATTAGGGTACATTTAAGTAGATTAAAAATTTGATTTGGAATTAGACCAAGGTAAGCCCGCATGACTTTCCTTAATAGAAACATATTTAGAAAAAGACATAATTTTAGGGCTGTTGGAATTTTTAAATAGTTTTTCCAAAAATTTGTTTGTTAAAACATTTATGTAGCTGAGATGACATAAGAAAATGTATTGCAATAAAAAACTATGTTAATTTCAACTGGAAAAAGTGGTATGCATAGAGACTGAGGAAGTAAATCAAGAAATATAGCATATTAGCAAATACATTAAAAGTGAAGCTTTACCGTAGGAAAATATTTGCTATCAACACATAGCTGCCCTCTGAGGGAGGTAAAGATACACTGTATTGAAAGACAAAGAAGGATAAGGACTAGCTAGCTGGATCATTATTGGAAAGCCAACAAACCAAACATTCAGGGGCTAGCCTAATGACATAGCTGCTGACTTGAGAAAAATTAATCCTTCTTTAAAATATTTGATTAAATTGCACAAATGAGAGTCCAACTTAATCAAACCAAATAAATTCTTTCTTGAGCAGCATAAATTATGCTTTTCCTGCTTCGGTGCACATACTCACAGGCTGTCGACTGGCCGTTTTAGAGTGCAGTTCTGCATTTAACTGCTGTGTCATGCCTAATGGAAAATGTACTCAGCAAGATGGTTATTCCATTGAATTTTGGAAGCAGTTAGGAACACTAATAGCCTCTTATTTTTCCAACATGCTTAATGATATAATGAATATAAAATAATTTCATCTACAAATCAACATGACCTTTTTATAACAAAAGAGAAACAAAAGGATCCATTACTTTACAGAAATTCTCGTCTACAGCAGATGTTCCATTGAATTCTATCCTCAGGATTCTATAAAAAGTACAGACTGTGAGGTGAAAAAAGGGTTTTTTCTCTCTCACAATTTTTAATGTTAAATGAGAGTATGAAAACTAGATGATCCAAAGAATTGACAGATACTCCATAATAAAAAATCCTTCAAACTCCATGGATATAGAAAACATAGTAGTAAGTCAATTTTAACATGTACTTTGAAACCAGTTTTATTAGTAATTTTTTAACAAAAGCCAGCATTAATATAATCTTCTAATTTGTTTATACTCCATGATGAGAGAGCCTCCTATTGTTACAATCTGCTGGATTGTCAAGAAACAAAGGAAGACAAACTAAATTTAAAGAAATTTCTCATCAGAAATCTTAAACATTTGAGCAAAACTAATATATGCAGACAATTGAATGGAATTTTCCCATATCGGAATATAGATGACATTTAACATGTATTTGTATGTGAGAAAATCTTTAGACACCTAGTGTAACAAATTATCACCATTTGCAAGGAAAATAGGACACTGTGGCATAAAACAAGGGACTGACACTATTTAAACAGATTTATGCTGTAAGTGAGGTGTTTGGGAGGTGAAGTTATGAGATTAATTGGTCCAAATAAAAGTCACAGTAATGGTTTTTGGAATTTAGATGATCCTTCAGGCTATTGCCTAGGCATTGCTACCTTTCTTGCCCATCTTCTGACTTCTATCACTTCAATACCTTGAACTATACCAGGCTTTAAATTATCTTTGAAGTTACTTGATTTAATCTTTTCTATGAGCTGCAAATCTGCCATGTTTGCTCTGACCTGTCCAAAGAGTCATCTTTCTCCTAAAAAGCAAACATAAATTATGATTTTAGGTGAAAGAAGGGGAAAGAGAAGGAATAAAAGGCAGATGAATAAAACTGATTGAGATAATGCACATGAGGAAATTAGCACTTTGCAGAAGAGCACATTGGAATGCTCAAAGATGTGAGTTGTTATTAGATGAAATGAATTCATGCTTCACAACTTCATTAACTTGTGTTGTAAGAGGCCATTTAGGCCGGGCGCGGTGGCTCACGCCTGTAATCCCAGCACTTTGGGAGGCCGAGGCGGGCGGATCACGAGGTCAGGAGATCGAGACCATCCCGGCTAAAACGGTGAAACCCCGTCTCTACTAAAAATACAAAAAATTAGCCGGGTGTAGTGGCGCGCGCCTGTAGTCCCAGCTACTTGGGAGGCTGAGGCAGGAGAATGGCGTGAACCCGGGAGGCGGAGCTTGCAGTGAGCCGAGATCCCGCCACTGCACTCCAGCCAGGGCGACAGAGCGAGACTCCGTCTCAAAAAAAAAAAAAAAAAAAAAAAAAAAAAAAAAAAAAAAAAGGCCATTTAAAAAGCAATGAAATAATATTAAATTAAATCATGAATATTTATTAAAGAATGTGTACATTTGAATATACATGTTTGAGTTAAAGTGCATTCAGTAAATCACTTTTATTTTTACACCATCAACCGAGAGCTCTCCATGAAAGCTTTTACTCCACGTACTTCATCTCTTCTTGAGGTATTACGTCTTCTGCATCATCTTATGCAACCATTCACAGGAAGAACATTGCTACAATGTTTGCATTATCTTTTTGGTCCCACAAGCCAAAAAAAATTTAAAAAAAACCTTTAAAACCTATGGGTTTGTAAATCCAAGTGGCTTCTGTTAATTCTAATCAATGTATGTGTACCATAATCAGAAGATACATGTGTGAAAGAGAAGAAAATCTATCCTTAGGACATCAGAGAGCAACAATAACAGCAAAATCAATTTAAGCCAGTGAGTGTAAGTATACATATATGTGTGTCTCGGCAGGGGAAATGGGGAGGGAGTATTGTATAGGAGTGTAATCGCACTGATCATAACACATAAAATAAAAGAGAGGCAGCCATTGCATTACCAAACAGAGCAAATGTGCAAGTACCATAGTCATTTGGTTGTCTCTGCACACAAACTGTTTTGATAACATACATCTAGATTAAATTTTATGTAAATATAATTTTTCTACAAGTGTTTGAGTTCTACTCAAGATATTGTAACAGAATTTCACACTTCATTTAAAAAAAAGCCTTTAAAATATAAAGTGTACGTTCATTCTAGATGTCTGTTAAATGTAAGTTGCAGAGATGTAGATAGGAGATAGGTAGAGATTTTAGAGAGAGAGTTTCTGAGAGTTTTTTTTTTTTCACATTTTAAGCTACTCACTGGGTGACAATGTCATGTTGAGATTGTCAGTGTTTTGGAAAGGTCATTTTCCAGGTGCTACTGCTCCAGTCCCCTAATTTGTCATAACTGATGTGATAGACAGACAGATTTTACCATTTGCTTAAGTGTGTGTTAAATCTTCCATATAATAGGCTGATAGCAACCCTGTTCAAGAGCTTGAGTGTTCGTACTTTTTATTGTTTCTTATCTTTGTGGGCATTTTCTGCTTCCTCAGAGGCTTTTTTTCCCAAAGTGACTTTTTTTTTTTCTTTTTCTTTGGCTTCCTTGACCTTCTTTATAGCATAAAGCTCTTAGTTTGCAATTTATTTCAAGGCCACCGTTGCTACCCTCAGTTACGCCATTTTGTCTGTCTGTGTATGTGTGTATGTTTGTTAGAGTGGAGGAGAGGGTGGAGAAGGAGTAGAAATGTGTAACTTATTCTGAAATGAGTTATAGTTTACAAGTATTTTCAAATCTTTGAGAAAATAAATAACTTACAAACTTAATGACCTATTTCATCTATACCTTGTCCTCATCTGAACATGTGAGATGGATTTAAAAAGATAAAATACTTCCCCTGACCCTAGAGGAGCAAAAAACTATATGGCATACAACAAACACCTGTCTGATATTATTGTTGATGACATTTGTCCAGCTAAATAAAGCTTATTTTTCTCAGGCCACAAATGTATTTCTCAAATCCTGGAAAAATGAACAGCAAAAAATAATTCTCTATTCTCCCATCTTCAAAGGCACATGTCTTAAAGTGTAAGTTTTCCTTTAATGAAAACATAGTAAATGGTATTTCTTTAAAATGATTAGCTGAACAATGTTTGACTATGAAACTATAAGAAAGGTTAAGTGTTTTTGTTTGTTTAAGTGATTGATTTAAGAATTTCAGGACACAGTAGGTTGTTTTTGTCATTAAAAATGTTTCCCAACAAAGCAAGTATGCAAGACTTTAGTTAACTCTTTTTCATATCCACAAACTTCTGTTAAAAAAAGAGTTGGGATACTTTTGTCTGTATTTCTCTATTTGAGTTCATTTACAACCAGTATTGTCCAAATGTAAGAACAATCTGTTGGCCTACAAGACATCAGACAAATCCTGTAATATTCAATACAAAAAGTTTTTATATTTTTTGAAGCAAAATGTTGCATGCCATGAGATATAAAGAGATTGTACTTCCAGGACAACTAGCATTCAATTCTATGTCTAGAATTCAGTGAGAATTACATGTATGTTTATTGCAGCACTATTTACAACAGCAAACACTTGGAACCAACCCAAATGCCCATCAATGATAGACTGGATAAAGAAAATGTGGCTCATATACACCATGGAATACTATGCAGCCATAAAAAGGAATGAATTCATGTCCTCTGCAGGGACATGGATGAAGCTGGAAGCCGTCATCCTCAGCAAACTAACACAGGAACAGAAAACCAAACGCCACGTGTTCTCACTCATAAGTGGGAATTGAGAACACATGGACACAGGGAGGGGAACGTCACATACTGGGGCCTGTCGGGTGATGCAGGACAAGGGGAGGGAGGACATTAGGACAAATACCTAATGCATACAGGGCATAAAGCCTGGATGATGGGTTGATAAGTGCAGCAAACCACCATGGCCACATGTATCCTATGTAACAAACCTGCACATTCTGCACATGTATCCCAAAACTTAAAGTCAAATGCAAAAAAAAACTAAATGCCTCTAACAAGACCAAAAAAGAATTATGAGTGAGTTATAAACCTTGGTAATGTGTTTTCTGCCCCCAATTTCAGTTTCTTATTATAATGTGCATCCATAGTTCTTATAAGCTTTTTAAAAGAAAGTCCCTATTTTAAAAGTGTAACCTAAAATAGCTCATACCTGAGAAAATGCTTGCTATTGTTTTAAACAGTTAAAGAGACATGACTCAGCTTATTCTCATTTAGCTAGTATTTTATCCAACAGCTTAAAAATAAAAAACTAATTTTTAATAAGATACAGAAAAAGGAGATTTTTTTGCCTGAGCATAATTGGGAACAGAAGAATGGGAAAGCAGAAATAAACAATGCTGAACAAAAGCTAAAGTAGAGAATAGAAGAGGAAAACAAATAGAAAGCTATAGTTCAATTTGGGATTTCATATCACTGTAGAAGAGGTGCATGGCTGCTAAATACCTAAAAATACATGTAATAAAAATGTTTGTTTTTCCATCTGTCCTTGCTCTTCCCTCTCTCTTCATTCATTAAAAATGGAAGACAAACTAGGTAGAAATGCTGCATTACCATGGGGGTCAGCAAAGTCCTGATCATCAAACCTAGCACAGATTGGGGTTATGGGAAGGTTAAGTAGTAAAATGGGAGAAAATTAACTTGTCAGGAAAAGGCTGTGAAGCTGGCTGGTGAAGGTTGTTAGGTCTCTGTGCATGGTTACAGCACACTGACTCAGGTGCATCAAGCAGGGAGAAGGTCACACCCCTTGAGGCTGGATGACAATCTGCCGATTTAGACACTAGCCCTGGGTCATCCTAGTTTTACTAAGTAATATCTCAAACTGGGAGTTGTCTGACAAGGTGTGTATATGAGGATAAATTCCAGTCAAATGCATTCCAGAAACAACTTCTTTTTCTGTTCTGTTAACTGCAGGACATTTGTTTAATTAGATAATGTGCAATGAAATGCAAGAAAATGCCTATTGCTGAATAGTCATGAGAAGAGAAAAAATATTTGCCTTTCTTTTTTAAAACACAGGATGTTAAATTCTCTTTAGTTAAGATGGTAACTTATTTTCATGTTCCATATCTAAATGTATCTCTTTGAAGCACAGGTAGATTTTTTTAAAGTACAACCTATTAGATTGGCAAAAATGAAGACTTTTAAAACATAATATATTTGGTAAGGCTGAGGGAGCTAGGTAGTGTCAAATACTGCTGATGGGAAAGCAAACTGTTACATCACCTATGAAACGAAATTTAGCACTACACAGCAAAATTGTATGTGAATATAAGATCTCATTTCTAAAAATCACCCCTAAAATACACTGCAAAAAATACAAAGACAGATAATCATGAAGCTATTCACTGCAGGCTTATTTGTGATAGCAGAAGACTGGAAACAACTCATATGTCCTTAGTAGGGTTCCAGTTGAATAAGCAATGGTACAGTCAAACAAAGGAGCATGCAGTTCTGAAAGAACAGGAGAAATATTTTTATACATTGCTGTGCAACTATCTCCAAATTTATTATTAGGTGAAAAAAGCAAAAAGGAGAAGGCATGTATTGTACGCATCTACTAATTTAATAAGGAGGTGAGATTAAAATACACATGTATTTTTTCATACTGCAAATAAATCAACATTGAAATACAAAGTTACTGATGGGGAAAGGAGGAGGAAGTGGAAAGGACAGAAATAAAAGTTAGATTTTCCTGAATGTATCTTCTTTTGCAGATTTGATTTTGTCACTATGTAAATATTTTACATTACTAATTACGTTAAATCTTTAAAATGGAATTCTTAACAAAAAGGAGCAAATAAATCTAACTGCATGGAGGTAGTGACACAACCACACAGGGAAGAGTTATTTCAAGTGACTTTGGCATAGCATAGTTTGATTATTTATTCATTATGAGACAGACATACCTGAAAAACAAAACTTTGGGTATAGGAAATTTGGGTATAAAAATTACTTTTACTATTTTTATTGTTGGTATTTATTCTGAGATTATTTGCTACCTTTGTGGAATTGAACATATATTTCATTATGTTGGTATTACTGGTAATTAGTATTTTTAGCATGGGGGAAGGAGATAGGGACACAAGATCAATGAGGTGAGTAAAAACTCTGTAGCTCTGAATTTGCATTTGAAATATCAGAAGGAAGGAACTCATACTGCATTTTATCCTAAAAGGAACCACAGCTTTTAGAGAAACGAAGGATTCTGTTTCTGGAATGAGAAATGTTCAAGATGAGCCTGGAATATCATGCCATGCCAGGAAGTAAAGAGACTTTCAAAACCTGTGGAGTTGTATCAAAAGAACTAAGGTGTAATTTAACGAGTCTTTCACTTGTCAAGATAATGAATTTATACATGAGTGGAAACAGTAACTGTAATGATTGGAATATATAAAATGTATTAATTTCCATGAATTCATAATAATAATAAAGATAAAATGGATTGGATCAACTTTGTTGGATGCTGTAACAATGAATTTTAGCAAAAAGTGATAAAGAAATGTATCAAACTGCATTTTCCAAGACGATAGCCACAAGATTTACCGTCTCATGTGATCGTACAATGTAAATTTTCATTCTTCCCACTGGGGTGTGTGGTCCATGCTCCCTCCCCTAAATTTGGTGGACCTGTGATTTTGGTCTGTGATTTCCAAGACTAGGTCATAAAATATGATACAGCTGTTATTCTTAAAAATCAACCACTATGCTGGAGAAAGCCACTGGCTAGAGTGGAAGTGGACATGTGTAGGTGTTTCAGATGACAAACCCACTTGAAATCTTCCATACAGGTGAGTAAGGATGAGCCTTCAAGATGACTTCAGCCCCAGTCACGGTCTGACTGCAACCATATGAGAAACTCCAAGTGTGAATCAACTACCTGAATGCAGAACTGTGAGAGATAATAGTAACATAATTGGTATTGGGTTTTTGTTTGTTTTGTTTTTTGAGACAGGGTTTCCCTCTGTCACCCAGGCTGAAGTGCAGTGAGCAGTTATGGCTCACTGGAGCCTTGACTCCCAGGCTCAAGTGGTACTCCCACTTCAGTGTCCTGAGTAGCTGGAAGGTACAAGCCACTATGCCTGGCTAATTTTTGTATTTTTTGTAGAGATAGGGTCTTGCTCTGTTACCCAGGCTGTTCTCAAACTCTTGGGCTCAAACAATCTTTCAGCCTCAGCCACTCAAAGTGTTGAGATTATAGACATGAGCCACCACACCTGGCATGGTATTGTTTTAAAGTACTAAGTTTTGGGGTGTGTTAGCCACAGGTAACTGCAATATATTAGGGGGAAATCAAGCATTTGTTGTGCTTTTCCTATACAACAAGTAAGTGACAAGAATAAATTTTTAAATCTGTATTTTATCTAATAAATGTAGAAAAATGGTAGAATTTGAATATCATCGTGAATAGATTCAGGCAATGATCACTATATTAGTCCGTTTTCATGCTACTGTTAAAGATGTACTCAAGACTGGGCAATTTATAAAAGGAAGAGGTTTAATTGGACTTACAGTTCCACGTGGCTGGAGAAGCCTCAGAATCTTGGTGGAAGGCAAGGAGGAGCAAGTCACATCTTACCTGGATGGCAGCAGGCAAAGAGAGAGAGCTTGTGCAGGGTAACTCCTCTTTCTAAAACCATCAGATCTCACTATCACAAGAACAGCATGGAAAAGACTTGCCCCCATGATTCAATTACCTCCCACTGGGTCCCTCCCACAACATGTGGGAATTCAACATGAGATTTTGGTGGGGACACAGCCAAATCATATCATTCTGCCTCTGGCCCCTTCCAAATCTCATATCTTCACAGTTCAAAATCAATCACGCCTTTTCAACAGTCTCCTAGAGCCTCAACTAATTTCAGCATTAACTCAAAAGTCCACAGTCCAAAGTCTCATGCAAGACAAGGTAAGTCACTTACACCCACGAGTCTGTAAAAGCAAGTTAATTACTTCCTAGATGCAATGGGGGGTACAGGCACTCCAAATGGGAGAAATTGGACAAAACAAAGGGGATACAGGCCCCATCCAAGTCCCAAATCCATGGGGCAATCAAGTCTTAAAGCTACAAAATGATCTATTTTGACTCCATGTCTCACATTCAGGTCACACTGACGCAAGAGGTGGGTTCCCGTGGTCTTGGGCAGCTCCACCCCATGGCTTTGCAGGGTACTGCCTCCCTCCTCCCTCCTGAGTGCTTTCATGAGCTGGCATTGAGTGTCTGCAGCTTTTCCAGGAACATGGAGAAGCTGTCAGTGGATCTACAATTCTGGGGTCTGAAGGACTGAATGCTTTTAACAGCACCCAAGTCTTATGTTGAATGCTTTGCTGCTTAAAAATTTCTTCCACCAGATACCCTAAAATCATCTCTCTCAAGTTCAAATTTCCGCAAATCTCTAGGGCAGGGCAAAATGCCACCAGTCTCTTTGCTAAAACATAACAAGAGTCACCTTTGTTCCAGTTCTCAACAAGTTCCTCATCTCCGCCTGAGACCACCTGAGCCTGGATTTCATTGTCCTTATCATTATCAGCATTTTGGTCAAAGCTATTCCATAAGTCTCTAGGAAGATCCAACTTTCCCAAGTTTTCCTGTCTTCTTTTGATCCCTCCAAACCTGTTTCAACCTCTGCCTGTTACCCAGTTCCAAAGTTGCTTCCATACTTTTGGGCATCTTTTCATCAATGCCCCACTCTCCTGATACCAATTTACTGTATTAGTCAGTTTTCACTCCACTGATTAGGATATACTCGACACTGGGCAATTTACAAAATACATAGGTTTAATTGGACATAAAGTTCCACATGGCTGGGGAAGTCTCACACTCATGGCAGAAGGCACAGAAGAGCAAGTCACATCTTACATGGGTGGCAGCATGCAACAAGAGAGAACTTGTACAGGGGAACTCTTCTTTTTAAAACCATCAGATCTCATGAGACTTATTCACTATCACAAGAACAGCATGGGAAAGACTTGCTCCCGTGATTTAATTACCTCCCACCAGGTGCCTCCCACAACACGTGGGAATTCAAGGTGAGATTTGGGTGGGGACGCAGACAAACTTTAACATCACAAAAAGAGACAACACAAGGTTACATGGCTCCTGATGGAATTATACACTGCCACCTATGAAACATCCTGTGGGAAATACTGGGGACAGAGCGGCATATTAATTCTGAGATATAATCAGCAAATTTCAGGGCATAAAAAATATTAATAACAAAAGATCTGATCTCTTAAATGAATTTCAAGGGAAGAAAGAGGGAAGAAAACCGGTAGTTTAAAACAGTGATAACCAATTGCAATAGACCCTATTTTTATTCTGATTCAGCAAAATAAGCCTTAAAAATATGAGACAGAATATTTGATGATTTAAAGTCATTTTTAGTATTTGAAGAAAGGTAATGATATTGTGGTTGTATCACAAAAAGAATCCTTATGTTTGGAAATACATATTGAAATGGTTTGATGTTTAAGATTTGCTGCAATGTAATCTAGGGCAGGTCAGGAACATAGATGGAGTACAACTGGCCATGTGTTGGTAATGGTGGAAACTGAGTCATGGGCATATGTAGGTGCTTTATATTATTCTTCTTTGATACAAGTTTGAATTTTCTCCCTTTTTTCTTTTTTTAATACAGAGTTCCGTTCTTGTCGCCCAGGCTGGAGTGCAATGGTGCGATCTCAGCTCACCGCAACCTCTGCCTCCTAGGTTCAAGCAATTCTCCTGCCTCAGCCTCCTGAGTAGCTGGGATTACAGGCATGCACCACCACACCCAGCTAATTTTTTGTATTTTTAGTAGAGACCGGGTTTCTCCATGTTGGTCAGACTGGTCTCGAACTCCCAACCTCAGGTGATCCACCAGCCTTGGCCCCCCCAAAGTGCTGGGATTACAGGCGTAAGCCACCTTGCCCGGCTTGAATTTTCTCATTATGCAAAATTTAAAATGTGCACTTGAAGTGCTGAATGCTAATCCTGGGTCTGTGATCTCTTGGGCAGTCTCTTCATTATCCACATTATGATATGCCCAGTTGGTGAACCAGAGTAGGTGAACTTGGCTATACAAAAGCCTAAAGTGATTTCCTACATGGGTGGGGCAGGGGGAACCTCTTAAATATTACATTTCTCCTTCTTCCAGTGATTTCTATCTAATTATAAAACTAAGTTAAGATGAAAAGTCTAGGCATGAAAACAAAATAAAACTAGCAAACAAATGAAAACATTGCTTCAAAACCGAGCAAATTATCAGAAGCAGTATAGTGGGAAGAGTGTATTGCTGGGTTCAGTGAAACAGGATTTTTTTCCAACTAATAAAGTAAGTGACCATAGGCAAGTTATGTAATCCTGTAGCCTCATTTACCTTATTTGTTCAGGTGGACTATTTGTGATACAATCTCTGTAGAATGCAATCCAATCCAGCTCAGCTCAGCTCAGCTTAGTCCAACTCAACTCAACTCATTTCAGTCCAGTTTTGTTCTGTTCTATTTTATTTTATAATTTTTTTGGTTTCAAAATACAAATTGCAATAAATTGTTGAGTCCATCCTGCCTAGAAATGGCATTTGCTGGTAGGGGTGTTGGGAGCATTCTTATTCTAAAGAATAATCTCAGGAGAGGCCAGGATGGCGATTTAGAAAGAGATGCGGTCCGTGGTACTCATGAAGAGAAGAGTGAATTCTACACCTTCAACTGAAATATCCAGGTTCTTGCATTGGGACTGACATAGGCAAACAGCTCGACCCACAGAAAGCGAAGAAAAGCAAGGTATGGCGACAGCACAAGCGGGAGCAGCATGGAATCAAAGGAACTCCTATCCTCAGCCAAGGGAAGTGATGAGTGATTATATGATCCTGCCCAGGAAACCACGCTTCTCCTATGGATCTTTGCAACCAGCAGATCAAGAGATTCCCTCATAAACCCATGCTACCAGGGTTTTGGTCAGATACACAGAGCTGTGTGGAGTCCCAGCAGATCAGCCGCTTGGGCACACACAGAGACCCGGGAGTTTAGCATACTCCAGCCCTGGGATTCCCAACAAGGTGGGAGGCCCACCGGTACATTCTCCTAGGAGGGACACTGAATCCAGAAAGCCAAGGCTGCTGCTTTCAATCAGAGGCCTGCAAATGACCAGTTCGGTCTGAGACTGGGTTAATCTTTCTCTTTTTTATGTTTTAGCATTACAAATAAGCAAACTAAGTTTCAGAAACATGGCCAGATCACATTACTAGCAAATCATAGAAGTCAGTACTGGTCCTAGAGGGAGACTTTAAGTCTTCAGGAGCCAATTTAAGAGTATCATATCCCAGCCAGGGGAGGTGGCTCATGCCTGTAATCCCAGCACTTTGAGAGGCCAAGGTGGGCGGATCACTTGAAGTCAGGAGTTTGAGACCAGCCTGGTCAATATGGTGAAACTCCATCTCTAATAAAAACACAAAAATTAGCCGGGCGTGGTGGTGTGTGCCTGTAGTCCCAGCTACTCGGGAGGCTGAGGCAAGAGAATTGCTCAAACCCAGGAGGCAGAGGTTGCAGTGAGCCGAGACCACGCCACTGCATTCCAGCCTGGGTGACAGAGTCAGACTCTGCCAACAAAAGAAAAACAAAAAGAGTATCATGTCCCTTTCCCTGAAGCAGATTGAGAAATAAATCAAGTAGTAGCAGATAGAGGAAAAGAGATAATCTTTCTATTGAAAGTTAAATTAGAGCACATGTGCTTGCTAATACTTAATCCCAGCATTCGGCGGATTTGCATGCACAGGACTGGGGCAGGCCTTTCACTCTCATCCCTCCACACTCCACTTTCCTTCCTCACCTTCTGTCTAGACTATAGGGCAAACTAAGGAGAAGGCTTGCTCCTGAAAGTAGCTTATGCTCACGATTAAAATAGAGCAGAGGGGATGACCACACCAGGCTTAGCCTTCCCCAATTTGCCAGTCAGCTTCCTCTAGGGCTGAGTGAATGAAAGGTCACAGAGAGGATTCCTGATAACTCTAATGTCTCTGCCTACACATGGAAGGAAACATCCAGAGTGGGGAAGAATCATTCACCCCTATATTCCCCAGATTAATTTTTCTTTTCACCCATTAAACTCATGCTCAGCCTTCAGAGGAGGAGATGCACAAGTTTCAGGATAATTTTACTCTGATTTTCATGAAGTTGTTCTCCAAATTCCTAAATCAAATTCACTGGATTACCTTGGTATTCCTGGACCACTGTAGAATTTGCCTCTAGAATGCCCTGAAATTGATATGTACATTACATTATGTATATAAACTTTAAGGCCAGTCTCAATCCAAAGTTAAAAATTCATTCTCTATTTTCTTTCAATTTCCAAATTATGTCCAGCTACATTTTTCAACAGCATGCCAGAGGTTTTTCAATGAGATTTAATGACAAAAAGGAAGAAAGCATTAAATTTCTCTAGTAGCAAGATGCCAACACCATCAAAATATCCCAGATCTGAATATAAAGGGTTTATAAAGTATTATACAAATCCCAGGACAAAACTGAAGTTCAAAGATGAAATCTCTTTTCAAGTTAAAGCCAAAATGAAGTTCAAATAAATTTAAGTTCAATATCAAATTATTTTCCCCTTTGGAGTTAAATGTTAGAAGTTTAAAAAATTTATAAATTGTAATTAAGACCTCAAACTATCCTCCCAAATTTATCATTCAGCTTAGTCCTAGTCAGGGCAATTCTGAATGCCTGTGTGAAGTTGGTCTTCTTTCAGCAGCTGCCTTCTGAGATGTACATCACAGAAATAGGTGCAGTTCCTTCATTTAGGGCTTCAAAATTTGTAATGTCAAGTCTCTGATGCACCTGACTTTAAGGAATCCAAAGGATGAATAAGAAATAAGAGATTATTATAACATTGGCTCCATGCCTACCAAATTTAAAAAACAAACTGATCTCTAGTGCCTATATTAATCATCTCTTGCAAACTATTTTTCCAGAAGCCAATGTTACCAAAGACCAAAGCAGTGACTCAGTGTTCTCTGAGAAAAGGGGAAAAGGATGCAGATAAATCCATGCTAGTTGTCTGCAATCCTTAACCTATACAATTAAATTCCACTGGGATGGATCTTTCCGCAAGAGGCTAATTTAGGCACCACAGATTTGCCTGTCTGGGGTAGGGAGGGTCCACCTGTGTATCTTGCTTTCTCTCTTAGAGTGACAAAGAGCCACTGCTGCTTTCCCACAAAGTTCAGAAATTTGCATTCTTGAGAGTACAAAATACCAGGTCTTAGCTAAAGTGCCTTTCTGGTCACTCAGAAGTATATTCAAAACCTCTGGATTTCTACTACCTCTAGAAATGGGTAGGGACTGTATGCACTGTCATAGCATTGTCTTTCTTTAAGGAGCAGGTGTTCATTCCTGGGCTACTATTGTTGCTGCTATGTCCTTTTATATAAATCATATTTGGGCACCCAAAACTTGTTTCCCTGAGAATGTTTCTCATTTTAATTATAATTTTATAATAAAATTATAAATAAAACCAGTCTAGAATCAAAGTGAATTTGTGGACAAGCCTCACAAATCCAAAGCTAATATTGACGTTTTCTCCTTTTTGGGCTTTGAAAATAATTCAAAACGTAAAAGCAAGAATAATTTAGGAAGCCTACACAGGCCTGGCACTAACAATTTAAAGGCAGAGCTTCAATAGTACTAGTAAAACTAGAAGAACTCAACGCCCTGTCATTCTAGATCAGCAAATATTCTGTCCAACAATGCCTGCAAAGTCTGAAAAGACCTGTAACAACTGAACTTTGCCTTGACCACAACTACTTTCAAAAAGTTGTGTTTGTTCTATATAATGACTGGGTCACCTGCAACTTGCTGAGAGCTTCCTATTTTGTCCCTATTGTTAGGTCCCCAAGGCTACCAAGGATTTGACTGAGGCCAGAGTCCTTAATCAAGGCCAACACCCTTTGCCTAAGTCCTGGTCTCTAAAAAACCCAGTCATTTACATGTGGACGAAGCTGCTATAACCTATTTTGACCCAATGACATCAAAATATTATGTTCCCAAAGACTTAACATCTCTTTTTTATGTCATAGTATTTAAAAGCTAGTCTCACATGCACACGTATGTTTATTGCAGCACTATTCACAATAGCAAAGACTTGGAACCAACCCAAATGTCCAACAATGATAGACTGGATTAAGAAAATGTGGCACATATACACCATGGAATACTATGCAGCCATAAAAAAGGATGAGTTCATGTACTTTGTAGGGACATGGATGAAGCTAGAAACCATCATTCTGAGCAAACTATTGCAAGTATGGAAAACCAAACACCACAAGTTCTCACTCATAGGTGGGAAGTGATCAATGAGAACACTTGGACACCGGTTGGGGAACATCACACACCAGGGCCTGTCGTGGGGTGGGGGGAAGGGGGAGGGATAGCATTAGGAGATATATCTAATGTAAATGACGAGTTAACGGGTGCAGCACACCAACATGGCACATGTATACATGTGTAACAAACCTGCACGTTGTGCACATGTACCCTAGAACTTAAAGTATAATAATAAAAAAGTTAAAAAAATATAAATATAAAATGAAAAATAAATAAAAACTAGTCTCATATACATCTAAAAATAAGTCAAAGAAAGGAAAAATATAAGTTCAAAATGCCTAGCCAAAATAGTAAATTCCAAGTCTAGCATTAAATATCTTGGTAGTCCCTTCCCAAAGCCTTACCACATGTACATTTGTTCTTGGGTCTCACTCGTCTGTTTTATTTTTCAGAGCTCCTGGTCGATGGGTGAAATGTTGGGGATCTTTAAGGAAGGGAGGGAAATACATAGCATCCCTGTCCCATAGCTAGATTCTGGATAAATTCAAAAATAAAACGAAGAGACAGAGATGAAGTTCAAAAATATCAACTTTATTTTTGGTCAGTGCAAAGTTGGAGACATGCCTTTATATATAAGCGAGTGAGTTTCCTTCATGTTAGAGTAAGACAGAATTACCCACATAGTTACAGATAGCACAGAACTGGCAGCCCTCCTGCCATAGTCAGTTAGAGTGATCAAGAAAGCTTTCTCCCAACTCCCAAGAGGAAGAAGGGCAGAGCTAACCTGAAAATGCTAAATTGGTTCTTTACAAATTTAGCAATTGTGTAGTATAAGTCTTTCCCCCTCCCCAGGGAGAATTGAGAAAGGGAATGAAGAGTGTAACACTAATGAACTTTATAACCAAAGAAGGAAAAATTATAGGGAATAAATACCTCCCCACAACCTCCACCCCTAACAGATCCAAATGCTTGTGATTCCCAAACTTTCTATTATAGAGCAACCATTTTCCTATTCTCAAAGGAAATATTATTGTTTGTGATGTTATTCGGATATATATCTGATATATAAGCAGTTATATTTAAATAGTCTATTATTTCTATTTATGGTATCATGGGCTAAATGTATGTAAAACTATCTACAAGTCTGTCAAAATATGCCTTGTCACTAGACTCAGCTGAGACTATTAAAGTGGTGGTGAAATTCGACAAAACAAAACTGGTCTACATCAAAGTACCTTCACCTTATCCCCAGAATGCCAAGGTGTTAATAATGTACCCCACAGGGACCAGTGACATTATCACTTTTCTCTTTCCACAGCTTCCAGAATTTTAATAGACAACACCAGTGAGAGGCCATCCATGTGAAAGGCACTTCCCTACAATTAAGGGGAAATACATATTAATTTTCCTTTTTCGTTCTTTGATGAGACATATTCATAATACATTTGAGAATGGAAACAAATGAGTAGAAGTTTATTTTTTATGCTGAAATGACCTTCTTCATTTAAATGCTGATGACACTTGGTGGAGCATCCTAATTATACTTGTAGCCAGAAATAAACCACTTGCAACCTTCCTTCTCTGTTTCTTAACAGGGAAAGAAATTAAGAGAAATTCATCAGAATGCAGCCAGCAGTTATTATTTGACTATGCCTGTTGATTCTTATTTTTGCCATAGAAATTCTCTTTCTTATTATTTCAGATCTGTTGCTTATAAAAGGTAAGGATTATACTAAAATCATTGGCACTGGGGAGCTGAAGAGCAAATAATGCTAATGGAATAAATAATACATCATCTATTAGAACTGTTCTTTAGGGACTTATACCAATTCTTTACTAGCATCAACTGCGTAATATTTAGCAACCTCTAACAAGTTTCAGGGAGATATATTACCTTGTGACTCAACAAGGATCCTTAATACACTGCCTAAATTAGACAGCATATTAAAAATTAATGGCAGACCAATTTTCTACAATTATATTTTTATCTGGGGAGCAGACTGTCAGGTTTGCATGGTGTTAGTAACTTTTGGCTGTGCATCACTTTTACAATTTCAGTTGACTGAGTTTGCTAATAAATTTTTGTCACACATGGGCATGTTGATAACCGCATTTAAATGTTTATAAAACATAAGATAAATATTTGAGTATGGATTGAATTTGTCAATGGTAGTAATTTAAGAAGGTGACTGTATGGTGAGGATGACACATAGATATACTGCCTATGTGAAGAACTGATTCATACAGCAGCAGAGAGTGATGCTGGAATTCAGTTCTTAAGTGCCAGCTCTTAATAAGAGGATAAAAACAGTGATGGTGAAGAAAGTTGCCGCACTCAAGGTCAAATCTCCTTCCTGAAGAAGTTCAGATCTGATGGCTTATCAGTGTAGGGATATAGAGACAAGGTCCCCACCTAAGACAGGATAATTATTATATTCAAAATGGTGAAGAAAAAAACCCTTGCCAACTGAGACTATTTATCTGGGAAAGTTGTCCTTAAGGAATTAAGTCGAAATAAATTTTCTCAGACAAACAAAAGGTGGTGAATGAAGGGAGTTCATCAACACTAGGCCTGCTTTACTGAAATTGCTAAAGGGAATTCTTTAAGCTGAAACAAAAGGCAGCTAATTAATAAAAAACATATGAAAGTAAAATCTCAAAATGTAATACATAGTCATACTGAGATTATTTAATACTGCAAAGGTGGTGTTTGAAGAATTTTATCCCTACTATGACAGGTTAAAGATTAAACTATGAAAAACATCTACAGCTACAACAAATAGTTAAATAATACAAATTACCTAAAAAAGGAAAATTTTCACATCAAAATTATAAAATCTGGGGGGTAGAGAATGAATGTTCACGTGATTAAAGTTACTACCAGCTCAGAGTAGCCTGTTCTAAAGACAAAATATTATATGTAAGCCCCTTGATAACCACATATGTTTTTGCAACTGCTATAGGCATTTGCTTTGTGGTTATCATGCACAAAATACAAAAAGAAAGGATTCAAAGCTTGCCAGCACAGAAAACCGTCAATCCACAAAGGAAGACAGAAAGAAAGGAAAAAAGAAATAAGGGACCTACAAAACAACCAGAAAACAAATTTCAAAATGGCAGTAGCAAGTCTTTATGTATCAATAATTACCTTGAATATAAACAGATTAAATTATTTGATCTAAGACATAGAATGACTAAATGAATAAAAAAACTAGATCCCCTGCCTACAAGAAACTCACTTTATTAGTAAGGACATAGATTAAAAGCAAAGAAACAGAAAAAGGTATTTCACACAAATATAAAACAAAAGAATGCATGGGTACCTATATTCATGTCAAACAAAAAAGAGTTCAAGTCAAAAATTATAAAAAGAGACAAAGATAGTCATCAATAATAATAAAGCGGTCAGTTAACAAAAAGGACATAACAATTGTAGATATATGTGCTCTTGACATCACAATACCTAAATACATAAATAATCTGAGAAGAAAGATAGACTATAATGCAATAATAATAATGGACCCCAATACCCCACTTTCAACAATAGACAAATTATTAGGAAAGAAAATCAATAAGGCAACATTGGATTTGAACAACACTTCAGAACAAATGGACCTAACAGGTATATAAAGAACATTCCATCCAACAACAGCAGAATACACATTCTTCCCAACCACACATGGGGCATTCTCCAAGATGTATCATATGGTAGGCCACAAAACAAGTCTTCACAATTTTCAGAAGATTGAAATCCTGTCAACTAGTATCTTTTTGGATTGCAATGACATGGAACTAGAAATCTATAACAGGAGAATTTTGTAAAATTCATAAATATTTGGAAATTAAACTACATGCTTCTAAACAAATTATGGGTCACAAAAAATAAAAATGGAAATAAAAAATACCTTGAGACAAACAAAAGTGGAAGCACAACATACCAAAACTCACGAGATGCAACATAAACATCCCTAAGAGGAAAATTTATAGCATTAAACTCCTAGATCAAAGAAGGACTAAAGACTCAAATAAACAATCTAACATTATATGTAAGGAACTAGAGAAAAAAACAACAAACTAAGCCGGAAGTTGGCAGAAGAAATGAAATAACAAAAATCAAAGTAGAAATAAATGAAAAACAGACTGGAAAAACAATAGAAAAAAATCAACACAACTAGGAGTTGATTTTTTGAAAAGATAAAATTGACCTTAGCTAGACCAACTAGGAAAAAAAAGAGAAGACTCAAATAAATAAAATCATAAATGAAAGTGGGGACATTACATCTAATATCACAGAAATACAAAGCATTATAAGAAATAACTATGAATGGTGATATGCCAAAAAATTTTATAACCTACCAGAAATGGATAAATTCCTAAACACATACAATTTACAAAGACTGAGTCATGAAGAAATAGAAAATCTGAACAGATCAATAACAAGTATGGAGATTGAATCCATAACAAGAAGTGTCTCATCAAAGAAAAGCCCATGACTGGACAGCTTCACTGCTGTTTTACCAAATATTTAAATAATAAGTAATGCCAATTATTCTCAATCTCTTTCAAAAAATGAAAGAAGAGAGAATAGTTCCAAACTCATTTTCTAAGGTCAGCATTACCCTGATACCAAAGCCAGACAAGGACACAACAAGAAAAGAAAATTATAAACCAATATCCCCATTGAATATAAATGCAAGAATTCTTAATTAAATAATAGCAAACCAATTTTAACAACACATTAAAAGAATAATTCACTATGATTGAGTGGGATTTATCCCTGGTATTCAAGAATGGTTCAACGTGTGTAAATCAATAAATGTGGTACACCACATTAACAAAATGAAGAATTAGAATGATCATCTCAATAGATGCAGAAAAATCAATTGACAAAATTCAACATCTTTTTATGATAACAACTGTCAATAAATTAGGTAGAGGAAATGTACTTCAATACAATGAAGGCCGTATATGACAAACTCATGGCTAACAGCATACTTAATAGTGAAAATTTGAAAGCTTTTCCTTTAAGATAAGGAAGAAGGATGTCATCTCACTACTTCTATTGAACTATGTACAGAAAGTCCTAGATAGAGATTAATCAAGAAAAAGAATTAAAAATTATACTAATAGGAAAGGAAGAGTGAAATTGTCTCTGTTTGCTGATGATGTGTTCTTATATACAGAAAACCCAAAACACTCCACCAAAAAGCTGTTGAAGACTCCACCAAAAACCATTAAAACTGATAAATTCAGTAAAAGTGCAAGACACAAAATCAACATACAAAATTAGTAGCATTTCTATGTACTAATAATGAATTACCTAAAAAACTAGGAAAACAATTCCATTTGTGATAGTAATAACAAAAAATAAAATACTTAGATGTAAATTTAACCAAGGAGGTGAAACACCTGTATACTGAAAACTATAAAAAAAACCATAGAAAGAAATTGAAGAAAACACAAATAAGTGGAAAAGTTTCCCATGTCTATCATTTGAAAGAATTAATATTGTTAAAATGTGCATACTACCCAAAGCAATCCACAGATTCAATGTAATCCTTATCAAAATTTCAAATGTATTTTTTCACAAAATTAGGAACAAAAATCTTCAAATTCATATGGAACCACAAAATATCCTGAATAGCCTGAACAGCCTTGAGTGAAAAGAACACAGTTGGAGGCATCACATTCCCTGAATTCAAAACATATTATGAAGGAATTGTTATCAAAACAACATTGTACTGGCATAAAAGCAAACACATTGCCAAGGACAGAAACCTTAAACTCATGCATTCACAGTCAATAGATTTGCAACAAAGGTGCCAATAATACACAAATGTAAAAAGGAAAATCTCTTTGATAAATGAAGAAGTTTTCTGAAATGGTATTCAGAAAACTACTTATCCACATGCAGAAGAGTGAAATTGAATATTTATCTCACACTACATACAAAAATCAGCTCACAGTGGATTAAAGGCTTAAATATAAGACCTGAAGCCATTAAACTACTAGAAGAAAACACAGGGGGAAAGCTCCATGACATTGGTCTGGGCAACAACTGATTGCCTATGACCCTGAAAGCACAGACAATAAAAGCAAAAATAGACAAGTGGGATGACATCAAACTAAAAAGCTACTACACAATGAAGAAAACAATTAACAAAATAGACAACCCACATACTGGGAGAAAATATTTGCAAATAATTTATTGACAGGTGGTTAATATCCAAAACAGATATTAAATAACCTGATTAAAAATGGGCAAAAGACTTGAATAAACATTTTTAAAAAGAAGACATACAAATGGCCAACAGTACATGACAAAACTCTCAACATCACTAAATCATTAAGGAAATGCAAACTAAAATCATAATCGGATATCACCTCACATCTATTACAATGGCTTTTCTCAAAAAGATGAAGGACAACACATGTTGGTTAGGATTCAGAGAAACTCTTGTACATCACTAGTGCAAAAGTAAATTAGCAAAGCTATTATGGATGGTGTTTTCTCTATAAACTAACAATAGAGCTACCATGTGATCCAACAATCCCACTTCTGGCTATACATCCAAAGGAATTGAAAACTGTGTGTCAAAGGGATATCTGCATTCCCATGTTCATTACAACATTATTCACAATAGTCAATACATTAAATCATCCTAAGTGTCCATCAACAGATGAATGGATTTTAAAATGTGGTACATATACACAATGGAATCATATTCAAGGTCTAAAACAAGAGAATTCTATCATGTGTAACAACATGAATGAATCTAGAAGACATTATACTAGGTGAAATAAGCCAAGCACAGAAAGACAAATAGCACATGATCTCACCTATGTATGAGATCAAAGAAAGTTGAACTTACGGAGTAGAGAGTAGAATTACGATTATCAGAGGCAAGGCGGGAGGAGGGGAATGGGGTTTGGGAATGAGAAGTTATTGATCAAAGGGTACAAAGTTTTGATGAACAGGAGGAATAAATTTTGAGATCTATTGCACAAGGTGAATATAGTCAGTAATGTATATTTCACAATAACTTAGAGAGTAAATTCCAAATGTCTCACCATGAAAATAAGTGATGCATGTTTAATTAATTAGAATTAATGCTAATTATTCCATATTGTATACATACATCAAGACATCACATTGTACCCCATAAATATATACACTTGTGATTTGTCAAGTTGAAATAATATTTTAAAATATCAATAGCTACAAAATAACAATGTTGTAGTTTTCTCTGTATTTATGTTTATAATTTATTTGAAATTAGCTTTTGTGAATTCTATAATGGAGAAATCTAGCTTCATCTCCATGTAGATAGCCAATTGCTCCTGTAATTCTACTGAATATTTATGTTTCCTCCACTGATTTGAAATACTTAATCTATTATATTAAAGATATAATATATTAAATCTAAATATATATATTTGAATATAAGAAAAGAAATAATAACTTTTAAGGGCCATCTTGACTCTAGAACTTCCAGCGGGCTCATTTGTGAACTTGATTGGGACTGAATCACAAGTCAGTTTATCCGTTTGTCCAATCTTGCTTCCTTTTCCTCCCATCCAGAGGTGCTGATCTCAAGAACACTCCCTAACTGATGTTCTGCATGCTAATGTCTGTATCAATGTCTGCTTCTTGGGGAAGCTAAACTGCAACAGGGTGTCAATACAAAGTTATATTCTGAATCAAATTTTGTACACACACATGCATACATGCACAACAACTACTCATACATTCATCTGTTGGCTCATGGGGAAGAAAAGAAAGATTTAGGCCTCTCTTTCCTTATGCATTTTACTGTACCTCTTGAGCAAGAGTAGTGTTGCTATGGATTATCAAATACAGGGATAATGGATTGAGCACAATCCAGGAGCTTTAGGCCAATACATATGACAATTAATAGTACTGAAAGACAGAAAAGACCAAATTCGTCAGAAGAGTATAAAGAAAATCTGAATAACGTATACTTAACAAAAATATTAAGTTTCTAATTAGAAACTTCTCCACAGACATAATCCAGATCCAGATGGCTTTCCTGGTAAATTCTAACAAATATGTAAGAACAAAATAATCCCAACCCTACATGAAAGCCTCGAAAAAGTCTTAGAGGAGGGAACGCCGCCAACATATTTTATGAAGCTAGAATTACATTTATTCTAAAATTAGACAATAACCCTACATGAAAAAATATTATTTCTTAAAAAATAGGTAATCCTTATCTAAATATTATCAAATTAAACATATGTGCATATAAATATACTTAATATGTGTTTAATTAAAACACATGTATAAGTATATATATTTTTTCATATATATTAATTAATACAAATTAATCCATCTTGACTACTGTCATTTATTCCAGAATTTCTAGGTTGGTTTAACATTGGAAAATTGATCAGTACATTCACCATATTAACAGAATAAAGGATAAATATAAATGATCATGCCAGTAGACGCCCTCTGAAAAACAGATGACTCTATTCAAACCCATTAGTGATAAAAATCTCAACACACCAGGAATAAAGGAATGTCTTAAAACTAATTAAGAGCATCTACAAAAATGCTACAGCTAATGTCGTGCTTAGTAGTAAAAGACTAAATGCTTTTCCGTTAACATTGGGAACAAGGCAAGATATCTGCTTTTATCAGTTTTATTTAGCATTTTTCTGGACAGTCTGTACAGTGTAGTAAGACAACAAAGAAAAATAAAAGGCATAAACACTTCTGAGAAAGAAATATCATTTTTCTTATTCAAAATATGGAAATTGGTCTTACGTGTGTGTGTTTTAATTTTTTGAGACAGGGTTTCTATCGCCCAGGCTGGACTACCCCGGCTCAAGTGATCGTCTCACCACAGCCTTGGGAGTAACTGGGACTACAGGCATGCACGACTAGGGCAGATTAGTTTTTTGTATTTTTGTAGAGACGGGGTCTCGGTATGTTACTCCGGATGGTCTTGACAAACTGGACTCAAGTGATCCACCCACCTCAGTTTAGCAAAGTGCTGGGATTACAGGTGTGAGCCACTGTTCCTAGCAGCTATTGTTTTAAATACGAGATTTTAATCTTTACCTGTTAACAATTTTGTGGTTTTGAATCTTCATTGAATATCTTCAATTTCTGCCACATTCCTGATTATTTTTTACTTCATTCTTTGTCTAATTTTGTTTATTTGGTTGTTTTCCAGCCTTTCTTCCATATCTCTTATTAAACTTTTAAGTTTTTAGTTGAATCGAGCTCTTGTAATTGGTAACTGATTACAACTCATCGGGACTGAATCACTTGTAATTTAGTCATCTTGAGAGAGGTGTTTTTTGGTTTTTGTTTTTTTTTATTTCTTGGAGTTTGGTCAAAATCTTTTTTATCTATCTTCCTATTTTTTGCCTATTTTGAATCTGAATTTTTGAATTTCTGATTTAGGCATTCATTAAATACCTGCAAATGCATATACAGGTATACTTAGCCCAGATTCAAGTGCAGGGTTATTTTTTCTTCTGCTTTGTGGTTGTTTCCCTTTCAGGAGGGAAGATTTTTCACCAACTGAATTATTTTAATTTTTTTAAAGTTTTTTTTAATACAAATAGACTTTTTTTTCTGTTTGTATTTGTTTCTGCACAATTTATGCACCCAAGGGTAAAGGATTTTTTTTTTTTTTTTTTGGAAATGGGATGGCATGTCTGGATTTTGCTGTTCTCTTTTGTTTCTGAGACCCTTAATTTCTCTCCTTACTTTCTGCTTTTGCTTTATCACCAAATCTTCAAAAGTGCCCTCCAGATCCTATTCACTTCCCTCTTTTCCAGGAAAGTTTCCTTTTTGAATTTGGTACTCCAGATCAGACATACTTTCAAGGTACCTTTTCTATGGCCAGTGCTCAGATAGACCAGGTCCAAGGTCTGTTTTAGAATGTTTGTGGCTATATTGGGCCTTTGCATATCTGGATATTATTTGCTCTAGACTCCATCGCCCTCTTTTCCATCCAGGCCCTTCAGATGCCATCTTATTTCCACAATCTTAGGGAGTGAACTCACAGATATCTTTGCTGGAATATAGGGTTAGCTTCTTTCTTTATATGTAGTTTGAGGATTGTGGCATTCTCTGTGTCCAAGTTATGCCAAATAAGTCAGTTTTGTGTGGTTTCATTTGTTTCGTTTGCTTTTCTTCTTGATTAGTTTGCTTTTGGAAAAAGTATTGAGAAGCTTTAATCTAAGAAGCTAGCATTATCCTGGGATAACCCAGAAGTACACTGCAAAGATTTAGTAAACAATTTCCTATTTATTTATTTATTTATTTATTTAGAGAGAGGGTGTCTTGCTCTGTCACCCAGGCTGGAGTACAGTGGCATCAACTTGGCTCACTGCACCCTCTGCCTTGCAGGCTCAAGGGATCCTCCCACCTCAGCCTCCACAGTAGCTAGGACTACAGGCAAGTGCCACCACAGTTGGCTAATTTTTAAATTTTTTGGTAGAGATGAGATCTCACTATATTGCCCAGACTGGTCTCAAACTCCTAGACTAAGGAAATCCTCCCACCTTGGCCTCCTAAAATGCTGAGATTACAGTTGGGGTCACCACACCCAGCCCAATTTCCTATTTCTTACATAAGTGTGATTGTTATCTTGTGAAGATAATCATGTAAAATTGCCAGAATAGGGAAAACCTGAAGAGACAGAAGGTAGACTTATGGTAGTCTTGAGCTGGGGCAATGGAGGGATGGGAATTACTCCTGCTGGAGATGGGGTTTCTTCTCTTTTTCTAAAGGAAGAAACTATTTCCCAGAGCAGTTTTAGGTTCACAGCAGAATTGAGAGGAAGGTACAGAGAGTTCTCATAAACTGCCTGCCCCTCATTCATCCCACCTTCCCCACTATCAACATCCAGCACCAGAGTGATGCATTTGTTACAACTGATGAAGTTACACAGACACATCGTCATCATCCCAGGCCCACAGTTGACATTAGGACTCACTCTCGGTGTTGTACATTCTATGATTTTTGATGAATGTGTAATGGCATGTGTCTACCATTATAGTATTATACAAATGACTTTTACTCCTAAATATCCTCTGTGATCTGCCTGTTAGTTTTCTTTCTGGAGTGAGAAAACTGTTGAAAATTAGATTGTGCTGATTGTTGAACGTCTGTGAATATACCATAAAACATTGAATTGTATGTACCCTTTAAAAGGGTGAACTGTGTAGTATGTGAATTATATCCAGTGAAGCTGTTAAAGTACTTTGTGAATATTTTTATTGTTTGGCTGCTTTCATTGTTCACATTTCTGGCTAATTCCCTACTCAGAGTTCCAACTGCCATAAATAATCAACCTTTGACTATTTTGAATCTTTTCCTTTTCCCACCTAGTAAATGGGTCCTTGCTTTTCTTGCAAGATTTTTCCCTTAACCTCTTCGTCTGTTGGTTAAGTCATGAGACTAATTCTTCCTCTTTTTTCCCTGATGCAGGTTTGAGAAAGGGAAGAAGGTACTATAGACAAAAAGGCATGCATGTTCTAAGGCTGAGGTAGAAATTTTTTAGATAATTTGAAGAGTGGCACCAAGGTTACTATAGGAAATGGAAGGAAAGAGGCTATAATTAAGCGTGGCTGTGACTTAAGTATCATTTTCTTATTATTTGAGAATTGCAAGTATGAATTTGCTTGTTTTCAAGTTACATTTTAGTTGTAAAATTGTGTTTCTTTAATGATTACTGGATAATTTGTATCATGGCTTCGATATGTTTATAATTTTTGGAGATTTCCTTTAAGAATAGTGGACTTAAATTTTGACCCTCAGCTGAATACTGGGAAAAAAAATTGCTCTAGAGCCAAGCTATTTGTTTTTTTCAGTTTTGTCAGACAGTTGGAACTGATGTGCAAATGAATAGAGGGCTGTGAAGATGGAGCCAATAGGTTATCAGAATATTGTCAGAACACAAGAGAAACATGTTAGAGACATGGTGCTAATGTCAGAAGCAAAAATCATAGGAACACTTGCTTTTCTGAAGTGAATGTACCTGCCAGAGAACTACATTCGTACAGTGATTTTTTTTGAGTCACAAAGAGAAATTTAAAAAACAAAATTAAAATACCCTCAGGAAGCAGCAAACTTGGCATTTTATTTTTTATTCCAAAATCTATCAACATACACTTTCTTTTAGATGCCTACAGGTGGTTAATACAAGGTATAAAAGAGTTAGAAGTCAGCTTCATGATCTTAAACAATTTTCTTAATCTTACTAAATCTTGAGGCTTTCATTTGTAAACTAGAGATTACACTAAAATGTCATGCAGTTATTGGGAGATTTAAATTGGATAATATATCAAAAGCACCTGGCATATAATAGTTGTTTAATAAATGCTAACTTCATTTGCTCCTTCCTCCTTTCCTCTTTATGCAGAATTTCTGCTAATCGCAAAAAAAGCCATACATTTACATGTAAATCTTCCTTGGTTGAAAACCACAGGGAAAGATAATTAAGTTTAATCGATGAGCAGATATAAACACACATTAACAGATGCCCCATTTTATAGTGGCAAAGGCTGACTGCTTTACAAATGTTTGTTATAAAACATGACATTAATCAAGAGGACTAATTTTGGTGCTGATGTGATTTGAAGTGCTTCCACTCAGACTCCACCTAGGGAAAGTAATATATTCAGAAACAGTAGCAATTGGCGCAAATCCCTGTTGCTGATCTTACCTATATTAGCTTTTCTGCCTATGGGAATATGATTAATTTCACTGTGTAACAGAATAGGATGCTGAGAGAACTTCAAATTTAATTTCTTGATTAGTTAATGTTTCAGCTCTTAGGATTTTACTTTTATTCAAGTCATTTCTCAAATCAGTATTTTGTGTGATCTGATCTGGAGCATTCAAATATAAGAAAGCAAAAGCTGTATTTTCAGCACGTATTCTCTTAATTCATCAGACAATAAAACTTAATTGTATTATAGCATTCTCCACATCATATTGCATGTGGATGTCTGCTTGTATGTTTGGCCATCCAGACAAATTCCAAGAGGAGATAGATGTTGACACATGATTTCCTCGATGTCTAGAATCAAGCTTGAAACATATGAGGGTCATATATGGAGTCATAGTTGTTCAATATGGCACAAAAATTATCCATGGTTGCTCAATAACATTGTTTGAAAAAAATACTTGGGAAAGTTTTATTTTATATTGATTTATACTTTAAATACTTGGCTGGGCATGGTGGCTTATGCCTGTAATCCCAGCACTTTGGGAAGCTGAGGTAGGCGGATCACCTGAAGTCAGGAGTTGGAGACCAGCCTGGCCAACATGGTGAAACCTCATCTCTACTAAAAATACAAAAATTAGCCAGGTGTGGTGGTGTGTGCCTGTAATCCCAGCTACTTGGGAGGCTGAGGCAGGAGAACTGCTTAAACCCAGGAGGCAGAAGTTGCAGTGAGGTGAGATCCCGCCACTGCATTCCAGTCTGGGCGACAGAGTGAGAACCAATCTCCAAAAAACAAACAAACAAACAAACTTAAGTGCCAAACTTAAGTGCCACTTACTTAACTAAGCATAAGGAATACAAAAAACGGGAAAGATATTCTGACATAAAGCTTGCATACTAGCTGTGCCCAGAGGACATTATAACATTAAGAGCATAGAATCTAGAGACAGCTCACCTGAGTTTCAAACCCACTTCCCCTATTATAGGAACATTTGCTGTTCTGAAATGAATGTACCAGCCAGAGTTAGTGTGACCTTGGGCTGATTATCCTACCTCTATATGCCATCTATTTTTCCTCATATGAAAAATGGGCATATTAAAAGTAGCCTCCTAAAAGGGTAAGACAGTGCCTACTATGTAGTAAGTGCTAAATTAGAGCTCACTAAATATAGTAAGAAAAAAATAAGCAATTGTAATGAACAGTGAGTTATAAAATGGAGCTTTTGGAGTTTGTAGTAGATGGAATTCTAAGAATAACTCCCAGTGATCCTAATCTCCTCCCCTTGAGTATGAGTGGAGCCTGTGCGTGTGATGAGATATCACTCCCCTGGTGATTATGTTACGGTGAAAGGAATTTTTGCATAATTAATTAAGGTTTCTAATCAGTTGATTTTGGATTAATTAAAAGGGAGATAATCTGGAAAACCCAACCTAATTACACAGGCCCTTTAATAGCAGAGTCTTCCCTGGCTGTAGCAAAAGGAGGAAGTCAGAGAGCTTGACAGCTTGAGAAGGGTTGGACTTGCAGTTGCTGATTTGAAGACAGAGGAGGCCACAGGCAGAAGTTCCCTGGCCATTAAGGGTAAGCTCCTGCCTGACAGTCTGTAAGGAAATGGGGACTTCAGTCAAAAAAGTGCAGGCACTGAATTCTGTCAGCAACATTAATGAACTTGGAAGCAGATTCTCCACTGAAACTTCCAGACAAGAGCCCAGCCAGGCCAGTCCACACCTTAATTTAGCCATGTGAGTCTCTAAAAGGAGAACCCAGTCAAGCCTGCTCAGACTTCTGCCCTATGGTCTGTGAGATAATAAATGAGTGTTATTTTAAGTAGTTGAGTTTGTAGTAACTTGTTACGTATCAGTAGAAAAAGAAATAATACAGGATCTGATGGAAGCATACAGCACGCTCATCCAACTTCATCTAGGCAGATCCTTAAGTCTTCCTAGAGGCAATTATATGAACCCCAGATTTGAAATGATGAGTAAGAGTGAGCAAGGAGAGAGCAGTGGGAGGAAGAACCCAGGATGAGAGATATACAGATGCCTAAATGTGAGAAAAATGCATGCACTGGGGATGGAAACAAGATCATATGACTTCTGAGGTGACAAGAGTGACAGACTTGCATGCGTAGTTTGCCAAACCTAACTGAGCAAGCCAGGAATGGTCTTTTACATTAAATTAGGGCATATACATTTTATCCTTTATATATTTGTGTGATGTGTATGTACACATGTATATATGCAGAAACAAAAGATGTATGTGTCACACACACACACACACACATATCTCTCTTTGGAAAACCATTGAAGGATTTGAATAGCAGGAGAGGAAATTGGTTAGAATTTTCTCATCTTCTTTCCCTGCTGAGAATATCCTATTCACATTTCAAATGCACCCTTTTTTTGTGAAGGTTTTTGTTATACCCAAGGTTCACTTAATGACTTCTTCCTCTGTTGTACCATACTTCTAAAGTCTCTCATTCACTGAGCATACATTGTTTCAGGCATAGTTCTAAGTGCTTTACATATATTAATCCAAGTATTCACCATTATAACCCCATGAAACAGGCATACATACCAATCCTCATTCTATTTACACGAATAAAGTGCTGAGCGTGGAAATATTAGGAATGACACAGTCTTCACAGCAACCTGTGGTAATTCTGTAGATAATAGCCACCTCATCTACATACAGTTATGGCAGATCAGTTAACAAATACTTATGGAGTGCCATTTCATAGCTTATACAGTGCTAATTTCAGAAAAGTTTTGATGAGGCAGTCTAAAAGGAATCATCAGTTAGTATATAATTCCACTCAGTAAGTAAATCTGATTTTTTTAAAAAGTATAATATTTATAAGTTTAATCAAAGTATTGACATGTGAATTTTAGCTCAGAACTCTCCCCCAATAGAACTATACTTTCTCTATTTTCCAATCTCTTCTGAACCTGAAGACATGTTTGCTTATTACCTTAGAGTTTTATTTACATCCAAACTCTCCCTGAAGCTCTTTTGTTTGCTTTTTCCACTGTGAGAATATTTGAGAGTTCTGGTGGTTATTATAGACAGTTCTAATCAAGGCTTCATCGTGCACAATATACACTTGGAAAAATCCACACCTGATTATGCCAAAGCAAGTTGAGGGCTGTTTTTCATTTCACTCAGTTGTGGCATTTTTATTAGGTCCCAGATTGCTTACTTTGCCTTAGACATTTTCTATGTTAATTAAACTCATGATTGTTCCACTGCTTAAATTCTTCCCTTTTAAATAGTTGAATAAAAGAGAAAATGCCTTAGAGTATTTTTGAAATTTTTGTATTTTAACTGCAATATTAATATGTTATCTCATTTCTCCTTTCTATAATCATTAAAATTCCAGAGAGATAAATATTTGCAGCCCAATTTATAAACTCTTGATTGACAATTGAAAAGTTGCTTTTTGTCAAATAAAAGAGCATCTCTTTAGAGGTCAAGAAAATTAGGCACAATACACAAAGCTTTTTCAAAATGATCTCATAAAAGGCCATAATTCTAAAATAAAATTTGGTGTGATGTTGTGTCATTAATATTGTCAGGTAAAATTTTACATTTATTTGTAATTAGATGGGGATATTAGGCTCTGCAATAATTTTTTTATATTTAAAAGTAAACACTGATAGTTACAAAACTTTCTTAAAATCCTTGACACCAATTAAAAATTTTTTTCTTTTAGAAATATGACATTGGAGTTTAGCGAGAATACATTTACCATATTGTATTCATTATTAAAACTCTGCCAAGCATCCCTACTCCCTTGCTAAGGAGAGCAACTGGTGGCCCCTTCACAAATCTGGAAGTGTTCCTTTTCCTTTTGCTACTATTCCCTTGCAATGTCAGGCTTAGAATAGGATCTAAGTGTCTTGACTCCATGTTTCTAAATCTGGAGACAGAACCATTACATGGCTCTCGCATTAATAATTTTTGAGACAAGCAAAGTTGGTTCTACAAATGTAAAGCACGGGGCTGAACACCTACTGGCCTTGTGTACAATTTTCTAGAGAATCTTAAGTTGACATTTGTGGTAGACCAGCCCATAAAATTTGCACCAATAAAGCATTTTGTAAGACTGTCCATATGTGAAACTGCCTCCTCAGTACTGAGTGACTCTACAAATGAAAAATCATGTGTTGTTTTTGAAATACAAACACCATGTAAGAGTTGCTTAGCTTTCACTCCTTTTTTCTCTGCTGAAATCTGTTTGGATAACTAAACTCTCCTTCTCTTAGGTGCAATTTTATACATTGCTTCTAACTTTCTCCCTTTCTTTTATTTGCCAAGATAAAGGCCCTTTTCTTTCAAACCACAGCTCACTATTAGAAAAAATGAATACATTTCCAAAAGAAACAAGGTAGAAAAGCTATTTTTTGTTCTGGAGGCTACAAAGGAAAAGGTTTTGTATTAACCGACTATTGGCTTTAAAAGGTATCTTTTATATGCATCTCAGTAAATGGGAATTCTGTTTGGCTTGGAAGTGAATACATAAACAAATAGTGTATGGTTATATATAAAAATACTAAAAGTAACCAAACCTCTGCTAAACAACTCAGAATGAAGAAAAATTTTCCATCATAGTGGCCTTTATTATTCGTCTACTCTGCCCATTTTCTATTTTATTTTGAAAGCAGCAAACAGAGATATGTCTTACAGAAATATATTTCTAGAAGTTGAGTATTAAATGATGGTCTGAAGTTCTACTTGTGTACATGGAAAGGACTTAAAAACTTTTATTTGTGTAAAATTGATGAAAAAATGTTCACTGAATGTAGATTATGATCAATAACTCTGTTAGGAGCTTGGGAAAACACATTACATGTATAGCTTCTGCATTTGAAGAGTTTGGAATCTGCAATTAGTAATCTTTTGTAACCTAACAACTTACCATACACTTAGTGGCTTAAAACAACATACAACTATAGTCTCACAGTTTCTGTGAGTCCAGAGTCTGGGCATTACTTAGCTGGGTCCTCTGCTTTGGAATTTTTCACAATCCTGCAATCAAGATGTTAGCCAGGGCTGGGTTCTCATGTAACGATCCAACTGGGGAAGAATCTTCTTCTGAGCTCACATGGTGTTGATGGCAGTCAGTTTCTTGAAAGCTATCAGACTGGGACCTCTGTTTCTTGCTGATTGTTAGCCAGATCCTGCCTTTAGTTTTTCGTTAGGTGGGACTTCCCAACATGTTCATTTTCTGTATAAAGTTATTTAAGTATATATTGCTTATTTGAAGGTATATAAGCTTTGATTATAATTATAATTTTTATTTTCATGTCTATTTTTTTCTCTCTGTCACACACACATACAGACATACACATGCAAGTATATGCATATGTCTTTATCCTTTTATTTTTTCTTACCAACTGTGCCTTCCCTAAGGTCTCTGTAGACTACAATATTTTGCATTTGGGTTTGCAAGTGATTTCTATCTAAGGAGGTTTGTGCATCTACACCTTATGTCACGTGACCCTCTTCATATTTGACTCTAGTGTGACTTTCTTAAGAATATCCACAGTGAAAAGGTATAACCCAAAGAAAGTAATGGTAAAATTAGGAACTTAAAGGAAATCTAGTTTAACTAGTTGTCCTAGTGTGCTGTCTAATAGATTTAAATCATAAAATGCTAGAACTTAGAACTTGCATATGTCTTTTGTTTTTCATTTCTATTTTATTCTACAACAACGTTCACTGTAGTCACTCAATCAATTCTTGTCTTCATGGTTAAGTGGGACTTGATGGCTGATTATGAGACACTATACCTAATTTTGCTAGCTAGTGAAGAGTTCTGTTCAGTAATTAGAGTCTTGGAGTTCCTGGGTACATTATCACAGCAGAGAAAAGAGCCAAGAGCCTTATAAAATACAGACCCAAAATGTGCCACAAGGAACTGCCCTCAAGTTAGCTGGCATTAGATTGTATCAGCTAGAAGGCACTTTTCCCTCCCAGTTTACATTATCTCAGGAAGAAGAAAAAATTTTATGTTGAATAAAGTTTTAATTTTTGACGATTCAAGAAATACCATTATTAAAAATGATTCATGAACAGAGTTGTGCCTCCTAAATCTGCACAATGGAGATGTCAAATTTCCTCACTTTATTAACCATAAATTTGGTATCTGCTGAATATTAACATGCCTCCTTTAATCTAACCATAACAATATTATTTTTTTCAAAAATAAAATTTTTTTTTTTAAACCATGGAACGTCCGGGTATAACACAGACCTGTTGAAGAAGTCTAGGTGACACCAAAACTTCCAAGTGAGAAATTTCAATCAGTAATTTAAATATTTTGTTAACATGATACCAAACATCTGAACATTAGGAAACCTCCAGATGACTGGTAGAAGTATTCATTTTTTATCCATATGTCTTGCTGTTTTGATGATATACTGATTAACTTTCTTTCCAGCCTACAAATTTGTTTCTTCTATCCTAAAGGAGAACTGAAGGATTGGGTGAGGAAAATTACATTTTTTTTTCTTCAGCTCATCATTAAATTGAACAATGTGAGAGGTTTTGAAGTTTAACAACGTGTGGTTTCCACCATAGTGGATGGGTGTACCTTTAGTAGAGTATTTGACTAGCTTTAACCTGAATGTATAATTTCTCTGCATTCTCCAAATCATCATGAGCTTAATGCAATTTAGTAACCCCAATTCTCCTGCACAGCAGTACATTCCTGTCAGGTTCACACTTCAAGGGAGTTCTCTCTGAGAATGAAAGAAGTGAGCAAAACAAGCACATTCCCAGGTTGTATATATATTTTGCACATCATAGTTTCAAGGGCAATAGGAAAGGCATAAATTACCTAAAAACATCTATGACTTACTATACTTGAGAGCCAAAACCTTATCCATTCAGTCTTATTTTAGTGCTGAAATGTATTTATTTGTGCAGTTCCAAGAACACAATTTATCACTTTTCTTCTGCTGCAGAGAAAGAAAAAAGGCCAATAGATCATCACAGTAAGAGCTGAAACTACTAAATATAGAGATAGAACCTTTAGTTATTGTTAAGAAAAGTCAGAATAGAAAGAAACAGTGAGAAGTACTATTTTGTATCCTGATTCCTCACAGGTACACTTAAATATTGAGGGTCAGAGATGTGAATCTAAATCTTGTTTCAAATATTTGAAGCATTTTTAAAAGGCAGAAATCTAGTCTCCTGAGACTCAATATGGTTGTGGCAATTTCTACACAATCTATAATAATCTAATTTCCATGTAGAACATTCTTAATCTCTATAGGACAATATCTAGAAAGTATTATAGAGCATAAACTTTATGAGTGATAAATTTAAAAAAATTCAAAGTCTGCATCTTACTTTGATTTGTCTTTATGATAAATGGTAAAAATAGTTTATGTAAGAAGTTATTGAAAACACCAAGAAAATGTTAAAGTTTGTATGATTTGCTGCTATACTGAGATTTCCAATATAGGATAATACATGAGTGTTTATATTATTTTTAAAGGACTATGATAGAATAACACCTTTTAGAAAGTGGTAATTACCTATGAAATACTATTATGTTTAATTGTTCTGCATTAACCAGCTACTGTTTTCTGACCCTTTGCAGATAATTCTTCTCTGTTTTTGTAGGCCATAATGGGATAATTTTATTTTTTTCTTGCTAAGGCTATAACATAAGCCATTTAATTCAATATAGTTTTGTCAAAATCTGCTGCAGAAGGTGTGCCAGGAGAATGTACTGTCATCGAGAAGTTCCAACCTCAAATATTAGTTTTGCCTCTATTTTTATTCAATCAGAATATTCTTCATATATCATTGGAGGACTTACAATTGAGAAACGCTTTTTATGTTTTTGGCCCAACATAATACTTTAGCAAAACCTTTTCTAGCTTTATTTTTAAAAATTATACAGAATAATAATCCTTTCAACAACACTAAAATTCTTTTGTTCAAGTTTCAAAATCTGGCATGTTTGAGATAATTTTAGGATTTTCTGTTTGATAATACCATATTTTTATCTATATAGTTCATGATCTATGTAAGTATATCTTAAAATAACTAATGAAAATTAATAAGCGATAATAATAAGTTTTCTGAAGAGGGAATACAAATAACAGTAAATATTTAGTAAGTTGCTCAATCTTCTTTTTCTTTTTTTTTTCTTTTATTATTATTATACTTCAAGTTTTAGGGTACATGTGCACAATGTGCAGGTTAGTTACATGTGTATACATGTGCAATGCTGGTGTGCTGCACCCATTAACTCATCATTTAGCATTAGGTATATCTCCTAAAGTTATCCCTCCCCCCTCCCCCCACCCCACAACAGTCCCCAGAATGTGATGTTCCCCCTTCTGTGTCCATGTGTTCTCATTGTTCAATTCCCACATATGAGTGAGAATATGCGGTGTTTGGTTTTTTGTTCTTGCGATAGTTTACTGAGAATGATGATTTCCAATTTCATCCATGTCCCTACAAAGGACATGAACTCATCATTTTTTATGGCTGCATAGTATTCCATGGTGTATATGTGCCACATTTTCTTAATCCAGTCTATCATTGTTGGACATTTGGGTTGGTTCCAAGTCTTTGCTATTGTGAATAGTGCCGCAATATACATACGTGTGCATGTGTCTTTATAGCACCATGATTTATAGTCCTTTGGGTATATACCCGGTAATGGGATGGCTGGGTCAAATGGTATTTCTAGTTCTAGATCCCTGAGGAATCGCCACACTGACTTCCACAATGGTTGAACTAGTTTACAGTCCCACCAACAGTGTAAAAGTGTTCCTATTTCTCCACATCCTCTCCAGCACCTGTTGTTTCCTGACTTTTTAATGATTGCCATTCTAACTGGTGTGAGATAGTATCTCATTGTGGTTTTGATTTGCACTTCTCTGATGGCCAGTGATGATGAGCATTTTTTGATGTGTCTTTTGGCTGCATCAATGTCTTCTTTTGAGAAGTGTCTGTTCATAACCTTTTCCCACTTTTTGATGGGGTTGTTTGATTTTTCTCTTGTAAATTTGTTTGAGTTCATTGTAGATTCTGGATATTAGCCCTTTGTCAGATGAGTAGGTTGCGAAAATTTTCTCCCATTTTGTAGGTTGCCTGTTCGCTCTGATGGTAGTTTCTTTTGTTGTGCAGAAGCTCTTTAGTTTAATTAGATCCCATTTGTCAATTTTTGCTTTTGTTGCCATTGCTTTTGGTGTTTTACACATGAAGTCCTTGCCCATGCCTACGTCCTGAATGGTAACGCCTAGGTTTTCTTCTAGGGTTTTTATGGTTTTAGGTCTAACGTTTAAGTCTTTAATCCATCTTGAATTAATTTTTGTAAAAGGTGTGAGGAAGGGATCCAGTTTCAGCTTTCTACATATGGCTAGCCAGTTTTCCCAGCACCATTTATTAAATAGGGAATCCTTTCCCCATTGCTTGTTTTTCTCAGGTTTGTCAAAGATCAGATAGTTGTAGATATGCGGCGTTATTTCTGAGGGCTCTGTTCTGTTCCATTGATCTATATCTCTGTTTTGGTACCAGTACTATGCTGTTTTGGTTACTGTAGCCTTGTAGTATAGTTTGAAGTCAGGTAGCGTGATGCCTCTAGCTTTGTTCTTTTGGCTTAGGATTGACTTGGCGATGCGGGCTCTTTTTTGGTTCCATATGAACTTTAAAGTAGTTTTTTCCAATTCTGTGAAGAAAGTCATTGGTAGCTTGATGGGGATAGCATTGAATCTATAAATTACCTTGGGCACTATGGCCATTTTCATGATATTGGTTCTTCCTACCCATGAGCATGGAATGTTCTTCCATTTCTTTGTATCCTCTTTTATTTCCTTGAGCAGTGATTTTTAGTTCTCCTTGAAGAGGTCCTTCGCGTCCCTTGTAAGTTGGATTCCTAGGTATTTTATTCTCTTTGAAGCAATTGTGAATGGGAGTTCACTCATGATTTGGCTGTTTGTCTATTATTGGTGTATAAGAATGCTTGTGATTTTTGTAGATTGATTTTGTATCCTGAGATTTTGCTGAAGTTGCTTATCAACTTAAGGAGATTTTGGGCTGAGACAATGGGGTTTTCTAGATATACAATCATGTCATCTGCAAACAGGGACAATTTGACTTTCTCTTTTCCTAATTGAATACCCTTGATTTCCTTCTCCTGCCTGATTGCCCTGGCCAGAACTTCCAACACTATGTTGAAAAGGAGTGGTGAGAGAGGGCATCCCTGTCTTGTGCCAGTTTTCAAAGGGAATGCTTCCAGTTTTTCCCCATTCAGTATGATATCGGCTGTGGGTTTGTCATAGATAGCTCTTATTATTTTGAGATACGTCCCATCAATACCTAATTTATTGAGAGTTTTTAGCATGAAGGTTGTTGAATTTTTTCAAAGGCCTTTTCTGCATCTATTGAGATAATCACGTGGTTTTTGTCTTTGGTTCTGTTTATATGCTGCACTACATTTATTGATTTGCGTATATTGAACCAGCCTTGCATCCCAGGGTTGAAGCCCACTTGATCATGGTGGATAAGCTTTTTGATGTGCTGCTGGATTCGGTTTGCCAGTATTTTACTGAGGATTTTTGCATCAATGTTCATCAAGGATATTGGTCTAAAGTTCTCTTTTTTTGTTGTGTCTCTGCCCGGCTTTGGTATCAGGATGATGCTGGCCTTATAAAATGAGTTAGGGTGGATTCCCTCTTTTTCTATTGACTGGAATAGTTTCAGAAGGAATGGTACAAGTTCCTCCTTGTACCTCTGGTAGAATTCAGCTGTGAATCCTTCTGGTCCTGGACTCTTTTTGGTTGGTAAGCTATTGATTATTGCCACAATTTCAGAGCCTGTTATTGGTCTATTCAGAGATTCAACTTCTTCCTGATTTAGTCTTGGGAGGGTGTATGTGTCGAGGAATTTGTCCATTTCTTCTAGATATTCTAGTTTATTTGTGTAGAGGTGTTTTTAGTATTCTCTGATGGTAGTTTGTATTTCTGTGGGATCAGTGGTGATATCCCCTTTATCATTTTTTATTGCGTCTATTTGATTATTCTCTCTTTTCTTTTTTATTCGTCTTGCTAGTGGTCTATCAATTTTGTTGATCCTTTCAAAAAACCAGCTCCTAGATTCATTAATTTTTTTTTTTTTTTTTTTTTTTGAGACGGAGTCTCGCTCTTTCGCCCAGGCTGGACTGCAGTGGCTCTGTCTTGGCTCACTGCAAGCTCCGCATCCCGGGTTCATGCCATTCTCCTGCCTCAGCCTCCCGAGTAGCTGGGATTACAGGCACCTGCTACCACGCCCGGCTAATTTTTTTTGTATTTTTAGTAGAGACGGGGTTTCACTGTGTTAGCCAGGATGGTCTCGATCTCCTGACCTCGTGATCCTCCCGCCTCGGCCTCCCAAAGTTCTGGGATTACAGGCGTGAGCCACCGCGCCCGGCCGATTCATTAATTTTTTGAAGGGTTTTTTTGTCTCTATTTCCTTCAGTTCTGCTCTGATTTTAGTTATTGCTTGCCTTCTGCTAGCTTTTGAGTGTGTTTGCTCTTGCTTTTCTAGTTCTTTTAATTTTGATGTTAGTGTGTGAATTTTGGATCTTTCCTGCTTTCTCTTGTGGGCATTTAGTGCTATAAATTTCCCTCTACACACTGCTTTGAATGTGTCCCAGAGATTCTGGTGTGTTGTGTCTTTGTTCTCGTTGGTTTCAAAGAACATCTTTATTTCTGCCTTCATTTCGTTATGTGCCCAGTAGTCATTCAGGAGCAGGTCATTCAGTTTCCATGTAGTTGGGTGGTTTTGAGTGAGTTTCTTAATCTTGAGTTCTAGTTTGATTGCACTGTGGTCTGAGAGACAGTTTGTTATAGTTTCTGATCTTTTACATTCGCTGAGGAGAGCTTTACTTCCAACTATGTGGTCAATTTTGGAATAGGTGTGGTGTGGTGCTGAAAAAATGTATATTCTGTTGATTTGGGGTGGAGAGTTCTGTAGATGTCTATTAGGTCCGCTTGGTGCAGAGCTGAGTTCAATTCCTGGGTATCCTTGTTAATTTTCTCTCTCGTTGATCTGTCTAATGTTGACAGTGGGGTGTTAAAGTCTCCCATTATTATTGTGTGGGAGTCTAAGTCTCTTTGTAGGTCACTCAGGACTTGCTTTATGAATCTGGGTGCTCCTGTATTGGGTGCATATATATTTAGGATAGTTAGCTCTTCTTGTTGAATTGATCCCTTTACCATTATGTAATGGTCTTCTTTGTCTCTTTTGATCTTTGTTGGTTTAAAGTCTGTTTTATCTGAGACTAGGATTGCAACCCCTGCCTTTTTTTGTTTTCCATTGGCTTGGTAGATCTCCCTCCATCCTTTTATTTTGAGCCTATGTGTGTCTCTACACGTGAGATGGGTTTCCTGAATACAGCACACTGATGGGTCTTGAGTCTTTATCCAATTTGCCAGTCTGTGTCTTTTAATTGGAGCATTTAGTCCATTTACATTTAAAGTTAATATTGTTATGTGTGAATTTGATCCTGTCATTATGATGTTAGCTTGTTATTTTGCTCATTAGTTGATGCAGTTTCTTCCTAGCCTTGATGGTCTTTACAATTTGGCATGATTTTGCAGTGGCTGGTACGGGTTGTTCCTTTCCATGTTTAGTGCTTCCTTCAGGAGCTCTTGTAAGGCAGGCCTGGTGGTGACAAAATCTCTCAGCATTTGCTTGTCTGTAAAGGATTTTATTTCTCCTTCACTTATGAAGCTTAGTTTGGCTGGATATGAAATTCTGGGTTGAAAATTCTTTTCTTTAAGAATGTTGAATATTGGCCCCCACTCTCTTCTGGCTTGTAGAGTTTCTGCCGAGAGATCCGCTGTTAGTCTGATGGGCTTCCCTTTGTGGGTAACCCGACCCGGCTGCCCTTAACATTTTTTTCCTTCATTTCAACTTTGGTGAATCTGACAATTATGTGTCTTAGAGTAGCTCTTCTCGAGGTGTATCTTTGTGGCGTTCTCTGTATTTCCCGAATTTGAATGTTGGCCTTCCTTGCTAGGTTGGGGAAGTTCTCCTGGATAATATCCTGCAGAGTGTTTTCCAACTTGGTTCCATTCTCCCCATCACTTTCAGGTACACCAATCAGACATAGACTTGGTCTTTTCACATAGTCCCATATTTCTTGGAGGCTTTGTTCATTTCTTTTTATTCTTTTTTCTCTAAACTTCCCTTCTCGCTTCATTTCATTCATTGCATCTTCCATTACTGATACCCTTTCTTCCAGTTGATCGCATTGGCTCCTGAGGCTTCTGCATTCTTTACGTCGTTCTTGAGCCTTGGCTTTCAGCTCCATCAGCTCCTTTAAGCACTTCTCTTTATTGGTTATTCTAGTTATACATTCGTCTAAATTTTTTTCAAAGTTTTCAACTTCTTTGCCTTTGGTTTGGATTTCCTCCTGTAGCTCGGAGTAGTTTGATCGTCTGAAGCCTTCTTCTCTCAACTCGTCAAAGTCATTCTCCGTCCAGCTTTGTTCCATTGCTGGTGAGGAGCTGCATTCCTTTGGAGGAGGAGAGACGCTCTGCTTTTTAGAGTTTCCAGTTTTTCTGCTCTGTTTTTTCCCCATCTTTGTGGTTTTATTTACTTTTGGTCTTTGATGATGGTGATGTACAGATGGGTTTTTGGTGTGGATGTCCTTTCTGTTTGTTAGTTTTCTTTCTAACAGACAGGACCCTCAGCTGCAGGTCTGTTGGAGTTTGCTAGAGGTCCACTCCAGACCCTGTTTGCCTGGGTACCAGCAGCAGTGGCTGCAGAACAGTGCATTTTCGTGAACCATGAATGCTGCTGTGTGATCGTTCCTCTGGAAGTTTTGTCTCAGAGGAGTACCCAGCTGTGTGAGGTGTCAGTCTGCCCCTACTGGGGGTTGCCTCCCAGTTAGGCTGCTCAGGGGTCAGGGGTCAGGGACCCGCTTGAGGAGGCAGTCTGCCCGTTCTCAGATCTCCAGCTGCATGCTGGGAGAACCACTGCTCTCTTCAAAGCTGTCAGACAGGGACATTTAAGACTGCCGAGGTTACTGCTGTCTTTTTGTTTGTCTGTGCCCTGCCCCTCGAGGTGGAGCCTGCAGAGGCAGGCAGGCCTCCTTGAGCTGTGGTGGCCTCTACCCATTTGGAGCTTCCCGGCTGCTTTGTTTACCTAAGCAAGCCTGGGCAATGGTGGGCACCCCTCCCCCAGCCTCGCTGCCGCCTTGCAGTTTGATCTCAGACTGTTGTGCTAGCAATCAGCGAGACTCTGTGGGTGTAGGACCCTCCGAGCCAGCTGTGGGATATAATCTCCTGGTGCGCCGTTTTTTAAGCCCGTTGGAAAAGCGCAGTGTTAGGGTGGGAGTGACCCGATTTTCCAGGTGCCATCTGTCACCCCTTTCTTTGACTAGGAAAGGGAACTCCCTGACCCCTTGTGCTTCCTGAGTGAGGCAATGCTTCGCCCTGCTTCGGCTTGCGCACGGTGCACTGCACCCACTGTCCTGGGCCCACTGTCTGGCACTCCCTAGTGAGATGAACCCAGTACTTCAGATGGAAATGCAGAAATCACCCGTCTTCTGTGTCGCTCATGCTGGGAGCTGTAGACTGGAGCTGTTCCTATTCAGCCATCTTGGCTCCACCCCTCAATCTTCTTTAATATTAAAGATATGCAATTAAAAATGAGACATCATTTTTTGTTACCTATAGCTTTAGCAAAAATTAAACAAATTAGAGTACTAAATGTTTGCAAGAATATTGAGAAACAGAAGTACCTAGGTAATTTTAGTGCGAATGTGAATCCACATAACCCTTTTGGCGTAGAGAGCTATGTATTAAAATTTTGGATATCCATACCCTTTAATCTAGGAAATTCACTTATAAAAATTTATTATATTTTAGAATTTTATTCACACCAATACCCCAAAATTATGTATACAAGAATAATTAATACAACAATAGAAACCAACAAAGTCATCTGAGCTTCTATCAACATAAAAACAGTTAAGATATTATCCATTGGATCACTAAGCTATTGTGCAGTATATAGATATTTAAAGACATCGTATACATTTGTACATGCTCATCTGCACATTTGGCCACTATTTTGCAAGTTTAAAAATGCAAGTTCCCCAAAGTTAAACATTTATTTTGTGAAAGTATTGCAAAAAGATTTTACATTTTTCTAATTTCTGTTTTATTATTCCTCACTCTTCATGAGATGCTACCTTTTTTTCTCCGACTAGGAGAACTTTTACTTCTGTTTTATAACTTTCTGTTTTATTTGAATTTGGTTTCATAAAATAATTCAAAAACATAAAAGGGGTAGATCAGAATAAATATTTTAAACCTTTTATTTTTACAACTAATGACAAGTCAGTATATGGTGTCTTCTGAACACCAGCATAAAGACATTCTGCACACAGTTGAGAAAAGTAAGAATGAAATCTTGCCTGGAGAAGCAAGTTTGAGAATCATTAGCAGTGGGTTTAGATGAAGCCTCCTAAGGTAAATGTGTATACTGAGAAAAGCACATAGACTGAGGGCTATGACATTTAAGCAGTAGATGTAGCAGAGGAGCAGGAAACAGAACCTGACCTTCGATAACTTTTCAACGTATTGAATAAATGAATAAAGAAGTTAACAGGTTTTTACTGAGAACCAGGAAAGATACTTATATGTAATATCAAGAAGGAAGACATTTTCTAAGAAGGAGTGTCAATCAGTTTAACTGTTGCAAAGCTAGGCCACCAATGACCTCCATATTGCTTCATTTGTGACCTAGAATGGGAGGTAGAAACCAGATTGTATCAGGTTGAGGAGAAATAAAAAATAAAAAATTGCAGACTGTGAGTTATACACCTTTTAAAATAAATTGGCTGTGAAGGGAAAAATAATAAAGTAGAACTCATAAGGGGTTGTGGGCATAAGAAGTATTGTGTTTAAGACTCTAATGTTTAGACCTGAGTCACTTAAACAGGAGTGTATTCTGGGATAACGTTTGAAAAGAAACAAAATCTGTTAATGACTTAAGGCTCTATCTCTCTAAGGCCAAAAAAGAGAAAAGATGGAAAACACCAGGATTCCCAACATTTACATATTAATGAAGAACCATCCAAATAATAAGATGGTATTTTTTCTTCTGTAAAATCTTCCTGCTTATTTGTCACCTTTAAGTGTAAAGTTTGTAAATGCTACTTATGCATAGGTAATTCATTAAGAGTTCTTTTTTTATAAGGAAACGAAAAATTCATGGTCATATATCTACTGAGACAAATACTTCCATGCAGCAAATATCATGAAAACATTGTAGTGTAATCTATCACAAAGATATCTGAATTGCAGGCAAAGTTTTGGTGAGTTTATAATTTCCTGAAAGCTTAAAAGATAATAGTTGGCTGGGTGCAGTGGTTCACGCCTGTAATCCCAGCACTTTGGGAAGTGAAGGCAGGCCAAGCACTTGAAGTCAGGAGTTCGAGACCAGCCTGGCAAACATGGTGAAACCCCATCTCTACCAAAAAATACAAAAAGCAACTGGGTGTGGTGGTGCATGCCTGTGGTTCCAGCTACTCCAGAGGCTGAGATGGGAGGATCACTAGAACCTAGGAGATTGAGGCTGCAATGAGCTGAGGCTGTGCCACTGCACTCCAGCCTGGGTGACAGAGACAGATCCCATCTCAAAAAATAAATAAATAAATAAATAAATAAATAAATAAATAAATAATAAAAGTTTAAAATTGTACAATTTTCTTGAAAGTTTAATAGATAAGATTATCTAGCAATAAATCTGTACTTAATGAAGCTTTAATAAAAAGGAGAGTAGACAACCTTTGTGTGTGCTTAGTTCAAATAAAGTATACATGCTTGAGCTTCAAAGAAAATAAAATATAATTATTTTACACTATTTGCACTATGCTTGAAGCAGTGGACTTGGTAGAGGCCAGCCAGCAGAAGCCTGCAATAGAAGAATACAGGCTTTTTGATTTTATGGCAATGGGTCTATTTTCATGAGACGTGATTTTATGTTAAGAAATGAAATGGTTTGAAATTGATTCTACTGCATGGGAGGAGAGAGGAGCATAGCATATGAAGAACACATTTTGCAAATGCTTTCTTTCACCAAAGCCTATGGGAGGGTGAGAGGAGATAATGAACTCTTACCTGAACTCATCTTTCCTTCACTATTTGTAAGAGAGAAAATAAAAAATGCAAATGAGAGCAATTTTTCTGCTAGTAACAGCAAGAGGTCATGTTGGATCAGGTGATTTACAGAATTGTTAGTCACCATACGTGTTTAGGATTGTTCCTTACCTTTTTCTTTCTTCCTCTTAGTGCTATCCTTTCTCCATTTATCTTTTCCTTCTTAAAGATTCCACACATGAAAAGTGGACTAAGTACCTGGCACCAGGGAAATCAGAAAACTTTTATCAATAAAAATGGAATAGTCCTCTCTTTAATTAATATGATTTATTAGATTTGAAGCTAGATCAACAACTCCTGCTAGAGTTTCCCATGTAGCTCTCTCATTGCTATTGTAATCTATTGAGCTCTCTACTGTACTCTCCTAGTTAATTCTGGTACATTCTCCAACAATTCTGAAAATGACTTAATGCTGCTGTTATGTTTAAGAGTCTGGTGATGTCCATTTTCCTTATGCCTCTTGTAAGGATGTTTGGATTAAGTAGAGAAATGTTACATTATAAAATGGCCACAGTGGACCATAAAATTATTAAAATTCTTCTTTATAAACCACAAATAAATGGTGGAAATGGTGAAGAAGAAGAAGAACATTGGTAGAAATTTTATTTATTCTAAATAATACGAACAGGAAAAAAGTTTCTTTTGAAATAACTATAGCAGCTCCTAGTTTCATTGTATGACTAATGGCATTGCCTTAACCCTGTTGTTAAAAATATATCTTTCTTCAAACTGACAGAGACAAAATTAAGTTTGTATCTTAAGCTTAACCCCAGCCTGGTCTAACATTTCATTTAATAACTCCATATAGTGAGACTTAATATTAACAGTTCAATGGTACTAACTCAAAATGACATTGTGTCAATTGGTTCTATTTTCAAAAACAATATTTATATAATATTTATGCATATGTTGTCAAGATCAGCACTTGGTAAGTTTTTATTCACTCTTAAAGTCAAACTCAAGGTCAACCATTTTTGCCCATATTGATTTGTCTACCTCTTGTGCCAAACCCTTTATTAGCTCTATCACAAATTTTGACATTCAATTATATGCTGTGGTTTATTTATCATTAATTGAGAATATGTCCCAATGAGGAATTAAACTATTTAGTATAGTAATCACACAGTAATTTAATTCTCTCAATTACCAACATACTCTGGAAACTCAGCAAAGACTCAGCAAATGCTCAGAGAACTAAAAATATGGGACAGAAGGAAGATTGTCTTATAGACATAGTTTAGACTTTGACTCATGTTGAAAAATCATTTTTCCCAGATTCACAGAAATAAAGAAATTCCAGTATTGGAAATGACTTGAAGTTATATAGTCTAATGTCTCTGGCTGGCAGCATAACTAAGACGTGGTTGGCCAATCTCTAGTAAGAATGAATTACCACTTTCCAAGGCAGTTATGCCTTTTCAGATGGTTCTGACAGCAAGTTTTATTTCAAGCTTAAATTCAGCTCCTTGTAACTTCTACTGACAATATCTCCACTATGGCCATACTCTTGAAAAGAGATTTTGGGTTCCCATTTGTCTTCTCTTTTCTAGTTTGCTTAATAATTCCTCATATCCCTTCATATATTGGTCAAGATGCTTTTGACTATGAAAAACAGCAAACTCTGACACTAATAAGCTTAAGCAATATGGAAAATTATTATCTCAGATAACAACAAGAGGCAGATGGATTCCAATGTTGGTTGATTTAGCTACTCAAGGATGGTATCAAACACTCTCATTTTCTTTTCCTTCCTTTCTGTCTCCTATCATTCTTGGTGGTGTCTTCACTATTAGGCTGATAGAAAAATGGCTTCTTTTCATATATCAGACAAGGAAAAGATGGAAAATTATCTTTTCTTGTCCATCTTTCTAGAGATTTTTTTCTAGAGTTCTCAGCAGGTTTCATGTCTCATTAGAAAAAAAAATTAGGCAACATATCCAATGTCTGAAGCAATTCCTGGCAAGAGTGATGAAATTACATATAATTGGTTTAGATAAGTTATCTGGTGTGAAATAGATTCAACTGCAATTCTATTACACATGGCTAGATATAGTTTTTATTTGCTTTTATGTTCGATCTCTTCTTTATGCAGGTGATTATAAACTAATGGATTTTAACCCTTTATATTTTGAAGATCATTAGCAAGTCACTATTTTATGTTACAACCAAGCTGTACCTAATAGAAAGTCTTGCTGATTCGATGATTAAGAAAAAAAAAAGGAGGTTCCTTGTGAAATAAAAGTGCTGATTTATTTTAAGTAATTTGTACCTACCTTAGAGTGTATCTTTTTGTATTTTGTACTTTGAAAACATTATCTTAGATTTACATTCAATTAAGTAGATAAAACTCCTACACAATGAGAATGATTTCATATGTTGAAATAAGTTATAATCTTATCTAAAAGTGTAGTTGGTGGTTTTCAAGCAAATATTATAATTTTGTCTCCGTGTTGGGTGACAAATTTTTGTTCTTTTCAAGGTAGCAAATAATGCATTCAGGCTTTTAAAATTTTTTCTTTCTTTTCTATCATGCTCATTTAATGAAAGTAGCAATTTAATATATAATTGGTAAACTAAATAGGCAGGTATTATACTTTTATGCACACAATAATTATAATGGGATTTACACAATTGCCAAGATAAAAGAATCACATTAAACAGGAGCAAAGGAAGACATACGATATTTAAGTTCTTTCCTGATACAGACGGTTGCATACTGAGAGAAATTGTCTCAATAAGATATACTAGCTGCATCACAATAATGGAAAATTTCTGATAACACTAGGAGCTCATCAAATACACATACAAACACATTCACTGGAAATCATAAAACCTAAGTAAGAAAAATTATTGAGTTTTTCTTTCATTGCTTAGATAATTACTTAGCTGTCATATAAATACTTAGCAGAGTATACCATTTCAACAGTATACAATATATAATACAGGAAGCATGTTTCTTCTTAACTGTTGGGATAAATTTTTGTTTCATGAATAATTTAATTTATTTATAAAATGATCTTGCACAGAGCACTTCACTGATGGCGACAGGAGACAGACAAATTCTTAGGCAGACAGGGTCGGGTCCCCCAATAAAACTCAACCTTCAAACCAAGGACAATTTAAAGCCTGAAAACTAAGCTGCCAATCCTGGATAGAGTCCACGACTGAAGCGAGACCTTCTATCCGTGTCTTATCCACTCTCTCGACTGGTTCCTTCTGGATGATGCCTTTTAACCAATGAAATGGTGCTTTTTCCAAGAACACCTATGGACCCATCAGCATGCACTTCCCCATTCTAAGGCCATAAAAAACCCACACTCAGCCTCACAGAGGGCTACCCACTTTCCTCTTGCAGGGGACAGCTTTCCTTTTGTCACTCAATAAAATTCTTCTCTGCCTTATTCACTCTCTGGTGTTTGTGTACCTTATTTCTCTTGGTCTCGGGACAAGAACCAGGAACTTACCAAGCTGTGGGAGGTGGGAATGAAAGAGCTGTAACTCTCCCTCCCGCTTGCCGAACTGTGGGAGCAAAAGAGCTGTGATGCTCCTGGCTGCCTCGCCAACCTGTAGGTGGTGGGAATAAAAGAACTGTAACCCTCCTTCCTGTTTACTGAACTGTGAGAGCAAAAGAGCTGTAACACGCCTGGCCAGCTCGCTGAGATGCGGGTGGTGGGAATAAAAGAGCTGTAACCTTCTCTCCGGCTCACCAAACTACAGGAGTAAAAACGTTGCTGGGTGCCACTCCCTCCTGCTCACCGAATTATGGGAGTGAAAAAGTGAAAAGCCACTGGGCACAACTCCCTCCTGCTCGCTTAACTACTGGAGCCACAACATTACTAGGCACCATAGGGCAGGTTAAGACCTAGTTCCTAGTCTTCTGATTACATTATTTATAAAGCAAATTTTTCTCTCCTGACATTCTACAAAAATGCAGAAAATGGATAATAAGCACAGTCCATAAAGACAAATAATTTCAGAGAAGAAACACAACAAACAAGCAATGTAGACCAACTTATGAAAGAAAGAAAACAGAAGGATGAATAGTAAATACCTTAGGTGTTTTGTTATTTTGCTCTGCTAATGGCTAGTAAGAGAGAAACCAGTGAAAATCAACATGCAGAACTGTGGAAAGATTCAGAAAGTGAAGGATCCATATATAGAAGTGTGGTGTGGATTGGTTGAAAGTGTTTGTGACAAGCTGTCAAAATGGGACTTATTTTCTGCTAAGATCTCAACAGATGAAGAATAAAATAGGAAGTTGGAAAGAATTCTTGCATTCCAAAAGATAAAGCAAACAATGGCACTGACAAGTTTTAGCAAAACATCCATCTAATAGATAAAAAAGTATCAAGCATGAAGAGACTGGGACAAAAATCTTTTTGGAGACAATTACAAGAGCACTAGAGAGAGAATGTTGCAACATTTTCCCTCTTCACCCTACCTCTCCATGGTTCTGTGGGAAAGAAGGTGGCCTTTGTCTCTTACCCCAAGCCTACGAGAGAACCTTCAGTGGAATTCCATTGAAATCTTGAATTTGATCCCAAGGGCACATGCATTTGAGTTTTACCCATTCCAGAAAAAACTAAAACTTGCTGCACTAGGAGTGATGGGAAAGAGAAGTTTCTTTTCTGGGATCTAGATATTGGATCCCTGGGTGAGCAAGATCCAGCCTCAATCATTTTACAGGGAACCTTAGTCAAGACTGCTTCTTGCTACAGGCAACATAATCTCAGTAGAAAAAGATGAGAATTGTACATATGGATGTAGAAGCTGAAGATTTTGTTCTTATTACCTTTTAGTTGTGTGTGTTTTTTAATGTCCAGCCAGAGGAAAGGCACTGGCTCATTGAGGCAAGTGAAGTCAGGCGGTCCCACTGTAGGATCTCTCTAGAACCAACTTCAAGAGGGAATGAATCAGTTTTAAGCATTCTCCAAGCCCAAAGAACAGCAAAGCCTGATGGTAACAGAGTCTGTTAACCAACACCTTGTTATTCCTCTCCACTCTTTCTTCTCTTAGCCCCAACACTGGAGAAATAAAAAATCAGGTGGAGTCAGCTGGTGGGAGAAAGGAGATGTGCAGGCCTGGGAAACAGAGAAGCTGAGCAGATGCTTATTTTCCATATTGAGTGGTTGAGGTCCCTTACTGAAAGGCCACAGGGCTGGGGAAAGAAAAATGCTGCTCTCTCAAGTCAGAAGAAACCTTTTATGATTAAGCTTAATGAACATTTTTATTAGTTAATCAAGATTGCCCTTGGGTCTAAAATGACTGAATATTGTTAAAGTTCTGCAATATCCTACATATCTAAAAGAGTATATAAACTATGTGTGACATAGCTGTAAATTTAGATAGTAATTATAGAGCAAATGTTGTGTAATCACTACCCAAAATTAAGAAATCTAACATGATCAGACCTTAGAAGCCATTTCTTATATGCATCTTCTCTATCATTGCACTCTCCTACACCAACCCTCCGACATTGGTGGCAATAATTTTTCTAATTCTCTTTTTAGTTTTACCAGGATTAATTCATTCTTCTTACTGTTGATGGACATTTGAATTGTTTCTATGTGGACATTGAATTGTTCCTTTCTAAAAGGAAGGTCCTTTTAGAACTGACCTTCCAGTGAACATTTTTTATGCCTCTTTTAATGCACATACACACTAGTTTCTCTAGGGGTTACATTTGGCGTAGAGATTTAGAGTCCTAGGATACACATTTCTCTATCAGAGGTTTCCAATTTAGACTCCCATCACAGTGCATGATAGTTTCTCTTGTCCCATGTGCTCACCAACACTTGTTACTGTCTGAATTTTCAATGTTTGCCAATTTAGTGGGTTAAAAAGGGTATTATACTGTGGACTTATTTCTTTGATCATCAGTGCAATTAATCACCTTTTCTTATGTTTTGCATTAACCTTTTGGATTTCCTCTTTTCTTATATGCCTGTTCAAGTATTTATTTTTATTTTAGGCTGTCTGTCTTTTCCTTGCCAATTTAAAGGAATTCAGTATGTATTCTGAATGCTAGTTTATTTTGTTTCTTTTATGTTGTGCAGAAATCGACCTTGTAACTGGCTTTCTGCTCTCTTTGACTTTTGATGAATATAGATTATTTAATTTTTCTTAATTAGACATACAATTCAATTACACATGGAATTAAGTTTAATACATTTCAATGTACCAGTGTTTTTAGTGCTCTGTGTTTCAAGAAATTATCACCTTACCAAGATAATGAAGTTATATTTTATTTTATCTTCAAAATAAAACAAGAGCTTTATAAATTTCCTGTACCCATTTAGATCATTAATCCTATTGGAATGCATTTTTGTGTATTTTGTGAGATAGAATCCTTTTACTTTCCTGTTTTTTTCCTTATGGCTAGCTATGCAATTCTCCTGGCACCAATTAATGAAAAACACTGCTTTTCTCTGTTGATCTGCATAATCACTGCTGTTTTATAACAAGCATCCATAGTGTTGAGTGTCTTCCTAGGCTGTATATTCTGTTTCATTAGTCTGTTTGTCTATCCCTATATAATATCACACTTTAATTAATATAGCTTTACATATGCTTGAAATTTGAAGAAAAATAACTATTTTCTTTTTTATCAATAGCATCAAGGTTATTCACGACCCTTTATATTTTCATATAAGTCATAGAATTTGTAATATAAATATAAAATATGTGTAAGTATAATTCTATAAATTATAGAATCAGTTTTTCAAGTCCACATTGAAGCATACAAAAACCTTGTTGTGATTTTCATTTGTATTACAAGTGATCTATTTATCAATTTGAAGAGAATTTACGTTTCCTATTACATTTCACATGGAGTCGTCCAATTCATGAAATAAGGCATTTCTCTTATTTTCATGTAGATCTGTTTTAAGAGTTACTATGGACTGAATTGTGTCCCCTCAATTCATATGTTAAAATCTTAACCCCCTAAGTGACTATATTTGGGGATAAGGCCTTTAGGAGGTAATTAAGGTTAAATAAAGTCATGAAGGTGAGGTCCTAATCCAGTAAGGTTGATGGCCTTATAAGAAGAAAAAAGACAGATCTCTCTCTCTCTCCCTCTCTTTGTCCATCAGGAGACCACAAGCACACAGCAAGAATGTGACCACACATAAGCCAAGAGAAGAGGCCTCAGAAAGAAATCTGCCTTGCTGGCATCTTAATTTAGGACTTCCCAGCCTCCAAAAGTGTGAAAAATACTTCAATATTGTGATGTTAATGTAAATGACATATACTTAAAAATTCCTTTTTTTTGTTTCTTATGGAAAAATGAAATTGATCTCTATATTTTGATCTTGTATCAATAAATCTTGTTAATCTCTCTTATTAAATGCCAACTACTGATCTATAAATTCTTTTAGAATTTCATACAGAAACAAAGATATCTATGAATAATGAAAGCTATGGTTTTTTGCAATCTTGATTTTTTTTGCCTTAATGTGCAGATAAGGGCCTAATTTAGAAAGTCTGAGGTGGACTCTGTGAATCTTCATTTCTGACCAATATCCTTGGCTGAATATTGAATGTTTATGAATTTCCAAATTACAGTAATTGGGTTGTAAAGTTCTGATTGGCAGATATTTGTTGATTGACTCACATTGTCTGTGAATCTTCATTTCTGACCAATATCCTTGGCTGAATATTGAATGTTTATGAATTTCCAAATTACAGTAATTGGGTTGTAAAGTTCTGATTGGCAGATATTTGTTGATTGACTCACATTGATTGGTTCACCTTTTTTCTTTACAATAACAATTTCTGAAAAGTTAAATTTATCTCTGGTTCAGCAATGCAGCTGGAGGTATCTGGGCCAAGAGGGGCCTCCACTAGGGGACAGAGCGGTGGGTAAGAGACCGTAAACTGGAGATGGGTGGTGACAGTGGAGACTAAGAGTCAGCTTTAGGAAACTGAAGAGCAGAGAGATAGGGAGATCGATGACACAGAGATGAAGATATTTAACAAAATAAATAACAAGAGTTCTTTGCACACTCCAAGCTCACAAGGAGCTATTCTTGAAGCTCTCCTTTGTTTTCTAGGTCAAATATAAACTTCAGCTAATCTGTTAAGCCCTCCTCTTTCCCTGAATATCTCCCACACTCGGCTTCTCTAAAAAAAAAATGACAGAAGCCCACTTTCAACGTGTTTACTCTTCCACCTGGCACTATAAACTCCATTTACAAACAATGGTTCAAAGGAGAAACACTTCTTTCGCAAAGGCAAAATGTTTGAAATATAATATATATATAATAAATGATAGTTAAAGGCAAAGGTAATTTCAGGAGAATAATAGGAATGAAATCATCAAAGAGATAAGAGATAGCAACTGAACTGAATTTTAAAACAGGTAGGAATTTAAAATGTGGGAATAAGAAAGCACAGTGTTTATTAGCTAGAGAAGAGGCTGTGTGCAGAGGGCAGTGGACGATGAAGTTTGGGAGTCAGTTTAATAATCAATTTCAGAGAATCCTAAGACCAAACAAAGGATGAGAATGTAGCCTAGAGGAAGGCAGAGTCCTCTAGGTTTATTTTTGATGGTCAAGTGACACATATAAAACTAAATCTGTTCCTCTTTTGCAGGAAAGAATGAGGAAAGGAAAGAATGGAGTAAAAAAAAAAAACCATTTACCAAACTATAACTTAAGTACGACGTAAGGAGAACCCAAACTAAAATATCATTAAAAAATAGAAGAAAGGAATATGTTTAAAGGAAGTCTAAAAAATTCATCAATATAAAAGTCACTGCTGGAGGAAAAAGTGCCTTCAGATCTTACCTAACACACTTATTTCAAGGGAGGCCCAGATAGTAAAATATTCTACAGAATCAGGTCACTAATCAAGAAAGTTTTTTTTTCTTTAGAAAGATTAAAAAAGAAACAGCTAAAGGTTTTTGAGATATGTTGTTCTTTTTGGAAAATGTCAGGCCCTGGTTTGTATTCAAGAGGAGTAATTTCAGGAGATTTCTCTGATGCGGTCCTCTAAAATTTTGTCAGGGTGACAATACCTTGTTTATCCCCTGATTAATGTATTACTTTTAAAGAACAGCTGGAGATATCTGATGTGTCAGTTCATTTAAATGCTGCCATTTTGCTTTTGTTGGAGATATACAACAATCACCCCCACAGTGCAGTGAGTAAGACTTTGGCAGTTGCTGCTGTACATGTCTGATCAGTCTTCACGCCTTAAGCAGGCAAAGAGGGAGGAGGAAAAAAGAAGGAAGAGCTCCTTTTTATCCATATTTTCCAGAGCCCCACTGACAGACTGTGCAATTTCTGATTTATGTTGTGTGAAAAGTGAGCTACAGAATGGCTCACTTCATTTGCAGCATAATGTCTTTGAAAACTGAAAAACAGAAGCATGAGCTCTCAGCAAGTCAGCAACATGGTCTTAAATTTCAGGCGGAGTGATCAATTGTTTAAATGTGCAGCAAAAAAAAAAAAAATATATATATATATATATAGGGAGAGAATTTCTTATGTTGATAATATTTTACTTTATACATGTGGTTGATTTAGCATGTGGTACTCTGGCCTTAAGAATTTATTTCTTCTCTGGACAGTCTTACCTTGGTTAATGTCCCCACCATAGATCTGTTTAGTTGTTCATGTTAAAGGATTTGGAATTCTTGACTCTTTTTCCTACTCAAAGCATCTGCACCATATATCCCATCTCCCCCAAATTCTCACACTCTTCTGCATCCCATAGATTCTGCTTTATTTTGGCTTTTATTAGCTCTTGTCTAAACAATTTTAATAACCTTTTAACATGTTTTCACTCCAGTTTCCCCACAAAAGCCAATTCTTCACAACCACTGATAAGATTCACATGTTCAAAGATGAATGTCATTATTCCACTTTTCCTTGGTTAACATCTTTCAATCTCCACCTTCACTTCCCAGAATTTTTTCTAGGGATGAGTAGAAATAGCATTTATTCACTGTTCTCCAAAACATGGCTTCAGGCTACTTTTCTGACCTCATGATTCTCACAATCACCTACGTGGTCTGCTCCCCCTTCCTAAACCTAGAAAATACATTGGATGAGACTCAACATAAATGGTACCTCCTACATGTAACATTCCCATCTTCCCTACATTAAGATTTGATGAGCACTCCCACTCTCTGTTCCTACAGCATTTTAATATATTTCTGTCAGTAGATTTTATTTCTTTTTTTTATGATATGACAGTCTTGTCCATTTATAAGACAGATTGTATTTTATTCCAACCTTTCACACCTAATTACCACGAATCACCTTAACAAGAAATCTGGTGCTATCAAAATGAAAACAAGGAGAAAAACTACTTTTTAAATTTTTTTTTATTTTCTCAGAAAGGACCCGTTTATGCTTTATGCTTCTAGTCTTCTGTAAATACCTCAATGTTTTCTATGAATACCTTTCTGTTAAGTATTACCACTAGTTGAAGACTACTGAAATATCCATATTTATACTTTGAGTCCTCAGGAGTTACCAGAAAAGACTAAGCAAGCAACAAAATTGTTAAATGGTTGACTCAAAGCATATTTTTCAATTCTGTTGTTTCTTACAGCTCTGGTTTATCATTATCATAGCACCTGACTGCCACCTTTTATGCATGAGGTGTATTTTACAAATTCCTGCAGAAATCACTGATCCCTTGAGGATTATATTATGCAGAGCTATCATCTTCTATTCCTTTTAATCACTGTTGTCTACCGACCTACTGACACCTATTAAGCAAAATTTTAGTGCCAGATATCTTTTATTTTCATCCAAATCTTATCCTCATCCTAGATTAATTGAGTAGCTAACTCCTCCTCACTTTGAGTCTTGCACTCTTTCAGTTCTACTGGTTTTTATTTCCACTTTACTTTGGGAATCTATATTCAAACCTTGGATACTGACAACATGTAAGAGAAGTCTAACTCAAAATCTTAAACTTTATTCTATGCATTTAGTCTCTCAATATTTTAACATTCTTCGTTCCTTACACCCTTTACTCACCCCCGATTTTTCTGCTTTCCTGCCTTTTTAAAATTTTCTTAATTAGTCTAGACCCAAAGGTTTCCTGTTTGAACTATTATTTTATCATTACTCTCCAAGTTTTTTTATCTCTTCCCTATCACACCTTCTTTGTAAAACCACAATCCTGGATTAATATAGCTGTCTGACTTATCTACTCTAGGCAATGGAGGTTTCAACATTTACTGAGTAAAAATTACTGCAACTGTGTAATTGGCATGACTACAATTTTGTATTTTCTGTTATCTTCTGTCATGTCTATACTGCCTGACAACCCTGTAACAAATCCATAGTCCTTCAGTATTCCATTTCCCACAAGAGCTCATGTTATCTGCTTTTTCTCCCCAGCCCTCCTTACATCTGCATACATTTTTTATTGTAAAAAGATATTTGAGTCTGTTAGGTGGAAATGCCCTCAGCCTCGTGCTTATTATCCTCTTGAATAAGTATGTCAGTCTTTCAGTTCTTAGCTATTTCCCCTTCCAATTTCAGTGGAAGGAAGATGTCTCTTTCTATCTATGGCTATTTCCTTTTGCTGATCCCTGAAGTTTCTGCCTTTCTATTTTCTTGACTTGTTTATTCATGAGCTTTTTCCTCCTTATCATTAATCTCTTCATATATTTTTTCTTAAAAATACAAAAATGCTCTATGATCATGTCTTCAAAAATACTTTTATGTCATCAGCTTCCTTCAGCAACAAAGCAACAAACTTCTTTCTGCTTCACAATTGTCTCTTGAAAAAGTTTTCTCCACTCTCCACATTTTTTTCTTGCCTCCATGTGTCCCCCAAACTACTGCAGTCTAGCTTCTATCTTTATCCATATAGCCTCTATCTTTATGACTCCAACTAAATAATTTTCAATAACAATCTCTTTTTTGCTAAATTCAGTGTAAAATTTTGTACTTTTTTCTTTCTTTACCACTCTAGCATGTGACACTATGGTTCATTTTATTCCTTTTCTTAAGTCCTGCATTGACTATCTCATTCTCTCTCTCTAAACAATCCTTTTAGTATGTATTTACGCTTCTCTTCTCTTCCACTGTCTTATATATTGGTGTTTTCCAGCATTCTGCCCTTGGTCTCTTCTTTCACTGTCATTGGAATAAGGGAGGAGACCACCTCTCATAGTGTCTTATGCCCAGCTTCTGCCTCCATATTGTCTTATGCCCAATCTCTGACCACCTTACTGAAATAAGACATGCAGACTAGAATAAAGGAAAAAGAATGAAAAGGAATGAACAAAGCCTCCAAGAAATATGGGAGTTCATAACAAAACCAAACCTATAACTGGAGTACCAGAAGGAGATGGGGACAATGGAAACAAGCTGTAAAACACACTTCAGAATATTATCCATGAGAACTTCCCCGATCTAGAAAGACAGGCCAATATGCAAATTCAAGAAATACAGAGAACAACATTAAGATATTCCACAAGAAGATCGACACCAAGACATAGAGTCACCTGATTCTCCAAGGTCAAAATGAAGGAAAAACTGTTAAGGGCAGCCAGAGAGAAAGGCCAGGTCACCTACAAAGGAAGCCCATCAGATGAATAGCAGACGACTCAGCAGAAACTCTACAAGCCAGAAGAGATTGGGAACCAATATTCAACATTCTTGAAGAAAAGAATTTTCAACCCAGAATTTCATATGCAGCCAAACTAAGCTTCATAAGCAAAGGAGAAATAAAGTCCTTTCCAGAAGAGCAGATGCTGAGGGATTTCGTTACCACCAGACCTGCCCTGCAAGAGCTCCTGAAAGAAGCACTAAATATGGAAAGGAAAAATCGGTACCATGACTGCAAAAACACACCACAATATAAAGACCAATGACACTATGAAGAAACTGCATCAACTAGTGTGCAAAATAACCAAATATCATCATGAAGGCAGGATCAAATTCACACATAACAATACTAATCTTAAATGTAAATGGACCAAATGCCCCAATTAAAAGACATACACTGGCAAATTGGATAAGAATTCAAGACCCATTTGTGTTCTGTATTCAGGAGAACCATCTCATGTGCAGAGACACACACAGGCTCAAAATAAAGAGATGGAGGAAAATTTACCAAGCAAATGGAAAGCAAAAAAAAGGAGGGGTTGCCATCCTAGTCTCTGACAAAACACACTTTAAACCAACAAAGATTAAAAAAAAAAAAAAGACAAAAAGGGCATTACATAATGGTAAAGGGAAAAATTCAACTAGAAGAGCTAACTATTCTGAAAATATATACACCCAATATTGGAGCATCCAGATTCATAAAACAAGTTATTAGAGACCTACAAAGAGACTTAGACTCCCATATAATAACACCTTACTATCAGTATTACACATATTGATGAGAGAAAATTAACAAGGATATTCAGAACTTGAACTGAGCTCTGGATCAAGTGGACCTAGTAGACATCTACAGAACTCTCTATCCAAGATCAACAGAATATACATTCTGCTCAGTGCCATATGGCACTTATTCTAAAATCAACCACATAATTGGAAGTAAAACACTTCTCAGCAAATGCAAAAGAACTGAAATTATAACAGTCTCTCAGGTCACAGTGCAATAAAATTAGAACTTGGGAGTAACAAATTCACTCAAAATGACGCAATTTCATGGAAATTGAACCACCTGGTTTTCAATGACCCTTGGTTAAATAATGAAATTAAGGCAGAAATCAAGAAGTTCTTTGAAACCATTGAGAACAAAGAGACACCATACCAGAATCTCCAGGACACAGCTAAAGCAGTATTAAGAAGGAAATTTATAGCACTAAGTACCCACATCAAAAAGCTAGAAAGATCTGAAATTGACACCCTAACATCACAGTTAAAATAGCTAGAAAGGCAAGAGCAAACAAATTTAAAAGTTAGCAGAAGACAAGAAAAAACTAAGATCAGAGAAGAATTGAAGGAGATTGAGACACGTAAAACCCTCCAACAAACCAACAAATCCAGGAGCTGCTTTTTGGAAAAAATTAACAAAATAGCTAGACAAATAAAGAAGAAAGAGAAGAATGAAATAAACAATAAAAAAGAAAGGAGATATCACCACTGACCCCACAGATACAAACTACCATCAGAGAATACTGTAAACAACTCTATGCAAATAAACTAGAAAATCTAGAAGAAATGGATAAATTTCTGGATGCATACACCCTACAAAGATTAAACCAGGAAGAAGGTGAATCCCTGAATAGACCAATAAAAAGCTCTGAAATTGCGACAGTAATTAATAGCCTACCAATTTAAAAAAGCCCAGGACCAGACAGATTTGCAGCTGAATTCTACCAGAAATACAAAGAGGAGCTGATAGCATTCTTCTGAAACTATTCCAAACAATTGAAAAGGAGGGACTCCTCCCTAACTCATTTTAGGAGGCCAGCATCATTCTGATACCAAAACTGGGAAGAGACACAACAAAACAAGAAAACTTCAGGCCAATATCCTGGATGAACATCCATGCAATCCTCAATAAAATACTGGCAAACTGAATCCAACAGCACATCAAAAAACTTATCTACAACGATCAAGTCAATTTCATCCCTGAGATGCAAGACTAGCTCAACAGACACAAATCAACAGACATAATCCATCACCTAAACAGAACCAGAGAAAAAAACCACATGATTATCTCAATAGATGCAGAAAAGGCCTTTGATAAAATTCAATATCTTTCATGTTAAAAACTCTCAATAAACTAGGTATAGAACATATCTCAAAATAGGCCAGGCGCGGTGACTTACGCCTGTAATCCCAGCACTTTGGGAGGCTGAAGTGGGCGGATCACCTTGTCTTCTGCTAGATTTTAAATTTGTTTGCTCTTGCCTTTCTAGCTATTTTAATTGTGATGTTAGGGTGTCAATTTCAGATCTTTCTAGCTTTTTGATGTGGGTACTTAGTGCTATAAATTTCCTTCTTAATACTGCTTTAGCTGTGTCCCGGAGATTCTGGTATGGTATCTCTTTGTTCTCAATGGTTTCAAAGAACTTCTTGATTTCTGCCTTAATTTCATTATTTAACCAAGGGTCATTGAAAACCAGGTGGTTCAATTTCCATGAAATTGCATCATTTTGAGTGAATTTGTTACTCCCAAGTTCTAATTTTATTGCACTGTGACCTGAGAGACTGTTATAATTTCAGTTCTTTTGCATTTGCTGAGAAGTGTTTTACTTCCAATTATGTGGTTGATTTTAGAATAAGTGCCATATGGCACTGAGAAGAATGTATATTGTCAGAAGTTCGAGACCAGCCTGGCCAACATGGTGAAACCCCGTCTATACTAAAAATAGAAAAACAATTAGCCAGGCATGGTGGTGGGCTCCTGTAATCCCAGCTACTCAGGAGGCTGAGATAGGAGAAACACTTGAACCTGGGAGGCAGAGGTTGCAGTGAGCCGAGATGGCACCACTGCACTCCAGCCTGGGCGACAGAGTGAGACTCTGTCTCAATAAAAAAGAACATACCTCAAAATAATGAGAGCTATTTATGACAAACCCACAGCCAATATCACATTGAATGGGAAAAGCCTGGAAGCACTCCCTTTGAAAACTGGTGGATGACAAGGATGCTCTCTCTAACCACTCCTGTGCAATATAATATTGAAAGCTCTGGCCAAGGCAATCAGGCAAGAGAAAGAAATAAAAAGTATTCAAATAGGAAGACAGGAAGTCAAGTTGTGTCTGTTTGCAGATGACATGATTTTATATTTAGAAAACCCCATCATCTCAGCCCAAAACCTTCTCGAACTGATAAGCAACTTCAGCAAAGTCTCAGGACACAAAATAAATGTGCAAAAATCACAAGCATTCCTTTACACCAACAGTAGGCAAGCAGAGAGCCAAATCATAAATGAACTCCCATTCAAAGTTGCTACAAAGAGAATAAAATAACTAAAAATACAACTAACAAAAGATGTGAAGGCCCTCCTCAAGGAGAACTACAAGCCACTGCTCAAGGAAATAAGAGATGACACAAACAAATGGGAAAACTTTCCATTCTCATGGATTGGAAGAATCAATATCGTGAAAATGGCCATATTGCCAAAGCAATTTATAGATTCAATGCTATTCCCATCAAACTACCATTGACATTCTTCATATAATTAAAAAAATTTAAATTTCATATGAAATCAAAGAAGACTGCATGTAGCTAAGACAATCCTACACAAAAAGAAAGCTGGAGTCATCATACAACCTGACTTCAAAATGTACTACAAGCATACCATAACCAAAACAGCATGGTACTGGTACCAAAACAGATATATAGATGAATGGAGCAGAAAAGAAACTGCAGAAATAACACCACACATCTGCAACCATCTGATCTTCAACAAACCTAACAAAAACAAGCAATGGGAGAAGGATCTCCTATTCAGTAAATGGTGCTGGGAAAACTGGCAAGCCATATGCTCAAAACTGAAACTGGACCCCTTCCTTACACCTCATACAAAAATTAACTCAAGATGGATTAAAGGCTTAAATGTAAAACCCAAAACCATAAAAACTCGAGAAGAAAACCTAGGCAAAACCATTTAGGACATAGGCATAGACAAATATTTCATGACAAAAAGGCCAAAAGCAATTGCAACAAAAGCCACAATTGACAAATGGGATCTAATTAAACTAAAGAGCTTCTTCATAGCAAAAGAAACTATCATCAGAGTGAATGGGCAACCTACAGAATGGAAGAAAATTTTTGCAATCTGACAAAAGTCTAATATCCAGAATTTACAAGGAACTTAAACATATTTACAAGAATAAAACAAACAACCCCATCAAAAACTGGGTAAAGGATCAGCCTGATCAACATGGAGAAACCGCATCTCTACTAAAAATACAAAATTAGCTGTGCATGGTGGGGCATGCCTGTAATCCCAGCTACTAGGGAGGCTGAGGAAGGAGAATCGCTTGAACCCAAGAGGCAGAATTTGCCATGAGCAGAGATTGAACCATTGCACTACAGCTTGGGCAACAGGAGTGAAGCTCCCTCTGAAAAAAAAAAAAAAAGGGGGGGGGGGATATGAACAAACAGACACTTCTGAAAAGAAGACATACACTACTTAACCAACAAACTTAAGAAAAAAAGCTCAATATCACTGATCATCAGAGAAATGCAAATCAAAACCACAATGAGACATCATCTCACACCAGTCAGAATGGCGATTATTAAAAAGTCAGCAAACAATAGATGATGGGGAGGCTGTGGAGAAATAGAAACACTTTTACACTGCTGGTGGGAATGTAAATTAGTTCAACTATTGTGGAAGAGAGTGTGGCGATTCCTCAAGGATCTAGAACCAGAAATACTGTTTGACCCAGCAATCCCTTTACTGGGTATATACTCACAGGAATATAAATCATTCTACTATAAAGACACATGCACATGTATGTTTATTGCAGCACTATTTAAATAGCAAAGACATGGAACCAAACCAAATGCCCATCAATGACGGCTGAATAAAGAAATGTGGTGCATATACACCATGGAATATTATGCAGCCATAAAAAGGAATGATGTCATGTCCCTGTAGGCACATGGATGAAGCTGGCAGCCATCATCCTAAGGCAACTAACACAGGAACAGAAAACCAAACAGCACATGCTCTCACTCTTAAGTGGGAGTTGAACATGAGACCACATGGACACAGAAAGGGAAACTCACACAAGGGCCTGTTAGGAGGTGGGGAGTGAGGATGGGTAAATAGGTGCAGCAAACCACCATGGCACACCACCTATGTGACAAACCTGCATGTTCTCCACATGTATCACATTTTTTAGAAGAAATAAAGAAAAAAAGAGAATTATTACTGATACATGCTACAACAGGGATGAGCCTCGAAAACATGTTCAATGAAAGTGAAATATTGTAAGATTTCATTTATATGAAATATGTAAAGTAAGCAAATCCATGAAGACAGAGAGCAGTATAGTGGCCACCAGGTGCCATGAAGAGGGGGAATTGGAAGTGATTACTTGATGAGTATAAGGTGTTTTTGTGTGATATAAAAGTTATGAAATTAGTGGTGGTGATTGAAAAACATTGTGAATTCACTAAATGCCACTGAACTAAACACTATACAATGGTTAATTTTATCTTATGTGAAGCTTACCTCAATACAAAATTTTTGTAATGTGTTCATTCCCTGCCCTCCACTACTCTGGCACCAAAGGGAGACCCAAAGATTTTATCATAATGGTTTCTTAATAAGTCCATGAATCCTCAAAGTAATAATTATTAATTAAATGACAATGTTCAAATTAATGTATTTTAAGCTCAAGTAACTTTGTCTCCTAAATGTATACCAAACAATGGACTACAATGTATGTGTAAACCTGGATGTTTTGCAGGCACTGATATTCAATATATTTCAGATAGAATTCATCAGCTCCTAACTTGCTCCTTCTATGCTGTTTCCTATTTTTTCTATGTAGTTCAAAAACCTGGGAGTCAGCATTGCTTCCTCCCTTTCTCCCATAAACAACAGTCTTGAGTCTGTTTATCTTCTATCAATATATGTTCCCATTGCTGTTCCCTTTGATCAATGTTTCAATGTTTTTTCTCCCTAAACTATTTCAATATTCTTCTAATTCAACACAGTCCACTATTACTTTCTTCAATGGTGAAAATATTCCATATATGTCTGCTGTAGCTATTGTGCTCTTGATATGTGGCTCTTGTAATTAAAAACCAAAATTTTAATTTTATTTAATTTTAATTATTTTAAATTTAAATTTAAAAACCACATGTATTTAGTGTTTGCCATATTGAATGACACAGTCCTCATCTCTTGCCACTTAAACCATGACCCATGAACCAGCAATATTAGAATTACCTGAGAACTTGTTAGAAATACAGAATTTTAGGCCCTACCCAAGACCTAATTTATAATTATAAAATTATAAATTGAGCATGTGACATACTTTTATTAAATCTTTCCATAGATTTCCATAGGCTTCTTAACAACATCTTTACTTCTCAGCCTGAAATTCCAGGCTATCTAAGACTTGACTCTTCTCCAATCATTTTTTCCCATGTTCCCTCTGATTTCTCTATTCTGTATATCTTACACAAGTGATTAAACTCCTCAGTAACTCAATTTCCCCAAAAGTAAAATGGAAATAATAATAATGCCCACATTATAGAGTGTTATGAGGATTTCATGAATACATACTTTCAATATAATAGTCCTTGGGACCAAGTAAGTAATCAATAACTGTTAGCTGTCATTATTATGTAAAAATTTCCTTTCTTTATTTAAATGCTTTCCAGAAAGCAGCTTATGGATACTTTTCCTCAGAATAATCTAGAGTGAATTTGTTTAAGAAAAAAAAGAGGAGATTCCTGGCTCCATAGTAGATCTATGGAATTACAATCTCTGAAGTTAAGTTTCAGATTTTTTTTTTTTTTGAGACAGAGTCTTCCTCTGTCACCCAGGCTGGAGTGCAATGGCATGATCAGTGCTCACTGCAGCCTCAACCTCCCTGGCTTAAGGGATCCTCTCATCTCAGCTTCCTGAGTACCTGGGACCACAGGCAAGGACAACCACACCTAATTTTTAAATTTTATGTAAAGATGGGGTCTCCCTGAGTTACCCAGGCTGATCTCAAACTCCGGGCTCAAGCGATTCTCCTGTATCAGTCTCCCAAAGTGCTGGGATTACAGGAGTGAGGCAACATCTTACTTTTTTAGTAACTATCTTAGGATATCAGCTTTACAAACAAGGCATACATATCTCTAGGGGCACATAAATATTTTCCAAAGAAGTGTGGGGGCTCAGAGAGTTCTAAGAGAGTAAATTTCCCCATTAACATAAATGCCATTTATAAAAGTGATCTGCCTGAGAATGTACTTAGATCTTCCTGTTCTGTTATTATTGTTGATCACATCCCTTCTAATACTGTGGCTTCTTCTGCTTCACAAAAGAAAAGCCTGACCTCACACATTGTGAATTTGACAATTGTGCATTGTCTCCAGCATGTGAAATCCTCCACAGTGCCAAATACAAAAAGAGAATTTAAAAAATTGATGTTGATGTTGGGAAGGTAAATGTCAATAATGACTAGAAAATAAATCCTTCTGCAAGTACAGTGGTTTCTAATTATTTCCTTTCAATGTAATTATAAGAGAACTCAATTGAGTTGTCAACTTATAGATCATTAAATACAATCTTTGATGATGGGGATTACTGAAATTTTTGGCATATAACTCCAAAAGAATTCAGAGCCATGTTATATTGTTATGACAAAATTTTCTTCAAATCCCATCTAATTATTTATGTGAATGAAGTTTCTCAGTGGTTAATTTTTTTAAATAGGAATAGATTAGTGTTAAAGCCTGTCTCATTATGATCACAAGCAATATTCTTCCTCAGTCAGATACAGGACCTAGCTCAGAGAAAGAACCATTCATTTCATTAATAAATAAATTTCCAATAAAATTTTACTTTATGCTAAATTATTATTATCAAAGTTTAAAATGTGCTAGCAATCTTGTGGTAAAACATGTACTAATAATCATAATGATGACTCAATCTGGAAGAAAAATTAGGACAGAATATTATGGTCAGAGGCTGTTTTTAAAAACTAATTTTAACTTATATGCTTAATAATTATATACTTTATATATTTAATATATAGTTAAATATATAATGTTTATTTTTATAACTATAACATGATCATTAAAACTGTTGATCATAAAATATATAAATTAGGATTAAATTCTCTGTTGAAAATAGAATTAAAATATTATTTTAATGAGAAAATAGAATGGTATTAATTCTCCAGCTATTGAATACATTTTTTCATGTATCCCTTTAACTACATAATATTGCATATCAAATCAGCATGACATTTATATTCCATTTATTATAGTAAAATAGTAACCAGATTTTTCTAAAATGCTTAGATTTACAATATTTCAGAGGTTGTACCCTTTACAACTATTTAAAATTATGATGGAAAGTTTTAGATGTTAAGCTAAAGTATGGAAAAGGTAGTTTTACAAAATTAGCTTAGGGCAGTACCAAATAAAGAAAAATAACTTAAGAACTCTAAATAATTGCCTCTTACATACACTAGTTTTTAAGAAGCAATACCTCATACGATAATCTGCCTTTTGTAAGTGGTATAAAGACACAGGAACATAATAACATGGTATCAGTATGAGAACAATTTAATAAAGAAAATTGGTACCAGGAGTAGGGTAGTGATATAAAGTTACCCTAAAATATGGAAGTGACTTTGGAACTGGGCAACAGCCAGAGATTGGAACAGTTTGGAGGATTCAGAAAAAGAAAGGAAGATGTGGAAAAATTTGGAACTTCCTAGAGACTTGTCTAATGGTTTTGACCAAAATGCTGATAGTGTTACAGACAATGAAATCCAGGCTGAGGTGTTCTCAGATAGAGATGAGGAACTTGTTGGGAAAAGGAATGAAAGTCATTCTTGTTATGCTTTGCCAAAGAGACTGAGGGCATTTTGTCTCTGCCCTAGAGATCTCTGGAACCTTGAACTTCAGAGAGATGATTTAGAGTATCTGGTGGGAGAAATTTTTAAGCAGCAAAAAATTCAAGAAGTGACCTGGCTGTTTCTAAAAGCATAATCTCATATGTGTGAACCAAGAAATGGTCTGAAATTGGAACTTATTTATAAAAGGGAAGCAGAGCATAAAAGTTTAGAAAATACAAAGACTGACAATGTGGTAGAAAAGAGAAACCCATTTTCTGAAGAGAAATTCAAGCTGGCTGCAAAAATTTGCCCAAGTAAAGAGAAGCCAAATGTTAATAGCCAAGACAATGGAGGAAAATGTTCCCAGGACATTTCAGGGATCATTGCAACAGCCCCTCCCACATCACAGGCCTGGAGGCCTAGGAGGGAAAAATGGTTTTGTGGGCTAGGCCTAGGTCCTTGCTGCTCTGTGCAGCCTTGGAACACAGTGCCCTGCATCACAGCTGCTGCAGCTCCAGCCATAACTAAAAGAGGCCAAAGTACAGCTTGGGCCATGGCTTCAGAGGGTGCAAGCCCCAAGTCTTCACAGCTTCCATGTGGTGTTAGGCCTGTGGGTGCACAGAAGGCAAGAGTTGAGCTTTGGGAACCTCTGCCTAGATTTCAGAGGATGTTTGGAAATGCCTGGATGTCCACACAGTAGTCTTCTGCAGGGGCAGAAACTTCATGGAGAGCTGCTACTAGGACAGTACAGGGGGAAATGTGGGATAGGAGCCCCTGCACAATCTCCACTAGGGCACTGCCTAGTGGAGCTGTGGAAAAGAGGGTCATCATCTTCCAGACCCAAGAATGGTAGATCAACCCATAGCTTCCATTGTGCACCCGAAAAAGCCTCCAGTACTCAACATCAGCCTGTGAATGCAGCCATGTGGGCTGTATCTGGCAGAGACACAGGTGGTCAAGCTGCCCAAGGCCTTGGGAGCCCACCCCTTGTACCAGCATGCCCTGGATGTGAGACATGGAGTCAAGGAAATTATTTCAGAGCTTTGAGATTTAATGGCTTCCCTGATGGATTTTGGACTTACATAGGGCCTGTAGCCTCTTTGTTTTGGCCAATTTCTCCCATTTATAATAGGAGCATTTATCCAATGTCTGTACCTCCATTGTATGTTGGAACTAACTAATTTGCTTTTGATTTTACAAGCTCATAGGTGGAAAGGACTTGTCTTGTCACAGATGAGACTTCGGACTTGGACTTTTGGATTAAGGTTGGAATGAGTTAAGACTTTGGGGGACAGTTGGGAAGGCATGATTGTATTTTGAACTGTGAAAATGATAGAGTTTGGAGGGGCCAGGGGTGGAATGATATGGTTTGGCTCTGTGTCCATACCCAAATCTTATCTCAAATTGTTATCCCCACATGTTGGGGGAACAGGCTGATGGGGAGTGATTGAATCATGGGGACAGATGTCCCCATTGCTGTTCTCATAATAGTGAGTGAGTTCTCATGACATCTGGTTGTTTGAAAGTGTGTGGCACTTCCCCCTCTGCACTCTCTCCCTCTCTCCCTCCTACTCTGCCATGATAAGATGTGTTTTCTTCCCCTTAACCTTCCACCATGATTGTCATTTTCCTTATGCCTCCAGTCATGCTCCCTGTTAAACCTGCAGAAATGTGAGTCAGTTAAATCTCTTTTCCTCTTAAATTATTCAGTCTCAAGTAGTTCTTTATAGCAGTGTGAGAACATACTAGTATACCCTCTTTTTCATCTCTGATTTTCATAGAATTAGATGTTAATTTCTTATTGGGGTCTCCTCTTTCTTCTCCAAATTAATTTTTTCTAATGGCTCTTTTACTCATTATGCACCTTTCAGCCACAACCTTTCTGCCAAGTATTTCTCTGTCTTAGAAGCTTCACACATTGTATTTCCATCTTGGAATCTTCTACCTCTAGAATGACTGGCTGGCTTCTGATCTTTTTATTTCAAACTCAATATGGCCTTCTCAGATAGATATTCCCTGACTCATTGTCTCTGTATCTCCCCACCCTTGTCATTGTTCTCTATCACATTTCTTGCTTTATTACTCTTTCCTCAATGTATAAACATATACTGGTCCATTTGAATTTCTATACATATACATATGTGTATACATATATATGTATATATATATGTGTGTGTTTATGTATTGTGTATATCTGTGTGTGCGTGTGTGTGTGTGTGTAAAATCTTCTATGCCTCTAACTCTCACTTCCATGAGGGCATAGATTATATCTACCTCTGGCATGTAACGGATACTCAAAAATATTTATTGATTAAATGAATGAATGCATGAAGGTCCTTTCACTTGGTATTTTAGCACGTTATAAGTTCTGAAACCAGAGTCGTTTATGGAAATTGTATTATGCACTAATAGTAAAATATCAAATTTTGAATTTAAATATCTATTTAACTGTTAAGTTTAAATAGTTAAATTTAAGTAGTTATTTAACTAGGGTTTTAGCATACATATTTGCATTTTCTAAATTTGTAGATAAAGAAGACTAACTAGAAAAGCACAGGAAAATATGCAGGTGAAGCTCCATCAATGAGACTGTACATTATTGAAGGAAAACAGATTATGAACATTGCTAAGCAAAGTAGATTTTTTAAATTTAGCAAATATTTCCAACTTACTTGGTTTATAAAATGTTAAAATCTGGTGAATTTTTGCCCCAGTTTCCATGATGAAGCTTACCTTTGTAACAATTTTTACATGGGTATAAAGAAAGAAAAAATAATCATCAGAAATAATTCCCACATTACTTCACTAGAATTATATCAGCCTAGATATTTGTCTTGAGAGATGTACGTAACAAAACAGTGGCCTGCACTTTACAGAAGAGTAAGTTATTGGAATACAAGAGAGGCCAAGAACGGTGGCTCACATCTGTAATCCCAGCACTTTGGAAGCCCGACATGGGCAGATCACTTGCGGCCAGGAATTCAAGACCTGCCTGGCCAACATGCTGAAACGCCGTCTCTACTAAATAATACAAAAATTAGCTGGGCATGGTGGCACATGCCTGTAATCCCAGATACTCTGGAGGATGAGGCATGGGAATCGCTTGAATTTGGGCTGCAGAGGTTGCATTGAGCCGAGATTACACTACTGCACTCCAGTCTGTGCAACAGAGACAGACTCTGACAAAAAAAAAAGGAAAAGAAAAGAAATACAAGACAGATTAAGATTACAAAAGCTCAGAATGCTCCTACCTTATATTGTATACAAAATCTTAATTCTGAATAGAACAATCAACTGTTTGAACTTAAAAATTTTTAAATTTTGTAGTGTATTGAGTTCAAAATATTTCTTTAGTTCTGAAGAAAGTAAACATTTATGTTTGGTCTTTTGCAGTGATATGTTCCCTGAATTTAGATGATAAATTAATAAATATATTCTCTTACGTCATTTTGTTCAGAAAAGACACCAAAACAAGGATACAGCTCAAAAGGCAGAATATATTCTCAAAGCATTATACAAAAATCAGTATTAGAGATAAATACTTTATGAAACATGTGAGGGAAAGAGTGGTTATAAATTCTTTCTAGGTTCATGGTTTTCATGCTACAAAGCACTTCACTTGTCAAAATGTCCATGAATTACTTGATATCCACACACATTTGTCACTGAAAGAAAAACCTCTTAATAAATCAATGATAGCAATAACAGCATGCAGTTTGGTGTTTGTTTATATTATGGAGAAATTAGGCATTCCTTTAATCCTTTAATATTTACAATCATCCTAAAAGGTGTTATCTCACCCTCAGCACCCACCACTCAGCTTCATCTTAAAACGTGCTCACAGGAAAATATAGCTTGAACTACAAGTGGGAGATGGCAGCACTGAGGTGCAAACGTAGCTCTGAGCCCCTCATCCTCTACCTTTTCCTTACAAAATGGGTGAAGAGGCTCACTGTAGTTTAATAAGATGCCAATGAAGAATATAAGAAGTCCATTTTCTGTTACTATAACCAAATGTCTGAGATTGGGTAATTTATAAAGAAAATAAATTTATTTTTTACGGTTCTGAAGGCTGGGAAGTCCAAGAACATGGCTGTGGCATCTGATGAGGTCTTTCCTGCCATGTCATAACACAGCAGAAGGCATCGCATGACAAGAAGGAAAGAGCATACCAACTCTTATCTCTCTCCTTTTTCTTACAGAGCCACCAGTCCCATCTTGGTGGCCCCATCCTGATGACCTTATCTAATTTCTATTACCTCCGAAGGACCCCACCTCCAAATGTCACGAATATATAAATTTGTAGATTTAGTTTCCAACATGTGAAATTTGGAGGATGCATTCAAACTATAGAAGAAAAGAAATATGAATCTATACCAAAGATCAAAGTTTAGCCATTGGGATGATTTATTTCATCATTAATACACAAAAAAGCTTGCTGAGCAACACACTGGAGAACTTCAAAGACCACCTGCCATCCCTGGCTCACACTTTGGAAAAAGATAGATGGATGATAGAATTGAAGCACCAAAACTTTCTGAAAACAATTGAGAAACTCAAATTTTAGAGTGATTCTAGGCTTTGAGGTTAGCATTTTATTTAAGAAAACAATAAATCTAATTGATAGCCTTAGCTAATTAGATTCCTTCATTGGAAATTTGTAAGAATCCTGCAGGTTATTAAAACCCATTAGGCAATTGTTTATTTTGGATCTTTGGAATTGTAGCCACACATACAAAGATGATCAATAAATAATTATTGAATTATTAAAGATGAATTCAAGCTTAAAATAGATATTATATAATGCTTCTCTTTCAACTTGAGAGAAAGTTTATAATGGAAAAAATGCATCTGCTATTTAAAGTATATGTCAATAATTGACTTTAAGAGGTAGATATTATTGTGCAAGTTTTTTCCATAAAGACCTGCTCTTTAAGATAAAAAGAATAGGGATATTATAAGACTTTAATATGCATGTGCATGTGGTCATTTCTTCTGCTTAATATTTTATGTGCAATTTTGTAGATACATTACCACATATTTGTTTTACTTGCTGTGTATTTAGACCCTGCGTTTCATGTGGTTATCTCACCTGTGTCTACGTCTTCAATACCATGACAGTCCTGGTATAAATGTCAGCTACTTGAGGATAACAGTGAAATGAATCCCACAGTAACCCCACTGTGATTCTGATGTGCTCATTCTAGACTTTTAGCCTCATCCCCCTCTTGTAACACACTCTTGGATCTTAGAGTCATGCACTCAACTATTTGGTGAAGTTGAGATAGATTCACATTCTATCCTCACATATTTCCAATCCTTTGCTTTTTTCATGTGAATTATTGACTGTCTCTAAAGATGGATTTGTTCCCTCACTACCCAGCATCACTTTTTATTTGCTCAAAATCATTAAACTCAGTGTCTTAAATTTGTAACTGCACAAGCTCTCTTACTTGAATGCTGTGAAAGAACAGTATGAAATCCAAATGCTGCATAATGCACTGAGTATATTAATCAATAATAAATAGGAAGCAAATAAGAAGGAAGAATATGATCATGCAAAGAAGTTTCTATGTCAGACTGGATTAGGAGACAAATTCACTGTAGCTGTCATGACTGAGCTATAATGTAAACTTATTTAAAAATAAATGGGATGTTGGATCTTCTGAGAAGCAGCTCTTTTTCAGACTTGGACAATAACTTCCAAGCAATACTCTTGTTATACAATCTTGAAAAATTTCCTCTCACAAAAGAGATAAAAGTAAGGAGAATGGTCCTTAATGAGGTAGTTTCTGATAATTCAGCTATTTCTGGAGCTATTTGAGAGGAGCTATGCAAAACAACAATTTTTGAAGTGGCTATGTTTCCTGGACAGCATTATCTATAAATGTTCCAACATATTCTCATACTTGAAGGTAAGTAGACATTTTGTAGTTAATATATTTTTGTTAATAAGAGCTGAAAATAATTTCTGTTGGCTTGGTTATTACCGTCAATTAGTTACGACATCTGTGGGCGAAATAAAGCCCTCCAACTGTGTTCGTGTCCTAGTTCACAGAATTTGGGAATATTTTGTATTACATAGCATGGGGAAATTAAGGTAGTAAATAGAATTAAGTTTGCTAATCAGCTGACCTTATAATAGAGAGATCATACTGGGTGATCCAGGCAGATCCAATGTAATTGTAAGAGTCTTTGAAAGTGGAAAAGAGTCACAGAATTCAATGTCAGAGTGATATGATGTAAGAATCAACTAGCCATTGCTGACTCTGAAGATGGAAGCAGGTCACAGCCAATGAATGTTGATTGCCTCTAGAAGCTGGAAAAGTCAAGTAAAAAGAACTTTAGAGCTTCCAGAAGGAATGCAGCCCTGATGACACCTTGATTTTACGCTGGCAAGACTTATTTCAGATTTCTGATCTCAACAAGTGTAAGATCATTAAATATGTGTTGGTTTAAGACAATAAATTTGTGGTTAATTTGCTATAGCAGCAATAGAAAACTAATACATCTTTTCTTTTAAAATTTAAGTGAGGCTTTTACATTGTTTTACATTGTTGGTAGGAATGTAAATTAGTACAAGCATTATGGAAAACAGTGTGGAGATTCCTTAAAGAACTAAAAGTAGATTTACCATTTTATCCAGCAGTCCCACTCCAGGGGACTTATTTCCCAGAGGAAAATAAGTCATCATACAAAAAAGATACGTGAACATGCATGTTTATAGCAACCATGGAATAGTACTTAGTCATAAAACGTAACTAAATAATGACATTCACATCATTATGTGATTCACATGATGTGATTCACATCATAGAATTGAAGATCATTCTTCTAAGTGAAGTAACTCAGCAATGGAAAACCAAACATCATATGTTCTCACTCATAAGTGGGAGCTGAGCTATGAGTACGCAAAGGCATTAGAATGATATAATGGACTTTGGGGACTCAGGAGAAAGGGTGGGATGGGGAGAACGATAAAAGACTACACATTGGGTACAGTGTACACTGTTTAGGTGATGGAAGCATCAAAATCTCAGAAATCACCACTAAAGAACTTATTTGTCTACAAAAGTAAATAAATAAGAATAAAATTTAAGTGGGAAATTTTTATGTTTTCAGATACCATCTGCATTTTGCTCAGAATAAAAATATAATACTTTGTGTTATTCCCACCTCCTCTTCCAGACAGCATAGATAAATGGAAAAAATATCCCTGGATTTCAACTACCTGAGTTTCAATCCTACTCATGCCACAGCATTAAAACCTGCCAGTGCCTCAGTTATCTTATTGGTAAAATGGAACAATAAGAGGTCTTACTTCATAGGGTGGTAACGAGGATCAAATGAGATAACACATGTAAAGAAAAGTACTTGACACACAGCAAATGTTCAGTCAATGGAAATTATTAACCATCACAGTAAATCAATTATTCATTTTATCTTTTTAATATGTCCAATATCTGTTCCTGCTTTCCATCCCAGGTGTAGATGCTCATCACTTCTCACTGGGATTATGGAAGCAACAGTCTTCATAGGCTAAAGTACAAGTTCCATGGCGTCATTCAAGATTCTCCATGACCTAATAGTTTCTTCCCGTTTTTCATTGTTTCAATTCTGACCAAATCTGTTATTGAGTTTTATGTTCTAGTGATATGGAACTGCTTTACTGCATTTGCTTATGCTCAGTCTTTGCCCACATTCTTTGTTTTACTGTCTTTTACTCATTTTTCAAGGTAATGTGAAACATTTCTCTTCTCATTAGTGATTAATGTTTTCTTAGACTCTTTGAGCATCCCCTATCTCTGTCATAAAGTCCTATGCAAACCTTACTTAGAGTAATAGGCTGTGCAAATTACTTCCAAAACGCCGCAAGGTTACAGCCTCCTTAAACACAGTACAGAGCTTTATTCATTTTTGTAGCTGCAGGATATGGCTGAGTCAGACACAAAGTAGGCCATCTGCATATCCATCTATTTCCATCTATCTATTTTCTTGCTAAATTGAATAAACTCTACCAATTCTAAGTGTTTAACAAGGTTGCATTCTCTTAGATCAGAATTTTAATATTGAGTGGATTCCCATTCTTTGACAACATAAAGTGACAATTGACAGCAGGTGTAGAATAACCCTAATTTTCTTTAACCAGGAGAAAAAACATATTCTAACTTATTTATTAAATATTCTCTTCATCGCATTTTATGAAGCAAAAACATAGCTATTGGAAAAATTACTGACACTAGACCAGAAGCAATAATAAAACTTTAACTATGAGGGATGCTTAAAAAACAACCTATAATACACTTTTATTATTTCTTAACTTACTTTAATCTTAATTAGATAATTTTATTCACTGAAAGAAATTATTTACTGTTGGAAAAATGTCTACAACAAAATGTATTTGAATACCCTGTTGCCTTGAGTAGATATGTCTATATTTCATCTGTAGCTTTGTGTGTACTGTGTCATTGCTTCTCAGTATGAAGCTTATGTGAACTTTTCATACTGAGTCACTAAAATAAATCAGAAAAATCATGGTTTAGATTAAAATTCCCTCTTACAGGCAACCTAGAAACAAATGATGGGGGGATGTTATCAACTGATGAGTGGAAGACACTAGACGCCAACTCTGAGGAGGCAGATGTATGGCAGAGAATTGATGGGGTGGTCTGGCAAACAGAAGACACAAACATGTGGATCCTGTGTGAGAACTAGGATGATGATGAGAAAAGTCTGAAATAATACCCTTGAAATGTGTATTTTCCTGAAGCTTATTTTACAGTTTGCTTCCAAACTCTATATGTCCACATGTACCAATATTTCAAGGCAACTGACTCACTTGAGTTTTTATGTTTTCTTAAGTTTTCCATGAAAAGAGCTGATCAAATAAAGGTCAATGTGTCAATCAAGTGATAGATGAAACTACTGAGTCAAGAAACCATGGTGTGTGAGGAACTGTTGAAATAGTTTAACAGTTGAACTAAAAATTTGTAATGTAAAGAAAAAGATTTGGTGTTGGGAGAGAAAAAAAAAGAAACAGTTACTTTTAAATATTGGAAAGGCTTCCATACAAAAACCGGATTATATATGTTCTTTGTAGTTCTGGAAGGAGCACAATTCAGAAACGGGGTTAGTTCCTAATAAAAAAGCAATAATAATGACAAATCTTCAAGATTAGGATTGTTTTGAATGCTTATGAGCATTCTTTCACTGGAATTAAGTCAATTCTGAAAGACTGCATGTTAGGAATGTGGTCTAGGCCTTTGTAAACTGTGGGGTATGATGTGCTAAATTATCTCTGTCTATGGCTCTTTATTAAACAAATATATATCAAGCATCTCCTATGCTGAGCCATCATATTGCGACTACAACTTCATATCAATGAGACCCTGTGCCTACCATCAAAAAGCTTATGTCACCATCTCATATGCTGTACTGAAGGTAGGATGGCTACCATCATAACACCCAGAAAATATCAAGTACTGATGAAGATGTGGAAAAACTGAAACCTTTATGCACTTTTGATGGAAGTATAAAATGGTGCAGCCACTATGAAAAACACTATGGAAGTTCCTCAAAAAATTAAAAATAGAGTTACCATATTATCCAGCAATTTTACTTCTGATTATATATACTCAAATGAATTGAAAACAGATAAAATCATATTCATAGCAGAATTATTCACAAAAGCCAAAAACTGGAAGCAACCCAAGCCTTCATCAACAGATGAATGTACAAACAAAGTGTGAATAAAATGGAATGTTATTCAGCCTTAAAAAGAAAATAAATTTTTAAACATTCTACAATATGAATAAACCTTGAGGATAATCCCATCTCAAAAGGACAAACACTGTATGATTCCAATTATATAAGGTACCTAGAGTATTCAAATTCATAGAAAGAAGTAAAATAATGGTTACTGGAAGTTGAGGAGGGAAGGGAAATGGGCAGTTATTATTTAATCGGCACAGAATTTTTGTTTGTAAAGATGAAAATGTTCTGGAGATGGATGGTGCTGATGGTTGATTAAGATGGTAAATGATTAAGATGGTAAAATCTAGGTTATGGGTATTTTACCACAATCTTTTAAAAACCTCATTGTCTAATTGTCCTTTTCCATCTCCAAGCAGTTACTAAGTCCCATTTTTCTGATCTCTTTAATATGTTTCAAATCTCACACTTCCTTCTATCTCAGCAGCTAATTCCTTGTTCAGGTCACCATAATTTGTTGTGTGAGTTAATGTAGTAATCTTTAATTCAACTCTTTACCTACAGACATATCCCACTTTGATTAATTTTTAACATGTAGTCAGAGCAATCTTTATAAAATGAACTTCCCGATTTAAATTTCAATTTCTCCCTAGGGACTTCAGAATAAAGTTGAAATAAAGGATAAAGCATAAAATCTTAGTATTGCCTATGATGTCTGAACTCTCTGGACTCTTGCTAATTTCTCTAATCTCTCTCTGCCTTCATCACTTATTCATTCAATCAAGAAATGTTTATAGAGTACTTTGTATATGAAAGGTAGTTTGCTAGTTTATGGGGGTAAATGTTAAATAAAATAGACAGAGTCTATGGTTTCACGGAACATATGGTCTAGCATGGGATGCAGACATTAATTTCAAAATTACACATAGAAATACATAATACAAAAAAGTGATGAGTGCTAGGGAGGAAACACAGAGGATGTATCCGTGTAAAAAATACATCACATATTCTAGGGGTTTGGAAAGGCCTCCCTCTCCAAGGAGGTGATATTTGAGTTAAGATTTCAAGGTTGAGTATCGGTTTTAAGCACAAAATGAGAAAAAAAATTTCAACCAGGGAGAAAAACATATGCTCTCTTTTAAGCAAGATGGAGGATAGAGCGTCTGAGGAACTAAAAACAGTGTGAGCTGAGCACAGAGAATGGAGGTACAAATGGAAACTGAAGAGCTGGATGGATGGCTAGGATTTGATTTTTACTCTTCAAGCATTCATCCTCTAGTCATTTTGCTGTCTTCTCTCAGCCTCATTCTCTCGTGTTTCTTGCTCATTGCACACTCTGTGGCTTCTATTGGGGGTATCGTTTCTGAGTCTTTACCACTGTTCATCCTTGAGGGGTCAGTTGAAGTCTCTCCTTGTCTGGGATAGGTGCTGTGCTTGTGTATATCCCTTGAGCTGTGTATAACTCTTCCATAGCATTTTCTGTCCTAAAAAGTCCTATTGTTTATTACGACAACACTAATGCCTTCAGAGAGGAAACAGTATCATTCATCTTTGTATGTCCAGCACCTAGCATCATTTCTAGGGCAGTTTCATCAACAAATATTTATTGAGCACTTACTCTGGAAAGGTACTAAAATAGGAATTCTGAGGAATACAAAGTTGTGTAAACACTACCTCGAAGGAACTTGATGTTTATTTCAAAAAATATACAATGAAGAACAGCTAGGTTCATACTTTCCTGTGGCCAAATGTGCACAGAGACGACAGATACAAGAGCTTCCTTAAACTAACACTTTTAGGGCAAACATATATTACAGTTTAACAAATACATTATACCTTCCAAGAAATCATGTTCACTTTAAGTACCTTCCAACTCTTTTCTTGTTTTAACACTTCTATATTCGATAGAAACTTAAGAGGAAAGTGATAAATCTACAGAAAAAAAAACAAGAAAATATTTAAGAACTTTGTTATGTTAACATTCTGTTCAACCAGGCCAATGCCATCTGTCAGAATATTTAACTAAAATATTATATGTTATCTGATTTCTTACTTTTTTATTTTGAGATAATTTTCTTTTTTATTTAGAAGTAGAAGTTGTATGTTTATGGTATACAACATGATGCTTTTATATATGTGTACATTGTGGAATGGCTAAATCAAGCCATTTAACATAGGCATTACCTCACATACTTACGATGCATGACAGATCTATTTAAATTCTTCCTCCTACCTAATAAAATTTTGTGTCTTTTTATACAGTGTGTGGTTTTAAAAGCTTTCTTCATTTTTAACCATGTATTTCTATCTACTTTTTTTACATTCTTATATTTAATCTATCCTACATAAAGCTTACTTTAAATTTATATTAGTTTCCTATCCAGAAGTTGTTGTTAACTCTACAACAACAAAATCAATAAGAATATATCGCAGCAACTTTTGGATGACATTCATTAAGTTTGTTTTTATTTGATGGAATAGACTTTTGCCATTAATACACTCAGAATCCTTTCATAATTAAGGATCTCAAAATTTCAATTTTAGCCTTATTTGAATCTGTTGACACCATCCATTTTTATTCAGTTTCTCTGGATTTGCCTTTATCATGAAAACTCTAGATTCTGTATTTTGTTTGAGTAGGTGCAGAATATATGGTAATGATAGAATCCTGTGGAGCAGAAATGATGTTAGATCTCCAAGTATATTTCTATATTTTCTAGCATATGATCTAGAGAACATTAGCCAACAAGACAAACTATACAGAAGTGTTCTGTATCTTAATAGGTTTTGGAAACACTATCATAGCTCTTTGTTGGAAAGACAATTTTGTTTTAATTTTAAGGCTCTGCTATGACAATCCAAAAGTAAGTAAATTTATTGGCACAGTCCAAAGATCTTTTACCATAGATATTATATTTCCAGCAATATCTACTAAACCATGTGGGTAAATTTTATGGACGTTTTGGGAAATGCTAATATGGTAAATTCTTTTCACTTAATATATGAATAAAATAACCTGAATTAGTAATTACATAATATCATCATGAAGGTAGTTACTGGCAGAATAAGGAATAAAATCCAGCTCTTCTTCCTCCAAGTCTTGGTTCATGTTCTTTAAGAAAATGATAGAGAGGTATGTGAGTGCATAAACAATCTGTGGAATTCCTAAAATTACTAAGGCTCTGTAAACAAAACAGATGGCTGAGCTAATGCTGTGAATTAACTAAGCTTATGTTAATATCACATTGGATGATTTAAAAAATATATCAGTGAAAACATTTTCTGTTGACATTTAGGCAAGATAGTAAAATAATCCACTTGTAAGACCATATGAGGTTTGTGGTGTATTTTCAGTTTGGCCAAGTAAGTAACTTGGAATTAGGTTCTAAATGGAAAGATAAATCAAATATAATGCATATAATAAGGCTATATTTCAATAAGATATTTGTCAGGGACTTTTTATTTTACTTGAACAAAATAAAGAGAAATGCTATTGGATTGGTTGTATTATTTGGTGGATTAGCAACTAACTAAAATATACTACTCCGCTCTGATTTAGCACTTGAGGACAATTTGAAGGAAGATTTTTAATGATCTTTTCTTGATCCATTCCTTTTCAGTGATTTTATCCATAACCAGGAAGAAATTATAAAAATTGCTAATGGCATAAAACTCAAAGAAACTGTGAATTAGACAGAAACCAGAATGTAGGTTTAAGAATTTTTTGACAGGGTAAAACCTGTCAAACTGTTCAATTTGACATGTTGAATTTCAACAAAAGTATATATAGGGTTCTGACGATGAGTAGAAAGTAAAGGAAATAAAGAAACCAAATACAATATTCTGCAAGCCCAGGATGGGGAAACACATTCACTGATCTTCAGGTCAAGTTGGAGTAGAAAAATTGTGATGAAAGTCATTTAATGTATGGTCCTCCAAGCTTTTAAGGATCATGGGAGTTCAGAGGCAAAGGGAAGAGGCAGCATGGTGTAATGAAAAGGAAGTAGCCTTCAGACTCAGGAGTCCAGAATTTGGGATGCATGTTCAAATCACAGTTCCATGTTTACTAGCTATTTGTTCTTGAACAAGTTTCTTTTATATTCAAAATACAAATATTAGTAACTTCATCCTTTTCGTTTGTTTTCGTTGTCCTCCTTTCCTATTCTACTTACATCCATCATTTTCTTTACTTCTGCTCTATCCTCACACTTTCTCTTTTCCTTCTTCTTCCATCAACTTTCTCTTTCTCTTACTTTTTATTCTTCCAAGTTTTCTTTCAAAATGTCATTTTCCTGTAAGTTCCACATGAACTTAATCTCATGACCTTCCACTTAGGTGGTGTCCAAGAATTCTGGGCCACGGATAGCAGTTCCATTGCCCTATCATTGCTGTGGCTATGGGGTTACCATTATTTTCTAGAACATTCATACTGATGGATCATAGTCCAGAATTTGCAGTGCCAGAGAATGTTCAGTGGAACAGGTAATGACAAAACGGGCAGAGGAAAGGGCAAATATTCAGATCACTATGAATACTATAATAATCTTCATAATGTTCAGAAAATATTCATCTATATAATTTTCTAACTATTTAAAGTAATCTGTTTTTGAATTAAATTGAATGGTTGTTCAGTAATAATTGAGATTATATGATGCTGTTAATTATTCAATAATAATATATCTTAAAGTAAAATATGTTCTAAAATGAGAATATCAACATTTCTGGATAAACTTTGTCGTGAAGTTATATATGTATATGCATGTAGACTTGTTAGCTTTCTTCTTTTTTAGGAGATCTGAATTTTCATGTGTATTTTCACAAGTAAGTGTGGTCACTGGCTTTCTTTTGAGTGCAACAGTATTTGCATTTTGGTAATACATTATGTTAGCTTCACAAAATACAATAAGGTGTTTTTAGATGCTCCTCAATTCTACAGTAGATAGCATTATATCCACCCCATCCTAAGCCCAGTACCTATGTTCTAAAGAACATAGAAAGAATATTATCTTCTTTACATTATTATCTGTGCTCTTTAGAAAGTCTGAAAGAAATCATCTGGACAAAATCCTGGCCTTAGATCCCTAAATCTATTGAACAAAAATCCTTGATAGCTTTTTATGATTCTTCTGTGTTGCCTGGTCTGTTTAGGTCTTCTAGTCCTTCTCAAATATATTACTTATAAATTATACTTAGAAAAATTTTTGATTGAAATTAACATATGTCTAGCTGTTAGCATAGAACTATGTACAATACTCATATATAAAAATCTTTATATTAATGGCTTTAATCCTGTTTATTTTTTCATTTTTTTTGTTGCTTTGAATGTTTCCGAAAATTGTTGCATCGAGTCTTCTATTCACTAGAATTAACACTATTTATATATCCAGCATCTAGATCAATATTGAATGTGGTAGTAGGATCTGGCAAGATGGCCGGATAGGAACAGCTCTGGTCTGCAGCTCCCAGCAAGACCAATGCAGAAGGGGGATGATTTCTGCATTTCCAACTGAGGTACCCAGTTCATCTCATTGGGACTGGTTAGACAGTGAGTGAAGCCCACGAACACCGAGCAGAAGCAGGGTGGGACATTGCCTCACCCAGGAAGTGAAAGGGGCCAGGGACTTCCCTCCCCCAGCCAAGGGAAGCCATGAGGGATTGTGGTATCTGGCCCAGATACTACGCTTTTCTCATGGTTTTTGCAACCCGCACACCAGGAGATTCCCTCATGTGCCTGCACTACGAGGGCCCTGGGTTTCAAGCACAAAACTGGGAGGCTGTTTGGGCACACAGCAAGTTAGCTTCAAGAGATTTTTTTTGTACTCCAATGGCGCCTGGAACCCCAGCAAGACAAAACTGTTCACTTCCCTGGAAAGGGGACTGAAGCCAAGGAACCAAGTAGTCTCGCTCAGTGGGTCCCACTCCCATGGAGCCCAGCATGCTAGGAACCACAGGCTTGAAATTTTCACTGCCAGCACAGCAGTCTGAAGTCAACCTGGGATGATCAAGCTTAGTAGGGGGAGAGGCATCCACCATTACTGAGGCTTCAGTAGTCAATTTTCCCCTCACAGTGTTAAGGAAGCCACTGGGAAGTTTGCACTGGGCGGAACTCACCTTAGCATGGCAAAGGAGCTGTGGCCAGAGTGCCTCTGTACATTCCTCCTCACTGGGCTTGTGATCTCTGAAAGAAAGGCAGCAGACCCAGTCAGGGGCTTATAGTTAAAACTCCCTGAGACACAGTGCCTGGGGGAAGGGGTGGCTGTGGGCTCAGCTTCAGCAGGCTTAAACACTCCTGCCTGCAGGCTCTGAAGAGAGCAATGGATTTCCCCCCACAGAGCTTGAGCTCTGCTAAAGGACAGACTGCCTCCTCAAGTAGGTCCCTGACCCCAATGCCTCCTGACCTGGAGACACCTCCCAGCAGGGGTCGACAGACACCTCATACAGGAGAGCTCTGGCCAACATCAGGCAGGTACCCCTCAGGAATGAAGCTTCCAGAGGAAGGAGCAGGCAGCAATCATTTCTGTTCTGCAGCCTCTGCTGGGGATACCCAGGCAAACAGTGTCTGGAGTGGACTTTGAGAAAACTCCAGCAGGCTTGCCAAAGAGAATCCTGACTGGTAGAAAGAAAACTAACAAACAGAAAGCAATAACATCAAATCAACAAAAAGGATGCCCACACAAAAACTCCATCCAAAGGTCATCAGCATCAAACATCTAAGGTAGAAAAATCCACGAAGATCAGGAAAAACCTGTGCAAAAATGCTGAAAATTCAATTAACCAGAATGCCTTTTCTCCTCCAAATGTTTGCGACTCCTCTCAAAACTGGATGAAGAATGAGTTTGACAAATTGACAGAAGTAGGCTTCAGAAGTTGGGTAATAACAAACACCTCCGAGATAAAGGAGCATGTTCTAAACCAATGCAAGGAAGCTAAGAACTTTCATAAAAGATTACAGAAACTGCTAACCAGAATAACCAGTTTAGAGAAGGACATAAATGACCTGATGGAGCTGAAAAACACAGCACAAGAACTTCATGAAGCATACACAAGTATCAATAGAAAAATTGATAAAGCAGAATGACACCAGAGATTGAAGACCAACATAATGAAATAAAGTGTGAAGGCAAGATTAGAGAAAAAAGAATGAAAACGAATGAACAAAGCCTCCAAGAAATATGGGAATATGTAGAAACACCAAACCCATGGTTGATTGGTGTACCTGAAAGTGACAGGCAAATGGAATGAAGTTGGAAAACACACTTTAGGATATTATCCAGGAGAACTTCCCCAACCTAGTATGACAAGCCAACATTCAAATTCAAGAAATACAGAGAACACCACTAAGATACTCCTTGAGAAGAGCACCCTCAAGACACGTAATTGTCAGATTCTCCAAGTTGAAATGAAGGAAAAAATGTTAAGGGTAGCCAGAAAGAAAGGTCAGGTTACTTAAAAAGGGAAACCCATCAGACTAAAAGCAGATCTCTCTGCAGAAACCCTACAAGCCAGAAGAGAGTGGGGGCCAATATTCAACATTCACTAAGAAAAGAATTTTCAACACAGAATTTTATATCCAGCCACACTAAGCTTCATAAATGAAACAGAAATAAAATCCTTTACAGACAAGCAAATGCTGACTGATTGTGTCACCACCAGGCCTGCCTTATAAGAGCTCCTCAAGGAAGCATTAAATACGGAAAGGAAAAGCCGGTACTAGACACTGCAAAAACACACCAAAATATCAATGACACTATGAAGAAACTACATCAACGAATGTGAAAAATAAGCAGGTAGCATCATGATGATAGAATCAAATTCACATGTAACAATATTAGCCTTAAATGTAAATGGGTTAAATGCCCCAATTAAAAGACACAAGCTGGCAAATTGGATAAAGGGTCAAGACCCATCAGTGTGCTGTATTCAGGAGACCCATCTCATGTCCAAAGACACACATAGGCTCAAAATAAAGGGATGGAGGAATATTTACCAAGCAAATGGAAAGAAAAACAAACAAACAAACAAAAAAAAGCAGGGGTTGCAATCCTAGTCTCCGATAAAGCAGACTTTAAACCAACAAAGATCAAAAAAGACAAAGAAGGGAATTATATAATAATAAAAGAATCAATGCAAAAAGAAGAGCTAGCTATCTTAAATATATATGCACCCAATACAGAAGCACCCAGATTCATAAAACAAGTTCTTAGAGAACTTCAAAGAGACTCAGACACCCACACAATAATACTGGGATATTTTAACACTGTACTGCCAATATTAGACAGATTAACGCGACAGAAAATTAACAAAAATATTCAGGACTTGAACTCAGCTCTTGATCAAGTGAACCTAATAGACATCTATGGAACTCTCCACCCAAAATCAAGAGAATATATTCTTCCCAGCACCACATAACCCTTATTCTAAAATAGACCACATAATTGGAAGCAAAACACTCCCCAGAAAAATGCAAAAGAACAGAAACCATAACAAACAGTCTCTCAGAACACAGTGTAATCAAATTAGAACTCAGGATTAAGAAACTCACTTAAAACCACACAACTACATGGAAACTGAACAACCTGCTCCTGAATGACCACTGGGTAAATAACAAAATTAAGGCAGAAATAAAAAATTTCACTGAAACCAAGGAGAACAAAGAGACAATGTACCAGAATCTATCTCTGGGACACAGCTAAAGCAGTGTTAAGAGGGAAATTTATAGCACTAAATGCCCATAGGATAAAGCAGGAAAGATCTAAAATCAATACCCTAACATCATAATTAAAACAACTAGAGAAAGAAGAGCAAACAAATTCAAAAGCTAGCAGAAGACAAGAAATGACTAAGATCAGAGCAGAACTGAAGGATAGAAACACAGAAAAGCCTTCAACAAATCAATGAATCCAGGAGCTGGTTTTTTGAAAAAGTAAACAAAATAGATAGACCATTAACCAGACTAATAAAGAAGAAAAGAGAGAAGAATCAAATAGACACAATAAAAAATGATAAAGGGGAAATCCCCACTGATCCCACAGAAATACAAACTACCATCAGAGAATACTATAAACACCTCTACACAAGTAAACTAGAAAATCTAGAAGATATGGATAAATTATTGGACACATACACCCCTCCAAGTCTAAACCATGAAGAGGTCGAATCTCTGAATAGAACAATGACAAGTTCTGAAACTGAGGCAGTAATTAATAGCCTACCAACAACAACAACAAAAAAAGCTCAGGACCAGAAAGATTCACAGCCAAATTATATCAGAGGTACAAAGTGGAGCTGGTACCATTCCTTCTGAAATTACTCCAAACAAAAGAAAAAGTGGGACTCCTCCGTAACTCATTTTATGGAGCCAGCATCATCCTGATTTCAAAACCTGGCAGAGAAACAACATAAAAAGAAAATTTCAGGCCAAAATCAATGATGAACATTGATGCAAAAATCATCAATAAAATACTGGCAAACCAAATCCAGCAGCACATCATAAAGCTTATCCACCATGATCAAGTCGGTTGCATCCCTGGGATGCAAGGCTGGTTCAACATATGCAAATCAATAAACGTAATCCATCACATAAACAGAACCAGTGACCAAATCCACATGATCATCTCAATAGATGCAGAAAAGACCTTCGATAAAAGTCAACACCCCTTCATGCTAAAAACACTCAATAAACTAGGTATTGATGAAACATATCTCCAAATAATAAGAACTATTTATGACAAACCTGTAGCCAATATCATACTGAATGGGCACAAGCTGGAAGCATTGATTTTGAAAACTGACACAAGACAAGGATGCCTTCTCTCACCACTCCTATTCAATCTAGTATTGGAAGTTCTGGCCAGGGCAATCAGGCAAGAAAAAGAAATAAAGTGTATTCAAATAGGAACAAAGGAAGTCAAATTGTCTCTGTTTGCAGATGACATGATTGTATAGTTAGAAAACCCCATCGCTTCAGCCCAGAAACTCCTTAAGCTAATAATCAATTTCAGTAAAGTCTCAGGATACAAAATCAATGTGCAAAAATCACAAGCATTCCTACATACCAATAATAGACAAACAGAGAGCCAAATCATGAGTGAACTCTCATTTACAATTGCTAAAAAGAGAATAAAATACCTAGGAATCCAACTTACAAGGAACATGAAGAACTTCTTCAAGGAGAACTACAAACCACTGCTCAAGAAACTAAGAGAGGACACAAACAAATGGAAAAACATTCCATGCTCATGAATAGGAAGAATCAATATTGCGAATATGGCCTTACTGCCTAAGGTAACTTATAGATTCACTGCTCTTCCCATCGAGCTACCACTGACTTTCTTCACAGAATTAGAAAAAGCTACTTTACGTTTCATATGGAACCAAAAAAAGAGCATGTATAGACAATACAATCCTAAGCAAAAAGAACAAAACTGGAAGCATCATGCTACCTAACTTAAAACTATTCTAGAAGTCTACAGTAATCTGAACAACATGGTACTGGTACCAAAACAGATATATAGACCAATGGAACAGAACAGAGGCCTCAGAAATAACATCACACACCTACAACCATCTAATCTGTGACAAACCTGACAAAAACAAGCAATAGGAAAAGGATTCCCTATTTAATAAATGGTGCTGGGAAAACTGGCTAGCTATATGCAGAAAACTAAAATTGGGCCCCTTCCTTACACCTTATATAAAAATGAACTCAAGATGGATTAAAAACTTCAACGTAAAACCTAAAACTATAAAAACCCTAGAAGAAAACCTAGGCAACACCATTTAGGACATAAGCATGGACAAAGACTTCATGAATAAAACACCAAAAGCAATGGCAACAAATCCAAAATTGACAAATGGGATCTAATTAAATTAAAGAGTTTCTGCACAGCAAAAGAAACTAACATCAGAGTGAACAGGCAACCTACAGAATGGGAGAAAATTTTTGCAATCTATCCATCTGACAGAGGTCTAATATCCAGAATCTAAGAAAAACTTAAACAAGTTTACAAGAAAAAAACAAACAACCCCATAAAAAAGTGGGTGAAGGATATGAACAGACAGTTCTCAAAAGAAGACATTTATGTGGTCAACGAACATATGAAAAAAAGCTCATCATCACTGGTCATCAGAGAAATGCAGATCAAAACCACAATGAGATACCATCTCACACCAGTTAGAATGGCGATCATTAAAAAGTCAGAAAACAACAGATGCTGGTGAAGATGTGGAGAAATAGGAACGCTTTTACATTGTTGGTGGGAGTGTAAATTAGTTCAGCCATTGTGGAAGACAGTGTGGTGATTCCTCAAGGATCTGAAAGCAGAAATACCATTTGACCCAGCAATCCCATTACTGGGTGTATACCCAAAGGATTATAAATCATTCTAGTATAAAGACACATGCACACATATGTTTATTGCAGCACCATTTACAATAGCAAAGACTGGGAACCAACCCAAATGGCCACAAATTTGGGCCATTAAAAAAAAAATGTGGCACATGGAATACTATGCAGCCATAAAAAAGAGTGAGTTCATGGCCTTTGTAGGCACATGGTTGAAGCTGGAAAACATCATTCTCAGCAAGCTAATGCAGGAACAGAAAACCAAACACCACATGTTCTCATTCATAAGTGGGAGTTGAACAGTGAGAACACATGGACACAGGGCGGGGAATATCACATACCAGGGCCTGTCAGGGGGTGGGGGCTAGGGGAGGGATAGCATTAGGACAAATGCCTAATGTATGCAGGGCTTAAAACCTAGATGATGGGTTGATGGGTACAGCAAACCACTATGGCACATGTATACCTATGTAACAAACCTGCATGTTCAGCACATTCATCCCAGAACTTAAAGTATGATTAAAAAATATATATTGAATTTGGCAGAAAATAACAAAGGGCCGAGTTAATTATTTTAAATTTATTTCTAATAATAACAATTTTGAGCCTCATACTTGCCTTTGACCATAGCTTTTACCACATTTTATAACATTTTATATTAAATACAAGGAGATTTCAGAAATCCATGAAAATTTGAATTGAATGATAAATAATTTAAAATATTAACTGTATTTCTCAACATAACTTCCATTAAGTTCAATATACTTTTGTAAATGATGATAACAACTATTTAGTCCATCCCTAAAAAAAACTGAGGGTCCTAGGAATTTGCCCATGTCAATGCAGTTTTCTTTACATTGTTATCTGAAGAAAATGGGTGCCCTTTACAGAGTTTTTAAGATCAGGAGACAAAAAGAAGTCAGAAGGAGACAAATCAGTACTGTAAGGAGAATGGATAATGATTTCCCATCCAAACTCTCACAGAATTGTCCTTATTTGATGCGAAGAATGAGCAGGAGCATTGTCATGATAGAGTACTCACTGAAGATTTCCTTGACATTTTTCTGCTAAGTTTTTGCTTTCTCAAAACACTCTCATAGTAAGCAGATGTTATTCTTTGGCACTCCAGCAAGTCAACAAACAAAATGCCCTGAGCATCCTGACATACTACCACAATGGCCTCTGCTTTTGACCAGTTTGCTTTTGTTTTGAGGGACCACTTCCACTTCTAGGTAACCCTTGCTTTGATTATGTTTTGTCTTGAAAATCACATTGGTAAAGCCATGTTTCATCTCCTGTTACATGTTTTTTCCAAAGAATACTTCAGGATCTCCCTCCCACTTGTTTAAAATTTCTGATGAAAGCCCTCCTCCTATCTGCAGCTGATATGAGTGCAATGGATTTAGCATCTATAGAATGGAAAGCTTGCTGACCTTTAATTTTTTCAGTCAGAATTGTGTAAGCAGAGTTGAGATGTCTATGGTATTGGCTAGTGTTCTATTGCTAATCACTGGTCCTCTTCAATCAGTACACAAACCAACAGGTTAGTTTTTTCTCATAAGTTGATATAGATGGTCTGCCCCTGCAGGCTTCATTTTCAACATCATCTCATGTCTTCTTAAAAGAAGTTATCCATTTGTAAATTGTTTATTTCTTTAGGGGCGTTGTCCCCATAAACTTTTGCTACAGCATCAATGATTTCACCATTCTTCACCCATGCTTCACCATTAATTTGATGTTTGTTCTTGCTTCAATTTTAGCAGAATTAATGCTCCTCTGATAGAGATGCTTTTCAAACTGATGTCTTACCCTTCTTTGTGCCTCAAGCTAGATCCTGTTTAGACCTGTTTAGACTCAAGCTATAACAAGTTAGCATGAGTTTATTTTGGTGCCAAAAAAAAATTGAAATCCACTCATAGTTTTTTCATAATACACATTTTCCAATGAACCTTTTGAAAACCTCTTATATGTTTATGATTAACATGAAACAACTATAATTACAATTTTTCAATTTAGTTTTTTATTTTATTCGGTTGCCTACTAAGCAATTTTCTATATTTAATTTCCTTGAGATTGTGTTTTCCTCTGTTGAGATTACAGATTTCTCTTGTATTACTTGTGGTTAAATAATGCAGTATGTGTAATTTATTTTTCATGGCATGTATTGAAATCCATTTTATGGTTTATAAGTGATAACTCATATATCCAAGACTGAGTGAAAATGTATATTCTTTGTAGGAAGCTAAGTATGATGTACTGGCCTACTAACCTTATTGGTTATTTTTATCAAATACAATACGGTCTCATTTTAATTTTCATTATATAACAAAAATTATGTTTAAATTCTCTGTCTGTTTTGTTTAACGTCTCTTTAAATTTGTAATGAGTTTTTGCCAGCATACATTTTGGTGCTATTACTTTGTGCGTAAACACATGTTAATCTAATTTCTGCTTTCAATCAAGATAAAGTAACAGAGACCAGGGATACCCTACCACCAAAGACAACCAAAAAATTTTAAAAAATGGAAAAAATATGAAGGCAACAGTTTTCAAGATCCTGAAAATCAGAAAAAATGTAAGTCATTGACCTCTGAGAAATGTGAAATAAACGTTACTATTTTCTTACTATTTCCTTACTATTTTCCCAGGCTATTTCCCAAGATGGTTTACAAATCACAGTTTTCACAGACAAAGTCAGGTAGAGCCTGACAGACTCCCTGAGTTGTAAAGACAAAGTTGAGAGCCAGCGTAACACCAAGTCAGCTGGAGTTTCTAATACAGAGTACTGGAGAGGAGATTGCTACACAATAAACTCTGGAAAACTGCGGAGGATTTCCCTGAAGTAATTAACTGAGTACTGATTAACACATAAATATGAAGAAACTACCTGTGTCCAATGAAAGAACCACCTGAAAGCATGAGGGAAAAATATTTATTATTTATACAGGGCCAGGAAGGATCTTGCCTCAATATTGAGGAATACAGGTGCTTCTCAATTTTTAATAGGGTTATGTCCCCCAAACCCCTTCTAAGTTGAATATATCATGTTGAAAATTTAATACATCTAACTTACTGAACTTACTGAAAATTTAATGAATGCATCTAACAAAACTGTTTGCTTTTCATTGTTTTTTAGATTCAGTCCCTGGATTATCATTCAAAGATAATCTCACTATATCTCTGTCATAGAACCAGTTAGATTCCATGAAATTGTCAATATCTGGGTGGAGAATTTGGATAATACATGTTTAGAATATATCTTAATTTACTCATTGAGATATCAGCAAATAATAATGTTTAACTTTTGAGAAGGTGGGCTATATGTTGGCAATGCTTATATTACCACTGTGATGATTGAGTCTCTCTACTGTACATGAATAATGAAGAGTGGATCTGAAACAGAAAACTGGCCAGGTGCAGTGGCTCATGCCTGTAATCTCAGCACTTTGGGAGGCTGAGGCAGGTGGATCACGAGGTCAGGAGTTTGAGACCAGCCTGACCAACATGGTGAAACCCCGTCTCTACTAAAAATACAAAAAATAGCCAGGCGTAGTGGCACGCGCCTGTAACCCCAGCTACTCAGGAGGCTGAGGCAGGCGAATTGCTTGAATCCAGGAGGCGGAGGTTGCAGTGAGCCGAGATTGCACCACGGCACTCCAGCCTGGGTAACAGAGCAAGACTCTGTCTCAAAAAAACAAAACAAAACAAACAACAACAACAAAAAAAACCTGTGTGTTTTCTGATATCATTTTAGTTCATTATGTTTATAATGTAATCTATTTGAATATACTTGTTTCTGCGCCAAACAGAGACTCTTCAAGGGAGTTTAGAAGAGAATGTCATGATTATTAGAAAGTAATATGTGTTAATTGTAAGATCTACCAACCTAGCTTCATTTATTTTGATTGTTTTTGGAATTTTGATTTTGATGTTTAATTTTTATGTCATAATAGTACTTTTAGTTGCCTTTTTAACCAACATTCTCTCTTTTCTTCCAAATAAAGTCCTGATTTTATTTACAGAAGTATGCTTAGTCTGCATTGAAACCATGTCTAAATCAAGAGACTGAGCTATGATCAGTTGAAGCCAATCACAGTGGTACTATTTCTCTCATTAGTGATAGATTGTTACATGAAGGTGACACATTTCTAGTCAATAAAATATGAGGAGGTCTGTTGAGGTTCTTCTTTGAAAGATATTCCTCAGTACTAAAAAGTGAAACAGAGGAGGAAATAACTTCTTCTCCCACTGAATGCTGTGTTATCTGACTATAATGGCTGGGTCTTGGGTAGCTTTATTGTCATCTTGAAAGATCAGGGACACACTGAGCATGGCGGAGCAAGAACTGAGGAGCTTGATGACATTATGCAAAAGCTCAGTTCATTAGCCCTAGAGGAGCTTGCCCCCCAAAACTTTTTATTATGTGGAGTTAATATATTTCCTTTATTCTTTAAAACAGCTGACTGGAAATTTTCTGGTTTTCGTACTTTGAAAAGTTTCTAAAACATTTTTAAAAGATAATAGTAAATGTTACTTCAAAAAGCATGTTTATGTTATTTCTATGGATAATATGAGACCATTTAAGTAATTTTATGAACTATTAAGCAAATAATTTCCAAGAGAGCTAGATTGTGGATCAGAGTCAAACAGGAAATGGGTCCTTGGATAGCACTCTATCCTAATCAATGTTTTTATCCATTTTTAACTATTTTTGCCATTGATGTAAAGGAGAAAACCTAGAGGCTGAAGTCTAAAGTTTGTTGTTCAAAGTTGTTGACAATATTTGCTTATCATTTCAGCATCATTTCTCATTGTATATGATGTATATATACATATATATGTAGCATGTTATACATATAACATGTTTATATTTTGTATTATATATAACATATGTTAAATATTATATTTATCACTTACATATACATGCATATAACATGTCAACAGAACACAAAATATGGCCTATTGCACATGCTCATGCTTTCCACATGCTGTTTTCTGAATATCCTTCTCATTTTTATACAACTAGTCAATTTGATTGGTGCTCTATTCAGATCCGTTTTAATAGGTCAGTGGATAGAATTCCCAATTGCTGAGAGTATTGACTGCTAATGGCTCATGTTTGCCCCCTTTTCCAGAGAATTGCCTATGGCTGGACAGGAGCTGCCATAGCTAGGAGATTAATCCCACTTTCTGAAGTGACAAACTGAAGCACCTGTAGTGATAACAAATGGATGACTGACATGGTGGTACAAAAGAGAGCTCTTCTGTTTCAAAGTGGAGACAAATAAGTGGACTTCATCTGAGATGAACAAGACTGGAACCTCTCTACGTATGCTCTCTTATACATGAAGAAGTTAGTTCAAGCTTTTCCACATAGTGGGTAAAAATGTTTCAGGAGACAGAAAGCTCTAATTCACAAGTGCTTTTCATTTTATGCTCGCAATGCATCTGCTAATGTTGCATAGGCTAAAGCACATCATACAGCCAATAACAGTCAATTTTGGAGAGTACCATGTAAGAACATGGATACAGGGAAGTTGATTCCTTGGGGGCGACTATAGAAATATAACACCACAGATACCCTCTGGCCTCAAAGGTCTCATCTCCCCTACTAACTAAAACTAAAATAATTATCTATCACCTCCCCACAAAAACACAACATATATTTGCGAGAGAGGAAAAAGGATAGCTGCAATAACTGCATTAGACAATCTCACTCAAAGAATAGAAGGCATACAACAGTCATTTGTTCATAGCAATTATGAAATTTAATCAGGCATATTTTGTTAGGCTTCCTATCCCTACTACTAGCTCAAGGGGTGTTCCTTTATCAGGACCCAGCTCTGCTTTCATAGTCATTTGCTAGTCTGTTGTGCTTCATAGCTCTTGGATCTGCCTCCCACTCCCCCCAAAAACCTTATTTTTCATAAGTGGGTGAGTAGGTTCTTCATCCTGCTTCCTGTCTATTGAAAGTTGGATCTCCGGCTGGACATGGTGGCTCATGCCTGTGATCCCAGCACTTTAGGAGGCCAAAGCATGTGGATCACTTGAGGCCAGGAGTTCAAGACCAACCTGGGCAACATGGTGAGACCCTTTTTCTACAAAAAATAAAAAATTGCCTGTAATCCCAGTTACTTGGGAGGCTGAAGTAAGAGGATCCCTTGAGTCCAGGAGATGGAGGCTGCAGGGAGCTTGCACTGTGCTCCAGCCTGGATGACAGAGCAAGACCCTGTCTCAAAAGTAATAAGAATACTAATAATAAGAAGAAACCGAAGAAAAAGGGATCCCCAAGCTCTCTTTGCTTTTGAGTTGTTTCTGTCCTCATAAACATCCAAACTGATCCAATTCCCTTAAAAACGTTATGTTTTCCATGAATTATAGTTCACTTCATTAGACAAAAGCCACATCTACAACTATTTTCTTTTTGAGATATCCTTTTTCTAGATATCTTTAAAAGTATTTTGAAATTAGACTTTTAAAGAACCATAACTTTAATGTTCTTGAAGTCTTCTGTCAAAAATGAGAAAGTCAAATAGATACTACCTTGAATATTTCAGAAGTCCTAACAAAGGCTCTGATGTCCTTGATGAGATATTTACTCTGTGACCATTTCTTTCTCTGAGAGTGTTTTTCTGTCAAGGACTGGAGATGTGAAATAGTCCTTATAGTCAAACCCAGCAATCCTGTCTTCTCTATATTTGTTCTAATTTTGCTTGAAAACATAATAGTTTTCTCTTTAGCTCATCTTCCTCACCCTGTACTTTAGTGTATGCCATTAAAAGAAGACAATTGACATTTTAATAATTATGCCCAGAAAACTTCTTAGCAGATTTACAATTACATATACAGTTTACCCTTGAACAACTCAGGGATTAGGGATCCCAACACTCCAAAAATTCACATATAACTTTTGACTCCCCAAAACTGAACTATTAATAGCATGTTGACCAAAAGTCTTATCGATAACATAAACAGTTAACACATATTTTGTATGTTATGTGTACTATGTACTCTATTCTTATAACAAACTAATCTGAAAATGAAAGTGTTATTAAGAAAATCAGAAGGAAGAGAAAATATATTTACTATTCATGTAGAGGAAGTTGGTCATCATAAAGGTCCTCATCCTTGTCATCTTCATGTTTAGTAGGCCAGAAGGACGATGAGGTATGGGTCTTGCTTACTTAGTGGTGATAGAGTCAGAAGAAAATCTACATATAAGTGGACCCACACAGGTCAACTGCATTGCTTAAGGGTCACCTGTATATTCTACTTCACACTGATCTTTTGACCGCTTGTTCCAATACTACATGCATGGCTCACCATTACTTCCAGGCTCAAATATCACTTTCCTCACATAGTTTCTGGCATCCACTAACAGGTTTTCTTTTTTAAAAACTTGGATTTTGATAACAGTTTCCTCAACACTTTTATAGCATTTGGCTGCCACCCAGTCCCAAAGTCAAGACCACATCTTAAGTTGCTGCAGGTACATATGACACTCATTAAAATAGTATCTTGGTAGAAAGGTCTTCGAGACATGCAAACTGGAAAAGGGACTGGTTAAGTTCCTAGCTCACTACCAGATTAGAAAGAAAGTCATTGATGGGAGAGCCAAGTTTATGTTAAAATAAACAGAATATTTCATTATTTCAACTGGGCTGAACAGGTCCTTATTTATAACATATCCTATATTTTAATTTTCTAGTAGATTATCATTTGAAACACGAAAATACAATTTAATTTTATCATAACAAAACAACTCTTCCCAAATTTTGTTTGAAATGTATTGCTTCTTAAAACATCAATAATTGCAAAAACAACAACACAAAAATATGATTGCCAAAGTATTATACTGTTCTCCAACTAGCCTGATCCTAGTACGAGTTTCTTTTAGTAATGCAACTTCTGAATTGCATCCTTGCTGTCTGATATTTCTATAATTATATGGCTAACATAAAGAGTGTTATGCAAATGAAATCATGCGAGATATGAGATAGCAGTGGTACATAAAGTTATTATTTACAATGGGTTTATGGCATGTTTATTACAAATGCCTAATTTTTTCCACCCTAACCAAGTAAATAAATCATATCACAGTGGTAGGTTGAGAATTACCAGAATAAAATATTACATTAAGAAAACATCACTCATAGGAAAATCACAGGTTTATGGTTCATGGCCAAAAAGCAGGGGGCGTCGGGAGGGAAGCCAACACTAGCATATTTGATCAAGGTAGCCCTGCTCCCTCTTCTCTGATTATCTAAAGTTCATTGTTTCTTGAATTCATTTTTGGCTCCTCTTTGGCAGCTTCTAGTTGCCCTGTCCTTTAGGAATGTGCTCTCTTCTAAGCTGTTGTAGCTCTTCTTGACTTGAATTTTCATTTAAAGACTTAACTATTGAGTCAAATTTGTACATATTATCTTTTATGGACATCCTGTCCCTGTAAAACTAGTTCTTAAACTCTTGAAGTGATTTTCAGGTATTTTTGAGTGTCTAGTACACCATGTGCCAGGCACAGTGCTGAATTTTGGGTTTATATTGGTGCAAATAAACATCCCCACAAAAAGAAAAACTTCTGAACTTATGGAGCTTATATTGGATTGGAGGATCCAGAAGTTAATAAAAGATTGCATAAATACAGGCTGGGCACAGTGGCTTACACCTCTAATCCCAGCACTTTGGGAGGGTGTGGTGGGTGGACTGCCTGAGGCCAGGAGTTCGAAACCAGCCCGGCCAACATGACGAAACCCCATCGCTACTAAGAATACAAAATTTAGCCAGGCATGGTGGCACATGCCTATAATCCCGGCTACTTGGGAAGCTGAGGGAGGAGAATCACTTGAACCTGGGAGGCGGAGGTTTCAGTGAGCCGAGATTGTGCCATTGCACTCCAGCCTGGGCAACAGAGCAAGTCTCCATCGAAAAAAAAACCTTTAAAATATATCTGTGGTAGGTGCTACAGGGATGAAGTACATGGTTATGAAAGCATATGATGGGGGAAATTTAGGAGGCTAGGTAAGTGATAATAGTTCTCCCTAAAGAAAGAAAGGCTGAAAAGGAATCTGAAATAATGGTAGGATTTAACTAGGTAAAGCAAGGCTGGTGATTAGAAAAGAACATTCTAGACACAGGCAGCAGCATATTCAAAGCCTCTATAATGCAACACAGGATACCAAGTAGGGGGAAATGAAAGTATAACACTGTGGTTGCAGGGCAGAGAGCAAGGGGGCTTGTGAGAGGGGCTTGATGACGAGTTAACCGGGTGCAGCACACCAACATGGCACATGTATACATATGTAACAAACCTGCATGTTGTGCACATGTACCCTAGAACTTAAAGTATAAAAAAAGAAAGAATCCAAATCGCATAGGTCATGTTAAAGATGTTACTGTTTATCCTAACAGCACTGGAGAGTCTTTGATGAATTCTAAGCAAATGACACTATATCCTACAAAATTGATTATGGCCGTGGTGTTGATAATGGAATAGTTAGAGATGTTATCAGTCAATGTAGAAAGTATTGTCAAGATATGTATCTGATACTTCTTGAGCACCGCCCTTTGTGCATTCTCTCTTACATTTCAGCTCTTTGCATCACTCCAGCTGCAGCTGCTTGGCCCCCCTGCTGTTCTACTCCCTGGAGTCTACCAGTCACTCACCTGGGAGGCCCACTCTTCCCCTGTGGCTGCTGCTGAACTGCTGAGTCAATGAACCTCATGTTCTGAGTTTCCAGTTTTTCTTGCTAACTCTGGATTTGTATAAAGTATCATTTCACAGGATATGAGATTTAGCTTTTCAAGTTGCCACCAAAGGGGCCAGATAATATTGCTCTAATGTTTGGAAGTTAACCCTTTGAGAAGCCGCTTTGATTATCAGAAAACAGGTGATAGGAGACAGCCCGTAAATAAATGTTGTCTCTTTCCTCCTCCCTATGGACAATACCTTGACACATTACCTTTGCATGGTATGTCTAGAGATATCTCATGTGGCTGAGCAACCAGCTGCATCTATTTTGTGGCTCGTGATGATGCAGTGGTCAACATAATAATGCATGATTTTGCATCACTTCGAATCTTTCCCCCTCTTACTTTGCTGTGTCCTCACTCTCCATGCCCTGGGGTGGCGCCTCAAAAATTAAACATTAGTACTTAGTCTTTGTTTCAGGTTCCAACAGGTGAAGGCGGAAAGCTTTTGTAGCATGTGGATGATGATGTCCTGGAATAGAGTGATGAGGCAGAGATGGTGTATTAATTTCCTAGGCCTGCCATAATGAAATACAGAAAACTGGGTGGCTTAATACAACAGAATTGGCCGGGCACGGTGGCTCACGCCTGTAATCCTGGCACTTTGGGAGGCTGAGGCGGGCGGATCACGAGGTCAGGAGTTCAAGACCATCCTGGCTATCACAGTGAAACCCCGTCTCTACTAAAAAAATACAAAAAAATTAGCCGGGCCTGGTGGCGGGCGCCTGTAGTCCCTGCTACTGGGGAGGCTGAGGCAGGAGAATGGCGCGAACCTGGGAGGCGGAGCTTGCAGTGAGCCGAGATTGTGCCACTGGACTTCAGCCTGGGCGACAGAGCGAGACTCTGTCTCAAAAAAAAAAAAAAAAAACCCAAAAAAACCCCAGAATTTTATCCTCTCACAATTCTGGAGGCTTAATGTCTGAAATCAAGGTGTTGGTGGTGTTATGCTCTCTCTGAAGGCCCTAGGGGAGAATCCTACTTTGCCTCTTCCTTGTTTCAAGTGGTTGTGGAAAATCCTTGCTGTCTTCGGCTTGTAGATGTATTCTTCCAATCTTTGTAGCTGACTCTAATGGCTTTCCCCTTGGGTGTCTGTGTCCAAGTTTCCTCTTCTTACAAAGATACTAGTTACTGGTTTAAGGACCACCCTAATCCCATGTAAACTTAACTTGATTACATCTTTAAAGTACCTATTTCCAACTAAGGTTACATTCACAGGTTCTGGATGGACATACAGTTTTGGAAGATACTGTTCAACCTAGCATACATGGAAAGATATATGGAGTTAAACCAGCAGGACTTGTTAATAGATTCGATATTAGGGGTGAGGAAACGGATGGAATCATGGATAACTCTTGATGTCTGGCATGTGTAGTGATGTGATTCATAAAGATGAGGAACCTTGAAGAAAAATCAGGTTTTAGGATAAAGATCCTGAATTAAATTTTAAGCATGTTGTGTTCAAGTCACTTTGAAAGGGCCTGTGTGTCCTATCTCTTGTTATTCTCAAGATTCAGCACATAGCAGGTGCTCAGTAATTATTGATGGATAGCCTATTGATGGTGGCAATAATGACAATGATAATAAAGCTTAAAATTTTTAGCAATTTTAGCCTTGGCTGTTTCTTTTTCAGTATTGACTGCCAGTGCCAACAAGAGGGAATAATATGGTGCTATTACTATGAATGATGATAAGAATGAAACAATATTTACCATTTATTGAGCACTTATTATATTTATGACTCCATTAAACACTTTACAAACACTATTTACAATCTTTAAACAAGCCAGTTTTTAGATGAGACACATGATGTTCACAGCTATTAAGTAACTTATGCAAGTTCAGACAGACAGAGAGTGTTAAAATATTAAACCTATGCTCGTTTTATTGAAAAGCTTTTCTTCATACTGCTGTATGGCTGGAAATGAGGGTGTATTTGGCAAATTGACAGGATAATCATCTCCCACCTTCCTGCCAGATAAGTATTCCTTTGTTTCTATAATTCAGATGTCCAACACACAGTAAACATGAAACATCTTCCTGAAATGTTTATTATATTTGAAGCATTAAAACATTAGTTTTATTGCAAAATAAGGAATGTTATATTAATAGTAAAATAATATATTAAGTGAAAAATTTTTAGTTTTTCAGATAAAACCTAAAATTTCAAAGAAATTTTAGCCTGGTAGCATGCTGTTTATAGTCACATTTCCAGACACCTGTGAATTCTTTTTCACTTTTATCTATCCTTAACTGTAACTTAGTGAAAAACTAGAAAAGCGTGGTATAATACTTAAGAGTTTCTGGATAGTAAATCTCATTTGAAAAGTTTTTCAGTGGTCACATTCATCTTTATTTCTTTTTTGTTTTTTTCATTATAGAATTTATTATTATTATTTTTATTTATTTATTTTTTAATTTTATTATAATTAATCTTTATTTCTTTGAAGTTTTGAATTAGAAACTTCACTGTTTTTTTTCTCTTCATATGTACTAGTTTCTCATGTAAAAAGGAATTAATAAAAACAAATTACATTTTGAACATATTATATTCATATGGAAATTTTAATCTTTTTAACACATGTCAATTAAACTGCATCTTACATCACACTTAATGACTCAAAAACAGCAATAAATATTTAAAGATATACACCTAATACAATCAGTCTTTTCTCATTAAGCACTGGAACTCTCATGTTCTCATACAGAAACCATTCAGCCATGCTTAGGTACTACCCATGTTTTGAATTGCTCCCTATTCTTGTATAAGTTTGGAAGGATAGAAGAAAAGTCAGCTGCTTTTTTTATTAAGTAGATACTAATCAAAGCGTGGTAGTAACTGAATGTCTTATTTGATGAAAAACACTTTTCTGCCATAAACAAGGGAAACAGATAATAGTTTATTTAAAAAACAGAAATTCTCTTGTTTTGGACTTTGCCTTAGGTAACAAAATATGCTAACTGTACAACAAATGAAAAGAAAAGACACTCATATATGGGTATGTGCACATACACAAATCCACAAAGAGTAAAATATATGTGTCATACAACCAGACTCTTTTGGACCTCCAAACCAAGTACAAATTGGTCTGCACTTATTTCTTTCTATTATCGCAATCAATAGTCACAAGGATCTAGTTTAATTTCTTCTCCTTTCTCCATACCTATTAGCACAGTGCCCAATTAATAGTAACTTAATAAATATTTATTGAATAAATGAACAAATGGCCTTATATTTTTTTGACCCTGATCACTCTAACCTACTATTATTTAGGTTTACAATAGTATCTATTTCTATTAAGTCATGAGTAATCATCCTGGCCCACGACATCACTGTAGCACGGTGAAAAGGAGTCTGATTGCTCTCATTTTGAATCTCATGACTGGGAGTGAAAATGTGGACAACTTCACTTACCCTTCTGAAAGCTAGATTTTTTCTTCTGCAACATGGAACTCATAAAATGGTTTTAATTTGTTGAGAGGTTATATAACTAAAGTGTGTAAAATATTTTGCACATGATACTCTACAAAGATAAATTCCCTTCACTTCTATGTCCTTCGAAGTCAAATCAGAGGATGAGAAATGATTGATGTAGAAAACCCTTGGATGTTTAGACACACACAGAAAAGGTGTCTTAGATAACAGGAGTCCTTAGATGACACTTTGATAATCGCTGCTACATCAAATAATTACTAGTTTCACAAAAAGCAAAACAAATACTACTACTTAAGAAACTGCAGTGTATAAATAACCTTTCTGTGACAGAAACTTTGACCAGACATACAAACTGAAAATCATAAGAATCGGATATATGAAGGTACTGTGCACAAACAAGAAACTAACCCAGTAGAAATTCAGCACAATTAAATTTAAAAGGTTATTATAAAAAATACTTTTGAAGTCTGACTTTCCTCAAGTACCAAAAAAAGGAGAAAAAAATAAAAATAAATATTTCTTAAACTCTTCCAAAAAATAGAGCTAGTGGGAATATTTCCAAACACAATTTGTGAGGTCAACATCACCTTGACTAAGCCAAACAAACACACCTCAGGAAAAGTAAGGCCAATATCTATAATGGACATTGATGTAAAAATCCTCAGTAAAATGTTAGTAATAGTTTATCGAAAGGATTACACATCATATTCAAGTGGAATTTATTCCTGGCATGCAAAGGCTGGTTTAACGTGTGCAAACCAACGAAAGTAATATTTCACATTAACAGAAGAAAAGATAAAAACCGCGTGATCATCTCAATTGACACAGCAAAAGCCTTTAACAAAATTCACCATACTTTCTTGATTAAAACTCTCAACAATTTAGGTGAAGAAGGAAAATTTCTTGACATAATAAGCCATTTATGAAAAACTAACAGCTAACATTAAAATAAATGGGGGAAAACTGAAAGTGTTTCCACTAAGATCTGATACAAGGCAGGTTTACCCAGTCAGGTCATTCTATTCAACATAGTACTGATCATACTAGCAAGAGCAATAGGAAAAGAAAGAAATAAAAGACATCCAAGTTTGAAAGGAAGAAGTAAAATTATCTCTATTTGCAGATGACATAATTGCATATATAGAAAACTTCAAAGATTTCACATACATAAAAACAAGAAAATCAACAAAACCAAAAGCTTGTTCTTTTAAAAGATCAACAAAATTGATAAGCCTCTAATTAGACTAAGAAAAAAAGGCAGAAGGCACAAATCACTAATATCAGAGATAAAAGAGGGGCCCTCACTATAAATCCTTGGACATTAAAGGACAATAAAAGAATATTACAAACAACTATATACCCACAAATATGATAACAAAGATGAAATGGACCAATTCCTTGAAAGACAATCTATCCAACCTCACACATAAATAATCTGAATAGGTCTATATTCATTAAGGAAGTTAAATTAATAATTAACAATTTTTTAAACACTAAGCAACAGGTCCAGGTGATATCTGGGTCTTTCTGCTGTGCATATAAATTTTAAAATCAGTTTTTTCTTATCCACAAAACAACTTTCTTGGATTTTGATTGGGATTGCATTGAATTCACAGATCAATTTGCAAAGAGCTAACATGTAGACAGTATTGGGTCTTCCTATCTATGAACATGGAATATCTCTTAATTTATTTAACTCTTATTTGATTTATTTGATCAGCATTTTGCAGAGTTTTCCACTAGTTATAATTAAATACTGTTAATAGTTAATCAACGTTAACCTTTTTTTTTCTCTTCAGACAGAGTCTTGGTCCAGCAAAATCATACCTTACTGTAATGTTGAACTCCTGGGCTCAAGCAGTTCTCTTGATTCAGCTTCCCAAGTAGTTATAACTATAAACACATGCCACTATGCTGGACTAACTTAAAAAAAACTGTAGAAACAGGGTGTCACAATGTTGCCCAGGCCAGTCTTGAACTCCTGGCATCAAGTGATCCTCCTGCCTTGGGCCTCCCAAGTGCCATGATTGCAGGCATGAGCCACTGTCTCCAACAACATTAACTATTTCTCAATGATCTGATTTATGATAATTTTTTTCTCATTTTATTATTTCCTTTATAGTATTAATTTTTTTGACTCAATACATTTTTAAAACTATGATTTTGATATCCCACATGGGAAGATCAGATAAGCATTACCACAGAGCTCAGATTTATAGGTAAAGGTATGTATTTTTATAGATTTATATGTATATATATGTATAATTAAACAATATAAGAATAAGATGAGAAAAAAATTGTATGTCAAAAAGTCAATCATTATCATAAGTAAAAACATACCTAATGTTACAGTTTTTTGTGTATTTTTATTTTAATGTGGACTTTCTTTGAAATTTTTTATTTTTTAACTTTTATTTTAGGTTGAGGGGTACCTGTGCAGGTTTGTTATAGGTAAATTGCATGTCACAGGGCCTTGGTGTGCAGGTTATTTTATCACCCAGGCAATAAGTATAGTACCCAATAGGTAGTTTTTTGATCCTCACCCTCCTCCCCAACCTCCATCCTCAAGTAAGCGCCAGTGTCTGTTGTTACCTTCTTTGGGTCCATGTGTACTCAATGTGTTCCCCTTATAAGTGAAAACATGTGGTATTTGGTTTTCTGTTCCTGTGTTAGTTTGCTTAGGATAATGGCCTCCAGCTCCATCCATGTTGCCACAAAGGATGTAATTTTGTTCCTTTTTATGGCTGTGTAGTATTCTATGGTGTACATGTACCACTGACACAGAGTAGATGGCAAATAAATATTAGCTTGTATTGTTCACAGATGTGAATATCTTAATTCTGACTACTATAATGAGTGGATATTTGTTAATCGTTAATGTTGATCATTAATCAACATTAACATTGTTTGTTTTAACCCCATCTAAATTAGGATGCTGCCCATCCTGGATATATATAAGATAGACAGACAGATAGATAGATAGATAGATAGATAGATAGATAGATAGACAGACAGACAGATAGATAGATCTTAGCTAGTTGATTTCTGTCTGGATGGCTTTTATAGTATGCTAAACTGTGCTTTTCAATTAATATTTATTGAGTGCTTGTGTTTTATGTCAAGTTTTATTTATGCATTTCCAGCAATATAAACTAATTTATGGATAATTCTGCAATTATATTTTTTTCTGTAAAATAGATTTTTTATGTAGGGGACAAGATGCTCCAAGCTTTCCATTTTTCTCTTCAACTTATATGAAACAATAATTGAAGTTGATTACCAACACAGATGGGGGAAATTATATTGATTTCCTAGGGCTGCCATGAGAAAGTATCACAAATTGGGTGGCTTAAAAAACAGAAATTTATTGTCTGTCCCACAGTTCTGGAGGCTAGAGGTCCATAATCAAGGTGTCAGCAAGATAATACTCTCTCTGAAATCTGAAAAGGAGAATCCTTCCTTGCCTCCCATATCTTTTGTATTATCCAGCAATTCTTAACATTCCTTGGTGTGTTAATACATTCCTAATTAAGTCTCTGCCTGTGTGTTACCTGGTTATCTTCCTGTGTGATTTTACACTGTCTTCCCTCAGTGCCTATCTGTGTTTTTGTCCAAATTTCTCCTTCTTAGAATGACAGCAATCACACTGGATTAGGCCCCTTCCTAATGACCTTATCTTAATTACATCTACAAAGACCCTATTTCTAAATAAGGTCACATTCACAGATACCAGGGGTTAGAACTTCAATATATCTTTTTGGGGGACACGATTAAAGCCATAACACAAACCCTTTTGCCTTACGCAAAAAAAGCTGTAAATATCCCTACCGTTCAGTAAACATCTCAGCAGAATAATGGAAAAAACACTTTTATAGAAGAAAAATTCTTAATTTCTGTGTAGTCATTCTTCGTAGGATTATTGATAATTTGGGGAATATTCCAAGCAAAAATATAGCCATGCATGTGTGAACATATTTGTACAAGAATGTCCATCACAGCATCATATTTTATAATATCAAAAAATCAGAAACACTGTCAAGAGTCATTAATAGGGAGTTGGTTGACCACATTGAGATTCAACCTTCATAAAGTAAAATACTCTTTTTGGTCATTTTAATAAATGAAGTATATTTATTACTAGTGATATGGCAATAAGAATTATAAATTAATAGCTGAAATACAATGATTGATTTCCAATTACCAGGCAATATGTTATGTGCTTACTGTATCACATTTAATCTTTACAATCATCATATGACGTAGATGTTCTGCTATCTCCATTTTATGGATAGGCAATAGTTAATAAGATTGATTAAGTAATTTACCCAATTATACCCAGTGCTGAGTGGAGCAGACAGTATTTATATCCAGATAGTCCAATTGCAAATCTCAAGTGCATTGTCCCTATGCTGTTAATGATTGAATAGATGCAACAACACATATTAATTTCAGGAAGCAATCATTTAAGGAATACTTTGTATAGTGTGATTCCACCATGGGGAAAGGTGTGTGCATGTGTGTGTGTGCGTGCGTGTGCCTGTGTGTGTGTGCGTGTGCCTGTGTGTGTGCATGTGTGTGTGTGTAAAAGGTGAAAGCAGGTACAGTGGGGTAGTCAGAAATGGGGATGGGAACTAAAATTACTGAGTAGCACATACCTAACAATACCGAAACTTTGCAAATTATAAGAGAAAATGCGATTTAACATCCTTCTATGTCTTACCAGGAAATAAAGAGATATTCTCAGAAAGAAAGTGAAAAGGAAATCTTGAAGGTAAGTTTGCAAATAACGTGTTTATTTACACACAGCTCATTTTTCTACTCTGCAGTCCTGGAAGAGTTTCTCCAACATGATCACCTTGGTGAGTGACAGATCTGCTATCACAATTTGCTTCTACAAAAATTACATTTGTATCTGAACAGGAAGCAGAGAGAGACGTTGAGATGCAGGATTGGTAATAGCTAGTTTAGAACAGCTAAGATAATTTTTTGATCTGCCAGGAGAAAGAATGGTAAGGTGGGGAGGTGGGGGGATGTATTTTTGTCCTATCTCTAATATAGAGAGGGCAGACTTGGAAGGATTTATGGCCCTAGACTCACAGAGAAAATAGTATTCACAACTCAAAGTGCTCATTAAGCTGCTGAAGTAAAAAGGGCTTGGGAACTCCTCACATGAGAAGGCAGCAGGATACTGATAGTAACAGTTGGTGGATGGATGTTAAGTATTCAACTACTGGGAAGCAAGTGAATCTTTAAAAGGAGGTTCATGATTAGAGCCCAGCGGTTTTGACACACTGCAATCAAGCTGTAAAGAAACATAGCATAGTAAGGGATAAGCTTGTCAAAAGAGTAAAAACCAAGGACACTCAGGTAGAGCCAAGACATAAGCTTTTGGAAAGAGAAAAACACATTAACCAAACTAATTTCAGGCAGCATTGTTTTTACTTGATTCAACTATTTGAGTTGAATAAATATTAAACACATTAAACCTTTTCTTAGGGGACTAAAATGAAACTACCTATGGGAATAAAACAAACAAACAACAACAACAACAAAAAAAAACAAAGAGAATCACTCCCAAATTGGGGAAAAGGAGGTAAATCTTTGTGGAAATATAAGTAATGAAGTATTATTACAGTGAATGTTTAAATACTGGCTAATGAATTGTGCTGTGTTAGGTAAGGTATGTTTATTGTCCAATGATTCAACCTAAATTTCTATTTTTGACAAAGAAATAAAAATATATTTCTGACTATAGAAATAAAGTCATTCCTATATGGCTGAGCTACTACAATTAAAGTCAACTCAGAATAATCATTAAAGCTTATTGAGCTTCTAATGCAACAAGTAATATTCTAAGCACTTTTTAATATCCGTTCATGTAGTACTCATGAGAAGCCAAAGGTAAGAACTATTATTAGCTCCTGTTTGAAGACAAAATGCTGAGGCACAATCTATCCAAACAATTTACCCAAGATCACACAGCTAGTACATATTAGAGCCAAGATTGTGACCTGGGAAGTCTGGCCCCAGCATCTGGGCTCTTAGCACTACATTACATAGCCCCATTAACTGATAAGGTAATTCATAGAGACTTAAATGTTACTGACACATGCTCATCTCCCTTTAATAGCCACATCCTAGAAACACCTCTAAAATAAACAACTGTGGTAGTTTAAAAATATGTACACAAATTATTTTCTTCTTTTCCTTTCAAGAGATGGAGCTTATCACGTTCTCTAGAGCATGGGGTGGACTTACTTCTTTGTTTCTAATAAATAGATATGAAAAGAGAAAGTAACCATGCGAGACTTCAGAGACGAAGTCAGAAAAGACAGTGTCGCTTCTGCCTTTCTCTCTCTTGGATCACTTGCCCTAGGGAAAGCCAGATGACAACTTATGATGACACTCAAATAGGCTATGGAGAGGCTGATGTGTGAGGAAGTAAAGAAGCCTCCTGCCAACCGCCATGTGAGTAAGTAATCTTGGACACAGTTTCTACAGCCTCAATCACACCTTCAGATGACTGAGGCCTCTATTAACTTCCTAACTGCAACTTCAAAAGACTCCACTCTGCTCATCTGTTTCTGAATCCCTGAACCACAGACACTATGAGCTAATGAATATTTATGGTTTTCAACCGAGATACATTGTTATGTAGCTATTGGTAACTAAAACACACCTATAAAAATAATATTTTAAAGTCATTAGACATTTTTTAGTTATAAAATGTATAATAAGATTAAGAAGATAGGATACCTGTTTATAAACTTAAATCTATAAATTCATACATTTTACTTCACTAAAACAAATCAAGATGCTCTGAAAACTCAGAAATATGTGTTGCAGAAAGAGGCACAATAAGCCTTAATTCCCTGTAACTTTCATTATATCTATCTGGAAAATCACTTTTTTTTAAAGAGCTTTTTGTACTAAGAGGACTACTTTCTAAAAAGTTGCTATTCATTTTAAATGTCCATAGATGCTTGCCTATGCATTCTATTGCTTAGAAAAAGCACTCAATGGAGCCGGTTCCACTTGCTGCCTTGAAAGCAAGAAGACCTTCAGGCTGTAATCCCTCACTGACTTTCTAAGAGACCCTGAGCAGCCCATTTACCCTCTCGGCATCTCCACTTGCTTCTTCTGCAAAATTAGGATGCTAATAAGTGCTGAGCTTCCTTACAGGACTGCTGTAAGGGGTAAGGGATAAAAATTCTTAAAAGGTCTTTGAAAATTTGGCATGTCAGATAAATTTAAAACTCCAGCTTCTCATTAAACTTCCTGGTGCTTTGCTTAGCATTGCTCTGGCTAACATGACTATATTGTTAAAAAAAGAGAGAGAGCTGAATTTCAAACAACGTGCTGCTTTCCTATAATTTTACTGATTATGGAGTATGTCAACTGAACAAATATGTTAAAGAGTTCTGCACTTAAATATCATCATCATCATAAGAAACATGATGATGACATTAAAACAAGCCCATTTCTGTTTCCCTGACGTGTTCGTCTTATTAAGATACTTGTTTGATAGGTGTCAAATTAACACCTATCGAGGTCACTGCTGTGATAACAGGGTGTTTTGCTGAGAGCAGAATGCCAGGTTATAATCTCTTACTAATTACTTCTAAGGATTATATAGCTACCCAGGGCTGTAGTATCTTTCACACTTATCCTGGTTGGCAAATTACTTATCTATGGTGCTAGGAAAGTTCACCTGCTATTAAGCCTAAGGAGACCTTAATTAAAATCAGTTGAGTGTATCTGTGTGTCTTTGACATTAAAAGAAACACACTCGTGAGTTCCCTTTGGAGAATTTATCTGTGCTGCTTCTCACTACCATTTCAGTATCGACTTTTCTTGATTTTCAAGGAAGCCTCTTATGCTTTCTTTAGAAGGTGTGTACATAGCAATTTTTCTCTTAGTTAAGAAGCTCAAGAGGTTTGGAGGGAAAAAAAGTTTAATGGGCATAAGTACCTTTGGAGGCTTCATCCTAAGCTGTACTTCATTTTTGCATTGACTTTTCTCCTTTCCTTTGAAATATGGCAAATTACCCAGGAGTCCCAGATGTGGCTACTTGTGGGGAACAAATTTTAGCAGGAACAGAGTGGAAGGGAGGTAACCAGTGACGTGGCTCCTGAGGTCATTTGGATAAGATATGATGGATGACATAACTTGTCCTGGATGACAGTGTCCTCAATTTTTTTTTGTATTTTAGGTTTACCTTTTACAAAAGGTGAGAAAATTTGAAAGACATTTATCTTCCTAAAATGAAAGGATTAGATGTCACTTCTTAATGTTTATATGGTATAAAGACTTCATTAGTTTATCCAGAAAATATTTATTGGGGACCTAATAGGTGTTGAGTAATTGTGCTCTGAGTAATTGTGCTCCTATTAGGTGTTGTGCTAATTGCTGGGCATACAGTAGTGAACAAAACAGAAACTTTCCTGGCCCTCATGGTGCCTATATACTTATGGGGGAGATAAACATCAGACAAGAAAACCAACTATTAACTGTAAAATCAATAGTTGTGTTTAAGCATTCTCAAGAAAAACAACAGGTAAAGTAACACAAGGACTCTAAGAATGAGTTATCAACAAAGGCCTCATTAAAGAAATGATATTTGATACTGAGAGGTGAAGCCAGCTGGACTTCCTGGGTCAAATGGGGACTTGGAGAACTTTTCTGTCTAGCTATAAACGTTTGTAAATGCACCAATCAGCACTCTGTGTCTAGCTAAAGGTTTGTAAATGCACCAATCAGCACTCCGTAAAAACAGACCAATCAGCACTCTGTAAAATGGACCAATTAGCACTCTGTAAAATGGACCAATCAGCAGGATGTGGGTGGGGCCAAATAAGGGGATAAAAGCTGGCCACAGCAACCAGCAGCAGCAACCAGCTGGGTTCCCCTTCCACCCCCTTGGAAGCTTTGTTCTTTTGCTCTTCACAACAAATCTTGCTGCTGCTCACTCATTGGGTCCCTACTACCTTTATGAGCTGTAACACTCACCACGAGGGTCTGCGGCTTCATTCCTGAAGTCAGCGAGACCACGAACCCACCAGGAGGAACAAACAACTCCGGACGTGCCACCTTTAAGAGCTGTAACACTCACTGCAAAGGTCTGTGGCTTCACTCCTGAAGTCGGCAAGACCAGGAACCCACCGGAAGGAAGAAACTCCAGACACATTTGAACATCTGAAGGAACAAACTCCCGACACACCATCTTTAAGAACTGTAACGTGAGGGTCTGTGGCTTCATTCTTAAAGTCAGTGAGACCAAGAACCCACCGGAAGGAACCAATTCTGGACACGATATGACTACAAAATGTTAGAAGGAGCAGTCCAGAAAAGGAAACAGCATGTGCAAAAGCTCAACTGTGGGAAGGAACTCAGTGCATTCAAGGAAGAAAAAGTAGACCAGTGAGTCTCAAATAGAGTGAATTCAGGGAAGAAGTGCAAGAAATGAAGATGGAGAGTCAAGACAGATCCAGGTGGTGCAGGGCCTTGTAGGTAATGATAAGGAACTTGGATTTTTATGTAAAGTGCAATGGGGATTTATTAATATGATTTTATTTGCATTTTGAAGAAAATCACTCTGGCTTTCATTAGAGAGTGGATTTTCTTTTCTTTTCTTTTTTTGATGGAGTCTTGCTTTTGTCACCCAGGCTGGAGTGCAGTGGTGGAATCTTGGCTCACTGCAACTTTTGCTTCCTGGGTTCAAGTGATTCGCCTGCCTTAGCCTCCTGAGTAGCTGGGATTACAGGCGACCACCAGCACACCAGGCTAATTTTTGTCCTTTTAGTAGAGACGGGGTTTTGCCATGTTGGCCAGGCTGGTCTCGAACTCCTGACCTCAGGTGATCTGCCCGCCTCAGCCTCCCAAAGTGCTGGGATTACACACGTGAGCCACTGCGCCCAGCCGAGAGTAAATTTTTGTAGAAAAAGAATGAAGTTATTGGAGTGGTATGAATAAGATGTGATGATGACTTGTATGAGTGTCATGGTAGTGACCATAGAGGGAAGAGAAAGTACATATGTTGGAACAAAATGAGTATACCTGGTATACTTAGTATATAAATACTAGATTTCTGGTTTTTAAAAAATGAATGTTCTGGTTATAAGAACTATCATGGAGGATTGGAGAACAGCTATTGTGTATGTGGGGAAGTTAAAGATTACATGTTCGGTTTTACACATGTTGAGTATTGATGCCTTGGAGGCACCTATGTCGAGATTTCAAAGGCAAATTTGACATATAAGTTTGGAATTCATGTAAGAGGTTGACAGGAGATGTAAATTTGGATGTCATAGAGATGCTGTAAAATTTAATGAAAAGTAATAACATCAGGAGGGACATAATACAGAGAAAGAAGTGAAGGAATGCAAAATATAGTTCTGAGAAAATTAAAAATTATGGTATTATAAGGAAATTGAAAAATTAGCAAAACAAGCTGAGAAGGAGCCCACAAAGGAAGGAAACAAACTGGGAGAGTGTGGTAATGTAATTAAGAACAAAAGCCTGATTAATTGTGTCCAATACTAAGGTAAGTCTTAGCAAAATTAAGCACTAAAAATATCCATTAGATTTTTCAAAACAGCGGGTTTGCCCTTGACCAGATCTGTTACAGCAGATTTATAGGGAAAGAAGCCATAACAGAAGGTAAAGAAATGAAGAAGGCAGGTGTCAGATTACTCTTCAATACAATTTCGTTTTGAAAAAAAAAAAAAGAAGAAAGAAAATAAGAAATTAAGTGGAAGGAAATGTGGTGTCGGAAAGTTTTTATAAATAAATTAATATGTAATTATTATAGTTTATTTCTTCATTGTTATTTATTTATTTAAAACAATAATTACTGAGTATGTGCTTTATGCCAGGCATTTTTTATAGACAGAAAGACAAATTATTTTCAGACAATTAGGAAATATATATGCAGTATGCTAAAGATGCTACACAATTGGAAATTATTTATTTAAAATGTTTCAGCCATTAAAGTGAGATTCACCAACAAAATTTTCGTTATACTGTTTAATTTTTAAACAGGTGGCCAGTTGTGTGGGCTACAACTGCTGTACAGTTGAGTAAATAATTACAACCATAAAATGTGATTGAATCGACAGTTGGGAAATACTTGGGTAAAAAATTTCCTTGCGGAGATGACAAAAATAAATTAATGATAGAAGAGGAACTGTATACTAGATAACCTCTAAGTCTCTTGATTAATTAATTAATTGATAACTTTCCATGATTTATACCTTAAACACAGTTTCCAGGCTCAACATTTTAAGTTATTGGAGAGTAATGATAGGTAAAGTGTTATTTTTATAATTTTTTCTTTGGCATTAATCCAGGTAACATTTCTCAGAATGGGTGCTGACAGCTTAGTCATAAGCTTTTGTGGTCCCGAAGAAATATACTCCTCAATCATAGCTTCCAACGATAATTTCTACTGACCATTTCAGAAACTGTAAATAATTCATATGGAAAATGGTTTAGTGCAATCTATACTCACTATTAGGAAAAAAAGTCCCATGCCTTGAGACTTCGAGTCAATAGAATCTTTAATGATTTAATTATGGAAAATTTTGAACATATTCAAAGGTAGGGAAAATAGTACAATTAACCACCTGTGCCTGTGATTCGGTTTCAACAATGAACAACTCATGGCTATTTGTTCTTACCATACCTCCAGACTGGCTCACTCACATGGATGACAAGTTGGGCTGAGGCCAGGGTCCTTTCCCATATAGGGCTTTTAATTGGGCTGATTGAGCATATTCACAGTATGCTGTCTGGCTTCCTCTGTAGCAAATGATGCAGAAGGCCAAAAGGGAAGCTGCGGTGCTTTTCAGGACAAAGCCTCGAAGTCACACATCCTCACTTCTGTTGTTCCAACCATGATTCAATGTGGCAAGGGGCTGACTACACAAGGCTGTGAACACCGGGAAGGAAATATCACTGAAGGACAAATTGATGGCTAGCTAACACAGTGTGTATGTGTTTAAGACAATAACTCTCTTTTTAAAATGTAATTGCAATATAACTTAATAAGACTTTAATATCATCAAATATATACATATAGTTCACATGTTCCCAATTTTTTAATGGTTTATTCAGATCAGAATTAAAATACAGTCATGCATTGCAATCGGTTGAAATGATTAAGTCTCTTTTAATTTCTCTAATTTTTCTTTCTAAATTATTTGTTAAAGAAAGTGAAACATTTGTTTTACAGAGTTTCCCACTTTCTGGGTTGTGTTGATTTCATCCTGATAGAGCGTTTGTTCATTAGAGGCTGGGTAAATGCTTGATTAATTCCTTTCCAATATTCGGAGATCTTTCCTTAGCATCCTACATAAGTCACCAGTAGAATTTTACAAAATTCTATCATGGGCTCCTGGATTTAGGTATATTTGATGTGTTTCAGTCCATTTCAGTTATTTTCTTATTAATGATACAATTATACCATCTTTGGCCAGTAAAAGACCTTTTAAATTGATCCTTGAATCTTTTGCAAGTGACTCCAGTTGTCTTGACAATTTTCTTTTCTTCTAGAATAAAAAAATTTTCTAGGTTTATCTTATGTATTAGCTGGCCCAGACATAGAAACAAACATGTCTCTACTAATCCCTAGTTTCTTTTTGTGAGTATGGTCAAGAAATATGTATTTTTAAAAGCAAATTATGTGTTCATATAGTTATTTGAAATTCAATTTAATATTTAAAGTTTTTTATTTATTTAATTTTATATCAAATTTCATTTTTGGGGGTGAAAGATCTTGGTTCTAACTACAATAACTATACATTAACTATATTAGCATATTTATTATACATATATGCACATATACATAGTTTCAAAGAATAATGCTAATAATAATATGATTATGAAAAAAGTATGAGTTTTTTGCAGTTATTTTTATCCTTAGGATCCATCTGCAAGTATATACAATCAAATTACTATACATAAAGTCACTTGAGATAAATCCTTGGCATACAGTCATATTCGTTTATTTCATTTTACCTTTGATTTGTAGGTATTATTTTTATAAATTTTGTTTTGTTTTATTATTATAAAACATTTACATGCTTCTAAATGTGTATTCAGAGAAGTTGCCTTCTTCACCTGTTCTCACCTTCCACTTACAGGAATTTTTTTTAAGCTTTTGTTTTATCCTTCCATCATTTAAAATACTTGAGAAAAAAGTGTATATTTTCTAGATCCTTGAGGAATTGCCACACAGTCTTCCACAATGGTTGAACTAATTTACATCCCACCAACAGTGTAAAAGTGTTCGTATTTCTTCACATTGTCTCCAACATCTGTTGTTTCCTGGCTTTTTAATGATCACCATTCTAACTGGGGTGAGATGGTATCTCATTGTGGTTTTGATTTGCAGTTCTCTGATGACTAGTGATGATGAGCATTTTTTCATATGTCTGCTGGCTGCATAAATGTCATCTTTTGAGAAATATCTGTTCATATCCTTTGCCCACTTTTTGTTGGGGTTGTTTTCTTGTAAATTTAAGTTCTTTGTAGATTCTAGATATTAGCCCTTTGTCAGCTGGATAGATAGATTGCAAAAATTTTCTCCCATTCTGTAGGTTGCCTGTTCATGCTGATGATAGTTTCTGTTGCTGTGCAGAAGCTCTTTAATTTAATTAGATCCCAATTGTCTATTTTGGCTTTTGTTGCCATTGCTTTTGGTGTTTTAGTCATGAAGTCTTTGCCCATGCCTATGTCCTGAATGGTATTGCCTAGATTTTCTTCTAGGGTTTTTATGATGTTAGGTCTTACATTTAAGTCTTTAATCCATCTTGAGTTAATTTTTGTATAAGGTGTAAGGAAGGGATCCAGTTTCAGCTTTCTACATATGGCTAGCCAGTTTTCCCAGCACCATTTATTAAATAGGGAATTCTTTCCCCAGTGCTTGTTTTTGTCAGGTTTGTCAAAGATCAGATGGTTGTAGATGTGTGGTGTTATTGCTGAGGCCTCTGTTCTGTTCCATTGGTCTATGTATCTGTTTTGGTACCAGTACCATGCTGTTTTTGTTACTGTAGCCTTGTAGTATAGTTTGAAGTCAGGCAGTGTGATGCCTTCAGCTTTGTTCTTTTTGCTTAGTATTGTCTTGGCTATGTGGGCTCTTTTTTTGTTCCATGTGAACTTTAAAGTAGTTTTTTCCAATTCTGTGAAGAAAGTCAGTGGTAGCTTGATGAGGATAGATTGAATCTGTAAATTACCTTGGGCAGTATGGCCATTTTCACGATATTGATTCTTCCTATCCATGAGCATGGAATGGTCTTCCATTTGTTTGTGTCCTCTTTTATTTCGTTGAGCAGTGGTTTGTAGTTCTGGTTGAAGAGTTCCTTCACATCCCTTGTAAGTTGGATTCCTAGGTATTTTATTCTCTTTGTAGTAATTGTGTATGGGAGTTCACTCATGATTTGGCTCTCTGTTTATTACTGGTGTATAGGAATGCTTGTGATTTTTGTACATTGATTTTATATCCTGAGACTTTGCTGAAGTTGCTTATCAGCTTAAGGAGATATTGGTCTGAGACAATAGTGTTTTCTAAATATACAATCATGTCATCAGCAAAAAGAGACAATTTGACTTCCTCTTTTCCTAATTGAATACCCTTTATTTCTTTCTTTTGCCTGATTGTTCTAGCCAGAACTTCCAACACTATGTTGAATAGGAGTGGTGAGAGAGGGCATCCTTGTTTTGTGCTGGATTTCAAAGGGAATGCTTCCAGTTTTTTTCCCATTCAGTATGATATTGGCTGTGGGTTTGTCATAAATAGTTCTTATTATTTTGAGATACATTGCATCAATACCTAGTTTACTGAGAGGTTTTAGCATGAAGGGCTGTTGAATTTTGAAGACCCATCAGTGTGCTGTATTCAGGAGACCCATCTCACATGGAAAGATGCACATAGGCTCAAAATAAAGGGATGGAGGAAGATCTACCAAGCAAATGGAAAGAAAAAAAAAAAAAAACAGGGGTTGCAATCCTAATCCTAGTCTCTGATAAAGCAGACTTTAAACCAACAAATATCAAAAGAGACAAAGAAGACCTACCATAATGGTAAAGGGATCAATTCAACAAGAAGAGCTAACTATCCTAAATATACATGCATCCAATACAGGAGCACCCAGATTCATAAAGCAAGTCCTTAGAGACCTACAAAGAGACTTAGACTCTCACACAATAATAATGGGAGACTTTAACACCCCATTGTCAATATTAGACAGATCGAGACAGAAGGTTAACAAGGATATCCAGAACTTGAACTCAGCTCTGGACCAAGCAGACCTAATAGACATCTACAGAAATCTACACCCCAAATCAACAGAATATACATTCTTCTCAGCAGCACATCACACTTATTATAAAATGGACCACATAATTGGAAGTAAAACACTCCTCAGCAAATGTAAAAGAACAGAAATCACAACAAACTGTCTCTTGGACCACAGTGCAATCAAATTAGAACTCAGGATTAATAAACTCACTCAAAACTGCACAGCTATATGGAAGCTGAACAACCTGCTCCTGAATGACTACTGGGTAAATAGTGAAATGAAGGCGGAAATAAAGATGTTCTTTGAAACCAATGAGAACAAAGACTAATGTACCAGAATCTCTGGGACACATATACAGCAGTGTGTAGAGGGAAATTTATAGCACTAAATGCCCACAAGAGAAAGCAGGAAATATCTAAAGTCGACACCCTAACATCACAATTAAAACAACTAGAGAAGCAAGAACAAACAAGTTCAAAAGCTAGCAGAAGAGAAGAAATAACTTAGATCAGAGCTGAAGGAGACAGAGACACAAAAAAACCCTTCAAAAAAGTCAATGAATCTAGGAGCTGGTTTTTTGAAAAGATCAACAAAATAGATACACTGCTAGGCAGACTAATAAAGAAGATAACAGTGAAGAATCAAATAGAAGCAATAAAAAATGGTAAAGGGGATATCACCACCGATCCCACAGAAATACAAACGACCATCAGAGAATACTATAAACACCTCTACACAAATAAACTAGAAAACCTAGAAGAAATGGATAAATTCCTGGACACATACACCCTCCCAAGACTAAACCAGGAAGAAGTTGAATCTCTGAATAGACCAATAACAGGTTCAGAAATTGAGGTAAGAATTAATAGTCTACCAACCAGAAAAAGTCCAGGACCAGAGAGATTCACAGCTGAATTCTACCAGAAGTAGCAAGAGGAACTGGTACCATTCCTTCTGAAGCTATTCCGATCAATGGAAAAAGAGGGAATCCTCCCTAACTCATATTATGAGGCCAGCATCATCCTGATACCAAAGCCTGGCAGAGACACAACAAAAAAAGAGAATTTTAGTCCAGTATCCCTGAAGAACATTGATGTGAAAATCCTCAATAAAATACTGGCAAACCAAATCTAGCAGCACATGAAAAAGCTTATCCACCACAATCAAGTCAGCTTCATCCCTGGGATGCAAGGATGGTTCAACATATGCAAATCAATAAACATAATCCATCACATAAACAGAACCAATGACAAAAACCACATGATTCTCTCAATAGATGCAGAAAAGACATTTGATAAAATTAAAACTTTTATTTAAAAAATTTTATCAGCTGGGCGTGGTGGCCCATGCCTGTAATCCCAGCACTTCGGGAGGCCAGGGCAGGTGGATCACAAGGTCAGAAGTTCAAGACCGGATTAGCCAATATGATGAAACCCCATCTCTACTAAAAATACAAAAATGAGCTGGGTGTGGTGATGTGCCTCTATAGTCCCAGCTACTCAGGAGACTGAGGCACTGCAACCCAGGAGGTGGAATTTGCAGTGATCCAAGATGGCACCATCGCACTCCAGCCCAGGTGACAGTGCGTGACTCCATATCAAAAAAAAAAAAATTATCAATATGCCGTGATTGCCCAAGTATCTTTGTGCTAGAGAGGATGTAAAACAATTTTGTAAGGGGAACCTTCATAACTTCCAAGGTAAGACTCTCTAATCAGGAATTCAGTCTTGTTGTGCTACTCAGTAGAGATAGAGATAGATAGTATTATATCTAGGTGAATTGTCTTCAAGGTCTGCAAACCTGTATTTAACTGGTTACCCAAAATGATATATTCTAGATTAATATGCTCTCCAGTATAATGTGACTGTGCACCAACAGATATTTATTAAAACTGAGCTAAGCAAAGAACCTCTTGGAGAATAGACTGTCCATTAAGTCAGATAATTTAAAACATATTCTTGAAACAAGCTATATCAATAGGAAGCTGAGTGCCATGGGAGCATTTTATAGCTCTCTCTCCTTCCCACAACCCGCTCCCTCCCTCTATTGAATGATGTTTAATAAAACAGCACTATGAAACTTTATTTGAAGGATGTTGTTGAAGGAAAGCTCTCTTACATTGAGAATAGATGTATGTCTCGTGAGTAACTGGTTCTGTTTTCTTTTATGGACACTGAGAAGTAACAGATCTGGCTTTCTTTGACACCGCAGCTGCTGAGAAGCTATTTTGGTAAGCACACTTGCTGAAGTATCAGAGGTTGGCCAGGAAAACATGAGCCATTCTGGGTATGCTAAACAGTAAGAATTTTAATACAGAGAATTAGCTAGTGGCAGGCTTGGGCATAAAGCTGTTAGAGTTGGTGACATACAGGAGCTCACCTGGAAGCATTGATAAACCTCAGTAATTGCAGCTTCTAGCCTTATCTGGTTTCTAAAGCAGATGATTCTCAAAATCTTTTCTTCTGCCCAGGTGTATTCCTGCAGCGACCTCCCACGATTGCTAATGGCATTTCCTTCCTTTCTATCTTCCTCATTTCTTATAAGCTGAATCCTACAGGGAAGGGCATCATGGTGATGCTCAGTGGAAAACATACACAGGATGCCTGCAAGTTCTAGGCGACTTGTAAACTCAGTGGTTTATAAAAGCACACATGGCAAGAAAATGCCATTAGAAGAATCATCCAAGTCAAATGTAAAGGACCCTGTCCCCACTGTCTGTCCAACTCTGTATAGGATTAGAATACTCACCACAGATACTGTCCTGGAACATGCACCTTCTGGTGGAGTTGACCTCACTCACAGAAACAGGCGATCATTAGCACATTTGCATGACCTAGTTACTTCAATATTTTACTTGTTTTTATATTTTTGATTCTAGCTGTTGCTTGAGTAAATATTTCATATACAGTCCAGAGCTGTGGCTGACCCTTAGCATTTTAATCCTTTCTAACCTCAGCAACTGTGCTATATTATTCTAACATTGCAGAGCAATATTTTTATTCAATTCTCTACTAGAATTTTTATTGTATGTCTCTAAAACTGTGATTCCTTTTTTTCCTAACACAAAAGAATAAGAGGCTAGACCATGGGGGAGAAAAGTTTTGGTGACCATCTCTCCAATTAAAAGTTTAGAACACGACAGGCTCTGTGGCTCAAGCCTGTAATCCCAGCACTTTGGGAGGCCGAGATGGGCAGATCACTTGAAGTCAGGAGTTTGAGATGAGCCTGGCCAACCTGGTAAAACCCTGTCTCTACTACAAACACAAAAATTAGCCAGGAGTTGTGGCAGGCACCTGTAATCCCAGCTACTCAGGAGGTTGAGGCAGGAGAATTGCTTGAACCCGAGAAGCAGAAGTTGCAGTGAGCTGCAGTCGCTACACTGCACTCCAGAGACAGAAAGAGACTCTGTCTCAAAAAAAAAAAAATTACACCAAATTGAGGTGCATGCATAGCAAAGATTATCTAATTCTCTTTTGATTCGAAAAGTAAGCTGTACTCTTTTATTATTTATCATTGGGAGGCTCCTCATATTCTTTCTGGGACAAAAGTAATATATGTACAAACATAAGCATTTTTCATTTACTTACAAATAAATGGGATCTTATTCTAAGCAAGTTCTGCTTTTTAAGGGATCATTTCAGTTTGCCTTGCTGTGAAAAAGACAAGAAAAATGTTTTGTTGCTTTTTCCTCAGATAGATTTTTTTTTTAAATCCCCACCTGGCTAGGTGTGAAGTCCAAGCCAACTGCTTTGTATATTTATTTTCGATTAAAAAAAATGTGTCAAAGAAGTGACTAGGGTGTTAGCTTTACCTGAGTACTGAGGACTGCAAACTTTGCTGGTAGTACAGGTTTTATGAAACTATTTTAAAAGGGTAGGAAGATGTCCCCAAAGAACACCAATAATTGAATGATTTCTTAAGGGACACTCATACAACCCCTTAGGCAGAGTCAGGTAGGGAAACAATGGCAGACCAAGGAGTTAGGAATCCTAATTCTAGGCTTTGTCAGGAGTAGTCTACTCTCTAATCACCCTTGTAATGGTTCATTTGAAAATTATTTAATTATAATACATTCATTTATAGGAATAAAATGAGTATATTTTTATACTACCCTTCTCAAAGAATTCTGGATAGGATAAGATGTATGATGGAGAGGGTATATGAGCAGTAAAAACTAATTTGAATTCTGTCACTGTCTGCTACTAATTGTGACATTGAACAAATTATTTAGCCTGGGGAACCAATTGCACCTTCTAAAACTTATTAAATTTCATATCCTAGTTAGTAATCTACTATAAGATCTACTTTCTAAAGTTGTTTTGAGGATTAAATGAGGTAATGCATTAAAAGAGCTTTGAAAACTGCAAATTCTATACACATCATTCCAGCTCAATAAGTAGCCATGCCAGGAGGCAGAGAGAAACTTAGATGCTTTGCATTGAGAAAGCTTTGAGAATTTATTGACATGCTAACTTGAATTCATTGAACAGGGAAAGCGGCGTCCACAGGGTTTCTCCAAGAAAGTAATTCAGCCTAAATAGGTACCAACGCACAATAGCTTTAGTGATACTGCCAAAGCAAGGCTGAGCCCAGAAGGCCACCAATCAAGGTCTGTTAGCATTCATTCTCATCACATTCCTAATTTGTTGGGTTGACTAGACAATGTCTTGAGTATATTGACATATTATAATTAAATTTAATTATATTACCATCCAGGAACAGATAACAAAGCAAATACTTTTACTGTTCTGATTATTAGCACTTTACATTCCCAATGTTAGTAAAAGTCAGAATATGTATATATTTCTCAAGACGTGTGTCTGCATTCAGATAGATAGATGAAGTATATAATTTATCAAATTGGAATTGTCCTATATGCAGTAGACATCACTAATGACAGCAATATCTAGTTATCTTTCCCCATGAAAGATTGTACTTTTCAGGCCTTTTGTAGCCAATGAGATGTCACTTTAGGATGGGGGCAGTAAAATATTTACAATTTTTTTAGTCTCTCATTTTCCCCTTCTGAGAAGAGACTTGGTGTTGAGGTGGTCAGCCTTGAACATTGAGATGGGGCATAGAGGTCAGACACTGAAGAGAACTGCCCAGGCCTGCAGTGGACTTTGCATGAGCAAGTAATACATTTAAGTTAGGCCAAATAACTAAGATTTTGGAGTTGTTATTGCAGCAGAGCGTAGCCTACCTGGATTGATTGATAAATCGATAGTGGGTGTATTGATAAATCGATGGTATATGGTTTATCAAAGTGGAATCAGAATGTTATCTTGTTTTTTCTTAAGCTATATGACAACAATGTTTCCTTGCTAGTTAAAACTTTGTCCCTATAATTTTAATGCTTATTAATTTTATGTATCACAATGTACTGAATAAATCCTGCACATTATATATTTAATTTATTAATGTTGAATATTCCTTAATAACATATTTAAAAGAAATTCACTCATGTGGAATTGTGCTAATTTATTTTCAACCATCAGTATAGAAAAATTTCTACATCTTTACCCGCTTACCATAACTGTATGATCAGCTTTTTTCAGTTGTTAGCTAAAAATTCATTTGGTGGCTGCTTTAATTTGCATTTTATTAATTTGAAGTGGGTTTGAATATTGAAAAGCATTTTTTAGCCATTTGTATATTTTACTAATGAAATTCTTGCCAACTCCCTTAATCTTAATTTTATGAGATGCGTATCTTCTTTTCAGTGATTTGCAAAATCCTTATATTAGGAAAATGAATTCACTGTCCATTCAATATATGATTATTTTTGCAGATGGTTTTACCTTTTGATGACCTGTGTTTGATTTTGATGACCCATATTTTAAGATCTGGGTTTTTTGGTTTTTATTTATTTTTTCTTATTTTGGTCCATATTTACCTCTGCGTAATCCCTCTGTTGTATATTCTCATTCCCCAAATTTCCAGTTTTTATAATATTAATAGTAATTATTTCTAAAAGTAATACATCCAATGTAAATTACTATATAATATAAAACAATTTTTAAAGAAATACTCCTTACACCTTGACAATTTGATGACCACATCTCAAGAATAAATTGTAGATAGCGAACCTGGCAAGTGAAAAACTGATAAGATGTCATACTGCGCTGGAATATTAGTTCTCTATGCAGAAAACATCACGTTTGTTAATATGGCATGATGGCATTCTGTCCTCTCTTGGTCTCTATATACCTTTTTTATATATTTATTTAACAGTTATATGCCAAGGACTGGTAAGCAGGGCTGGCACATATGGTTGTACTTAAAATCCTGATTTTTAAAAATAGTTTTTAAACATAGGGCTTAAGTTACCTTGAATTTAGTATATTAATCTGAGGAATAAGTAAATATGTGCCAACTGCTTTTTGCATGAAAGATAATCATGGAAACGTGGAAATTGGGAAAATTTATCATTAATATGCATCTCTCTCTCCTTCTCTCTCTGTATGTACACACACATACAATGACTGTGTATATTCATTTATGTGTTATTAATTAAGGTACAAATTCAAAGGCTCTCTAATAGACGTGACACATTTATGAACTTACAACACATTTAAAAATAAATATTTAAAGGCATTTGACTGCTACAATGAGATACTGTTTCATATCTAGAAGGGCTATAATCAAAAAGTCACACGATGAAAATACTAGGAGCCTCAAGGTAGAAATGTAAAATGGTATAGCCACTTTGGAAAACAATCTTCAGTCAGTTCTCCAAAATGTCAAACAGTATTACCATATGGTGCAACAGTTCCACACTTAGGTATATAACCAATGAGATTAGATTCGGTAGTCTCAGTAGAGGTAGTGAAGTCTAAGCTGTGAATTTTGGGAAATAGAAATGACAGCATTCTGAGGTCTTACATGTTACAACTGAGAGGCTGGGGGGAATGACAGTTTTCTTTTGAGTACTCTGAATTCTCTCTGGACCTTTGCACATAGAGGGATCAAGGACTGGGGAAGAGTGTTCTTAGTTTGATTTCTTAGGGCTCCTTTATGACCTCTTGAATATCTGGAGAGTCCCTTGTACCATGCCCTCCTTGGGCAGAGTCAATCTTATCTAGACAGCATAGGGTACACTCTTTATACTTGCATTTCTTGATTCCCTGGAAGCTATAATAACTCTTTCTATTGATATATAGTAGTTACATATATTTTGGGGGTATACGTGATGTTCCTATACCTGTATATAATGTGTAATGATCAAATGAAGGTAACTGGAATATCCATTGACTCAAACATTTATCATTTATTTGGGAACATCACGATTAGTTGATTATTAGGTATACAAATAAAATGTGGCCTCCAATACATATAAACCAAAATTGACAGAATCATATGGACAAATGAATCTATCTACAGTTCTTTCATATTTGCTATATCGTGCAGAAAAAAAGATTTGAATAATATAATTAATAATAATGATAAAATTAAAAATAGAACTCTTATGCAATAATTAGTGAACAGATACTTTTCTCAAGAACATAGACAGTATTTCTGCAAATTAACCATGTACCAAGGCATAAAACAACACAAATTTCAAAGAATTAGTATCATACTGATGTGTGTTATTGATTTCTAAGCTAATTACAATGTGGCTATTTGGATGCACATTGTAATTAGTTTAGAAATCAATAACAAACATTATAACAAAAAGAAAAATATATATAAATTTAGTAAAGAAAGAAACTTCTAAATAACCAGGCAGGCAAAGAAGAATTTTAACAGAAAGTAGAGAGTAGATTTTGGAGAGATGCAGAATAAGCATTAGACAGAAATTCAGTGTCATTGACTTATAGTTGAGAAGAAAGAAAAGCTGAAGGTCAATGAGTTTAATGTTCTATTTAAGAGGCTGAAGAAAAAATTCACAGAATAAATTTAAAGAAATTCAAAAAATGACAATAATGAAGAAGCATCTAAAATAATGAAATAAAGATATAATAAAGAGCATCAAGGACAAAAGTATGTTCTTTGAAGCTAACAAAGTAGACAAAAATTGGTAAAAATAACAAATACAAATGAAATAAATATCAAAGTGGAATATAACCACAGACAAGCAGAGATTTTAAAAACAATACCAGAAAACATACCAGTTTAATGGACTGAACCTCTTTAGATATAAGCAGAAATGAATTTCCCATTTTCATACCCTTCTTGTGCAAAGATCTAGTAAAAAATATTTTGTTTTCCATTGGAAGAAATCTCTAGCAAAGCTCATAATTTTTCTAGTGTCTTAGAAAATGAAAAGTCCTTCATTTTGAGTAATAAAAGTCCAGTCCTGGTTAACATCAATACTCCAAATTGATAAAAGATTCCCTTCCTCTTCCAATTAAACCTGATTCAGTCTTTAGTAAGTGGTAGTGGTAGGAAAGATGGTGGGAGTCTTCTCTCCCTGCTCCACCCATCCCCAACTGACTAGCTGCAGTTTTACGTCTTCTGAGAAGATATTAAGAATAAAGGGGACTAAGGGAAATGGAAAAATGCTTATATGGCTAATAGTTTGCCTCTTGATGTGGAAGACCCACTCTTTTTTTCAATAATTTCCATTTTTGTTTTAGATTTGAGGGTTAAATGGGCAGGTTTGTTACATGAATATCTTGTGTGATGCTGAGGTTTGGGGTATGGTTGATTCTGTCTTTTGAGTAGTGAGCATAATGCCTAATAGTTAATTTTTCAACCTTTGGCCCCTCCCTCCTCCACTAAGTACTTCTCAATATCTACTTTTGCCATCTTTATGTCCATAAATACTCAGTGTTTAGCTCTCACTTATACGTGAGAATGTATAGTATTTGTTTTTGTTTCTACATTAATTTGCTTAGTACAATGACCTCCAGCTGCACCCATATTGCTGCAAAGGGTATAATTTTAGTTCTTTTGTATGGCTGCATAGTGTTCCATAGTGTACATGTACTACATTTTTTATCCTATCCACCATTAATAGATTCCTACGTTGATTTCATGTCTTTGCTGTGGTGAATAGTGCTGTGATAAACATATAAGTGCAGTTATCTTTTTGATAGAACAATTTATTTTTTTGGATATATACCTAGAAATGCAATTGCTGAGCCAAAGTGGTAGTTCTATTTTAAGTTCTTTGAAAAATTGCCAAACTACTTTCCACAGTGCCTGAATTAATTTTCATGTCCACCAACAGTGTATAAGCATTCCCTTTTCTCCATAGCTTCAACAGCATCTATTGTTTTTGGGCTTTTTAATAATTGCCATTCTGATTGGTGTGAGATGGTGTCTCATTGTGGTTTTGATTTTCATTTCTCTAATGATTAGTGATGTTGAGCATTTTTTTCATGTTTGCTGGCTGCTTGAAAGTCTTCCTTTGAGAAATGTCTGTTCATGCCTTTTGCCCACTTTTTAATGGGATTATTTGCTTGACTCCTCCCTAACTCATTTTATGAAGCCAGCATGACCCTCATACCAAAACCTGGCAAAGATACAGAAAAAAAAGTACAGGCCAATATCCCTGATGAACATAGATGCAAAATCCTCAACAAAATACTAGCAAACCAAATATAGCAGCACATCAAAAAGTTCATTCACCACAAACAAGTAGTCGTTATTCCTGGAATGCAAGGTTGGTTCAACATATGCAAATTAATAAATGTGACTCCTTACATAATCAGAATTAAAAACAAAAATCATATGATCATCTCAATAGACATGGAAAAAGCTTTTGATAAAATTCAACATCTCTTCATGATAAAAATCCTCAACAAACTAGGCATTGAAGGAACATACCTCAAAACAAGAAAAGCCATCTATGACAATTCCACAACCAACATTACACTGAATGGGCAAAAATTGGAAGCACTCGTTTTGAGAACTGGAACAAGACAAGGATGCTGAGTCACACCACTCTTATTCAACATAGTACTGGAGGTGCTAGCTAGAACACATAGGCCATAGAGAGAGATAAAAAGCCTCCAAGTAAGAAAAGAAAAAGTGAAACTATCTCTCTTTACCAAGAATATAATTCTATACCTAAAAACCCCAAAAGAGTACACCAAACGGTTCCTGGAACTGATAAATGACTTCAGTAATGTTTCAGGATACAAAAACAATGTACAAATCAGTAGGAATTCTATATACTAAAAACATTCAAATTGAGAGCCAAATTAAGAACACAAGCCCATTAACAATAGGCACACAAATAATAAAATACCTAGGAATACATCTAACCAAGGAGGTGAAATAACTCTACAAAGAGAGCTATAAAACGCTGCTGAAGGAAATCATAGATGACACAAACAAATGGTAAAACATTTCATGTTCATGGATTAGAAGAATCAATATCATTAAAGTGGCCATCCTGCCCTAAGCAATCTGCAAATTTAACAGTATTCCTGTTAAACTATTAATGTCATTTTTCACAGAATTAGAAAATGACTATTCTAAATTTCACATGGAACCAAAAAAGAGCCTGAATATCCAAAGCAATTCTAAGCAAAGAGAACAAAGCCAGAAGCATAACATTACCTGACTTCAGACTATACTATAAGGTTACAATAACCAAAACAGCATGGTGCTGGTACAAAAACATACAATAGACCAATAATACAGAATAGAGAACCCAGAAATAAAGCCACATACCCACAGTCATCTGATCTTCAACAAAGTCACCAAATAAACAAAGAGGAGAGGACTCCCTATTCAATCAATGGTGCCGGGATAGCTACATATTCCATATGCAGAAGAATGAAACTAGATGCCTACCACTCACCATACATAAAAGTTAAATTTAGGTGGATTAAAGATCTAAATGTAAGACCTCGAACTGTGAGAATCCTAGAAGAAAACTTAGGAAACACTATTCTGGACATCGGCCTTGGGAAATAATTTAAGACTAAGTCCTCAAAAGCAATTGCAAGAAAAACAAAAATTAACAAGCAGGACCAAATTGACAAATAGGATCTAATTAACCTAAGGAGCTTCTGCACAATAAAAGAAACTGTCAACAGAGTAAACAGACAACCTACAGAATGGGAGAAAATATTTGCAATCCATGCATCCGTCAAAGCTCTACAATCCAGAATCTATAAGGGAACCAAACAGTTCAACAAGCCAAAAGTGGATGCACTCTTATTTGATCTTTCTCTCATGAGCACTTTTATGACTCCTTCAGAGATCCCCTGTTGGGGGCATCCTCCTTACGGGGGATAACCTGGCCGTGTGGCCAATTATAACTTCACCTCAGTCCTTGAATTACTAGCTGGGTCACATTGTTTCCTCAGAGGATCCTTTTGGGTTGAGTCCCTTTTAAGATGACTCTTGGGTGACTCCCTTCTGTGGTCTCTCACCTCCTTGCCCTTTTCTCTCTCTCTTTTCTTTCTCCAGCTTTTTGGAGGCATAATTGGCCTTCTCTTGGAGGAAGAGCATTTGGTATGAAGGTAGCCTTCTCTTTCATTGCTTTGTCGGCTCCAGATTACCTCTTCTCTTTGTTTCTATGAGAATTAAGCACCATTCCCTAAATACTCTCAACTTCAGGAGACACATGTGAACCTTTCTGAGTGGCTCTCTTAAAGTTCTCTTCACTCAGCTTACTAAAACAAGGGAAAAGGAAATTGCTTCATTCCCACCCAGAAAAACAGGGGCCTGAAGAGTACATTGCCAAATCGCTCCAAAGACAAGCTTCCTTCAGGCCTTATTAGCTCTTGCTCTTTACACCAAAACAATTTGTCATGAAAAAAAATGCTGGCAATTTCATAGGAGGTAACTTGCTCTAAGTGGAGTACTTCATAGTGATTGTGTTATTTGTCCTGGGGTTTCAGCTAAGGCTGAGACAGGAGTCCCATTTTAACATCCTGTTATATCACAAATAACATTTTGCTAACTAACTTGAAAACCTAGGGAAAAAAAGGAATATTCATTAGAAAAATATAAAATTTTAGAAAACTTAAGAAAAAGTAGAAAAACCGAATAGACCTAATCATCAAAAAATTAAATTAATATTTACAAATTTAACATATTACCTCAAAAGCTAAACAAACAAAAAATAAAGTGGAAAAATATCTGCATTTTACTATGCATTTTCAAAATTTTAATGGAGGTTCTAATCATTGAAGTGGACAAGAAAAAGAAAATCTTTGAAAATTCAAAAGTAGAAAACAAAGTTATCATTTGAAGACATTTTATTTGTCCTACATAGGAATCCCCAGAGAATGTACAAAAAAAAATACTAGCTAGATTGGAGGAGTAAATGCTACTGTTCCATGTCACTAGGATGACTATAGTTCACAACGACATGTAGTTTCAAATAGCTAGAGAAAATGTTGAATGCTCCCAACACAAAGAAATGACAAGTGTTTGGGATGATGGTTATGCTAATGACCCTGGTCTGATTACTATACATTATATGTATTTAAACATCACTATGTACATGTCTCCAGACAGCTAAGATATTGCAAATAAAATAGAAGAGAGCATTGACAAAAGACAGACAGGCATCTTAGAAGTAGCAGATGAAGAGAATTTTTTCTAGTTACCAGGCATCTATTTAAAAGTAACCCCTGAAGGGAAACCTGAATTCATTCTCTGTTCTTGTCAAAATTAGTATTTTCTGAATGTTTTCTTTTCTTCGCATTTTGAATTTTAATGCTGTACCAACGAATAATGGAAAAATCATTTGACAAAGCCAAAGATTGCATTAAATTCTAGTGTGTGTTAATTGGCTTTATTAAAAATTAGCATTTTTGAATTTCTAATTCTCTTCCTAATTTATAAAATGTCATTCATTTTATCATGTATTATATTATAATTAAATTTGCATGAGAGTAAATTTTATTTGTCTGTTGCTGAAACACATAAGAATTGTCTACACAACTAATGCAGGATATTTTTATATTCTCATGTTGACAATAAAATATTCATTAATTTAAACATGGCAACAGCAGTACACATGCTGCAGTTGTAATTACCATTGCTTAGTAACTGCATGTCTCTGAGTGACAATGGGAATTAACTGAATAATTATTACATGTGCTTCTGTTTGAAATATTTTCTCAATGTAGTACTGATCCCTAGGTAGAAGTTGCCGGTTCAGAAGACATTTGAGCCAAATACTGATTCTGCTTCAGAAACCATCGATGTAATCAGCCTAAGACCAACAGCAGTCAACGATTAATCATATAATAATTAGATTATTCCTCCAGTGTCAATACGTTAGAACTAGCATGGAAAGCATTCAGGAAAACTATTTACCAGACCTGAATTTCTCCAGAGAAATCAAACACTGTACAATTAACTGAAAAAAATGAAATGTTCATGCTTTGGTTTAATTGGAAATGCAACATATCTGAAGTCCTCGCTGCCAGATCCTTTTATTGATTAGCTCTGGTGTTCTCCCAGAGTTCTCTTCTGTTCGAGTAGATTTTGCAGCATACCTTCACCTGTATCATCACTCTGATGTTCCTTATTCTAGAAGCTACAGCCATATAGAAAATTTACTTTTGCAAAATTAAGTGTTATTTTTGTCTCTCTAAAATCTGATGTTGGTTATGCATTCTGATACCTTCTTCCTACGAATACAATTGAATTTTGGGTAGAGTAACTTTATATGACAAAGCATGAGATCAGAAATGCTATTTTTATTATTATTAAACAAATTGGATTGTATTCATGTGTGGTCATTGGGATGCTCCAGATAGGTTAATGTGCGTAACTTTCCCATGGTCCATTTACACCCAAGTACTAGTGTTGGGACTTTTCCTTTTATGTTACTCCTTCCTTTGATAATCAAAAATCACAACTTTGTTTGGGGGAGGATGTTAATGAGTGTCCTAATCTCTTGTGATATGGCTGTACCTACAAGGCCAATTTTCAAGGAGACTCAGTACTCTTGGGATAAGGGTGGTCAACCTTTTCTGAATGAGCCAGAGGTGAAGAACAGGCAGCAATTTATAGAAAGTCTTTGATAGGCAATAATGGAGACCAATTAACATACCTCCCCCAGAAGGCAAAAAACTGAAGGTATTAAGAAAATAATTTTCAAAACTTGGAAATAAGACCAAAAAATGCCTGTATGTTTTTTAAATGTCATATTGGAGAATAATCTGAGAAGTCTGCCTAGACGTCATCTGTTATTCAGGGACTTCTAACTTTGCTTGACTTATTATTGGTTTTGATTTTGGCTTAGGCCCCATAAAATTAGACGTTATCTTGGAAAAATAAGAAATTGCAACTGATTTTTGCCCAATAAAGATGCAAATAATGTTTGTCAAGTACATATGTCTGTGGGGGGTGGGAGAGGGGGAAGTGTTCTAGATTTATTGTCTTTTAAACATTTTTGTACCTAATTTAGATATCTCATTTCCATATCAATTGTTTTAGCTGACTATATAAGCATCTATCTTTTTTTTTTTTCCCCTCTGTTGCCAGGGTGGAGTGCCGTGGGCACGATCTCGGCTCACTGCAATCTCCGCCTCACGGATTCAAGCGATTCCCCTGCCTCAGCCTCCCAAGTAGCTGAGACTACAGGCGCACACCAACCACGCCCGGCTAGTTTTTTGTATTCTTAGTAGAGACAGGATTTCACCATGTTGGGCAGGATGGTCTTGATCTCCTGACCTTGTGATCCACCCTCCTCGGCCTCCCAAAGTGCTGGGATTATAGGCGTGAGCCATCGTGCCGGCCCTAAGCATCTGTCTTTCATAGCCTCTTGCATTTGCTTTGTCTTTAATCATTAATAAATAATTATCGGACACATGCTCATTATATATTTATATGAGAATTCGATTATTTTTACAAAAAAATTAATAAAATTATACTTTTAATTAACTCAGCTAGAATTTGCAAAAGCTGCAGAGTTCCCATTTGTCTTTCACATGGATTTCCCTAGTGATAACATCTTATGTAATGATAGCATGATAATCAAAACCAGAAAAATAGTGTAATTACAAAAATACTATTAACTAAACTACAGACTATATTCATATTTCAACAGTTTTTTATGGGTACTTTATGCTTGTGTATAGTTGTATGAAATTTTGTCATATGTACATATTTATGTAACTACCACCATAATCAAAATCAGAAATGTTTCCTCACCCTAAAGGAACTCACTCATGCTATCCCTTTATAGTCACACTGCTGTGAAAACCTAATGTCCAGCAACCATTGATTTGTTCTTCATCACTGCAATTTAGTTATTTTGAGAATTTTATGTAAATGAAATGTATATATTTTATTCCATAAGTTTTCTTTTGTGATTGGCTTTTTTTTTTTTTTTTTTGAGGGTGTCACTGTGTCGCCCAGACTGGAGTGCAGTGGTGCGATCTCGCCTCACTACTACCTCCACCTCCTAGGCTCAAGCAAATCTCCTACCTCAACCTTCCAAGTAGCTGGGATTACAGGTGCGCTCCATTACCGCCAATTTTCGTATTTTTAGTAGAGATGGGGTTTCACCATGTTGGCCAGGCTGGTCTTCAACTCCTGACCTCAAATGATCCACCCGCCTGGGCCTCCCAAAGGGCTGGGATTACAGGCATGAGCCACCGCGCTCGGCCTGTGATTGACTTTTTTACTCAGTGTAATTCCCTTGGAATTATTCAAAGTTCAGATATCAATAATGCAAGGTTTGTCAGGGAGAGGGAAGGTGAAAGAGAGAGAGAGAGAGAGTTAGTGGCTCAACAGCAACACAGGTTTATTAAGGAAACCTGCGGAGGGGGACACCAGCACTGGAACCCACGCCCCACTTACAGAATGGGGCAGTTACAGGTCTGGACAGGAGAGGGGGAATTGTTGCAAAATGGGATGGGGCGGTGTGGTTAGCTGCTGATAAGGGAGGACTTTCCTGCAGGCAGGTGATTGGGCCTGGGACCGGCCCAGGATGTTTCTCACGGCCTGGGCCCCAGTGGAATTTTCCATGCTGGCCAGGGTGGGCTAAATGGTGGGGTTTACAAAATGGCGCAGGTTGGGCTAACAAACAGTATGTTTCTTTTTCTTACTGAGTAGTGTTCAATTTTGAAAGTGAACTGTGGCTTGTTTGTCCATTCACTCATTGAAGGATATATGAGTTGTTTCCAGTTTTTGACTATTTCAGATAAAGATGTTATAAATATTTATGTATTCATGTACAGGTATTTGCATGAATATAAGTTCTTATTTCTCTATGCCAAATTCTTAGGAGTAGGATTGCTAGGTTATGCGATAAGTGTATGTGCAATTGTGGTTTTAAGTTGCCTCTAATTAATGGTTAATGATATTGGAAATCTTTTCATGTACTTATTCTATCTATATATCCTGTTAGGTAAAGTGTCTGATTAAGTCTTTTGCCTGTTTTTTAATTAGGTTGTTTGTTTTTATGCTTGAGTTTTGAGAATCCTTTATGTATTCTGGATATATGGACTATTGAGCCTACCAACCGAGTTTTTAAAGGTTCAGTTGATTGTATTTTTCGCTCCTAAAATCTCCACTTGTTTCTTCTTTGTATCTTCTATATCTTTTATGAGACTTTCTATGTTTTCATTAATTTCAGGGGTATTTATGATACTTACTGGGGCATTTTTATAACTGTTTTGAAGTTCTTCACAGATAATTCGAATATCTGTGTTTTGTTGGCATTGCCATCTCTTGTCTTTCCTCATTTGACTGGAGATTTTCCTGGTTCTTGATATGCTGAGTAATTTTGGATTGTATCTTAGATATTTTGAATATTATACTCTGTGACACTGGTTGCTATTTAAATATTTCATTTGAACTGGCAGCATTTAGATTCAGAATGCACATTCTGGCTGGGTGCAGTGGCTCACTCCTGTAATTCCAGCACTTTGGGAGGCCGAAGCGGGTGGATCACAAGGTCAGGAGTTCAACACCAGCCTGACCAACATGGTGAAACCCCATCTCTACTAAAAATACAAAAATTAGCCGGGTATGGTGGCATGTGCCTGAAATCTCAGCTACTTAAGAGGCTGAGGCAGGAGAATCTCTTGGACCCGGGAGGTGGAGGTTGCAGTGAGCCAAGATCGTGCCATTGCACTTCAACCTGGGTGACAGAGTGAGACTCTGTCTCAAGAAAACAAAGCAAAACAAAAAAAGCACATCCTAGCTGGCCTTTGTATTACAAGAGACCAATTTGAAACTTGGGTGGTATTCCATACCACAGTTTTGTTCCCAAAGCTTTTGCCATTTTGATTCTAGTTGGTTTTACACATGGACCACTTGGGGATGAGCTTAATATTGCATACACAAATTTAAATAATTCTTTCCACCAGCTCCTTTATTATTAGTATTATTTCAATTTCCTCTTGCACTCTAGCTGAAAGAGGGAAGGGTGCCATGTTTCTGACTGTCATTTGTTTTGTTCAGGGCATGAGTAGTCCCCAAGTTCCACTCTCTACAAGGTTTGATTCCAAACAACTTAATTTATATGTCAAAAGACAGAATATCCATGGTTTCTCTTTTTGTCTAACAATCCTTCTCCTCAGTGCCTTGTGGATGGTTCTGACTGCTTGAAGGCAGGCTCAAAATACACATGGAAGAAAGAAAGCACACATGGATTGATATTTTAAAACTTGATCACATTATATTTCTACAGGCCATTCTTAATTTAGATTGCCAATTAGCTATGAAAATGTATGGTTTTGATTGCTATGCACAGCATTGACTTTCTGTTTGCATTATTGTTGACATATCACCCAGGATGTTTGCTCTAATAAGTACTTGCTGCTTTTCACTCCAAAGCTTTCCCTGGAGTTGGGTTGCGAAGTGTTTAGTTATAAAACTTTAGTAGCTTTACTCAGAAACAATGATGCAGTTGAGGATTGCATTCAGATTCAGTATTTGGACACAAATAAGTCACAGATGTGATTAAAAAATTGGTGTTTTAGTAGAAAAAAAAACAAGGATTTCAAGGTTATGCAGACCTGTTTTCAAATCCTAGCTTGGCACTATAAGTTTGAGTAAGGTTATTACTCCCTGAGACCCTGTTTCATCATTTAGGATAAGAGATAACCACAACCAGGAAAGGACTGTGGGCCTAATCAATACTTTATACAAAGAGGCCATTAGGGACACTTCTTGATGCAAGAACTGTCAATTTACTTCTTTACCAGGCACAAAAAGAAGAAAATGACATTAAGAGTTGGTAGTAATGGAAAAGCTAAATTTAAAATTTAATATAAAAATTATGATCTAAGAAAGAGAAATATTTCAGACCAAAAGAGACTTTCTAACCCAACTTCTCATTTTTCATATAACAAAACTGAGGCTCCAAGGGGTGAAGAGACTTGTCTGGTGTATTTCATGTGTCCAGAGACAAATCTGAGGCCAGAATTCTAATCTCCTGATCAGTAGGCCACTAGACCTTAACACCGTGGCACAAATATCTCATATAAAACCCTCTAAAATGGAATATATTATGCTAATGGATCTTTACAGCAGATCCTAACATACTATAAAATGTAAACAGGACATATAAACTAAAACTCTACTGCATCACTAATTATTATCATTAACTGATATGCTAACTACAAGAAACATTAAACATTTGACTAAAAGCATTGCTTGCTTTAGAACACAGGAGCTGCTGGGGATGAAATAGATGATTCGAGTCATTTGAAAAGGCTATCTTGGGAAATTCAACTGGATACTTTTTATATTTGTAGACAAATATTCTTATAGCAAAGGAAGCTTAAAAGTTCTATCATTGCCGGGTGCGGTGGCTCACGCCTGTAATCCCAGCACTTTGGGAGGCCGAGGCGGGTGGATCACGAGGTCAGGAGATGGAGACCATCCTGGCTAACACGGTGAAGCCCCATCTCTACTAAAAATACAAAAAATTAGCCGGGCGTGGTGGCGGGCGCCTGTAGTCCCAGCTACTCAGGAGGCTGAGGCAGGAGAATGGCGTGAACCTGGGAGGCGGAACTTGGAGTGAGCCGAGATTGCGCCACTGCACTCCAGCCTGGGCGACAGACTGAGACCCTGTCTCAAAAAAAAAAAAAAAAAAAATTATTTCACTGAATATTTATTTATAAACATCATGACTAGGTATGGATGTTTGATTGCATCTTTAGGATTTGGAGAGGAATTGGCAAAAGAAAATTTTGTAGTATATATCCTGGACTAGCTTGACATTTTACAGAAAATCTTTTTAAATTTCTTCCAACTTATAGAGAATCTGGTACCTCAAACAAATGAGATCTCTTTATTTTATTCTTATAGACAAAAATGGAAGAGACACCATACCTATTATCCTTCCTGCTCATTCTCCCACCCATGTCATAAGAATATACGTTCAATTTTCAGATAATTTTATTATCAGGATATATGTAACTTTTGGCTAGGATTGTGTTCATGTCTTCCCCTGGAATATGACTTAGTTTTGGTGCTAGCTCTTGCCCTGAAGTGGCACTAAATCTAAAGCTAGATGGGTTATTTATACATGATGACCAAATGTAACAGTCTCCATTTCCAGGTCTCTGATTGGGCAATATTCTCCAACTCTCACCCAAATCATTTTCCATGGATCAGAACAGATCCAATTGCTTCCTAGTCCCTAATCCCAAAGGCTGTCACTTCACTTATGGGAGGAGGCTTGTTTCCCACTGTTGTTTCCTCCTAAGACCCAGGCAGAAGAGAAAAATCTAGTTTATAGATGTTCCTATAGTTATCTTCATTAAATCAGATTTTTTTGCTTAGATTATATTGACCAGTACAATTGGTACAATTTTGCCTTTGTTTCATGGTTCATATTTGAGGCAAAACACCCTTTTGGAACTCTGACATTAGTGGTACTTTCAGCTCTGTTTTTCAAAGGGAAGAAAAATCAAAACAATTTTTTTAGAAAAACAGCTTACTTTCCCCTTTTTATTTGCCAAGATAACAAACAAAACCTTAGTTATTCATTCAAATAAAAAAGACTGTGCATTTGTGTTTATGTTTATTTTTAATTCTCCATGACATTAAACTCTCTTCAAAAAAGTTGATCACTCTAGCCCTCACACCAGTGGGCTCCAATGTGACATGTGTTATGTTGTAGCAATTATTTGAATGATGTTTATCGAAAGTCCCAATTTGAATCTCTTTTGCGTTCAGCCTAGCATTGAGGAATACATGGCTATAGCTGGCATTCTTGTAGGTTGGCTGTTCAAAGGCCTTGTTTAGATGAAAACCAAGAAACACATATCCTACAAGAAGAAAAAGTAAAAGTGCACCGTCTGTTTCAAAAGCAGTAGTTTCCTGCTAGAAGGCAAATTTGAGTACAACTTGGTATTGGTCACTCAAGTTGTTCTCCAGTTGGCCCTTACAAATTCATGCCTTGATTCTTGGGCAAAAAGGCTAATAATAAAAGAGTAGATGAAAACTAAAAATGCCTCTTCTTTCAAACCTGCACAAAATATTGAGAGCATGGAGCATCAGAAATGTTAGTGTCAGCAGTTATAAAGGCAAGGAGGGGTGGTACCATTGTACTGGCAAGCATGAGAAATGGTGCCAGAAGTACAGACAGCTATGCAGGACCTAGATATCGGTCAGTGGCTGTTGAAATGTAGAAACTGGCAGGCACTGGTCCCAGTGGTGGCACCTTCAGTGGCCATCTGCAATAGTATTTCTGGTAGCACCACCAGTGAGCAGCATCAGCATGTCATATTCAGAAGGCAGGGAACAAGAGACAGGCTGCTTTGAGACAGGCCCTGGATGACGGCCAACACTGGCAACAAAGCCTTCTGTGTGCTTTGGCTTTACAGTTCAAATTTCTTTTTTGAAGAATAGAGTGATGGTCATCAGAATTAGCTGAGGCAGAAGAGGAGGCAAAATGGTAATCTGGAAGGTTGGTTTATGGCAAATTCATTAGGCACTCCTTGGGAAATCTCAACTGTGTGGTAGAATTTGAAGAAAACTGTTTTTGCTAATAGAAAGTCAGTAAAATCCAGTAAAATGCTGGTTTTGTGACTGCCTCCCCTCCCCCATCCCCCTGCAGACTGGTGTGATCAGAGAAAAATAGGCCGCGTTTGCTCAAATGGTTACTAAATAACTCTTGTTTTCAAGGATAGCTTTAAAGAAAAAAAGAATGTACAAAATGCCACTTGAGAGATGTGTAATTTGAAAAGAAAAAGAATGGTTGTTCTTTTTTGATTTGCTGTTGTTGGGGTAATTTCAGACTATTTTAAAATATTCACTGGTAAAGTCTCTTTCATGTGCGTCTGTGTGAAGAGACCACCAAACAGGCTTTGTGTGAGCAACATGGCTGTTTATTTCACCTGGGTGCAGGTGGGCTGAGGCCGAAGAGAGTCAGCAAAGGGAGACAAGGGTGGGGCCATTTTATAGGATTTGGGTAAGTAAAGGAAAATTACAGTCAAAGGGGGTTTGTTCTCTGGCAGGTAGGAGTGGGGGTCGCAAGGTGCTCAGTGGGCAGGAGTGGGGGGGTCACAAGGTGCTCAGTGGGGGTGCTTTTTGAGCCAGGATGAGCCAGGAAAAGGACTTTCACAAGGTAATGTCATCAGTTAAGGCAAGGACCGGCCATTTACACTTCTTTTGTGGTGGAATGTCATCAGTTAAGGTGGGGCAGGGCATATTCACTTCTTTTGTGATTCTTTAGTTACTTCAGGCCCTCTGGGCGTATATGTGCAGGTCACAGGGGATGTGATGGCTTGGCTTGGGCTCAGAGGCCTGACATTCCTGCCTTCTTAATAAGAAAAATAAAACAAAATAGTGTTGAAGTGTTGGGGCGGCGAAAATTTTTGGGGGGTGGTATGGAGAGAGAGTGGACGATGTTCCTCAGGCCTGCTTCAAGAGGGATTAGGGGCGGCGTGGGAACCTAGAGTGGGAGAGATTAAGCTGAAAGGAGATCTTGTGGTAAGGGGTGATATTGTGGGGTTGTTAGAAGAAACATTTGTTGTATAGAATGATTGGTGATGGCCTGGATATGGTTTTGTATGAACTGAAAAACTAAATGGAATAAGAAGGAGAAAAACAGGTATAAAAGGTCTAAGAATTGGGAGGACCTAGGACATCTGATTAGAGAGTGCCTAAGGAGATTCAGCATAGTCCTGCCAGCAAAGATTATTTATTTACTTCAAGAGTTAAGAGTGGCGGTTTGGGGATAGCACGAGGAGATATCAGCTGTGATGGCTTGGATAAACAGTGTAAACTGGCAGTGTAAAGAAGAGCAGGGCATGTATGAGTAGTTGAGAATGGAGAATAGGAGTATGACTAGACAGAAAACAGTAGGGATGACAAGCTTTTATTGGGGCACAGTCTAAGTTGGTCCGGTGTCTGGAATGAGACTGGGGCCTAATAAAAAGGAGCATCTATACAGGAGCTTAAATGGGCTGTACCTTGTAGCATTCCGAGGACAGGCCTGAATTCTGAGAAGGGAAAGTGATAAAAGTATTGTCCAGTCCTTTTTGATGGCTGAGCTTGGTGAGGTGTGTTTTTAAAAGACCTTCAGTCCATTCTACCTTTCTTGAAGATGGAGGACTGTAAGGGATATAAAGGTTTCACTGAATACTAAGAGCCTGAAAAACTGCTTGGCTGATTTGACTAATAAAGGCTCATCTGTTATCAGACTGTATTGAGGTGGGAAGGCTAAACTGAGGAATTATGTCTGACAGAATGGAAGAAATGACTGCGGAGGCCTTCTCAGACCCTGTAGGAAAGGCCTTTACTTATTCAGTGAAAGTGTCTATTTAGACTAAGAGGTATTTTAGTTTCCTGACTCAGGCATGTTGAGTAAAGCTAGTTTGCCAGTCCTGGGTGGGGGCAAATCCTCGAGCTTGATGTGTAGGGAAGGGAGGGGGCCTGAATAATCCCTGAGGAGTAGTAGAATAGCAGATGGAACACTGAGAAGTTATTTCCTTGAGGATAGATTTCCACGATGGAAAGGAAATGAGAGGTTCTGAGAGGCGGGCTAGTGGCTTGTACTATAGCATAGCCTGCCTTTGCTGGTATGTGGCGACTAGGCCTGGTGGAACTGCCATCAATAAATCAAGCGTGATCAGGGTGAGGAACAGGAAAGAAGGAAATTTGGGGAAATGGGGTTAATGTCAGGTGGATCAGAGAGATACAGTCATGGGGGTCAGGTGTGGTATCAGGAATAATGTGGGAGGCCGGATTCAAGTATGGGCCAGGAACAATGATAATTGTGGGAGACTCAACAGAGTGAGTATAGCTGAAGGAGCTGGGAAGCAGAAAGTATATGCGTCAGGTATGAGGAAGAAAATAGATTTTGGAAGTTATGAGAACTGTAGAGAGTGAGTTGAGCATAGTTTGTGATTTTGAGGGCCTCTAAAAGTATTAATGCAGTGGCAGCTGCCGCACGCAGACATACGGGCTAGGCTAAAACAGTAAGGTCAAGTTGTTTGGACAGAAGGCTACAGGGTGTGGTCCTGGCTCTTGTGTAAGAATTCTGACCACCCTAACCATGCCTAGGAAGGAAAGGAGTTGTTTTGTAGAGTTTGGGGTTTGAGAGATCAGTCAGACACGATTGGCAGGGAGAGCACGTGTGTTTTTATGAGAATTATGCCGAGATAGGTAACAGTTGAGGAAGAAATTTGGGCTTGATTGAAGTAATGGGGGCTGTCTGTGAAGCTTTGCGGCAGTACAGCCTAGGTAATTTGCTGAGCTTGATGGGTGTCAGGGTCAGTCCAAGTGAAAGCGAAGAGAGGCTGGGATTAAGGGTGCAAAGGAATAGTAAATAAAGCATGTTTGAGATCTAGAACAGAATAATGGGTTGTAGAGGCAGGTATTGAGGATAGGAGAGTATATGGGTTTGGCACCACGGGGTGGATAGGCAAAACAATTTGGTTGATAAAGTGCAGATCCTGAACTAACTTGTAAGGTTTGTCTGGTTTTAGGACAGGTAAAATGGGGGAATTGTAAGGAGAGTTTATAGGCTTTAAAAGGCCATGCTGTAGCAGGCGAGTGATAACAGGCTTTAATCTTTTTAAAGTGTGCTGCGGGATGGGATTTTGGCATTGAGTGGGGTAAGGGTGATTAGGTTTTAATGAGATGGTAAGGGGTGCGTGATCGGTCGCCAAGGAGGGAGTAGAGGTATCTTATACTTGTGGGTTAAGGTAGGGGGATACAAGAGGAGGACGCAAAGGAGGCTTTGGATTGGGAAGAAGGGCGGCAATGAGATATAGCTGTAGTCCAGGATAGTCAGGGAAGCAGATAATTTAGTTAAAGTGTCTCAGCCTAATAAGGGAACTGGGCAGGTGGGGATAACTAAAAAGGAGTGCTTAAAAGAGTATTGTCTAAGTTGGCACCAGAGTTGGGGAGTTTTAAGAGGTTTAGAAGCCTGGCCGTCAATACCCACAACAGTTATGGAGGCAAGGGAAACAGGCCCTTGAAAAGAAGGTAATGTGGAGTGGGTAGCCTCCATATTGATTAAGAAGGGGACGGCCTTACCTTCCACTGTGAGAGTTACTGGAAGCTCGGCGTCCGTGATGGTCTAGGGGGCTTCTGAGGCGATCGGGCAGTGTCAGTCTTCAGCTGCTAAGCCGAGAAGATCTGGGAAGGAGTCAGTCAGACAGCCTTGGGCCAGAGTTCCAGGGGATCTGGGAGTGGCTGCCAGGTGAGTTGAACAGTCGATTTTCAGTGGGGTCCCACACAGATGGGACGTGGCTTAGGAGGAATCCCGGGCTGTGGGCATTCCTTGGCCCAGTGGCCAGATTTCCGGCACGTGTAGCAAGCTCCTGTTGGAGGAGGTTCTGGAGGAACGCCTGGCCGCTGTGGTTCAGGCGTTTGGAAGTTCTTGTGTGCTGGAGATGTGGCTGGGGTTTGTCTCACAGTGGAGGCAAGGAATTGCAACTTTTTTCTATTATTGTACACCTTGAAGGCGAGGTTAATTAAATCCTGTTGTGGGGTTTGAGGGCCGGAATTTAATTTTTGGAGTTTTATTTAATGTCGGGAGCAGATTGGGTAATGTATTTTGAGAATAAGACGGCCTTTTGACCTTTTAGTGTCTAGGGCTGTAAAGTGTCTCAGAGTTGCTGCCAAACAAGTCATGAACTGGGCTGGATTTTTATATTTGATGAAAAAGAGCCTAAACGCTATCTGATTTGGGACAAAGAAAAAGGAGCATTAACCTTGACTATGCCTTTAGCTCCAGCCACCTTTTCAAGAGTAAATTGCTGGGCAGGTGGGGGAGGGCTAGTCACGGAATGAAACTGTAAGCCGGACCAGGTGTGAGGAGGGGAGGTGATAAAAAGATTATAGGGTGGAGGAGCAGAGGCTGAGGAAGAATTGGGACCTAGCTCGGCCTGGCGAGGAACAACCTGGGGAGGAAGGGAGAGGTCAGATGGGTCTGTAGAAAAGGAAGATTAGAAAGACTCAGCGACGCTTGGGGTTGGTACTGAGGGGACAGGTGGGAGGGAAAGAAGGAAGATTTGGGACGAGTTGCACTGGTCACAGAGACTAGGAAGGGACTAATGTGGAAAAGAATGCCTGGACGTCAGGCACCTCAGACCGTTTGCCTATTTTACAACAAGAATTATTTAGATTTTGCAGGATGGAAAAATTCAAAGTGCCATTTTCTGGCTATTTGGAACTACTGTCGAGTTTGTATTGGGGTCAAGCGGCATTGCAGAAGAAAATAAGGCATTTAGGTTTTAGGTCAGGTGTGAGTTGAAGAGGTTTTAAGTTTTTGAGAACACAGGCTAAGGGAGAAGAAGGAGGAATGGAAGGTGGAAGCTTACCCATAGTGAAGGAGGCAAGCCCAGAGAAAAGAGTAGAGACACGGAGAAGTGTTGGGGGGTTCTTGTCCTCCAGAAAAGCGGAGAAGGGGTTGGGGCACGGAAATAAGGGATTGGGGCACAGAGATAAGAGGTCAGGGTGTGGAAATAAGGGATTGGGGCACAGAGATAAGAGGTTGGGGTGCGGAAATAAGCGAATGCGGGCTTCTTGCCCCCTAGGAAAGCGGGACTTGCCGCCAAGGGTGAAGGAGAAGGGGTTGAGGGGTACTTGCCCCTGCCCCAGGAAAGCGGGACTTGCCGCTAAGAGTGAAGGGGAAGTGGTTGAGGGGTACTTTCCCCTGCCCCAGGAAAGCGAGACTTGCCACTAAGGGTGAAGGACCAAGGCAGGCGTCCCTGTGTGGTCTGACACCCTTGAAACGTGAGTGTATAATCAGAGAGGCGTCCCTGCAATGATTAAACACCAAGGGAAGGCTGCCTTCCCAGTCCGTGACTGGCGCCGGAGTTTTGGGTTCATGGATAAAACATGTCTCTTTTGTCTCTACCAGAAAATGAAAGGAATTGAAATTAAGAGAAGGGAGAGATTGAAGTGTGGCGCCAAGATTGAAAGGAGAAAGAGGTTAAGGGATAGTGAGGGAGGTTGGAGAAGAGAGTAAAAAGAGGCCGCTTACCAGATTTGAAATTGGTGAGATGTTTCTTGAGCTGGTCGGTCTGAGGACCTGAGGTCGTAGGTGGATGTTTCTCACGGAGCAAAGAGCAGGAGGACAGGGGATTGATCTCCTAAGGGAGGTCCCCCGATCCAAGTCACGGCACCAAATTTCATGTGCGTCCGTGTGAAGAGACCACCAAACAGGCTTTGTGTGAGCAACATGGCTGTTTATTTCACCTGGGTGCAGGCGGGCTGAGGCCGAAAAGAGAGTCAGCGAAGGGAGATAGGGGTGGGGCCGTTTTATAGGATTTGGGTAGGTAAAGGAAAATTACAGTCAAAGGGGGTTTGTTCTCTGGCGAGTAGGAGTGGGGGTCGTAAGGTGCTCAGTGGGCAGGAGTGGGGGTCACAGGGTGCTCAGTGGGGGTGCTTTTTGAGCCAGGATGAGCCAGGAAGAGGACTTTCACAAGGTAATGTCATCAGTTAAGGCAAGGACCGGCCATTTACACTTCTTTTGTGGTGGAGTGTCATCAGTTAAGGTGGGGCAGGGCATATTCACTTCTTTTGTGATTCTTTAGTTACTTCAGGCCATCTGGGTGTATACGTGCAGGTCACAGGGGATGCGATGGCTTGGCTTGGGCTCAGAGGCCTGACAGTCTCCTAATTCTTTTTTGTGCAGATACTGCTAAATGGGGAAATAAATGTATTGAGTTGTCTGAACTGTAACTTGAGTCCTGGACCCCAAAGACACATACAAGAACATTATATTTTTATTTTCTTTCTTAAAACCCAAATAACTACCTCTTCCATTCTCCAAAGAAGTATGCCTCAGGCAGTCTGAATCACATGACAAAAAACGTGTATATGCTTGCTTTTCCAAAAAAGGTAAGAAAATCACCTGAAATCAAAAGATGTCTTTCCATAATAAATTCCCCTCAGGTATTTTAAGTGTTTACCATCTTGTGGGAGAAAAAAATTTAGAATGAAGTAGGTGACACACTGAAAATGAAGCAGTTCCATTTGGAAACATATACTGCCAACAGGATTTATCATTTTCAACTTTTACCGTGGGAGTTGAGCACAATATCTTAGTGAATATCTTTCTTTCTCTGCACAAACCCCATTTCTCTGTCCTACAGACAGTATTAGCAGCTCCTGTCTACTTAACATCAAAAATGAAGATAAAACATCTCTGAAGCAAATAAAATCGATGAATGAAGAAGTTTTGATTTACAGTTCAAATTCAACTTTCCTTGACACATCTAGTGAGATATTCCCAGCTGCATTTCCCCTCTGCAGGGCTTGTTAACTGCTCCTCTGAACTAAGATGCATCTGAAAGTCTGTGTTCTCTCTTTGAAGGGGACATAATAAATACCGACTGGTCATCCTCTTTGTTATATGGTTGCTGAATACAAATACAGTGGTTTTCATTGGAAAGTGTGAGGGTTCTAACCAGGTTATTACAACTTCTGAAACCATGAGAGTGACCATGTTTGCAGGGATTTTCTGAAACAAACAAACAAAATCTCTCCATAGCTGCCTAGATATACAGATCAGTCTAGGAAAAACACATACATTCTCTATCTCTCTCTCTCTTGCACACACACACACACATGCACAAAGTGATATATGTATGTAGACATGTGTAGAGATGATAGATTCAGAGAAGGAGCCGGATTGATAGATGTAGAGAGATTAATAAATGAAATGAGACACTGTAAAATGAACACATACATCATAAATATTAGGAACTACAAATTTGCATAATTCTAAGGAACACTTGCAATTATAACATATACCAAAGTATTCACTTATAATCAAAGAAATATTTTTGTGTATACTTGAGGTAATCCAGCAAATGTACCCCACTTTCTCATCTGATCTCACTTGGTGAGAAATAGATAATAGTGAAGCAAATAGCAAAGCACTGTGTCCTTAAACATTTCAAAAGGGTATGGCATGTGAGGCTCCCATGGGAATTATCGTCACATTTTCTAAAACCGAACCCCAGTGTTAAACAAATCTTTTCTATCCAGCCACAAGCAATGCTGTGTGCTTTAAGCCTCCCTGAGGGAGTGCTCTTGGAACTCTCAGAATCATATTCAGGGTTGCTATATTCAATAACCCAATATGTCTTACTCCATGACATTCCTTGCAAAGAAATGCAATAAGCATAGTTTAAGTCTTTACTCACCTAAAGCAGCTCTCAAAAGACTGCCCTTCCTAGAGCCCTTTGAAAGGCAATAAGTATGCTTTTTCTATCACAAGACCCCACCCCAATGGCTAACTGCATCAAGAGTGGCCCTAACACAACGATGACCATCTGTACACTCCTTGCTTACTTAATTGTAATTTGTGAGGCTTGGATCAAGACAGATGAGATCAGTGATTTCGAGTTCTGTGAAGAATTTACATGGAGATACTGAGAAACTGTGGAGTTTAGGTGTGGTGGGTCATCATCATAAAGGATTCCTTGATTTTGAGCAAAGCGCCTGAAGCCAAGATAATTATTAAGAAACTTCAAGAGGGAAGATGGACCTCGGAAAACCAACATGAGATTCTGTTTTCTATACACACATGGAAATTAAATATAGTTTTATGTTTACTAAAGAATATTGTACTGTTTTTAAGCAAATTAGCAAGTCAATGAACATAATCCTAAAAAACATATATTTGAAATTGATGACATTTAAAAAGTTAGATTTTTAATTTTACCTTATAATTAATTATATTATTTAACAGAACAATATTAAAAAACTCACCACTCTTCATTGGCCTTTAAATTGAGTCAAATATGTCTCAGATTCTTTAAGTGTAAAGAAAAAAAGTGACCACATTTTTCTCCTTGAGGAATGGATGCTACTTAACAAGCACTATTAAGGAATCAACTGCAAACTAGAATAATTTAACCTCTTTTTTCCGGCACTGAATTGCCCTTTAAAAATGATAATTGGTGAGTTAAATAAAAATTCATATAAGCTTGCCCTTTACATAGCTATCAATATTTGTCAAGTTTTTATGTAATAAAATGTTCTTGGCATTTCTGTAGCATATCATATGCCAATGATTTTCAAAATGTGATAGCTAATTTTATGTAGAGATTCTTTTTAAAGAAAAACCCTATTAGCTTGAATAATCATCATTATGAACAATAATGGCAGGAACAAAAAAGAAAAAATTTATTTCAAAATTTAGTAAATTAAAAATAAGTGAACAACTGACTTGGTGGGGTAAGAAAATTAGGCTTAGTGTATCAAAATTTGGGAAGATGTGTATGATTACAACTTGGATGTTGGGAGCATTCTATAAAATATTGGGAACATTCTATAAAAATTGATTTTATCAAGCACGTTTTTCAGAAACTCTCTAAAGTTTATGTATCAACAGTTAGTATTTTAGGTTTATAAATGGAAATATATAGAGAAAAATACATCCTACTTTTTGCTATGATGATTATAAACTGTTAGAAGAGCTTTTAAATCCCTAGGTTTTTGTGGGATCTTGGTTTACATATGACATTTTAATTTTTCTGTACAGATCTTCTAAAATAGTAATTTAGTTTTCTCTCCTTTTTTGTTTAGTGTATCCAACAAGGATTTTCAGAGATTTCTACCTAATGCTTTTAAAATAAATGACATCCTAAAAGTATGCTTACTAAAGGCAACAAGAACACAATGAGACACAAATGAGAGATTTTGTTTTTATTTACATATGGGAAATCATTTTTTCAATTATTAAATCAGTAATTATGGCTATTTTAGAAAAGTAATAAGGCTATATTTTATAACTGAGGGATCTGTAAGAAAAATTTGCTTTTTAGAGTCTGTAAAATAGAATGATAAATGCAACTTTAATCAGAACTCTGTATGTAGGATTATTGTTAAAAACTTTTAACCTAAAACATCAGTTGCTCTTGAGAGAATCATAACATGTATATTCTGCATTTCAAGAAATTTAAAAATACAACCAGATAGATTCATGTATTACAAATTTTTGTATCTATACCAGTACATCCACCAGTACATCAAGTGGAAATGAAGAGGTTGATAACTTAGAACACACTATATAATCCACAACTTCAATTCACATATATTTCCTTTTATTTTTATGATACTTTTATCATATACATTGACCATCAACATTTATATTTCAATCAATATTTTAATGTAATGTCCTACTATATTGCCATCTAAAAATGAACATTTTTGTCATGGCCTGATTTTTAGTTTACTATTGTCCAATTTGATTTTAATATTGAATTTACAATCACTAGAGAATGAGAACTAGGATGCACATTTAGCATACCTCAAATAGGGTACTATTAGAATACTTAGGTAAAGTACCACTTAAATGTTAATATTGTCTTTCTTATATAGATTACAAAATCCAAACTCCTAATAAAATTTCAAAAATAACTTTATAAAACCAAGAATGATATTTGAAATTGTCACATTGATAGAATGTCATTGATAATGACATATGATAGTCAATATAGTTTAATTGGTGAAACATGCAGTATTATAAAGAGAAGGCTTTTAGCTTTATGAAGGTTAAGGAATAAATTCCTTGTGGCAGATGTATTGGAAATAATGTCTGATTTGGTAAATTGTTGTTTAAATAACTAGCTGTGTCTATTTTTGTAAGTAACTGACAAAGTGACAAGTTTGAGTTAGACAGCCACTTACTTACCTAGAACTGCTACCCACCTGCACACTGGAGGGTACTGTTTGCTTTTCTTAAACAGATGTTTTGATTCACTAGAGTAGCATAATTAAGTATGCACACACTAAATATTTGTGAGGTTCCAACGTGTACTGATTGCTAGACTCCGACTCATTTAATAATGTTCAATTAAAATGAGCAAATGACTGAAGATATCGCTTCTATTTTCTGGAAGAGATTATAGAGGATTGGAATAATTTATTTTTAAAATGTTTGGTAGAATTCACCAGTGAAACTATCTGGGCCTGATGTTTCTGTTTAGAAAGATTATTAGTAATTGATTCAATTCTCTAATAGATATAGACCTATTCAGATAATTGATTCCTACCTGTGTGAAGTTTGAGATTGTGTCTTTCAAGGAATTGGTCTATTTCATCTAAGTCATTGAATTTATGAGCACAGAGCTGTTCAAAAATAGTTCTTTATTATCATTTCAATGTCCATAGATCAGTAATGTCTTCTGTCTCTCACTTCTCACTTTTATTTTGGTTAGCCTGACTAAAGCTAAAGGCTTATCAATTGTTTTGATCTTTGTTTTTCTTACCCCCACCCCTACCCCAGACAGAGTGGTGCTCTGTCGCCTAGGCTGGAGCGCAGTGGCAAGATCTCGGCTGACTGCCACCTCCGCCTCCCAGGTTCAAAGCGATTCTCCTGCCTCAGCCTCCCCAGTAGCTGGGATTAAATGCGTCTGCCACCACACCTGGCTAATTTTTGTATTCTTAATAGAGACCGGGTTTCACTATGTTGGCCAAGCTGGTCTCAAACTCTTGACCTCGTGATCCACCTGTCTTGGTCTCCCAAGGTGCTGGGATTACAGGCGTGAGCCACCACACCCAGCCCTGTTTTGATCTTTTTGAAACGACAGCTTTTGGTTTTATTTTGTTTTTTTTTTTTCCTGTTGATTTCTTGTTTTCAATTTTACTTAATTCTGTGCTAATAATTTTTTTTTCTGTTTACCTTGGATCTCATTTGTCCTTCTTTTTTCTAGTTTCCTAAAATGATAGCTTAAATTATTTATTTTTGATCTTTTTGAATATATGCAGTCAATGCTGTAAATTTCTTTCTAAACACTACTTTCACTGCATCCCACAGATTCTGATAAGCTGTGTTTTTATCTTAATTTACTTCAAAATTTGTTTAAATTTCTCTTGGGACTTCTTCCACCCAGGTGCTATACTGGAATTATTGAATCTCCAAGTTGTTTGAGATTTTTCGGGTATCCTTCCATCATTCAGTTCTAGTTTACTTCCATTTGGTTCCACTCCCTTCTACCTTGAATTGTTTCAGTGGAATCCCTGTCCTTGCTCCTACAGAGGTAAAGAGTAATCCCACTCCCCAGCTTTTTAAAATATTTTCTCTATTTTGATTTTCTGCAGTTGGAATATGATTTGCCTAGAGGTATTTTGTTTTTGTATTTATTCTGCTTGGTCTTCTATGAGCTTCCTGGATCTGTGATTTGGTGTTTATCATTAACTTTTAGAAATTCTCGTCATTATCGCTTCAGATACTTCTTCTGTTCCTTAATCACTTTCTTCTCCTTCTGATGTTCCTATTACAGGTATGTTACACCTTTGCAATTGTCCCATAGCTCTTAAATTTTCTATTCTGTCTTATTCATTCTTTTTCATTTTGTGTTTCAGTTTTGGAAGTTTCTATTGGCATTTCTTTGAGTCACTGATTCTTTTCTTGGCTTTATCAAGTCTACTGGTGAGCCATCAAAGATGGTCTTTATTTTTCTTACAGTGTTTTTGATTTATAGCATTCTCTTTTGATTCTTAGTTTCAATATTTCTTCTTAAATTACCCATCTGTTCTTGCATGTTGTTCACTTTTCCCATTAGAGGCCTTAGCATATTACTGTCATTAAACAAATAATTAAACAAACAACAAAAACAAGAAGCTCCTAGGGGTGAGATTTGGAAGGTAGATATCAGTATCCAGAGTGTTATAATAGTGTAACTAACCTGTCCAAGTTTTAACAAAAAAATTACAAGACATGCAAAGAAACAAGAAAGTGTGATCTATATACAGGAAGAAGAACAGAAAAAATAAACTGTCTATGAGATTCCAGCTGAAGATTTAATAGACTAAGACTTGAAAGCGGCCATCATGAATATGTTTAAATAACTAAAGTAATCATGCTTAAAGAAATTAGAAAAGGTATAGTGACAATGTGATTGTAAATTAGTGCTGCAGCTTTTGAAAACGGCTTGGCAGTTCCTTAATAAATACATAATAAACATTAAGTTTCCATATGGCCCAAAAACCCCATCCTACATATATACAAAGAGTAATGGAAATGTGTCCACACAAAAACTTGTACATGAATGTTCAAAGCAACTTTATTTATATTTGCCAAAAATTGAAATAACCCAAATGTTCACCAACTGATGAATGAATACATAAAATATATTTTTAATATAAAAATATATTAATATATTTATAATATAAAAATATATTAATATATTTATATAGGGTATTCAGCAATTACAAGCTAAATGACTGGTACAATGAATTACTGATACATAATTCGACATAAATGAACTTTGAAAAAGCTATGCCAGTGAAAGAAGCCAGACATAAAAGACAGCATATTTTATTATTCCATTTATATGAAGTGCCCAGAATAGGTAAATCTATAGAAACAGAAAGTATATTATCTTTTAATTAGGGCTAGGGGTAGAGATATCAGGGGGAAATTGGAAATAATTGCTAAAAGGTAGAGGATTTCTCTTTGAGTTATTAGAAATGTTCTAAAATTGATTGTGTGATGGTCACACAGTTTTGTGACTATACTAAATACCACTTAAATATATACTTTAAATGAGTAAATTGTATGAAATGTGAACTATATCTCAATGAAATTGTTACAAAGAAAGAGATCAAGAACATGAGTTAACAAGAAAGTAAGAGAGAGAAAGAAAGAGAGAGAGAAATGAAAGAACCAGAATTTAACCTTCTTTTATGGAGACACCCAACTCTGAGTATATTATTTTCTCTTTAGTGAAGAAAACCTAACAAACTCCCTAAGCTTTAGCTTTCCCTTTAGTAAGGTGAATATAAACAGTGTCTAAGGCATGAGCCCTTGTCCAGGAAACACAGCTTCAAAACCACTACTTATTTTACACTTGGGCAAGGTGTATAAAGGATAACTAACTTTTCCTGGCTGTTGTGTACAGATATGTGGTTCATGGGTTTGTACGCATATCAAGCGATAACAAAGAGAGGCAAGCAGGAGGCAGCGAATGCAGCCAATGTCAATGGAAGCATTGCTTACCAGCATAAAGTGGCCAAATATAAAGTATTTTCCAGGTTAGGCTGATAAGAAATAGGTTTAAAAAGTCAGACATATCTAAACTGTTGGCCCTGAAAAGAGTGTTTCATGGGGAAGTGAAATATTTTTCAGGATGATAAAATAACTAACTCTATGATTGTTACACGTGCCTAATCCTTAAGATAATTCCTCCTTTGACTAGAGGGATAATTTAATTCTAGCTTCTGAATTTACATTGTTTATTAATAAAATTCAATTGCCATTGTCTCTTGAAATTAAGAAAGAAAAGACATTTCGAATGTCCTAACCCATATTCTGTTGCTACTCGAAGGGCCTACCCAAGATTTCCATTTGTTCGAATGGCCTTTTTTTAGAATTCTGTTTCTAAGTTTATGTTTTCTCTGAACTATCCATTTTACTTGTATCTCATCGTCCTTGACTATCATTTTTCCTCTGTTTTCACTTATATAAACGTAGAATTTATTCTGTTTATAAGGTTCTCTAGCCACACACACTCACGAACACTGGAACAAATTTCACGCAAAGTACTTGTGGCAAGAGTAGATTTCACTAATGGCTTGAGGAAAATGGTGAGGTTTTATATCATGAAGTTACTCATCCCTTTTTCCCCTCTAGACTCTGATAACAACCCACCTTTTCCTCTTCGCTAGTCCCCACCCTTAGGTACCCTTGAAGATATGCAAATCACCTCATTAGGCAGAGCAATTTAGTTCTCCGAATGCTTGGTGAGACTCTGTGCATAATTTCACATATCCAAAGACTCAATGCCTTTGCTATTTATGTCCATTCTTTCCTTTCAGTAGGAAAAGCTGGCAGAGGCTTTGACATTTCACTTTTCCTATTCTCTCATCTCAGTCAGTCTCTGAATAAAAGGGAGTAGTATAGAGATTTATTTTCCCTTTAAAATATTTTATTTAAAATATGTTATTTCTTTATAAGAATGAAATGGTCATAACCAGTTAGATTTTTAAATATTTTCTTATTTGATATAAACATCTAAAATTTTTTTTCAAATTCCTTCTATAATTAAGGCCAAACTTTTTCATCAATGTTTACAAACTTTATCAGAGGTGAAAATTATTCCAAAATATGTGCCACTACATTAAGTAGTGAATAATAAATCAATTGTAGAACTGTAATGTGTGCAGTAGTACTGACAATTCTTGTTCTGAGAATTATGCATTTCCCGTTTTTGAAATTCACTGCACATGCACACACACACAGTGCGTAGGAGTCCAGAGGGCTTCTAAACTATTTTAAAATGGAAAAATATTTACATAGATTGTCATTAAAATCATTAATTCATGCCACCAGTTTTCACTGACATGGTTACTAACAGGTAAGGAGAATCTTACAGCCACACAGACATTTCTGTGGTGGGGATTTTCGAGGGAAGGGCTGGCCTGCAAAAGCAGAAGGAACACTATGTGAGTGTGGAAGATATGAAGAACAGAAAATGGGTATCGTGTATGGAAAAGAGGATGCACTGGAGTGCTATAATTTTCCTGTATCCTTTGGCTTTCACCTCATCACATACCTTGCTCTATCTTCCTTGCTGCACTTCTCTCTTTCCTCAAGCATCTTCTGTTTACTCCCACCACAAGATCTTTGCACATGCTGTTCTTTCTAACTAGACCACCCAGTTACCACTTTAATTATCTCTCCTCCAACCCTTCACCATGTTACACCCCACATTTCCAGTAACTTTTAGTATTTTTACAATCTCAGTTGAATTATCTCTCAATCAGAGATGTATTTCATTCATTCTATCTAGATTAGGCCTCCCATCATGTATTTCCTTTTTTTTTTTTTTTAATATTCACCATTGCTGACTTAGGTTACCACAAGACTTGTCTGTATAAATATTATTGAATAAATGAATTCAGAGGAAAAAAGAACATGGGAACAGGTTACAGATGAAAACCTTCATTGTGCTGTGGTTAAGGACTAAGCCTTAATGATTGTGTTTTTCTTAAAAAATGAAACATATTTGTAAAGTGGCTTGACTTCAGTGGTTAAACTCTACATATAAGAGGCCTGCTAAAGGTGAAATACTTGTCCATTATTTTGAAAAATTTCAAATGTAAGCTTTTTTTCTGGCTGCAAAGAAGTTCACTCTAACCCTCCATCCATCTTGATCAGAATGTGCTCTACTGGTTTTGTACTGTGTAAATTTTGAAGAAACTCTCTCACATACCATCTGTTCATGCCTTCAACAATTGATCCATCAATCCCTGTATCAGGGCAGACCATAAAAATTTTTTTTTAAAAAATTTATAACAAATTATTATAGTATTCCTCATTATATGAATCTTGAGACTATGTTGCTAAGGAATGTTAAAAGGAAAAATGTGTCCATGTTAACGAAAGATGTTAACTTATTTTAAATAGAGTTGTTATTTGAAAATAATTATTGTGCATGGAGCATTAAGGTACTAACAGAAGCTTTGCCCATATTGATTATGTGTCATCATCCGTCTTGTCAACATTTTTAACATAACTTGACACTTGTAATTTGACAATGCTATAAACATTATTTGAAGTGAGATGATGAGAATACATACAGTTCTAGAGGTTCTTTTGGTGGTTTTATGCTGACTGAATGCATTAACAACTAAATTATTCTCATTTAGAATGCATTGATTTTCTGTCTTTAGGGTACTCTAATTATCTTCAAGATAAGAGACAAGCAGATCTACTTTCAAACTGAATGCACACCTTTTCACAGTTTGGGCTGCTTTTGAATGCTACCTTCTCAAACCAATATCTTCATTCTAACTCTGGGGGATGTAAATCAAACACATCAGCAGTTGTAAGTGTAACGAGTTATCTCCACAAAGGAACTGCATTTTGAAGTTGGAGTAAGCCACTCTGACATTTAAAAAGCAATTCAGTGGAAAGGTATCAAATAAAAGGAAGGAACTCTGAAACAGGAGTTTTATTGCATACCTTTCTTTTTTTAAATTTTTTTAAATTTAATTTTTTTACATTATACTTTAAGTTCTAGGGTACATGTGCACAACATGCAGGTTTGTTACATATGTATACACGTGCCATGTTGGTGGGCTGCACCCATTAACTTGTCGTTTACATTAGGTATATCTCCTAATGCTATCCCTCCCCCATCCCTCAACCCCATGACAGGCCCCAGTGTGTGATGTTCCCCACCCTGTGTCCAAGTGTTCTCATTGTTCAATTCTCACCTATGACATATGGTGTTTGGTTTTCTGTCCTTACGATAGTTTGCTGAGAATGATGGTTTCCAGCTTCATCCATGTCCCTACAAAGGACATGAACTCATCCTTTTTTATGGCTGCATAGTATTCCATGGCATATATGTGCCACATTTTTTTAATCCAGTCTATCATTGATGGACATTTGGGTTGGTTCCAAGTCTTTGCTATTGTGAATGGTGCCGCAATAAACATATGTGTGCATGTGTCTTTATAGTAGCATGATTTATAATCCTTTGGGTATATATCCAGTAATGGGATGGCTGGGTCAAATGATATTTCTAGTTCTAGCTCCTTGAGGAATTGCCTCACTGTCTTCCACAATAGTTGAACTAGTTTACTGCTAGCCTGGTAGGTTTTTAATTTCTATGTTCCAAAATCCTCCATCTTCACTCACGTTATCAGGAATGTTCACATATTAGAAGAGCTCCGTGGAATTTCTCTCTTCTGTTTTCAATTCCTGTTCTTCCCTCTCTGACTTAATTGTGACACTCGAACTTGCTCCTTGGCCTCATTAAATGATCCTTTTTCGATTCTTTCACCACTTGTTGCATTAGCCCCTTCTGAATTTATTTGCTTTCCTCACTTGTGAGACCCCATAGTCAATCTTGACAATAACTACTTCAAGCATCCCTCTGCCTTGTTGGTCTTTGCTCTGCCCCCAGCTGTATGCAACCGTAACTTAGAAATGCTGGCATCCACCTTCTCCACTTTCAGGTTCTGGAACAGCACTGGAGAAAATCATGACCCACTGAGACTTGCTTCCTTTATCAGTTCATCTTATCTCAACTCTTGTTGCTCAGTTGCCACTTACTCATCTTTCATTAAATCTTGTAACATTTACACAATTTTTAATCCAAATTAAGTTAGACTGTCAACTACAATTCTTGTAGCTTCCCCTGTATTTAGTAGATTGTTTTCATTTTTTTAGTCAACAGAGTTCACAGATCTCTAAGGTGAAGTACTTTATCTTCCCTAAATGATTTTATTTCCCTTACCTCCTAAAACAGTGGAAGAAAGCGTGGCTTGGTCTTCTTCCTAAGACTTATCTTTTCAATTATCATTTTTGTTTACATGATTTCTTATCTCCTCTGAAACTTTGCTTATTTAATTATACCTTCTTTTTTGAGCATTAAATATTTCTCTACTACTTCCTTCCTTGTACCCATAAACCAACTTTCTCCAATGACTTAACAAATTAGAAGCTCTCCCTTGACCCCACAATCATGTCAGGCTCTTCTCTCTATTTTAACCATTTTTTCTTAAAGATGTTATATTGTTGCATCAGGTTGTTTATTCAATTTGATCACATCTTTTAACTGGTGAGTTTAATCCATTTTATTCATTGTAATTGCCATTAGATTGGAAATTATTTCTGCTCTTTTATCTTTTTAAATATAGTATTTTCTTTATTGAGTTGTTTGGTTTTCATCTTTCCTGCTTTCTTCCAGGTAGAACCTTCCGCAGAAAGGCAAGTACTTTATTTAACTTGCTCCCATGTTTCTTTGATCACTTATCATCTGTTTTCCTTTCCTTCTTCTTGTCTTCATGTTCTTTAAGTAATGGTAAATGTCCCCTCTCCCCACCAAAACTGATCGCCATTTGTCCACATACAGTCTTGCAGAATGCTCTCAATGTGTTTCCCATGTGAGTGCCTTCTCCAAAAGTAATACCACTATAGGTTCTCAAATTACATTTTTAAGGTCTTGTATGCCTGAGAATATTCTTCGTATGCCCTTATAATTTAATGACTGATGGACTGGACAAACATTATGTTTGAAGTTTTTACTTTTTATTCGTATTTTTAAAAATTACTTCATTATCTTGGATCCTCTATTGTTGTTAAACAGTATGCAGTAGAGCTACTTATTATTTTTTCCTGGGCAATCTCTTCTTACTTTCTGTGAGTTTTTAGAAATGATTTCTTTTTGATATTCTTAAATTAAAAATTAATATATTTAAGTTTCAGTTTGTCCATATTCCCTTGGGTTCCTACTCTACATACGCTAAGATTTATTTCATTCTGAAATCTTTTTTTAGCTTTTTTGAGGCATAAATGAAAAATAAAATGTACATACTCAAGGAGCTCAACGTAGTGTGTTTTGTTGTACATATACACTGAAACGATTAACACAATTCAGCTAATTAACATATCCATCACCTTACAAAGCTGCCTTTTTGTGTGTAATGAGAAACTTACTATATTAGTAAATTTCAAGTATACAGCACAGTATTATAAACTATAGCCACCTGCCGCACATCGGGTCTCCAGAAGTTATCCATCTTATAAACACAAGTTTGTAGCCTTTGACCAACATCTTTTGCTAGTCTCCATTTCCTGATCCTCGGTAACTACCTTTCTACTCTCTGTTTATATAAGTTTAACATTTTTAGATTCTACGTATAAGTGCAATTATACAAATTTGTCTTTCTGTGTCTTACTTATTTCACTTAGCATAATGTCCTCCAGATTCATCCTTGATGTTGTAAATGACAAGATTTCCTTTTTTTGTATGGGTGAATAATATTTGTTTGCATGAGTACATACATATCACACACATGCACACACACATCACATTTTCTTTATCCAGTCATAATGCTGCAATAAACATGATAGTGCACATATCTCATCAAGATAGTAAATTTATTTCGTTTGGATATATACCCAAAGATAAATTGCTGGATCATATGGCAGTTCTGATTTTTTGAGGGACCTATTAATTCTTTCGTTTTTCTGAATTCTGTAAACTGGTAAATGTATTATTTCTTTTTCTCTTGGACTTCAGATGCGTGACTTGATTTGATCATAACCTGGACTCATGACACATCATCATTGTTGGTCCATGCATGCCCTTTCTCTCTTATTTGTGTAGTTAATAGTATAATTACTAAGTATGAGTGTAGAATTCATCATAACACCTAAAGTACTTCTAATAACTTACATACTTACATCCCCACATATACTCTTTCTCTGGCTTTTATGACCTGAATGCTCCACTCCAACCCCAACCAAGTAATAAATAAATACTTAAATAAATAATATGTAATTTTTTGAGACAGAGTCTGGCTATGTTGCCCAGACTGGAGTGCTATGGCAATCAGTATTGTAGTTGTTGTGTTTATCATATGCTTTCTTTTTTAATTATATTCTTATATATGCCAGCAATAAATGATTTATCAAAATTATTTTTATAAGATATGTAGTAATACATGTTGTTTTTCTTGTGGTTTCTTCATTAAGACATCCTTTAAATATCACAAATTATGAACATAACACAAGTCACTTATTCATTCTGATGTTGATGACTACTTAAATTGCTTCAACTTACGTGTTACTACGAACAGTGGTGCTGGGAACATTCTTGTTCAAGTTTACTGGTATACATATAAGAGTTTCTCTTAAAAATATGTCTAGTCATAGAAGTAATGCTTGTAGGGTAATGACATGTTAGACTTTAAAAGATAATTTCAAACTGTCTTCCAATATGGTTGGACCAATTATTAGAAATATGTTAGAGTTAGCCATAGATACATGTCTATTATAAATTTAGGGATTTAAATTTTTACAATAAGGTGCTTATAAATAAACACATCAAGGTCTTTATTTTCTTTCCTCTGATTATTATTCATTATGTGGAGTATGTCTTTTTCTTCTTGGTCATATATGTTTTCTGTGAAACATTTTTGCTTAATTTTTATGTTTTGCCCAGTTTTCTAATTTATCTTTTGCTACATTGCTTTTTAAAAAAGTTGTCTAACATTTTAATTTTAAATGAGGTAAAATTTATTAATTATTTTATTAATATAATTTTTTCTAAAAAGTTTTAAATTTCTGCCTTTGAAATGTAAGATATTAATCCATTTAGAGTTTAATTTTGTGATGGTATAAAGTAGGAATTTATTTTCTTTTTCTTTCCTATATAAATAACTAATAGTTCAGGTATACAATACAGTATTGTTAAATAGTATTATGTGTTAAATAATCCCACTCCAAAGTTTACCTTGCCACACCCCCTCTGTCATCTGTCAAGTTGCATGTAGATATGATCTGCCTTTCGTCTTTCACGCCTAATTGCAAGTGTCAGTTTGTCTGTCACTGTGCCAATAACATGTGCTTTTAAGAACTATCACTTTACAATAAGTCCTTATCTATATTGTAGGACAAATGCTTTCTTCTTTTCCTTTTCCTCCTTCTTCACTTCTTGGAAAACTAGTACAAATTTAAAGTCAGCTTACCAAGTCCCATCTATAACCCTATTGGAATTTAAATTAACATTCTATCAATTTGATAAAGTTGAGGAAAGTGGCATTTTAAAAATATTCTCTTTCGCCGGGCGCGGTGGCTCACGCCTGTAATCCTAGCACTTTGGGAGGCCGAGGCAGGCGGATCACGAGGTCAGGAGATCGAGACCATCCTGGCTAACGCGGTGAAACCCTGTTTCTACTAAAAATACAAAAAATTAGCCAGGCGTGGTGGCAGGCGCCTGTAGTCCCAGCTCCTCAGGAGGCTGAGGCAGGAGAATGGCGTGAACCCGGGAGGCAGAGCTTGCAGTGAGCCAAGATCGCGCCACTGCCTTCCAGACTGGGTGACAGAGCAAGACTCCGTCTCAAAAAAATAAAATAAAATACAAAATAAAATAAAATAAAAAAAACATATTCTCTTTCTATATATAAATGTGGGTTACCTCCCCCATTTGATTAATGCCCTTCAGTAAGGCCAATTTTCAGTTTGGCCTTAAGCAATAAAGGATTCTTAATGCTCAGCCAATTGGTATAGAATGCGCTGCACTTGGAAGACACTTTGACCCTATAAAAATATTGCAAACAGCCAGAAGATAAGCTAGAACCATGAGGGAAAGTTTCAAGTTTTACCTAGAGAACAAAAGCAAACTCTTTTGTTATGGTGCTTAGGTGCACTGCTGATTTTACTTTTAGGGAGGGTCTGTTTAGAAAACATCAATATAGATTTTAAAATAGCCCTCATTTATTCACTGTAATATAGGACAGTGGCAGCATGTGTAATTAAGATACACAGATGTGTTTGGACTCTTGAACCCATGAAACTCACATAAATCTATTTCTGATACAGAAATATAATCCTGGAGTCTCAGGAGCAGCCACAGATGCAACATGCTGCCATCAGCTGCAGCATTCTGCCACTTAACATTACCCAATGACAACTACCAAAGATCATTATTTCCCATCACCTTCTACACCAGAATATTTACCAGAGTTAACAAATAGCTAAACTGACTACATTGAAATTATCCTTCTGTTCTTCCCTAACCTTCTTTATTTGGGACAATTAAATATTCTAAAAATGGGAAGCAAAAAGGAAACAATTAGAGAATTGGATTGGAAAGCCAACTCTTTGGCTTAAGGTATTAAAGTTTCTTTAGCTGAATCACTGACAAAATCAATAATTTAGGCAATGGATTCCATAATTTCCCCAAATATATGGGAATGTTTTGTAAACTGTAGTAAAACCATATTTTTTATTTTTCCAGAGAGAAACAAAGTCGACCATCTAATTATTACCTCCATATATGAGGTACAAGTTACTGACGTGCAGTATACCTTTCTAAATTCCATCTGTAAATTCTACCCAACCTTTAAGACCCAAGTAAATGCAATATTAAGCTTTTCTAGTTACCAAAACAAAATATGATTTCTTTCTCCCCTACTCCCCATGCTACCTTATACCTATTATGACACCGAACCATATTTTTCATGGCATAGAGGACAATACTTTCACTAAATCTTAAAAACTTTAAATATCTATAAAATATTTTACCTGCTCCTATCATAATTTTTGAAATGTCTCATTTTATATCTACTGTTAAGCTACCTAAGGGAAGAAAAAATAGTGCAAATATTTTTTCAAGAAAGGCAATTTTGTAGGATACACCGTTGAAATGTGATATTTGTCTCATGAGATGATGTTCAATAAATATTTGTTTAGTCTGTTAAATAGCAATGTAACATCAGAAAGCAATCAGTTGGCTTTTCATGTGGCAAAATATGATGAGTTGCATATTTCCGTTTAAGACTTGAGTCACTAGAATGTGGATTATTGGCGATAATGGAATAGGCCAAGCTAAGGATAAGCACCAACTGATTAGGGCCAGTTGGAACTGGACACAGTGCTATAGCAAGCCCAGTCTATTTATATTGGCTTCATGCAACCCGTTTAGAAGAGCTGCAGGCAGCCACTGAACCATATTTTTCATGGTATAGAGGACAATACTTTCACTAAATCTTAAAAACTTTAAATATTTATAAAACTTTATCAATTTATAAAATTTTAAATATTTTAAACTTTAAAATATTTATAAAACTTTATCAATTTATATAACTATCAATCAAAAACATTGTAGCATTTTAATCTAAATATGGAAAAAATATCTGAAGTAATAATGGAGAGCTAATATGTTACAAAAGGCTGGACTTAGTTGACTGAGATATATAAGTAGTTCTTTTAAAAAATTAATTTTCATATGTTCCTTAATTTAAAAAAACCACAGAAACGTTTAGAAACGATTTCCAGAAAATAGCATTTTGCTGGTTTGGAGAAAACGAGCACCTGGGATAATAAGGCCATTTTTGTAAATCTGTTGAATAAATGCACATGTGAGCCCTAACAGATTCCCTTAGACACCTGCCTGCTACTGGTCATCTTGTTTTTTTTTTTTTTTTTTTTTTTTACATTTTACTTTAAATTCTGGGATGCATGTGCAGAATTTGCAGGTTTGTTACCTAGGTATACATGTGCCATGATGGCTTCCTGCACCTATCAACCCATCATCTAGGTTTTAAGCCCTGCATGCATTAGGAATTTGTCCTAATGCTCTCCTTCCCCTTGTGCGCCCCCTACAGGCCCCGATATGTGATGTTTCCCTCCTTGTGTCCGTGCGTTATTGTTCAACTCCCACTTAGGAGTGAGAATATGCGGTGTTTGGTTTTCTGTTCCTGTGTTAGTTTGCTGAGGATGATGGCTTCCAGCTTCATCCATGTCCCTGTAAAGGACATGAACTCATTCTTTTTTATGGGTGCATAGTATTGCATGGTGTATATGTGCCCATTTTCTTTATCCAGTCTTTCACTGATGGGCATGTGGGTTGGTTCCAAGTTTTTGCTGTCGTAAATAGTGCTGCAATAAACATATGTGTGCATGTGTCTTTATACTAGAACGATTTATAATCATTTAAATATATACCCAGTAAAGGGATTGCTGGGTCAAATGGTGTTTCTGGTTCTAGACCCTTGAGGAATCACCACACTGTCTTCCACGATGGTTGAACTAATTTACACTCCCATCAACAGTGTAAAATTTTTCCTATTTCTCCACATCCTCACCAGCATCTGTTGTTTCCTATGCTTTTAATGACTGCCATTCTAACTGGTGTGAGATGGTATCTCATTGTGGTTTTGATTTGCATTTCTCTAATAACCAGTGATGATGAGCTTTTTTTCATATATTTGTAGGCCACATAAATGTCTTCTTTTGAGAAGTGTCTCTTCATATCCTTTGCACACCTTTTGATGGTTTTTTTCTTGTAAATTTGTTTAAGTTCCTTGTAGATTCTGGATATTAGACCTTTGTCAGATGGATAGATTGCAAAAGTTTTCTCCCATTCTGTAAGTTGCCTGTTCACTCTGATGATAGTTTCTTTTGCTGTGCAGAAGCTCTTTAGTTTAATTAGATCTCATTTGTCAATTTTGAGTTTTGTTGCAGTTGCTTTTCGTGTTTGGTCATGAAGCCTTTGTCCATGCCTATGTCCTGAATGGTATTGCCTAGGTTTTCTTCTAGGGTTTTTATGGTTTGGGGTTTTACATGTAAGTCTTTAATCCATCTTGAGTTAAGTTCTGGGATTCTTGTGCAGAATATGCAGGTTTGTTACATAGGTATACATGTGCCATGGTGGTTTGCTGCACCTGTCAACCCATCATCTAGGTTTTAAGCCCCACGTGTATTTTTGTATAAGGTGCAAGGAAGGGGTCCAGTTTCAGCTTTCTGCATATGGCTTTCCCAGCACCATTTATTAAATAGTGAATTCCTTTCCCCATTGCTTGTTTTTGTCAGGTTGTCAAAGATCAGATGGTTGTAGATGTATGGTGTTATTTCTGAGGTCTCTGTTCTGTTCCATTGGTCTATATATCTGTTTTGGTACCAGTACCATGCTGTTTTGGTTACTGTAGCTTTGTAGTATAGTTTGAAGTCAGGTGGCATGATGCTTCAAGCTTTGTTCTTTTTGCTTAGGTTTGTCTTGGCTATATGGGCTTTTTGGTTCCATATAAAATTTAATGTAGTTTTTTATAAGTCTGTGAAGAAAGTCAATGGTAGCTTGATGGGAATAGCATTGACTCTATAAATTACTTTGGGCAATATGGGCACTTTCACAGTATTGATTCTTCCTGTCCATGAACATGGATTTTTTTTCCCATTTGTTTGTTTCCTTTCTTATTTCCTTGAGCAGTGCTTTGTAGTTCTCCTTGAAGACATCCTCCATGTCCCTTGTAAGTTGTATTCCTAGGTATTTTATTCTTTTTGTAGCAATTGTGAATGGGAGTTCACTCATGATTTGGCTCTCTGCCTATCTATTATTGGTGTATAGGAGTGCTTGTGATTTTCGCATATTGATTTTGTATCCTCAGAATTTGCTGAAGTTCCTTATCAGCTTAAGAAGTTTTTTGGCTGAGACGATAGGGTTTTCTAAATATACAATCATGTTATCTGCAAACAGAGATAATTTGACTTTCTCTCTTCCTGTTTGAATCCCCTTTATTTCTTTCTCTTGTCTGATTGCCCTGGCCAGGACTTCCAATACTATGCTAAATAGAAGTGGTGGGAGAAGGCATCCTTGTCTTGTGCCAGTTTTCAAAGGGAATGCTTCCAGCTTTTGCCCATTCAGTATGATATTGGCTATGGGTTTCTCATAAATAGCTCTTATTATTTTGAGATATGTTCCATCAATACCTAGTTCATTGGGAGTTTTTAGCATGATGGCATGTTCAATTTTATCAAAGGCCTTTTCTGCATCTACTGAGATAATCATGTGGTTTTTGTCATTAGTTCTGTTTATGTGATGGATTACATTTATTGATTTGCATTTGTTTGAACCAGCCTTGCATCCAAGGGATGAAGCCAACTTGATCATGGTGGATAAGATTTTTGATGTGCTGCTTGATTCTGTTTGCTAGTATTTTATTGAGGATTTTTGCATCAATGTTTATCAGGGAAATTGGCCTGAAATTTTCTTTTTTTGTTGTATCTCTACCAGGTTTTGGAATCAGGATGTTGCTGGCCTCATAAAATGAGTTAGGGAGGGGTCCCTCCTTTCCTATTGTTTGGAATAGTTTCAGAAGGAATGGTACCAGCTCCTCTTTGTACCTCTGGTAGAATTCGGCTGTGAATCCGTGTGGTCCCAAGCTTTTATTGGTTGGTAGGCTATTAATTACTGCCTCAATTTCAGAACTTGTTATTGGTCTATTCAAAGATTTGACTTCTTTCTGGTTAGGTCTTGGGAGGGTGTATGTGTCCAGGAATTTATCCATTTATTCTACATTTTCTAGTTTATTTGCATAGAGTTGTTTATATTATTTTCTAATGGTAGTTTGTATTTCTGTGGGATCAGTGGTGATATCACCTTAATCATTTTTTATTGTGTCTATTTGATTCTTCTCTCTTTTCTTCTTTATTAGTATAGTTAGTGGTCTATCTATTTTGTTAATCTTTTCTACCAGCTCCTGGATTCATTGATTTTTTTGAAGGGATTTTTATGTCTCTATCTACTTGAGTTCTGCTCTGTTCTTAGTTATTTCTTGTCTTCTATTAGCTTTTGAATTTGTTTGCTCTTGCTTCTCTAGTTCTTTTAATTGTGGTGCTAGGGTGTTGATTTAAGATCTTTCCAGCTTTCTGATGTGGGCATTTAGTGCTATATATTTCCCTCTTAACACTGCTTTAGCTCTGTCCCAGATATTCTGGTACATTATCTCTTCATTCTCATTGGTTTCAGTGAACTTCTTTATTTCTGCCTTAATTTTGTTATTTACCCGGTAGTCATATAGGAGCAGGTTGCTCAATTTCCATGTAGTTGTGCGGTTTTGAGTGAGTTTCGTTCTTTTTTTTTTTTTTTTTTTTTTTTTGAGATGGAGTTTTGCTCTTGTTACCCAGGATAGAGTGCAAAGGCATGATCTTGGCTCACCACAACCTCTGCTTTCCAGGTTCAAGTGATTCTCCTGCCTCAGCCTCCTGAGTAGCTGGGATTACAGGCATGTACCACCACATCTGGCTAATTTTGTATTTTTAGTAGAGACAGGGTTTCTCCTTGTTGGTCAGGCTAGTCTCGAACTCCTGATCTCAGGTGATCCACCCGTCTCAGCCTCCCAAAGTGCTGGGATTACAGGTGTGAGCCACCATGCCTGGCCTTGAGTGAGTTTCTTAATACTGAGCTGTAATTTGATTGCACTGTGGTCTGAGAGACTGTTATGATTTCGGTTCTTTTGTATTTACTTCTAAGTAATGTGTAATTTCTTCTAATTGAATAAGTGCTATGTGGCACTGAGAAAAATGTATACTTTGTTTATTTGGGGTAGAGCTCTATGGTTTTGTAGCTGTCTATTAGATCTGCTTGATCCAGAGCTGACTTCAAGTCCTGAATATCCTTGTTAATTTTCTGTCTTGTTTATCTGTCTGATATTGACAGTGGGGGGTTAAAGTCTCCGGCTATTATTGGATGGGAGTCTATGTTGCTTTGTAAGTCTCCAAGAACTTGTTTTATGAATCCATATGAATCTGGGTGCTGCTGTATTGGCTGCATACATATTTACGACAGTTAGCTCTTTTTGTTTCATTGATCCTTTTACCATTATGTAATGTCCTTCTTTGTCTTTTTTGATCTTTACTGGTTTAAAGTCTGTTTTATCAGAGACAAGGTTTGCAAACCCTGCTCTTTTTTGCTTTCCATTTGCTTATTAAATATTCCTCCATCCCTTTATTTTGAGCCTATATTTGTCTTTGCACATGAGATGGGTCTCCTGAATACAGCACACCAATGGGTCTTGACTCGTCCAATTTGCTGCTACTGGTCATCCTTAAGATCCATTGGCTACAACCATCATCGATCACCTTTTGTATACAGGTTTATTCTTTTAACAAAAATGACTCCTTCAGATTTCATAAATAAAAGATTAGGAAAAATCCCCATTCATGTACCTCAAATTCAGTATGCATTTCCTGGCAGTGGATGTGGCCAATGTGTCTAACAACAAACAATTGGTATCTTTGTTCCATATTTATTGATGGCTTCACAATATTAAAAGAAACAGAGATCAGCAGTGTACAGAGTTATTTAAATAAATGAGCAATTCCTGGAGCTGTTGAGCTTTTCACTTAAAAATACACTAGCAGCTGATTTGTTTTACTTTCTCAACATTACCTTTGCATTAGCCCTTGAATCAGAACACCAGATATAAACCACAAATTAAGTGCATAATCTGTTAGACGAATGCTTCGAATGCAACTTTCTTTACTAATGACTCAAATTAAAGTGGTTACTCACTGTAGATAACTATTAACAACCTGCCAAGATAACTGTGCTTTTTAAAACTATATTAAAAATGGAATGGTAAAAAGACTGGACTATTAATAATTATATTTGAATGAAAATAAAAATATTAATAAATATAAATACTCATAAATTCAATTGAACTTTATGTTATCCAAGGTATGGCGGGGGCAGGGGTTGTGAGGAGTGATCAAGTCTGTAACATTCCCGCAGAATAAGATCTCTGGAACTGATGGTTTCCTAAAATTGATACTGTTGTCTGTAGTATTTGGTTGGTGCAAACATAATTGCGGTTTTTGGCACTGAAAGTAATGGCAAACTGCAATTACGTTTGCACCAACCTAATAAGTTTGGGATCTATATGACAAACCTTCACTAGTGAGATTAGGTTTGGTATCATTTATTTATGTTATGTCTTCTATTTTTTTTTCATTTTTATCAAATTTCCTGGAACAAGTTATGAGCTTATTTCCTGACCCCGTTTTTGTAATGTGGAATAAGGTAGTTTATTTAATTAAATGTTTTTTTTTCATATAAAAGTTAATTTCTTTAAAGTATATGTAACTTCTCAAAGGTAAACAATTATTGTGCTTTCTAGGAAGACCCTACCTAATATGGTAACTTCTCAGTTAACATTAGGTTCTTGGAAAAAGTGACTTTAAGTAAAATGACTTATAATGAAACCAATTTTACCATAGGCTAATTGATATAAACAATATTTAATTTCTGCTCAGGAGCAGTGGCTTATGCCTCTAATCCTGGCACTTTGGGAAGCCGAGGCAGGTGGATTGCTTGAGTCCAGGAGTTCGAGGCTACTGCACTTCAGCCCAGGTAACAGAGTGAGACCTTGTCTCAAAAAAAGTAAATAAAAGTAAAAATAAATTAATTTCCTCTGGCATACTTCTGGTCACAAAAACATCACCAAACTTCTAAATAAAGACTCAAAACATTTAAATGTTAATCATATTAATCATTGAAATAAATTTACTAAATTATGCCATTTCAGGATTATGGGTAGCTGGGGCCTATATCAGCAGCTCAGGGATAAGGGCAGAAAAACATGCTGGACTGGTTGCCATTCCCTGGCATGGCACTCATGCAAACCCACACTCATACTGGAATGGTGTAGACACACCAATGAGCCTAAGATGAGCAGCTTTGGGATGTGGGAGTAAACCAGAATGCTTGGAGATAACCCCAGCAGACATGAGGAGAATGTAGACACAGACTGTGGCTCTGGCTGGGAATCAATATTTTTTTCTCATCGCTGTTGTAACCAAACCACATTGACAAAATGACATTATTCAAAAACCATCTCTAAATTGGGATTTATTTCGTAATATTGTTCTTTTTTTTTATGTGAAAAGGACTTGACAAAGTTATCTAGGCCTTCAGAATGTTCACACTTCTAGCTGTTGATCCTCATTAAAGGAGGCAGGGGTAGAATAGCAGTTATTTTTATTTCTGAATGAAATGGCTTCTCTTGGTTTAGAAGCAACATCAGAGCACAACATGAAGAGTTTGTGAAGTAAGGAATGGATACGAATTAAGTGGATTAAATCACATCCTATCATGGAAAGAGCATGAAATTTGGAGCCAGACAAACCTCCTAACTCTGCCACCTGCTTTCTAGGGGACTTTATGAATTTTACTTCTCTAAGAGCACAGAAATTATATAGAAAAAGAAGTAATGGAATTTATACTGAAAGATATTGGAAGTAAGGAGAAACATAACTGATGAGTTGAAATGTAAACAGGATTTACTACATGTCATGTCATGTCATGTCATATGCATTATGGGAGAATTGTTAAATTCTCAAAGCAAAATTATGAGATAATTTTTGAATGGGAAGTATGTGCAAAAGGAAATAGAAAGAACACATACTGTTTTGATGGAATTACAATTAATTTTTAATAATCACTATGGCTTGGATGCAGAATATAAGATGTAAAGGAAAAAGAAAATTTAAATGAGGCTGTAAAAGTTGAACCAGATCATCTTGGCTAAAAAACTAAGGACTACAAACCTTATGGGGCAATAAGGATAGTGTTAAAATATTTTGTAATATTTAGTTTAGCATCTCTATGCAAGGATCCTTTCTCTTAACACAAAAAGATTAATTATTCTTGTCTGTTAAAACATGGACCCTTATATTATTAAGTTACTCAGAAAATTACAGACCTAGATAATATTCCAGTTCTGAAGGTAGAAATGCTATGTAGCAGGACGAAGTCGCAGACAAAACTCCTCAGACACCGGATTAAAGAAGGAAGAGGTTTTTTATTCAGCCAGGAGCGTTGGCAGACTCGCGTCTTAAGAGCCGAGCTCCCCGAAAAAGAAATTCCTAGCCCTTTTAAGGGCTTAACAACTCTAAGGGGTCCACGTGAAAGGGTCATAATAGATCAAGTAAGTGTGAGGAACGTGACTGGGGGCTACACACATCAGCTAACAGAACAAAAAGTTTTACAGTGCTTTCTCATACAATGTCTGGAATTTACAGATAACACCAGTAGTTTTGGTCAGGGGTTAATATTATTATTATTATTTTAACCACCAGGGCCAGGTGGTGGCACGAAGGTCGTCTAGCTATTTATCTTACTTCTGTTTCTTTCCAACTTTTTGCTTTCTTCCTTTTCTCCTGTCTTATAAACTAGGGAAAAGGGGAGTTTGGGGAGAAGCTGGGAAGGACAACAGGAGAAATGGTGGTCTCATTCCATAGCTATGTATTACAGGGAGTCTCCTAAATGCATGCTTTCTTCAAAAATACCTAACGGATTTCCTGCTTGATATATTTCTATCTTAACTTGATGCCACTCATTTTTGCTCTCAATTATAGTAAATTTTATCTTCATCTAAGATATTCATGGCAAAATTTAAAAGTGTGTCTGACATGGTGTATTTACTGCCTCCTCAATTTATTTTTAACTTTTAAGTTCAAGAGTACATGTTCAGGCTTGTTACTTAGGCAAATTTGTGTCATGGGGTTTTGTTGTATAGATTTTTCATCACCCAGGTGTTAAGCCTAGTACCTATTAGTTATCTTTCCTGATCCTTTCCCTCCTCCCAGCCTTCATCCTCCAATATGTTCCATTGTGTGTTGTTCCCCTCTTTGTGTCCATGCGTTCTCATAATTTAGCTCCCACTTAAAAGTGAAAACATATGGTATTTGGTTTTCTCTTCTTGCATTAGTTTGTTAAGGATAATGGCCTTCAGCCAGCTCCATCCATGTCTCTGAAAGGACATGATCTCATTCTTTTTATGGCTGCATAGTATTTCATGATGTATATGTACCACATTTTCTTTATCTGGTCTATCACTGATGGGCATTTAGGTGGATTCTATGTCTTTGCTATTGTAAATAGTGTTGCAATGAGCATAATGCGTGGCTGTGTCTTTATAATAGAATGATTTATTTTCTTTCGGGTATATACCCAGTAATGAGACTACTGGGTCACATGGTATTTCTGTCTTTAGTTCTTTGAGGAATCACCACACTGTCTCCCACAGTGGTTGAACTAATTTACATCCCAACAGTGTATAAACATTCAGTTTTTTTTCTACACAACCTCACCAGCACCTGTCGATTCTTGGGTTTTTAATAATACCGCTTCTCACTGGTGTGAGATGGTATCTCATTGTGGTCTTGATTTGCATTTCTATAATGATCAGTGATGAGCTTTTTTTTTCATATGATTGTTGGCTACATGTACATCTTCTTTTGAAAAGTGTCTTTTCATGTCCTTTGACCACTTTTTTACGGAGTTGTTCGTTTTTTTCTTGTAAATGTGTTTAAATTCCTTATAGATGCAGAATAAAATTTTTTCCCATTCTATAGGCTGTCTGTTTACTCTGTTGATGATTTATTTAGCTGTGCTGAAGCTCTTTAGTTTAATTAGATACTATTTGCCAATTTTGCTTTTGTTGCAATTGCTTTTGGCATTTTCATCATGAAATCTTTGTTCGTGCCTATATTCTGAATGGTATTGCCTAGGTTGTCTTCCACTGTTTTTATAACTTTAGATTTTACATTTAAGTCTTTAATCCATGTTGAGCTAATTTTTGTATACAGTGTAAGGAAGGGGCCCAAATTTAATCTTCTGCATATGGCCAGCCAGTTATCCCAGCACCACTTAGTGAATAGGGAATCCTTTCCCCATTGCTGGTTTTTTGTCAGGTTTATCAAATATCAGATAGCTGTAGATGTGGGAACTTATTTCAGGGTTCTCTATTGTGTTACATTGGTCTACGTGTCTGTTTTTGCATCAGTACCATTTTGTTTTGGTTACTGTAGCCCTGTGTTAGAGTTTGAAGTTGGGTAGCATGATGTCTTCAGCTTTGTTCTTTTTGCTTAGAATTGCCTTGGCTATTTGGACTCCCTTTGGTTCTGCATGAATTTTAAAATAGCTTTTTCTAGGTCTGTGAAGAATGTCAATGATAGTTTAATAGGCATAGTATTGAATCTATAAATTGCTTCAGGTAGTATGGCCATTTTAATGATATCGATTCTTCCTATCCATAAGCATGAAACATTTTTCCATTTGTTTGTGTCATCTCTGATTTCTTTGAGCAGTGCGAATCAATTTCTGGACTTGGTCCTCTTGACTTTATTGACTCCCACAGCCTCCTTTGGTAGATATGCATCATCTTCCTACCCCTAAACATTGGAATTCTTTAAGACTCCAGTGCATTTCTCTTCTGTGCTTTAAATTCAAAGCTAGGTGCTTTGAACTCAATATCTAATTGATACCACTGGCCTCAGCTTCTCTCCTTATCTCCAACTCATATATTCAACTGCTTACTCAATGCCTCCACCTGAATTTCTAGTAGATATGGCAAACATACCCATTCCAAAAAAATAACTTATTTTTTCTATTTCTTCTCTCTCCAAACATGCTCCTCTTCCAGTCTTTATTAGGCCACAAATGAACCTCATCATTATTCTGAAAATGTTGACCGTTTTTCAGTTATATTTTACATACTTTATGATTTCTCACATGCTATATATATTCCATTTGAATACAGTTGTCCCTCAGTATCTGCAGAGAATTGGTTGCAGAACACTTCCATACCAAAAAATCTGCAGATGCTCAAGTCTCTGATATAAAGTGTCATAATATTTGCATATAACCTACAGCAAATCCTTCTATATAATTTAAATGGCCTCTAGATTACTTATAATACCTAATAAAATGTAAATAGTTGTTATACTGTATTACTTTTAAAATTTTATATTACTTTTATTGTTATATTGAATACACACACATACATTTTAACATTTTCCATTTGTGGTTGAATCCACAGTTGCAGAAACAGGAGGCGCAGAGGACCGGCTGTATATAGTAAATGAAATCATTTATCTCCACTTCCGTTGCTACCATCCCAATCTAAGCCAAATCGTCTTTGCCTAGACCATTTAAATTGTCTCCAAATCTGCTTCTACACTTGCCTTCCTAGAAGCAGTTCATGCAGCATCCTAAACAACATTATTGACATATATAAATGATTCTGTCAGTCTCTTGCTCAGAAGTCTTCCTAAGACACGTAAAATAATCCAAAATTCTTACTATAACCTTCAAAGGCCTAGGTATAAGGTTTCCTGTCGCTCATTCTGGCCTCTTTGTCTCCCTCCCACACTTGTTTACTCCATTCTAGTGAAACCATACTTTCTTCTGCTTCTCAAAGACATGCATTTTCACCTCAGGGCCTTTGCACTTATTTTCTTTTGCCCCAAATATTCTTACTACAGGTAATCACTTGGTTTATTTCTTCCTTTCACTGTTCTCAAGTCAAACGTTCCCTCTAAAGAGAGTCCTTTTGTGGTGGACTTTACTTAAGATAGCCCATTCTTGTTGTCTTATTTTCTCATTCAGTTTATATTTCTATATATTGCCTATCACTAACATCGCATTATACACGTATTTGTTAATTATCTGATAGTTCCACAAAATGTAAGCTTCCTAAGGCCAGTTTACCATAGTTATTTAATTCTCCCTAGCATCAAGAATATTTCCAGGCCTATAGCAGGTGCTTATTATTTGGTAAATGAATTCTTAAAGGGGAAGAAAATATGATCATTTTGAACTCCTCAAAAGTAAGCTAGATGACAATTTCTAAACCATTATTCATCACTGCACTGAGTTCATCTCAGTGCAGTGATGGATAATGAGATCAATAGAACACAAGTGAGAGTTCAGGACCAGAACTGAACATATATGGCAGCTTGAATTATGTCAGAGGTGGCACCATTGATTGTTGTAAAAAGGATATACTCTTCAATAAATATATTAAGACAATTGGTTATCCAAAGGAAAAAATCTAAAATGGAGTCTCTAGCTCCTATTCTATAAAAAAAGTGAATTGATGAAAGAATTCATGCAAAGTTCAATAATATTTAAAAACATATATAGGACTATAGAAATATATCATTATAACCTGAGAGTAGAAGTGGATTTACTTAACAAGACACAAAGAGCAAAAACCATAAGAGAAAAGATTGACATATTTGCCTAGAATCATAATGCAAAACTTCTTTCTTTCACCAAAATAATACCATAAAACATAAAAAAATCAATGACAGATCAAGAAACTATTTGCAACACCTGTAATTTACAAATGATTAGTGATGTAGAATATGAAAAAACTTCTATATTATGTAGGCATATAATAAGGGGGAAAAAAGAGCAACATTCACATACTAGTGATAGAGGCAGGAGGCAGACAAATGCCTAGGCAGATAAGTAAGGGTCCCTGGAGAATCTCCAACCCACCTCACTAGTGTTTGTATCAGATGTGCTTTTGCAGTTAAGAAAACCCTCACAGGGTCTTGCCTGGGCATGCCTGCAGTGGACTGGAGGCCCACATGCACTGTAGAGTGGGGTGGAGCCAGCAGGAATTTACACCTTATCCATGGGAGGATACCCTCTTCATCTCGTGTGTGGTGGCCTGGTATTTGATCTGTGAGGTGGGAGCCTGCTGGCAGGACCCCTCTCTCTGCTGAGAGCTCCCTTTTTGCTTAATAAATTCTGCCCTCCTCACCTCTCAGTGTGAATGTGTGTCTAACTATTCCTGGTTGTGAGAAAAGAACCTGGATTTAGCTGAGCTAAGGAGCAAAAATCCTTCATCAATAGCAATTTACAGAAGAAACCAGCCTGTTTAATTAATAGAAGATAGTCAATGACACTTATAATGAAGAGAATAAAATAAAAAAAACCATGAGATATATTTGCCATTCCTCTGAAAGGGAACAGTCTTAAAAATGGCAATACCAAGTTTTGGTATGCAAGGGTAAAGTGGTAAAACCACTTGGGAGATCAATGTGGAAATATCTAGTAAAGTTCCTATGAACCCAAATTTTACTCCTTATAATATATTTCAGGGAGTGTCTTACACACACAGGAAGGGAAAATGTATAAGAATAAATTTGAGCTACCTAAACATTTATAGAAGCTTTTATCTAAAAGTAGTATTTTATACAATGAATTATTGTACAGCAGTTAAAGTGAGTGAACTGGAGCTACATCTGTCAATATGGATGCATCTCTCAAATATAACACTGAGTAGAAAAAAGCGAGGTGAAGAAGAATACAAACATGTAAGTTATACAAATACAAATACGTAAGTTATAAAAGCTTGCAAACATTAATCTGTTATAAAGGAATACACACAGATTAATATATATTTATTATACATGTCTCATTGTATGAATGTAATTATCTTATAGGAATATGTACTAAAGAAATTTAAGAAAAGCATCAATGTCAAACTTCATCTATTAATTAGGGCATGGAGGGAGCTGAGGAGAGTGTGATGAGGGATCAAGGAAAAAACACAAGGAATTTGAAAATACACTGGTGATATTTTATTTCTCTTGTTGGGTATGTGCACATCATTGTCAATTTCATTTTCTTTTATATATTTGAAATATATTAAATATATTAAAATATAATTTTCAATAATATAATTACTATTATGAAAATCTAAGATGAATATGCATCAACAGTTTTGTTCAGCTCATTAGTTAATGAGGCAACTAGAAAGATGTTGTGACCAGTTGAAAGAATATTTGAGAAGTATTTGAGAAGCTAGAGTATGTAAAAGAAAGTAAGGTTTTTGAATAAGATACAAAACAGGTCCAATTTCATACTTTTGAGATGTCTGTTCAACTAGAGAAAAGCTATCTGGCGTCTTGTCCCCTCAAATCCCCAACTGCTTTGCCAGCCCTGAACTCTACTGTTTGTTTCTCCATAGCATGACATAGTTGTAGGCTCTATACTTTACACTTCCTATTTGACCTTCTTGCCTTCTGCTGGGATTAGCAAATACCCAAAAGGAAAATAGTGGTAGTGGAAGTCTGTCTTTCCTCAAAGCATTTCTCTTTTCTCCGGAATCTCAGCTCCTTAACTCTTGGCTCTTTGCTCACCAGATATCTTTAAAGAGGTCTCTTTTGAGTATCTTCTCTTCTCTTGTCCACTTTCACCATTGCTCTTGATGAGAGAGTTAGTCTAATACAAAGTACTTTATCATCAGTGAAAGCAGAATTCCCTTCTTGATTTTAAAAATCTTTTTAATTTCAGTATTTTGACAAAAGAGAGTTAGTCTAATACAAAGTACTTTATCATCAGTGAAAGCAGAATTCCCTTCTTGATTTTAAAAATCTTTTTAATTTCAGTATTTTGACAAAAGATAAATGTGGAATTTATTTGAGTAATAGGTACACTATATTTAGGATTGATGGAACAAATATTTTTCTTCTCAATTTTTATTCCTAATGATAACAGTAACAATAAAAAGGGGGAAGACCAGTTATTAAAGCCAGAGTAGAGCTGTGAAATACAATATAGTTTGTACTAAGTATATGTAGAAGGCCTAATGCAGGAATTGAGGGGAAAAAAAGATTACTGAAAGGAAGGCAATAAAACTAGAAGAAACACAATAGGAAACTCTAAGAGTCAGGAAACACAGGCCTGATAAAACAAATCAAAATGAAATGACAATGACAAGATAAAATGGTCACAGAGTTAAATGATTGATATGAACTGAAAACAGATATCTACAATGTGTGGCTAACATGTCTCTATAAGAATAAAACAGATTGAAATAAAATCAAACTTATAAGAAAAGTATTTTTCTGAAATATAATATTATAAGCAAATTTAAAAGCATGTTTTAAATTTGTGTCCTAGGAAGAGTTGACACAAAATTAATCAGTATTGAGATGTATCCTTGAAGCCTCCAGTCTTTCAAATATTAGAATCTTCAGGACATTCTGGCAAAGTACCAAATTGTATATGAAAGGGGCAAAAATCAAACTAATCTCAGACTTCTTTACTCCAAAATTCTTTACTCCAAAATGACAGTGATATACAGCCCATAAAAATGTCAAGATATTAAACTCTAACCTAAGATTATCCTTCAAGTAAAAATGTAAGAGTAAAGTAGTCCCAAACACATGAAAATTAAAACACTATGGCACCTCTAAACTCCTTTTACATAATTGAGTGAATAATAAAATTCTAAATGAGAAACACATCCAAAAAAGAGTTCAGAAGTGAAGAAGTAGTTCTAAAGCCATTTAAATACATAATGTAGCCCAAAAAATAGCAATAGTTAAGATAACAGAAAATAATATAAAAGTTATAAACTTTAAATGTATGAAAATTTTAAAATAAAAAAAGCAGGAGGTGAAAGCATAAAAGAAAGGCAAGTAGAAGAAAATATATCCACTGTTTTATTTATTACAAGTATTAAATAGAGGAATCATAGAAGTTTAAATATATTACTAAAATATGAAGTTTTTCGTAAGAACATAAAAATACTAAAATAAGCCATCGAAAGATGAGAAGCAAAATATATATAAGCTAAAGCAAAAACATGGATAATATAGTAAATGATAGAAATGGGAAATATTTAAAACACAAAATCTAACATAAATTAAAATGATAAATTGAGGAAAAATTGTTATATCACTAATTGTACCCGTTATAAATTAATTTAGCAAATAAAAAGTATTACCAGAAAATATATCTGATAGAATACATAAACTATACTTAAATAATTCTAAAACAAATTGATATTTAAATCTCTGAATAAAAGTAAAACTGTAACTATAAACAGATGAAGCAAATGCCAAAAATTAATAATTAAGAAAGCAGTGATTCAGCTAAGAGTATATGTACAGGTTGAATTTACAGCAAAAACTTCAATACAAAGGAAAATTTTATAAAGATTAAACAATGCAATTCCAAATGATCTCTTTAGCATGCATATTTCTATACCAAATAACATAGAATCAAAATCTAGAGAAGAATGCTGCAGGAAGCAAAAGTAAAAATAGAAAAATCTGTCCTAAAAGATATATGTATCCTTAAATGTTTTCACTTCTTTCAATACAAGACGAAGTAAACAAAAACATTTAAGAATATAAATAATATTATTAAAATAAACTAAAAAAAATTAAACTACATCCTAAAATAAAACATCAAGTTCCCATGAAACATTGACCAAATATTAGTTCCTAAAGGACACTTTCTTAAATTCCAACTGTTGAAATAGCAAGGACGACTGCATTCTGTGACAACTATGCAAAAAAACTAGGGATAAATAACCAAGATGAAAAAACTCAAAATCCAACCACATCAATCTAAAATAAGAAATTTATTTTTTATTTCACAAATTAGATCAAGGGGGAAAGCAGAAATTAAAGGATTGCTGGGAATTAATGGTAATTTCAAACATTACCTATAAATTAAAATACTGTATTTTTATTGAGAGCTTTTAGTAGTAGAGTCTGTGCAAAAAGGAAAATGCAAACAGATAAGAAATGTAGGAATTCATAAATTACATGTTGTATCTTAAACAAGAAAAAAATCCATGAAAGGTAAGGAAATAAAAAGAAGAAATAAATAGTTGCACAGAAACTGGTGATCAAGAATACCATCAAACTATAACCAACACATACAAGTTTGCTTCCTTCAAAAGAAAAGTGGAGCAGTAAGTAACATAATGTAGAATAAAGGGGTGAAGCCCAAATGCAGATAATTTATACTAAAAAAGGGAGAAAAAACATCAAACATTTATAAGACATAAAAATAAGTAAACAAAGAGCACTTTGATTAAATTTATGCAATCCTTGGTTTGTCTTTTTCTCAGAACATATAAATTAGGCAAATTGACTTCAGGTTAGATAAACAGACCAACTTTTTGGTTAGAGAATAAGAAAGGTTGTCAAACAGCAGTCCTTTGCCCTCTCCAAATATATACACATACAGAGCACTAGGGCATTTTTTCTCTGGTGAATTCTACTAAGCCTTCAAAAACATAAAATTCTTATATTATTAATACCAGTGTTCTCAAACTTACCAATCATTTGGAGATGTTATTAAAATACAGATTCTGATTCCATTGATTTGGGTGGGATGTATGATTCTAGCAAGCTCCCAGGTGATGCTGATGCTGTTAGTTAACAAGCCACATGTTGAATTGGAGAGGTTTACATTGTTTCATTACCTAGAGAAAGAAAGCTTCCAAGCACGTTTTACAAAGTGTACTCTAAAATTGATATTAAAAGCTTATACATATATTCCCTAAAAGACAACTACAAAACAGTTTCTGTTATAAATATTGATGGTATTAATACTAAGGCAAAATAAAATATTTACAGATAGAATCAAGTTGGTTATTAAAAGAAACACACAACATGATCAAATAGTGCAGTTCTACTAAAGTCCCCATGGTTTGGTGTTAGCAAAGACGTTAATAAAATCTACCATATTACCAGGTGAAATGAGAAAAACTTATTATCTTCATAGATGCTGAAAAAACATTTGATGAAATTCACCACACGTTACTTATTTTTAAAAGTCTAAGTAAAATTAAAATTATAGATTAAAACTGAATGATAAAATTTAAAAAGTCTCATTAAAATTAGAAACAAAACAAGGATTTTTGCTATCACCATACTTATTGTATATTGGGTTTCGATGACTGTGAAATTAGGCAAAACAGTATCAGATACTTTCAAAAGAGAAGGAAAAATGTACCATTATTTGTAATTGATGTAAATGTAATACAACTGGAAAACCTGAGAAAATTAATTGAAAATCACTAGACCTTTAGTTTATGATAAAGTTTGCATTTCAAATCAGTGGAGGAAATATTTCAATACTTGTGTTGGGATTACTTGCAGAGGCATATCTTACAGAGCCTAATCCTTACTTTACCTTGAGCAAGAACAAATGCTAGATAGAGAAAAAGTGCAAATGTAAAACAAACTAACAACAAAAAGCAAACAATAACTACCTGAACACCCCCAAAGCAAGTAAATATTTATACACACATGTAAACAAACAACCTAAAAGCAGCAGGAAAAAAAGATGGACTTCTTTTTCTGTAAGTCATAACTCTTTTATGCATTTTATAACAGAGAAGCTGCTGAGAAAAAAAAAATTGAATTATTTGACCAATTAGAAAGTCAAAACTCTTGAATAGTAAAAGTATCCAAAAAAAATCAAAAGACGTGGAAACTGGAACATATTTGTAACACATAAAAAAACAAATCTTCTAATGCCATATTGGCAAAGATTAAAAGATTATATAACAAAGGATGACCATCTTGCAAATAGATTGTGCTACAATCATATAATGTTACATGATTACTGCCATTACAAGAATGCAACATATTTATATATGCTGCTATGAAAATATCCACAGAATATTGTATTTGTCCCAGCAGGTAGAAACAAATACCCAAGTTGAATCTGGAATAATTTGTAGTCAAAGGAAGAGAACCTAGAGGGGAGACATTTTGAAAACAGAATCAGCAAAGTAAAGGAAGAAGTAAAAAATATTCTGAAATTTTTCAGCCTTAGTGACTGGGATAATTATTATTATTATTATTAAAACCTGAAAGAAAAGTTTATTGTTATTAAAGTAATACAAAAAGAGTACCAGGTATTGGCAAAATCTGAGTATTTCGAAGCCAGACTTTGATTCTCACGCTGTTACTTACTGGCTGTGCGACCTTACGCAGGTTATTATTTTTTCCTCTGTACCTCTTTTTCTCATCTTTGAAAGAGGGTAAGTATTCACAGAATTGTTTGATTTACAGCTCTAAGGATTAAAATAGTTAATATTATAAAAGTGCTAAGAAGAATGCCTTGCTTATAGTACATGTTAAGTATCTGTTAGCTATTAATATTAAAACAAATTATGGGGTGCTGAGTATGAAATACTACTTGAGCATTTAGGTCCTGAGGTACAGAAGACAGAAATGCTGGGCTAGGCTGGATGCTTATGCCTGCAATCTCAGCACTTTGGGAGGCCAAGGCAGGTGGATCACTTGAGCCCAACAGTTTGAGAACAGCCTGGGCAACATAGCAAAACCCTGTCCCCACAAAAAACAAACAAACAAACAACAACAACAACAAAAAAAAAAACGCAAAAATTAGCCGGGCATGGTAGCATGCACCAGTAGTCCCAATTCTCTCTCAAAAAAGAAGAAAAAAAAAGAAAAGAAAAGAAAAAAGAAATGCTAGGTTAGATCTTGGCATACAGACCAGAGTAATAGATATGTTTGCCTAGACTGAGGAGTTTCTCAGGATGGCTGACTCTCAGGGCAAAAACAAAGTTACCCTATCATTACTTGGAGTGGGGAGAGACAGTGCTCAGCACCAAGGTAGATTTTCTAGGCTGAAGCAACTTGTGGAATCTCACAAGTTGATGTTATTTCAGCCTCCTTTCAGAAGACGTTCTCTAATGACAGAAGGCACTTGCCAAATCATCTTCTAGGGAGAATGAAGGGGGAATCATGGTCTTGGGGTAAGATTCCAAAACCTAGCTGTATAATTTCCTCATGCTGGAATTGTGTCCCCTGGTATTAGTCAGGATTGTCCAGAGAAACAGAACCAATAGGAATATCTAGATATATTAAGAGAGGGTTATGGTGGGAATTGGCTCACATGACTATGGAGGATAAAATGTCTCATGATATGTTGTCTGCAAGTTGGAGATCCGGGAGAGCTAGTGGCATAATTCAGTTTAAGTCCAAAGGCCCAAGAACAAGGAGCTTTTATACCCAAGGGCAGGAGAAAATGTAAGTACCAGCTCAGTAAGAAAGAGCTTGCACTTCATCTGCCTTATCTGATCAGGTCCTGCTACAGATTGGATGATTGGATGGTGCCCACCCACAGCTGATAAAGGTGGATCTTGTTTGCTCAGTCTGCTAATTCAAACACTAATCTGTCCTGGAAACACCTTCTCACAGACACACCCTGAAATTGTATTTTACCAGCTATCTGGGCATCCTTTATCCCAGTCTGTTGACACACACGAAAAAAATTAACCATCATAGTCTTGATTGAATGATCAGGCCTTTAGTAACTAAGTAGATAGTTGTTGATTTTACTTCTATGTTAGTTGGTCTAAATGTGTCCTTGAGAATTATTAAACATATTAATTTTTTTAATGCAGTATTCTTTAAGCTCTTAGAATATCTGAGAAAGAAGCAACTTAATTAAAAATCAGCATCTGTGATTAGGAATGTGTTGTTCTTCCTGTCCGTGGAGTTTTAAAACACGTCCTCTTCCATCCAAGTTACACAAGCCTCACTCAGTTCTTGAAATCTCTCAAGAATTGCTGTTTATTTCTTTAGGGTGTTCCCCCACCAGGATCCCACAAGGTGAATTTTGTGTCTGTTAGAACATCCCAAACAAACCACAATAATTTACTCTAGCCAATATTCCATGATGGGTCATCAAATAAGTGACGAAGGTGACAGAAGTTTATATATATTTCTTGACCAAGAGTATTTGAAATTTCCCATCTCATGGAAATTCTTCTTTTCCATCAGTCTAGTGAGTGTGTGGTATAGTTTACCTTCTATGCCTAAGTACACACAAAACTTAGGTGAGGGAAACTAGATAAAATTTATAAAGTTTACCAAAATGTTGGTGCCAGGAGGTAGAGGGTGAGGTAATCATTCCAACTTAGTCTCTATTTTATATCGCCTCACTTATCTGAGGAGAAACATCATAGAATTTTTTTTCCATACAAAGCTCAAGGTGACTTTGTGCTGCAGGTTATTATATTTTAATCTCCAGATTAGATGCTTGAATACAATACAATCTGAAAAAAATTATATGTACAATGTTTAAAAGAATTGATAAGAAAGGTTATGTTTAGGTGAAGTTGAAAAAGGTCAACAGAATTGTGATTCAGTGTGGTAAACTTAATATATATGCACGAAAGAATGGCCACAGAAATGTTCTTTTTCCTACAAAATGTTTATTTATTTACTATTTTACACTCGTGGGGGAAAAGTCCTAAATTTGAAATTGTCAATAGTGTCATTTACTATTAATAGATTCACACCACACTCCTAGATTAACTTTTAAACATATTTTCTGACAAATTGTAGGCTGGTACTGATGACCTAGTTTCAGCAGTGAATAGCTGCCACTCAAATTTCTCAAGAGAGAACAAAAACTTCATATTTAAAAATACAGAATTTCTCAGTACTGTATAGCAAAAATGTTTATGGACAGAACCATGTAAATTATCATCATTTTTAAATATGTCTGAAAGATCCCTGTTAGAAAATACTCAGAGAGACAGCAATCTCTTAATACAAATTGAATCACCAGTAGTGTACTCATATTGTGACATTATCAAAGCATGCAAGATAGAGTATTTTGAGCATTGAAGAAGATACCATATTTCAATGTATGTAGCAAATATTAATGTATAATAGCTTAGTATAAACCAGGCTGATATGGAGCAAATAGTTCTCTTAAAAAAAAGCTGATGTGAAAGGAAGCAGTGAAGCAACAAAAGTTGATAATTCTTCATAAGGCAATTTAACGTGATAAGAATTGGCATTCTTTTCATCGCAAAAATGCTTATAAGAAGTAATAATTGTGGAAGCATGAGAATTTACTGCAATAAGCTGAACAAAATGCTTAAAATTCAAAAATACAATTCACCCCAAAGAACTTCAGATTAAAAATGAAAAACTGCTCAGAATATACATATTTACACTTATCTCTTGTAGAGCATATGTTTCCTTCCAAGCTACGCAGGGATTTACCATTTGCCATGTTTTCACAGATTAAATATTGTTAAATACTCCAAGGCACAGTTCATAGCTACTTTCAAGATTAAAACTAATTAAAAAATCTGTTTTAAATACATTCTTATTATTTGACACTTTAGTGGGTCTAAATCATATAAAGACAGTCAATTTTATTTTTCTATACTTCAATACTACAAATGTTAGTGTAGTGAATATTAATACGATCAATTGCAAAACATCTAATTCAATTATATATCCCTTTAATTCTGTACTAGATACTTTTACAAAGTTGGTAGAGATATTAGAGTCTTGAGTATTCTTTTTACCTCACTTTTCCTCTTCTATGTACAATTATGTGTTTATGTTTTTATCACTTTTTGCTTTTTTCCCACTATTCCTTATAAAAGCAAGCAATAATTTTAAAATATATAGGGTCCTCTGTGTTTAACTTTAATCTTTTCTTCTGCATCTTAATAGTAATAATACTACATTTGAAATTCAGGGTATAATATCTTAAGTGGTATGTCTATACAATTTCCTTAAGGTAATTACACTGTAAAATTATAATACATGCATTGGTACTACAAACTACAAATAGCCCAAACTGTATTCTGGTTTGTTTATGCTTATTTTAATAATCTTGCAATACATTATTTTTATGTACAAATTATTTTTGCTTGGCCTGTCTGGGCTAATATTGACATGTGTAGTATATGTTTATGCTAAAAATAAGAAGCTCAACCCTTAAAAATACATCCACTACACCAAAACCCAAAAATCACTTTTACAGAAACCTATCAATTAATGGGCTTATATCCAAACATCCAATGTAAGACATCAAGTATTTAATAAGTTAGGATTATATAGTTTGATTCAATAGAGACTCATGTCACATAGATATTGTATAGATACTTTACTGAGATTTTTCATTTTTCTTGTAATGGACTCCTTTGCTTAACAGTGTTCTGGGTTACAATTACTGTGTTCATGTTGTATATGGAAGAACAGATCCAGAATTACTTTATGAGAGAAATCATAATCTTATTCCTAGACAGCCCTCCACTCAGCTATGGAAATAATTTTGAAGTCTAAGTAGGCTCTTGAATGAACTACAGAAGATAGCCACCTTCCTCCTGCTGCCCTTTCTCCCAGCTCAGCTTCTAGCTGGGTTCCAGTTTCTTATCTTAAAGTAAAAATACAACTAGTGCTTACCTCATAGAATTATCATGTTGATTAGATAAAATATTTAAAGCGCTGTGTGCCAGACAGTATGTAGCATTCAGTAAATTCTCAATAAATATTAGCTGTTTAGATAACTGCATATTAACATAGTAAAAGCTCTAAGAAGTCCTTTAGTGAAGACATTTACTTTGCTTAACTTTATCTCAACATTTCCTTATCTTATTAGAGCCTATTTACAACCCACTATTGACTTTGGAAACAGGCTATTTGACAGGTATGCTGCCTGCCTGGCCACGTTGTTTTGCCCTTTTGAGGTAGGGGTGTGTGTGTGTGTGTGTGTGTGTGTGTGTGTGTGTGTGAGAGAGAGAGAGAGAGAAAGATAGAATTGTCATTTGCCATTATGCCACTGGCCAAGTTGAAACATATTTTATAAAAACATAACTATGATACTTCCTGTTTTAGATATTGAAGAGTTCAATTTGGTGACATTGCTCCCTACATTATACATTGTATCCTCCTTATAGGAATCCTCTGCATTAATTGTTCCTCTATATCAGATCAATGAAAAGCAATAGTCTCTTTATGATGTAACTTTTTAAAATTAATTTTTAATAGACTACTAACTATAAGCAAATAATTTAGAGTCTACATAGCAAAGTATTTTTGTTTTCTTTTTCGTGTCATCCTTGCACAGGGGCCATGCTAATTGTCTCTGTATCATTACAATTTTAGTATATTACTGCTGAAGCAAGCATGCAAAGTCATTTTTTAATGATAGCTTTAACATCTACACTACTCAGAATAAAAATAACATTTTATTCCTTATTTCTAGCAGGGTCTCTGTCAACTAGTAGGAAACCATTAAGTGCTTTCCTAATAAAATAATAAAAGCAGTTAACAATCACCATATTTATTTCATCTAGATAATTATGTTTGTAGTTATAATGCAAATATTCTAAGAAAATTATTTATATTGTTTAAAAACAGCAGGTTGTATCATATTTTACACTTGAAGCGGCCTATGAAAATCCAGTCTCTACCGCGCTGCTCTCCACCACCTGACCTCTTCCCAAAATGTCTCGACTTTGTTCAGGTTTCTCTACTTCTTTGCACTCAAAGAATTCGACCCATCCCTGGTAGCAGGAAGTGAATCCTGATTTGTCTAAGCTAGCAGATGGAGGTTCCATTCAACCAACCAATAATTTTAAAGTATGGGAATAGTTTGTAGTTCTGGCCAATTGTATGAGAAGAAAAATATATTGGGGGAACACTTGGAAAATTTCCTTCACTTTTTAAAATCAGAATATAAAAAGAGTTAATCTCCTTTGCTGGTGGTTATCGTTGCCATGTCTGGGTGTGATGTCTGGAACTCTGGGTAAGTCAAAGAGCAAAGTCAGTAAGTGTGGGGGTCGGCGGTAGAGCAGAGATACCAGAATAAACTAAGTTGTTCATTTTCTTTTCTCATCACTGGAATAACCAATCCTGAAGTTGTCCTTTCCTGTTATTTTCTGAGTTTCTTAAGTAGTGAATTAGTAAATTTTCAAATAAAACCCAACTAAGGCTATTGAAACCGTGATTTTCTGTCACCTGTAGTTGGAACATCCTAACTGCCATACTCATCTGGCTCCCAACACTTTTACTTGGAATTTTAAATCACCAAATGTACTTTTTGTATTTTAAACTTGTTATGTGTGATACTTTTACTTTCCTCTTATTTCACTAAGATTACAGATGCTAGACAACCCTTCTCTCAGATTCATTGGCATTTTGTTAAATTGAATTTCTTTTGCCTATCTTGAGAAATGTTAATCTGAATAGAAATGCTCTATTTTTAAACAGAAACACTTGTTAAAGTTACACTTCTAGAATACATAAATGTGTGGAAACTTTAGAAGCGATGAACACTTTTCCCTGATAAATGTCCCACTATTTTTGATTCATGGTGATTTTGTTTTCTTCCACATATATTAAAAACACAGAACATTTCAGTCTCATACTTTGGCAAATCTCAAGTAAACACTCCAGAACTGGCAAACTGATTGCAATCGAGATATTCTTTACAAATATCTTTAATTGCACATTTCAAAACTAAGTCCTCCTGAGCTTGAAATTTCTCTCAAGAGAATGTATCATGTGGAGTTTAGTAGAAGGGGCAAGCGCTTGCATTGCTCCTTATTCCTCATAGTGGTATTTGTATGTCTCGGTATTTTGGATTTGAATATCCTGCTGGAATCTGTCTTTACTTTTCTGCTTGTGAAACATACTAAATAAGGTAGAGGCTATTTCCCTGTAGGAAAAAATAAGCCAAAGGCAATGAATTCTGTCTTTATCTTGTAACGTATCCTTCCCATTAAGAGAAATCCATTATATCAAATATTACGTACACTGACAGCTGAAATAAAAATTTTTATTGGTTTAGTTTAGGGATTTGAGAAAAGAAAAAAAACTCATCCACCAGATAATTCTAAACTGGTAGCATTTTTATTCAATTGTGACATGATTAATTTTTTATCCATGCTAAACTTCTTCCACCAATTTCGATTTGCAAATTCAAATGAGTGTCAATAGACTGAAGCTTTATTTGTATGACTTCCTTTTAATTACCAATTTCACACATAGATAGACAATTGATGAAAAGTAGAGACAATGTCTTTGAATAAAGACAGATGAAAACTTTGTACTTAAGTAACTATGGGAATTACTAATTGAGTCAGCAAATAAAAATTTGAGTCACCATTAGGATCGGATGAAATTTTTTTCTGTGCAGTTACTGATATGTGTGTACTTACTTATTGCTAAACACAGTTTCTTCAGAAGTTGGTCAACTACTTTAGAAAGAAAACTTGCATATTCTCAGGGAGCCTATGCTATAAAATCCAATTATAATTTTTCTCCCAACAAAATTTTAGATTTCCGAAAAAATACATTCATAAGAATTTTTTTAACCATATTTGTTGAAGCCTAAACTTCTGGAGTTTACAAATAGATTTTTGTTTCACCAAATGTCTTCCAAAAGCAATAATAGTATACAAAATGTAATTGCATACTCATGGAAAAGGGTCTGTGTTCAAAGTAATTTTGTAAACAAAGCCTAAACAAAGTTATACTACAGAACTTCTACTGCAGGACTTCTCCAAGCTTTTAAATTGATAACGTTTATTGTACATATCAAAAAGGGGATAACAGAGATAGTATTTTTCATACTTGTTTCACCTTGGAATCCTACTGGCCACATGCAGGCACGTGTGTGTGTGTGTGTGGCGGGGGATGTGTGTTGTTAGGCATCCATCACTGTGTTTCAAGATATCCTGTAAGACACAACTTAGGAAAATAAGAAAAAGTATCAAGATGAGTGTCTTTAGTTTATTCTCACAACTTTGGGGAAACCTGAGTTGATTAAATAATGATGAAATATGTAAAGTTTACTTAATGGGGTACATTTGTACATGGGTGTTTTATTGATTTAAATATTGCTATAAGCTGTGACTCTAAAATTTTTTATCAATGTTTAGTAATTTTTTCTTATTAAACTTATACAAGGCCTTAGTCTCATAAATTTAGAAAGCATTTGAGCCATGTTTATATATTAGTACATTTTTCCAGTGTTTGAAGGAAATGTCTTCTCTTTAGTATACTAGGATGTTTATTAAGCGATGGCTTCATGTAATACAAAGATTAATATAATTTGTAAAATTAAATATCTTGGTCATTTACTCCCATATTTCTGGCACTTGTAATGAAAGAAAATGCATAGTCCTTCCTTCCCCACAATACATCATTTGCTTGTCAAGAAGTATTTTTCACTATAAACAAATATTACTATAAACAAAATACCTTGAATTTATATTTAAGAAAATCTCTTTTAGCTCTCTTATTTATGAACTAGCCATCTACTTCTATTTAGCCATCTGTCGTCATATCTTTGGTGAAGGAACATCTTTCAATTTTCTGCAAAGGACTAAACCTACTGGAATCATGTTCCTTCTCTCCAGATAACTTTAGCGTTCTCCCTGGGATTGCAGAATTAGCTGGTCTGCCTTTGGTCTCTTCACCTGGGTGAACACATTTCATTAGTTTGTTAGAAAATGCTTCAATAAATTTAACTCTCCTTTTCCTTTTTTTTTTTTTTTTTTTTGAGACAGAGTCTTGCTCTGTTGCACAGGCTGGAGTGCAGTGGCGTGATCTCGGCTCACTGAAACTTCTGCCCCCCAGGTTTAAGCAATTCTCTGCCTCAGCCTCCAGAGTAGCTGGGATTACAGGTGCGTGCCACCTGTAAAAAATTTTTTGTATTTTTAGTAGAGGTGGGGTTTCACTATCTTGGCCAGGCTGGTCTTGAACTCCTGACCTCGTGATCCACCCACCTCAGCCTCCTGAACCACTGGGATTACAGGCGTGAGCCACTGTGTCCGGCCTCCTTTTCCTTTTTAACTTCAGTGATTTGCTTAATACATTATTGAGACGTGATCAACTATAGCATCACTAGGGAAGAGTTAAGAATCAGGCTATTTTTCACCAGGAGGCCTGGATTGAAAACTCTTCACTATTATAAGCTCTGTGACTTTGATTGTAAACCAAATAATAACTCCTGGTTTGGTTTTCTCTTTTGTAAAATTGGAATCATATTTATGCGGTAGGACTATTTGGAGCTTGTCAGTGTGTAGATGCCTGAATAAGAATGATGGGGTATTTCCAGAAAGTGACTGGCTCAGGGTGAACCAAGCCGAACTCTTCTCCGGGGGAGGTTTATGCAGGGGAAGCAGTGGTGAGAGCACCACCTACTGGGGTAGAGCCATGAAATATACTATGTCTAAAGGGAGAGTTTTTATTGTAAAAAACAAAAAAGGTTGTGTTATAGACAATTCCAGTCTACAATATAATAGAATGAGATAGGCACTTGCTCTTTCTTATTCTTTCTTGGTCTCACTGCTTTCTCTCCTGTTTCTTCTTGTCAAGCCTCCCTCTGTCTGACTCTAACCTCCTTATCCCTCTCTTTTTACCATAGTACTTTCTCATTATGTTACTACGACTTTGCCAGTGTATTAAGATATTATTTATTAAAATATTGTGTATTCCATGTTCCCCATCCTAGGTGAGCTCATATGGCAGCCTCCAAAGGTAAATACTAGGAAGACTGAACCATAGTGGTAAAGACAAGAAGATAGTTACCAAAGAGTGACCAAAATTATGTTCTGTGGATATACTTGTGACATCCATAGAGTCAGGATGGAACAGGCTTGTCTAAGGTATGGAGTGAAAGGGGACACAAAGAAAAAGCAGAATGTGCTGTCCTAATGTGTTAAGATAAAGTTTATAAGTCAGAGAGTCCGATACATACTCATTGAAATGCATTTAACAAATGCTCATTGTGTACCTACTGTATGCTGCACATTGCTCTAGGTGTTAATTTCACAGTGAGATACTGTCTCTTTTTTCTTGGAATGTGTTCTTTAATGAGGGATAAAGACAATAATCACACAAATGTAACAAATGTAAAAATGTAATTTGCAACTGAGATGAACAAAGAGATTTAAGTGATATAATGAGACCCCATAATACAAAAACTGACCTAGTCAAAGAGAAAAAAGTTTTGTTTAAACTGAAATCTGTAGGGTAAGCAAGAATGAACTAGATAAAGAGGAGAGATGTACATTACAGGCAGATTAACAGCAGATGCAAAGGCTCTCCATTTCTCACATTTGAATTTGAAGAGCCACTAAAATGCCTAAGGCAAGATGTCAAGTAGAATTTATTATGTAGAGAGAAATAAAATAAAAATATATAATATGTAAAATATGTGTTAAAATATATGTTTTACATGCTGCCCATCCTAGGTGAGCTCACAAAATATATGTTTTACATGCTGCCCATCCTAGGTGAGCTCACAAAATATATATTTTACATGCTGCCCATCCTAGGTGAGCTCACATGACAGACTCCAGAGGTAAATGCTAGTAAGACTGAACCATAGTGTTAAAGGCAAGAAAGCAGTTGCCGAAGAGTAACCAAAATTATGTTGTGTCAGTATGCTTGTAACATGCTTGTGTCTGTGTGTGTGTGTGTGTATATATATGGATATATATATATTTGGAGATATATATATATATGGATATATATATATATATGGACTTTCAAGAAAAAAATAAAAAGTATCAGATTGAAACTTCCTCATTTTCTTTACTTAAAACATTTCAACCTACCCACATCTTCACATGTCCTTTTTAATTTTATACTATCCATTAGAGAACTAACATCTCGTTTTCTCCCTAAGGTGGCTTCTGCCACCTCTGCTGTGGGCTCTATTCCCTCTCACCTTTGGAGGTCATAAATAATAAATTTTTCTATTATTTAAACTTTTTCTCAATGTGCCATTCCCATTGTTTCTTAAATTGCTCAATCTTTACATTAAAAGAATAACAACTTATTAAAAAAGAACCTTACTTAGGGGATTTGAGGAGCTTCCAGGTTGGTGAGTACATCAAGCTTCTGGGAGAGTCCTGCCCAGAGAGGGCAAGGAAGCTCTCAACACCCCATTCTGATACTTTTTATTTTTTTCATTAAAATAGAAGTCAAGATGACGTCATGAGAGTAAGCAAGTTAAGGTTATTATAATGTTTGAAAAAATAGTAGAAAAGGTTTGAGATAATAGTAGAGAATGTAAGAGAGAGTTAGAGAATCAGAGAAATGTGGCCATCATGAGGGCCCATTTGAAGTTGTTACTTCTCAATTTACAGTGGAATTCATATATTGTCTAATATGATATTTTTCAGGGTTCTTAGGATAATCAGTGCAAGCTTAGAGGAAACAGATGGTTAGGTTCATTAGAGTAAGGGTTTGGGCAGATGTGTTCAATTAAAAATTAAGAAGAAAGGATTAAGTTTTGCAAAAGGTTGCTGAAATGATGAACTTTAAAATCTAAAGAGGATAAGAAGTGAAGGGACCACCAAAACAGGTGGTCCCTATTTCTTGAAGAACAAAATGTGAATAAGCAAGTTGAAAAGAGAGGAGGTAGTATCTTATATTTTATTTTCAGTTTTATAGTTGTTGCATGTGTTGACAAGAGCCAAAGTATGATGGCGAGAGTAGCTAAATTAGAGGAAGAGAAAATTATCCAAGGTGAATAATTTGAAGACCTGGGAGGTCACTGGAGCAGACATGCCATTCATGGGGACACTTAAGTCACCAGGGCAATAGCTAGATGTCAGATACAGAGGATTTCAGAGGAATTCTGTAAGCCAGGCCATGAAATCCCTAACAAATGAAAGGGAACCACATAAAAATTGGTGAAGATAGTAACACTTATCAATGTAAATGTTGAAAGCAAAGAGAGTACTATAGCTGGGTACTATAAATCTCAAAAAGACTTAATTTTCTTAAAAAGATAGAGAAATTATGATTCAGCAGAAGCATCGACAATAGGAGGAGGGGCAAAGATTGCACAACTCATCCCCGAGATTAGTAAGGAATGAGAACATCCGCAATTTGAGAAGACTCCAGAGAAAATGGGATATGGCGCATAGAACCAGTTTCACTTAAGTCAAAAAAGCTGAAGGAGCATCTTAAAGACATATAGAAATCTTCTAGGAGATATTGCATTTATATAGGTCACAGTTTGAGAAGTCTGATTTGAGGGACCAGATTCAGGTGAATGAAATATAAGATTTTAGGAACCATAGTGCAGAAAATGATCAATAGAAAAGGGAAAAGTGTAAGAGGTAGAGGATGTAATGGCTTGTAGTCTACATGTTGACTGATAAAAACTGGAAAGTGGGCATAATGGATTTGGGTTCAACAGTTACTGCCAAGAAAGTATCCAGCACACAGAAGCTATATGAACATTTATTAGCTCAGCTGATAAAAATTCATGAACCAATGGAGGATTAAATATGATTATTTATGGAAATGCTTCATAAAATAGAGGGTAATATGTAGATATCCATTATTATTGAAATATCTGAATCAAATTTCACAAAACAATTAGTTATCAAATATCCTATTCTTACCCCTTCCGATGCTATAAGCATTATTCTCATGATTACTAGAGTTAGTAATAACAATACAGAAAAGCATATGATGGCATAGTATACATAAGATTTAAATTTGATCAAATTCTGTTCTACCTTGATTCTAGATTCTTCATTATGTGGTTTGAATTTTTAAGGTGCCTGATTGCCAAATTCCCTTCTTCCAGTTTTTTCTTATCCTAATTTTTGCTAATTCTGTTTACAGCACCATTTGGCATTTTTACTTTGAATACGGAAAACAGTAAACCATATGGTGAGACTATTTTGTGTCAAATTAAGCATGCTCTTAGAGCCATGAATAATATGAAAACATGCATTTAAAGATTCATTCAAATACTGACTTTTTATTCGCTATATATAATATGTATTATGTGGTAATTTTATCCGTATGCTAGATATTTTATATATATTATTTATTTATTTATTTAGACAGGGTCTCGCTTTGTCACCCAGGCTGAAGTGCAATGGTGCAATGATGGCTCACTGCGACCTTGAGCTCCTGGGCTTAAGGAATCCTTTCATTTCAGCCTCCTGAGTAGCTTGGACTACTACTATTACTGAGACTATTTTTTTATTATTAGTATTGTCAAGATGGGGTCTTGCTGTGTTTCCCCAGTTGGTCTTGAGCTCCTAGCCTCAAGCAATCCTCCCACCTTAGCCTCTAACAAGTGCTGGGATTATAGGTGTGTCCCACAGTGCCCTTGGCCACATATATTATTTGTAATCTTCATAAAAAGCTATAGAAGCAAGTTTTATTAATTTCATTTCACCAATGAGACAACTATGACTTGGAGAGATTATGAAACCTATCCAAAGTCTCCAGTTTATGTAGTGATTGCACTGAACCTGAGCCTATCTGATTCCAAAGCACATGTTCTTTAATAATACCATGTTGCCTCTAACTCATTGTAATCATCTTTTCTGATGGGATATGATTTCAAGGAATCTAGGGAAAGGATCTAGCTCCCTAAACATTTCCAACAGGTTATTGCAGTTTTGAATTTTCACCAATATGGAGTCAATTATTTGGGTTACCATTGGTATTTTTCTATCAAATAACTTCTATGAACCATAATATGTAGGCTGGAGTCACTCACACTTTAACATACATTTATTCATCAGATCTCTTTCTTTTTGAAAACAGTATTCAGAAATCATGAATGTTTGGTGTAGAAAGATAATTGGGTCAAAAAAAGTAATTTTGAGAGACAGCATTCTTCCTATGATGACTATTGGTAGGACAACACTGAGAATACTGGCTTGTACATAAGTTCTTGATACTGTAGGGCACAGTAACTTAGAGCAAAAATCAGAAATTATATATAAAAATGGCTTATAAACAAAATGCTTTCTTCATAATTTTGTTCACAATTAGGTTTACTTTACCCAGCTTTAAAAAATAAAAATAGCATGCACAGCAAGACATAAATTTTTGTACTCTGCTTACAAAAGGTGACCAAATATTTCAAATAATATTTGATTTTTGACACATTAAAGATAACAAATGGATTTTTTCCATTTCTCCTATGCTTCAACAAACATCTATGTTGCTGAATAATTTTCCTTATGATGTGCACATTTTAAATAACTGATTTTTTAATAGGAATTGTTAGTCTTCCACAAGTATTAACATCACAAGGTAGCTTTTACTCCCTTTTTTAATTCATCATCCCTCCACATTTATGTATTCCCTTTGAGTATGAGCTAACTGTCTAAGTATGTACACACATAAAACCAGATGCTCTCGGCATCAAAATGGGTTATATTGATTTATGAAAAAAGTAAGATAAATAATTTAACTTATTGTTTTTACTAAGTTATACAGAATTGTCATTTATTGGTTCACCACACATTTAAGAGACTGTTAATTTGTAGAAATCACGTATCTTGGTTAAATACAATATCTATACTATAATGTTTCAAATATATGTATGCATATGTGTGTATATATGTATACATATAAATCATATTACAAAGAAGAGGTATTGCCTTTATCTGTTTTATTGTCACTTGAATATCAGTAAAAAAAAGTCTTACGTCTGCTATAATCACAGAACTTTGTCACGAAATCTGACAAATTTGTGTTATACATATTAATATATGTATTAGTCAGTTCTCATGCTGCTAATAAAGACATACCTGAGACTGAGTAATTTTTAAAGGTAAGGGTTTAATTGACTCACAGTTTTCCATGGCTTGGGAGGCTTCAGGAAACTTACAATCATGGCAGAAGGGGAAGCAAGCACATCATTCTTCATATGGCAGCAAGAGAGAGAATTGAGTGCCAAGTGAAGGGGGGAAGCCCCTTACAAAACCATCAGATCCTGTGAGAACTCACTCACCATCACAAGAACAGCATTAGGGTAACTGGCCCATGATTCAATTACCTTCTACCAGGTCCCTCCCATGTCATGGTGGGGATCATGGGAACTACAATTCAAAATGAGATTTGGGTGAGGACAAGCCAAACCATATTAATATATAAACTTGTAAGTAAATAAATCTTTTTTTCTTTTTTTTTTTTTTTTTTGAGACGGAATCTCACTCTGTCACCCAGGCTGGAGTGCAATGGCGTGATCTTGGCTCACTGCAACCTCCACCTCCCAGGTTCAAGCTATTCTCCTGCCTCAGCCTCCCTAGTAGCTGGGACTACAGGCACATGCCACCATGCCTGGGTAATTTTTTGTATTTTTAGTAGAGACGGGGTTTCACTGTGTTAGCCAGCATGGTCTCGATATCCTGACCTCGTGATCCACCCACCTTGGCCTCCCAAAGTGTTGGGATTACAGGCGTGAGCCACAGCGCCCAGCCGGTAAATCAATCTTAATTTTCCTGGTGATTGCAAGTTCTGCAAATTCAAGATATTTTAAAGTCTGCCTTCTTTCATAGTGAGATCATTTTGGTTTAATATTAAATGAGGGAATTCAGAAACACAGATTAGTTCAGAAAACATAAAAATTACACTCTGGCCTTGATTTTTTCCCATTTTCCCCCCTAAGTAACATGTGATGTGAAAATGAACTTTTGAGCCCAGACAAAAAAAAAAGATAGTCATGTGTATATTAGAACAGAATAAAAATAATTAGCATTTCACAATATTCTGAAAATTTGTACCCCCAAATTATCCATAATTAGATACTAATTTATTTATTATAATTTGTAGTGCCATCTGTAGACTTATAAATATAAGCTGAATTCATTCCTTGTAAACAATATTGTAGATTGTTATTTACAATATTTTGTTTTAACAAGAAGCAAAGACTTTTAGAGCATAAAACATGCTTGCTTGATTCTATATCTCAGATGTTTTAGGTTCAAAGTTTAATTTTCAAGTGATTTGCTTTGATTGTGACACTTGAATAGGTTTCTTTCTGCCAGTCTCCTTACTTGAAAAATAGGAAAACAATATTGACCTCATGGAGTTCTCAGACTAAAAAGTCAATGAAAGTGGTAGCTATCCTCAACTGTGGTGGCAAGGAAAACTGTTGATCTAAAATGTTTAAGATCAGACCATCTGGGTCATGATCTGGATAGTCTGTTAATGCCAAACAACCATGAGATGTAACCAAAGATTCTTTTCTAACCTAATGGAAAACAGAATTGCTCTATGAGCTCTGGAGGGGAATACGTGAACAGTTTAACCAACTTGTACAAATTCAAGAAATGAAGATGACTATTTGTATTACAGGAAATTTTACTATGCCTTGGCCACACCTTTCATTTAGAGTAATTATTAATTCATGCCCCTCATATGATATATATGACACCTTTTCACTCTAACATGAAAAAACTGAAATACAGTTTTAAATAATCTGTTAGGTAATTGTCCAATATTTTTTCTTTCAGACTGGTATCATAATTGAATTGCCCGATATTATTGACAATCAGATAATTTTATGAAGTTTGGAGACAATAAATAAAGAAAAGCTATTAAGATAGCACAGAAATCATTTTTGGCTAATAGCAGAACAAAATATTTCATAAACATTTTTCTCTGTCACTATTATAAGTTGTCATTACTTTTTAAGAGAGTCAGAGGCAATGATATAATTTTAAGAGAGAAACTATTTAAAAGTCGTAAGTAACACAGAAATAAAACCTAAAATTAAAGTAATAATTAAATGAAATGATTATAAATAAATTACCAATAATAAATAACTTAAGGCTCTTCCACTTTCCTACCTTAGAAAAACTTGTCATTGGGGAGGTGGTGTTTTGCTTTCACTTTGTAAGGCTGTTGTGACAATTGCATTAGATAATCTATCATCTAGTAAAGTATCTAGCATATTGTGCTGCAAGGATTATTTGTAAGGATTATTTTAGATAATGTTTTCTAAGATAAATAGAAAAGTGGCCAGGCGTGGTGGCTCATGCTTGTAATCCCAGCACTTTGGGAGGCTGAGGCGGGTGGATCACCTGAGGTCAGGAGTTCGAGACCAACCTGGCCAACATGGTGAAACCTCATGTCTACTAAAAATATAAAAAATTAGCTGGGCGTGGTGGCAGATGCCTGTAGTCCCAGCTACTTGGGAAGCTAAGGCAGGAGAATCACTTGAACCCTGGAGGCAGAGGTTGCAGTGAGCCAAGATTGTGCCACTGCATTCCAGCCTGGATGACAGATTGAGAAAAGTCTCACTACAGAATACTTTTTCTTAAAAAAAAAAAAAAATAGGTGATTGGCATCAGTTTAGAGTATAATAAACACTCAATAAATGAAAGTCTATGGTTTTTAGAGTCTACATATATAGTGTCTGACATACAAAACTCTATCATGTTCATCCTATGACATTAATTGATTCAGGCCACACACACTTTTAAACCTTTGTTTCTGTACCTGCAATTCATTTCCTCTGTATACAATAGCATTTTGCCCCAACTTGTCTAAAGCCTCTTTCCTTTAGTGAGTTTTTCCATTTACAATCCAGCCCTACTTATGCAGCTCTTCCTAGGAAGCTTAAACATCTTGGTCTGAGAAACATCTTTGTTTCTCAGACAGGCTATTGCCAACCACTGATTTTTACACAACTATAACCCAGTCTCTTTAATGTCATCACATCTAGTACTATGGTTTAGAAACCTTACTTGAAGCTCTTCTCAGTCATTCTCTGGTCTGGTTGAACTTGACAACATATTGAGGTCAGCTCCTGCTGTAAATTAGCCATAATGTCTGGGCATGCACTGTTGAACAGTCTCTTATTCACTGTTGCTATACATTTGTACAAATGTACACTGGTTTAAGTCCATAAACTAGCTTTATCCATAGTGCTACTGAGCATTAGCTTCTACTGAGCATTCTACTGAGCATTAGCTTTGAAAGAATATTAATGGGCACTCCTCCTCCTAAAAGGAATAATGTGATCAAGTTGTATCAGAAATGCTAGACTGCAATCATTCTTCTTTGAGGGTCATAGGGTACCTTGACATGCCAACAAAAGATCTAGAGCAATCCTTCAACAAAGACACCTGTTTTATTATTATTTTATTATCATTATACTTTAAGTTCTGGAATACATGTGCAGAACGTGCAGGTTTGTTACATAGGTATACACGTGCCATGGTGGTTTGCTGCATCCATCAAGACGTCATCTACATTAGGTATTTCTCCTAATGCTATCCCTCCCCTAGCCCCCCATCCCCTGACAGGCCTTGGTGTGGGATGTTCCCCTCCCTGTGTCCATGTGTTCTCATTGTTCAGTTCCCACTTATGAGTGAGAACATGTGGTGTTTGGTTTTCTGTGACTGCAAAGGCACCTGTTTAACAGAGATTAACAGAAGACTATGGCTGAAAAGTACAATAAAATTAATGGTAACCTCGTATAGTTTTATATTAAAATATTTTCCTACTCTTTTCCTTTATTGTCATACCTCATAAAGAGAGCAAACAAATTAGCCAGAACCCCTTGCTTCTTCTGGCATAATATGCATGGAAGTAGCTCTTTTTGGGTAATTAACCCAGGTCAAAGTTGCAAATGGCAGAACTCAGAGCTTCCCGGACCACACACAGCAGGAAGCAGAAGGGAAAAATTATCAGTGCAGAGCTATTTGTGTAGCTCATTAAAATGTAGATCTTAGCCTAACCCCATATCTACTGAATCTGTTTCTCTGAGGGTGAGGCTCAATAATTTACATTTTAAATCAACAATCTAATTGTAAAAGCATGCCAGAGTCCATACTGAAGAAGTATCATGCTCTACCACAACAGAATAAAATAAATTCTAACTAAAAGTGTAATTTTGTTCCATAAAATTATACAACTCTAAGAGGATAGGCTCTCCTAAAAATGGACGATTGACAGGGTAGTGGGTAAGACCCAGATTAAAACACAAATTTTTCTGTAAATCTCCAAGAGCTTGGTTTACCTTTTTTGGAAATTATCTTTCTGTTTCCTCTGATGTTGACCTAATTCTTTTTTCACTCACTCTACTGCTTCCCGCCCAGTCTTGGGTTGATTAGCATATCCTTTCCTTTTATGTCCTACATCAAACCTCTCATTTTGACAATACTTTCACAAAGCAACCCTGGTCACAATTTGCTAGGAAGTTTCAATCTCTTTCTACCTTCCTAGTATATACATAATTGGCTCAAACTGACATTCCTGCATCTGTGCAAAACATGGTGACTCTTTTATACCATTAGTTTACTAGTCAGTTCCACTTTGTTTTTAAAATCTCATAAATGTTTAGAGGGATATTTCAGAAATAAAAATGTTTCACGATCTCTACCTTCCCTTTTGCTTTCTCTTTGGTTAAGAAATCTGAACACTGCCTTTGACTTTTCATTTGTATGCTCATCAGCTTCCTGTTTCATCAAGAAAATAGTGGGCTTGAGAAATATGCAGAAATTGTGAAAGTTGTTTGCATTTCACTGGAATATTTCTTTAGCTCAAGGGGATCAAATCAATAAAATATGATGAAACCATATGCTCATTATTTCAAAAAAGAGCAGCTGCTTCAGGGAATATTGGGAGATTTATTAATTCTACCACTACCTCTCATTAAGGTTAGATATCTCCAGACCTGATTTCCTAAATAAAATGCACCTCAGCAGGAAAAGCACTCTTGTAGAATCTGTCCTGATATTCTATTTTGGTTCATTTCTATGATAACATTTATGGTAGAGAAAGTATTGTGCAATTTGAAATTATTAAGCAATCAGATACAATTCATTCCATGGAAAAGGCTTATAGCATAGCCATGGTTTGGAAATGCCATAGAGGAATGAGTCTTGGCAAAGATGAATGCTTACTGCTATGGGCCATATGTGCATTTAATTGAATTTGCAACTTTCCAGGCAAGATGCCAAATGGATAGTCTTCTGCCTGGTAAGAGAGGTAACATGTTCTGTCTTCTTGTTCTCACCCATTTTAGATGCACAAGAAGACTCAAATTTTTTCTTTAAAAGAGTTCTAAGTACAAAATCAAGCAAATAAGCAGACTAAGTCAAATAACCAATGCATTTAAGTTTTTAATTAATTGGGTTTAAACTCATATGCATACACTCAAGGGAGTTCAAAGTAGTGAAAAATCCTTGCCCAAATAGTTAACCCCAATTACAAAATTTAAAATAAATAACAGAAAGGAGGCATTTAATCTAACCTGTGTCCCATTCTTAAAAACAAAAGAAAGCAGAAAAAGCAAAGCAAATAAATGCCACCACCACCACCACCAAGAAGAAAAGCCCAAAATTCCTAGGAGGAAATTTCAGAATCTCTATGGAATTTAACAGATTTTAACAGTACATATTATTGTCCTATATAACTAGAAGTTAAATAAAATTGTTTGATAACATTGATTAAGTAAATTTTTAACACTTTTTTTTTTATTATACTTTAAGTTCTGGGTTACATGTGCAGATAGTGCAGTTTTGTTACATAGGCATACACGTGCCCTGGAATTTTTAAAACATTTTAAGATATAATTGACATACAATAAAATGCATATATTTAAGGAGAATTAATAGTTAAACTTAGACATCAACACAATCAAGATAAAAAACATATTTATTAATCCCCCAGACTTCCCTCATGGCCAATGGAAATTCCTCCTTTTGTGCCCCTTTCCAATGCCAACCCCATGCAATCTAATTTTTAATTCTTTGTTCCCAGGCCTTTTCAACAGTGTTTTAAATTTTGATGAAGCCTAATTGTTAATTTGTTACATACTTTTGCTTTTGATGTCTAATTTAAAATCTATTTTTTAATCCAACATCAATGATTTTTTTCTTGTTTTGCTCAAGAATTTTCAGTTTTTGCTGTTATCTTTAGGTCTATGCTACATTGTGAGTTTTTTTGTATATGTTGTGAGATCAGGATTGATACTCATTTGTTTTTGTGTGTGACTACCCATATATTCCAGAATCAATTATTGAACAGTTATTTTTTTCCTCCTTGAACTGTCTTACATTATTTGTCAAAAATAGACCATTTATTTATGGATTTATTTCTAGGTTTTCTATCCAGTTCCATTGATCTATGAGTTGATCTTTACATCAGTACAATGTCTTGTTTACTGAACCCTTATAATGCTTAAAATCAGGTAGTATATGTCCCTCAGCATTAGTTAATATTTTCAGAGTTGTTTTGGCTATTCCAGGTCCCTTGTATTTTCATAGAAATTTTAGATCAGCTTGTCAATTCTTAATAAAGACAAAAGTAAGCTCAAATTTTTATTAAGATTATATTATATCCTTAGATAAATTTGAGAACCATTGATAATGATACGGAGCAATTAGAATATTCGTACATTGCTACTCAGAATACAAAGTGGTACAGGCACCTTGGAAACAACTTAGTTGTCGCTTATGAAGTTAAACATGCACTTATCATATGACGTAGCAATTCCACTCTGTTTCTCTATGAGAAATGAAAGCATATGTATAAACCAATATTTTTACTAAAATGTTTACATCAGCTTTATTCACAAAAGCCATAAACTGAAAACAAGTGTAAATCTCCATCAGCTTGTGAGTGCATAAACAAATTTGAGTATATTTATATAATGAAGTACTGCTCAGTCATAAAAAGAACAAACTACTGAGACATGCAACAATGTAGATGAATCTCAAAAGCAGCATGCCAAAGGAAATCAGCTTAACACAAATGACTATACATTTTAAAATTCTTTCTATTCATTGAAATAAAAATAGATAAATAGAATAATAATAAATAGAATAAAATTCTATTCACAGGAAATTTTAGAAAAGGCAAAACTATAATGACAATATAGATTAGTGATTGTCAGGGGCTGGAGTGATGGGGAGAGAATCTGTCGAAGATGCACATTAAATAATTGTTTTAGGGTGATGGAAATGTTCTCTAACATGATTGTGGTGATGGCTACACGACTGTACATATTTGTCAAAATTTCTACAATTATACACTTACAGTAGACTTTATTGTATATAGATTATATTCAAAAACTGATGAAAATGTGCAAATATCTTGCGTATCTCTAAATAAAGTCAAAGTTGAGAAAATTCCATGTGATTCTCCTCTTACAACTTAAAATGCATCACCTTTTGAGGCTATGCTTCCTATGTATGGCCTATTCATACATAGGAATAGGATTAGCTATTCAACATAATCCAGCTCCTAAGGAAGACAATTCAATTACCAATTTAAATTACAGGAGAAATGTAGGTAACCAGAAAGCACTGATATAACCTGTAATCTGATATAAACACAATCTTAAAGAATAAAGCTTTGCTGTCACAACCAAACACTTTTCAGTGGAAGATTTACAATAAAAAGATATTCATATTACTATTCCGAAAATAATTATTTTTCTCTGATCTTGAGGCTTAAGGACATGACATCTTCAACTTAAAGTAGCCACACCTGATTCAAATTCACTACAAATGAAGTTAATGCCTATGTTCCCTTTTTATAGTCCCCTTTTGTTCGTTATTATGAAAATGCTTCTCAGTTCAAGAATGCTTAACATTTGGAGTGTTGTCATATAGCCTTTATAATGTAGCATCAACATTTGGTAATGATTCCAAAAATACTTCTGCAATGTTTACTTTGAGTTTTGCATTAAATGTTTTGCATCAAGGGACCATATGTTCAGGCATTTTATAACTTTTTTCAACTGGTATTCTGGCAAAACTAGTACACTGAATATAACTGAGAATATATAAAGTCTTACTAAAATTTAAATGTTCAAACAAGATACACATTGAATTAGTGAAGATGCCAGAATACAATAAAAGCCCTCTAATTTACAAGCTACCAGAGGCAAACACAATTTAAAGTTGATGTAAATCAAGAAAAAAAAATCTGCTTTGTGTGCAAGAAAGATACAATGAAAAGAAATAGAGGTTTTTGTTGTTGTTGTTGTTGTTACCACAAAGGCAGAATTAACATTTAGATTTTTAATATCCTCTGTAGGTCATAGGTCATAGATGAAAACAAAATTTTTTCATTTTACTATCAGTTAATTTTTAATCTGTTAAAGATAAGTAGACAGACAAATCTAAAGTTGTCTATATTCTAGAATCTATTGACATAACCTAATTTCTTTTTTTGTTTTCTTGAGATGGGGTCTCACTCTGTCACCCAGGCTGAGGTGCAGTGACTTGATCTCAGCTCACTGCAACCTCCGCCTCCCAGGTTCAAGCAGTTCTCCTGCTTCAGCCTCCAAAGTAGCTGGGATTATAGGTATGGGCCACCACATCTGGCTAATTTTTGGTATTTTTAGTATAGAAAGGGTTTCACCATGTTGGCCAGGCTGGTCTCAAACTCCTTACCTCAGGTGATCCGCCTGCCTCGGCCTCCCAGAGTGCTGAGATTACAGGTTTGAGCCACCACACCTGGCTGACATAACCTAATTTCAATGTGTACCATTGGAGCCAGTAACAACAATTATTTTCAAGGGATATTGCTAACGAAACATTAATCATAGAGCTGATAGAGTGTGGTGACATGGATATAATATTATACGAGAAAATTACTAAAAGTAAAACCAAATCTTTAATTTTATCCTACCGGTGACAGAAAAATAAAAAGAAAACATTAGACATGGATGGAAGGAGGAAGTATTGAAAATATTATTGCTGTGTCACATCTAATGTCCAAATGAAGTTTAGTCTATTATTGAGATTTTTCTGGAATCCAAATATTATATATTTTATATATATCAAATGTTATATCTATATCAAATACTATATATATTAACATTTTACACACTAAGATAAATTTGTCTAACTAAGGGAGGAGACCACCCCTCATATTGTCTTATGCCCAGTTTCTGCCTCCAAAGAAAGAAGAAGTAAAAACTGAAAGGCAGAAATGAAATCCACAAGCAGACAGCCCGGCGCCACACCCTGGGCCTGGTAGTTAAAGATCGACCCCTGACCTAATTGGGTATTTGCATAAAAAAGAACTGTGAAGATCCCTGTCCTATTCTGTTCTGTTCTAATTACCGGTGTATGCATCCCCCAGTCACATACCCCCTGCTTGCTCAATGGATCACACCCCTTTCACACGGACCCCCTTAGAGTTGTGAGCCCTTAAATGGGACAGGAATTGCTCACTCAGGGAGCTCGGCTCTTGAGACAGGAGTCTTGCTGATGCTCCGGGCCGAATAAACCCCTTCCTTCTTTAACTTGGTGTCTGAGGGGTTTTGTCTGTAGCTCTTCCTGCTACATAACTAGTTAACAATAACTTCTTGAGCCCTTATAATATACACTGCTTGGTAGAAATACAGAGATGAATAAGAAGTTTCTTCCTTATGGAGTAAAGGAAATAAATGATTATAATAAATGCAATGGCAGCATGAAAGATGGAGATTCCCAAGCTCTGCCCTGAGTGGCCAGTTGGATGAACTGTAAAGGAAAGGTAGACACATTTAGGAAGGGAATTCTTGACACAGAGAACAGCTTATGCCAAGACAAAACAGGTTATAGCCACTGTGTAAACATTTTTATAGGACTGAAGTATAAAAGTATCATGTTTGTGTCAGGGGTGCAGTGTAGGAACTAATTGGTCATGAGGCTGGTAAACTAATATAAGTCATATGGCTAAGTACTTATTACACAAAGCTAAGGGGTTTTAGGTTTTACGAATGGTGAAACAAGCCATTGTTTGATCTTTAACAGACACACCAAGATTATAGCTGCATTTATAAAAGATCATTTTATGTCTAAAACTACTCTGATTTGCCGATTTTGAAGCTTTTTATATAATATACATTGTGACACTTCTTTTAAAGACAATGACCATCTCTTTGTAAGCTAACATGTCTATCTGAAGAACCACTTATCATTAAATAAGATGTTTATAACATCATTTTTTTAACTTCTTCCCTGAACTCTGCAGACAGAAAAGAAATATTTTCTGTTGAATTAAGTAGTATTATACTCATGTTCACATATGAAATATTTGAAAAAAAGAATCATTTTCTTTATCTTTAGATCTACAGTACTTAGCAGTTCCCTGACAAATAGTTGAAGATCTAACCACAACTGAACTAAAGAAATGACTGGTAATGAAAAGCAAAGCTGACTTAATATATGACTCCAGTTAAAGTAACCAGAAACAGCGAAAGACCTGGCAAAGAGTAGGTGTTGATAAATGCTGTATTTAATGGAAATTTTTGATGGTGGGTAAAAGATTTTGGCATCTCAAAATCTTACCAGATTTTTTTTTTTTTTTTTTTGCTATATATTGTTATGTTGGAGAGCATATCTTATTAGCGTAGTCTTTGAGTGGAAAATAGAAAATTAAATGCTCATACCTACAAAGTCATTACAAACACAATTCATAGTAATGTAACTTTTACATTAACTAAAGAACTTAAATAAAACCAAAATGTTAATTGCCAACCAGTTCTTGAATATGCAAACTTCTCTGAGAATTTTAACAGAAAAGGAAATTTTTTGAAAGCAGGAAAAAATGAGTTATATGTCTTATTTAATACACCCAGAAAGATGAAGCACTATCAACTACTAGATGAAAAGAATAATCCACTGAGATGACCAAAACAACCAATGAAAAGCAAATGATGTTGACAAAATGATACAGTAAGGATAGATAATATAACAATATAAAACAGACTATAACTTGGTTTTTCCAAAATAATATTGCAAAAATATTTTAACCAAGGCTGGTAGCTATTTGGTGATTCTATATACCAAACATTATATTCTATAATTTACTATATATTTTAATGTAAATTATCATGACTTGTTTGTCAAAAGTCATAACGTAAGAATATTATTCCCCATTTCAACAATATCTCAGAAATTGTTTTTAAGGAACTACTGCCAGGATTTCCTTTAAAAAATTTTATAGGGTGGGGCCAAGATGGCCAACAAGAAGCAGCAGTGGTAATCAGAGGCTCCTGTCAAAAAGAACCATAACATGCGAATCCAGCACCGGCAACTTAGATATTCAGGTTCTTGTCATCAGAACTGACTAGGCGACTGACATGACCCACAGAGAGGAAGGAAGAGCAGTGTGGTGCTGCGGCCCATCTGAGAGCCACATGGGGCAGCCACCCGCAAGCCACTCGCCAAGAGAGGCAGCGAGTGAGCATGCTGCACAGCCTGGGAAACCATGATTTTCCATGGAAATGTGCAATCCATGGATCGGAAGATCCCACTTGTGAACCCACACCACCGGAGCCTAGGGTCCCAACTATGGAGCCGCACTGATTCTCAACAGCCACTCAGCTAGAATCTGCTTAAACCTGATGAATTCCCCGGGGGAGGGGCGACCAGCAACACAGCTGCTGCTACCTGCTGTCTAAGCCTTTGAGTTCCTTTGGAAAGGGGCGGCAGCCAACATTGGGACTGCTAGCTGCCTAACACACTAAGCTCCCAGAGCAGGGGAAGGGCGGCTGCCATCTCTATAGCTCCAGGCCACACTTTTCCCCTGCTAGACCCAGGGAACTGGACGGCTTTGTCCCAAGAGCTGTTACCCACAGCCCAACACACCCGCTGTGGCAGACTGTCGCCAGAGTACCTCTTCGAGTCTGACCCTGACCCATCCCCACCTCACTGGGCAAGGCCTCCCTGCAGGAACTCCAATAACTCCAGCCAGGGATTAGGGACGGAACTCTGATCTCCCTGGGCCTGAGCCTCTATGGGGAGAGGTGGCCATAGTCTCCACTGTCCCGCAGACTTAGTGTTTCCTCCTGCTAGTTCTGAGGAATCCAGGCAGCCCAGACAAGTGGGTTTCCCTCCAGTGAAGCACACTCCCTCCACCAAGGGGCAGCCAAAGTGCCTCATTAAATGGGTCCTACAGCCCATGCCACCCATCTGGGTGAGACTCTCTCAAACAGGGGTTGTCAGACATCCCATACAGTAGCATTTCTATTGGAATCAGGTTGGTGCCCCTTGAAGCCAGAGATCCCAGAGGAAGGAGCAGCCACCCAACTTTGCAGTTCTTCAGCCTCCTCAAGTGATATCCCCATGCACAGGAGCGAACCAGATGAACAGGACCTGAAGTGAACCTCCAGCAAACCACAGCAGCCCTACAGAAGAGGGACCTGACCATTGAAAGAAAAACAAACAAACAGAAAGCAATAACAACAGCATCAACAAAAGGTTTCCCCACAAAAACCTCATCCAAGGATCAGCAGCCTCAATGATTGAAACTAGACAAACTCATGAAGATGAGAAAGAATCAACAACAAAATACTGAAAACACATAAGGCCAGAGTGCGTCTTCTCCTCTGAATGATTGCAACACCTCTCCAGCAAGGGTGCAGAACTAGATGGAGGATGAGATGAATGAATTGACAGAAGTCGGCTTCAGAAAGTGGGTAGTAACAAACTCTGCTGAGCTAAAGGAGCATGTTCTAACCCAATGTAAAGAAGCTAAGAACCTTGATAATAGGTTACAGGAGCTGGTAACTAGAATAACCAGTTTAGTGAGGAACATAAATGACCTGATGGAGTTGAAAAACACAGCATGAGAACTTCATGAAGCATACGTAACTATCAATAGTCAAATCGATCAAGCAGAAGAAAGGATATCAGAGTTTTAAGATTATCTTGCTGAAATAAGGCATGCAGACAAGATTGGGAAAAAAAGGAATGAAAAGGAATGACAAAGCCTCAGAGAACTATGGGACTATGTAAAAAGACCAAACCTACAACTGATTGGAGTACCTGAAAGAGACAGGGAGAATGGAACCAAGTTGGAAAACACACTTCAGGATAATATCCAGGAGAACTTCCCCAACCTAGCAAGACAAGCCAACATTCAAATTCAGGAAATACAGAGAACACCACTAAGATACTCCAAGAGAAGATCAACCCCAAGACACATAACCATCAGATTCTCCAAGGTGGAAATGAAGGAAAAAATGTCAAGGCCAGCCAGAGAGAAAGGCCAGGGCACCTACAAAGGGAAGCCCATCAGACTAATAGCAGATCTCTCAGCAGAAACCCTACAAGCCATAAGAGAGTGGGGGCAAATATACAACATTCTTAAAGAAAAGAATTTCAAACACAGAATTTCATATCTAGCCAAATTAAGCTTCATAAGTGAAGGATAAATAAAATCTTTTACAGACAAGCAAATGCTGAGGGATTTTGTCACCACCCGGCCTGCCTTGCAAGAGCTCCTGAAGGAAGCATTGAATATGGAAAGGAAAAATTGGTACAAGCCACTGCAAAACACACTGAAGTACAAAGACCAATGACACTATGAAGAAACTGCATCAACTAGTCTGCAAAATAACCAGACAGCATCATGATGACAGGATCAAATTCACACATAACAATATTAACCTTAAATGTAAATGGGCTAAATGCCCCAATTAAAAGAGACAGAGTGGCAAATTGGATAGAGTCAAGACCCATCCATGTGCTGTATTCAGGAGACCCATCTCACGTGGAAGGACACACATAGCCTCGAAATAAAGGAATGGAGGAAAATTTGCCAAGCAAATGGAAAGCAAAAACAAGCAGGGGTTGCAATCTTAGTCTCTGACAAAACAGACTTTAAACCAACAAAGATAAAAAAAAAAAAAAAAAAAGGACAAAGAAGGGCATTACATACTGGTAAAGGGATCAACTCAACAAGAACAGCTAACTATCCTAAATATATATGCACCTAATTCAGGAGCACCCAGATTCATAAAACAAGTTCTTAGAGACCTACAAAGAGACTTAGACTCTTACACAATAATAGTGGGATACTTTAACACCCCAGTGTCAGTGTTAGACAGATCATTGAGACAGAAGATTAACAATGATATTCAGGAATTGAAATTAGCTCTGGATCAAGTGGACCTAATAGACATCTACAGAACTCTCCACCCCAAATCAACAGAATACACATTCTTCTCAGTGTCACATGGCACTTACTCTAAAATTGATCACATAATTGGAAGTAAAGCACTCCTCAGCGAATGCAGAAGAACTAAAATCATAACAGTCTCTCAGACCACATTGCAATCAAATTAGAACTTAGGATGAAGAAACTCACTCAAAAACCACACAATTACATGGAAATTGAGTAACCTGCTCCTGAATGACTCCTGGTTAATAATGAATTAACCAGGGATTAACAAGTTCTGTTAACTTGTTAACAGAACAAGGCAGGGATCAACAAGTTCTTTGAAACCAATAGGAACAAAGAAATCTTGTGCCAGAATCTCTGGGACACAACTAAATCAGTGTTAAGAGGAAAATTTATAGCACTAAATGTCCACATCAGAAGGCTAGAGAGATCTCAAATTGACACCCTAACATCACAATAAAAAGAAATAAAGAAGCAAGAGCAAAGAAATCCAAAAACTAGCAGAAGACAAGAAATAACTAATATCAGAGCTGAAATGAAGGAGATAGAGACATGAAAAACCCTTCAAAAAACTCAATGAATCCAGGAGCTGGTTTTTAGAAAAAAGTCAACAAAGTAGATAGACCAATAGCTAGACTAATAAAAAAGAAAAGAGAGAAGAATCAAATAGACACAACAAAAAGTGATAAAGGAGATATCACCACTCACCCCACAGAAATACAAACTACCATTAGAGAATAATATAAACACTCTAAGCAAATAAACTAGAAAATCTAGAAGAATTGGATGAATTCCTGGACACATACACCCTCCCAAGACTAAACCAGAAAGAAGTTGAATTCCTGAATAGAGCAGTATCAGGTTCGGAAACTGAGGCAGTAATTAATAGCCACCAACCAAAAAAAGCCCAGGACCAGAAGGATTCACAGCCGAATTCTACCAGAGTTACGAAGAGGAGCTGGTAGCATTTTTTTCTGAAATTATTCCAAGCAATTGAAAAGGAGGGACTCTTCTGTGACTCATTTTATGAGGCCAGTGTCATCCTAATACCAAAGCCTAGCAGACTCAACAAAAGAAGAAAATTTCAGGCCAATATCCCTGATAAACATCTATGCAAAAACCCTCAATAAAATACTGGCAAACTGAATCCAGCAGCACAGCAAAAACTTATCCACCACAATCAAGTCGACTTTATCCCTGGGAAGCAAAGCTGATTCAACATATGCAAATCAATAAACATAATCACATAGACAGAACCAATGACAAAAACCACATGATAATCTCAATAGACATGGAGAGGCCTTCAATAAAATTCAACACCCCCTCATGTTAAAAACTCTCAATAAACTGGGTATTGATGGAACTTATCTCAAAATAATAAGAGCTATTTATGACAGACCCACAGCCAATATTATACTGAATGGGCAAAAGCTGGAAGCATTCCTTTTGAAAACTGGCACAATACAAGGATGTCTTCTCTCATCACCCTTATTCAACATAGTGTTGGAAGTTTTGGCCAGGAATATCAAGCAAGAGAAAGAAATAAATATTATTCAAATAGGAGGAGAGGGAGTCAAATTGTCTCTATTTGCAGACAACATGATTCTATATTTAGAAAACCCCATGTTCTCAGCCCCAAAACTCCTTAAGCTGATAAGCAACTTCAGCAAAGTCTCAGCATACAAAATCAACGTGCAAAAATCATAAGCATTTTTATACACCAACAATAGGCAAGCAGAGAGCCAAATCATGAGTGAATTCCCATTCACAATCACTACAAAGACAATAAAATACCTAGGAATACAGCTACCAAGGAATGTGAAGGACCTTTGCAAGGAGAACTATAAGCCACTGCTCAAAGAAATAAGAGAGGACACAAACAAATGGAAAAACATTCCATCTTCATGGAGAGGAAGAATCAATTTCATGAAAATGGCCATACTGCCCAAAGTAATTTATAGATTCAGTGCTGTTCCCATCAAACTACCATTGACTTTCTTCACAGAATTAGAAAAAAAAACTGCTTTAAAACCAAAAAAGAGCTTGTATAGCCAAGACAATCTTTGGCAAAAAGAACAAAGCTGGAGGCATCACACTAGCTGACTTCAAACTATTCTACAAGGCTACAGTAATCAAAACAGCATAGTACTGGTACCAAAACAGAGATATAGGCCAATGGAAAAGAACAGAGACCTCAGAAATAACACCACACATCTACAACCATCTGATTTTTGACAAACATGACAAAAAGAGAAATGGGGTAAAGATTCCCTATTTAATAAACAGTTCTGGAGAAAACTGTCTAGCCAATGTGCAGAAAGCTGAAATTGGACCCCTGCCTTACAACTTATACCAAAATTAATTCAAGATGGATTAAAGAATGAAATGTAAATCCCAAAACCCTAGAAGAAAGTCTAGGCAATACCATTCAGGACATAGTCATGAGCAAAAATTTCATGACAAAAATGCCAAAAGCAATTGAAACAAAAGCCAAAATCGGCAAATGAGATCTAATTAAACTAGAGTTTCTGCACAGCAAAATAAACTACCATCAGAGTGAGCAGGCAACCTACAGAATGGAGAAAATTTTTGCAATCTGCCCATCGGATAAAGGGCTAACACCCAGTATCTACAAGGAACCTAATCAAATTTACAAGTAAAAAACAACCCCATCAAAAAGTGGGCAAAGGATATGAACAGCCACTTCTCAAAAGAAGACATTTGTGCAGCCAACAAACATGAAAAAAAGCTCAACATCACTGATCATCAGAGAAATGCAAATCAAAACCACAAAGATACCATCTCATGCCAGTCAGAATGGTAATTATTAACAAGTCAGAACACAATAAATGCTGGTGAAGCTGTGGAGAAATAGGAACACTTTTACACTGTTGGGAGTGTAAATTAGTTCAACATTCCACCATTGTGGAATACAGTATGGTGATTCCTCAAGGTTCTAAACCCAGAAATACCCTTTGACACAGCAAGGCTATTACTGGGTCAATACCCAAAGGAATATAAATCATCCTACTATAAAGTCACATGCACATGTATGTTTAATGCAGCACTATTTACAATAGCAAAGACATGGAACCAACCCAAATGCCCAACAATGATAGACTGAATAAAGAAAATGTGGTACCTATAGAACATGGAATACTATGCAGCCATTAAAAGGAATGAGATCATGTCCTTTGCAGGGACATGGATGAAGCTGGAAACCATCATCCTCAGCAAACTAACACGGAAACAGAAAACCAAACACTGCGTGTTCTCACTCATATGTGGGAGTTGAACAATGAGAACACATGAACACAGAGAGTGTGACAACACACACAGGGGCCTGTTGGTGGGTGGGGCCAAGGGGAGGGAACCTAGATGACACGTTAATAGGTGCAGCAAACTACCATGGCACACATATACCTATGTAACAAACCTGCATGTTCTGCACATGTATCCTGGAACTTAAATAAAATAAAATAATAAAATAAAATAAAAGTTCCCCAATTTGCTCTCAGCCAGAAAAAAAATTATATCTTTTCTGGACTATTCAATGACTAAAGAGGAAAATAAAAATACTAAAAAATAATTAAACTTTGTGGGAAATGGAATATTAGAAACACAATATTATGAAACACTATGAGAAAAAATTAGAGACCAAGTATTTTTTCTGGTCATGTCAGGGAAGAATATAAAGTTGAAGTAGTACCTGAATTGGACATTTTAGAAAAGAGAATTTGCCATATAAGTAATAATTTGTTTTTAAAATTCATTCATTACAGTAGAAACTGTCAATTTAGTTTAAAAAATGGAAAAAGAAACCATGGTAATGAAAACTAAATATAATATAGCATGAAGTATACAGTTCAGAGTGTAATCAGAGTCCCTACTTGTTTGTACTTAACAGTTATTTTTAGAAAAACCATCTTCTTTAGATTGTAGCAATTCACTAAGTAAGTACTGAGCTTACCATGTGCCAGGCACACCTTTTATTTGCCAGACACTCCTCTGGGAGGTACCCTGCTGGCACAGAGGTGAAAAGAGTCTCTGCTGCCAGAGAACTGGCATTCTTGTGGGAAAGATAAATAATACATGAGATGGAATTTGCCCATGATGAACAGGAGTCCACCATGTGACCACTGGAGCAATTGGCCTCATCTGTGAGGATTCTCCAGACAAAACAGAGACCTTCAGAATTTTAGGAAATCTTTATGTGTGTAAGAAGAAAATCCATTTGTTTCTAGATATAGAAACTTCAAGGAAAATTTGAAGTAAATTGTGCTTTTGTTTTAAGGAAAGTGCCTTAGAATGTACTTTTTAATTATATAAATACAGTCATGTGTTGTATCATATTTCAGTCAACGACAGACCACATATATAGTAGTAGCCCCATAAGATCATCACAGAGCTGAAAAATTCCTATTGCCTAATGACATCATAGCTGTCATAATATTGTAGTGCAAAGCATTATTCATGTGCTTGTGGTGATGCTGGTGTAAAGAAACCTACTGCTCGGCCAGTCATATAAAAGTGTAGCAATACGATTATGTACAGTTCGGAATACTTGATAATGGTAACAAATAAGGATGTTACTGGTTTATGAATTCACTATACTATATTTTTAACATTATTTTAGAGTGTGTTCCTTCTACTTATGAAAAAAAAAAGTTAACCGTAAAACAGCTTCAGGAAGGTCCCTCAAGAGGCATTCCAGAAGGCCTGTTATCAGTGGAGATGACAGCTCCATGAGTATTACTGCTCCTGAAGGCCTTCCAGTGGGACTAGATGTGGAGGTGGAAGACAGTGATATTGGTGATCCTGACCTGGTGTGGGCCTACGCTAATGTGCATGTTTGTGTCTTAGCTTTTAACAAAAAAAAAATTAAAAGTATAATAAAATAAAAGTTTAAAATGTTAAAAATAGAGACAAGCTTAAACTGAGAATATAAAGACCAAAATATTTTCTTACAGCTGTACACTGTGTTTGTGTTTTAAGCTAAATGGTATTACAAAAGGGTCAAAAGGTATAAAAAATTTAAAAGTCTCTAAAGTAAAAAAGTTATAGTGAGCTAAGTATTTATGTGTGTTATTATTTAAATGGATGACAAGTAATGCTACTCTTGGGCTATTGTATTTTAACCTATTGGATTGTGCTGGTGAGAGGATGGTTCCACATCCTTTCAGGTAGGAGTATAGGGTTTTCTCTAAGCAGTGAGGTATTCTTACTATCAAGCATCTTCAGAAGAGTTTTGCTGGAAAAAAGAAATAGATTGAGAAATATGAGTCTAAAACTGGGACCTCTCTCCACCTCATGGAAATTTGACTTTTGATTTGTAGTTACAGACACTTTTAGAGAGTATTCATAGCAGCTTCTCAGATTAGTGTGTGTGTGTGTGTGTGTGTGTGTGTGTGTGTGTGTGTGCCTGTGCCTATGTGTATATGTGTGTGTGATCTGAGTAAGAGTTGGCCTCTTCCTACAAGCTAGATAGGGCAATAAGAGACCCTGAGAGTGGCTGTGGACTTGTAGCACCCTAGAACAGGCATATTGAGGAGTCAGTTTTACATTCTTCGTGGTGTTATATTTCAGTATTCTTGTTCTCATATCTTCAGTGAAATATTAGTAGAATGTTTGGTATCATCACAGTTGTGCAGTGGTGGATGGTGAGTCAAGCCTGATCCATGTTAGGGGTGGGGTGGCATTGGAGAGGGTGGTGAGGCCATCCTTCCAAGTGCTTCAGTAAGTGACAATCACCAGGAGTGGCTGACTGTACTGTGTAGAGTGGTTCTCTATCTAATGTGTTATTATCAACATAAATGGTAATTAATTAATGAGGAAGCTCAAGTGGAAAATTTGAGGAACATATTCCTGGGCACTTGTAAGACAGCTTCTTTGAGAGCTCTCAGAAATAATTGGAGTACCATGCACAAGGGGATTCTATGTCAATTTTTATTTGGGTGCTTAATGAAAATATAAACGAATTTCCCCACACTGTTTTGTGAGACCAGGATAAATTGGTAACTTGGAATACTACAAATAGGATGGATGGGGTCATTATTGAGAGAAGGGCAAGAGTCTATGTCACCTTGCATATTGACATTGAACTCCTCAAAAATGGAAAATCAGTGGCTCTAAAATGAAGCCACAGTAACTGCAAAACTGGGGGAGAATTCCATTTTACCAGACTGTAGAAAAGGTGATTTTACTCACTATAGGAAGCTACTTTATTCTAACCAGAGTGTAGAAACTATGAAATTCAAAAGGGATAATTATTACTGTTTTCATTTTATTTACCCCTATATTTCCAACTCCTAGTAAAGCATATTTTACCCTGTGGAACTCTGGAAAATGTTGGTAAATAAATAGATTTTCTCATTAATAAAATCTACAATTGGAATCCATTGCTAAAGGAATAATTCACAAACTCCAGAACAGTGCATGCAAGAATCTGCATCACCTGGTCCCAGTCTACTCAATCTAATCTAATTCTTCTCTTCATGAAATTAGTAGTCATACTAACCCTCAGCCTTTCACTAATCACAATTTGCTTAATCCAGTGGCCCTGTTTTTGCTCAGCTTTTCCCTTAACTGGGGATGTATTTCTCTAAAATCCTATGTTCATCTGTATTTTTCTATTTAATCTTACAGTCTCTACTAACCGCTCATTCTTTTAATACGTTTTAAGTTCACACAGACTGAATTAATCATTACTTCCTTTTCACTGCTATAACACTTTGGATCTATTTTTTAAATATAATTTTGGATAGATGCTGCTAAGGTTTGGATATGGTTGATCTCCACCAAAACTCGTGTTGAAATTTAATTACCAATGTAATAATGTTATGGGGTAGGGCCTTTAAAAGGTCATTAGGCCATTAAGTTGGATTAACGTCTTTCACAAGACTGAGTTAGTTATGAAAAGACTGGAATAGCTCTTGTGGGAATGGAATTGCCTCCCATGAGTAGGCTGATGCAAGTTCAGTTTCTGTAGCTTTCTCTTGCCTCCTCATTCGCCTTTTAATGTCTTCCATCATGTTATGATACAGCCTAAGGCTCTCTTTAGAAGCCAACCAGATGCAGCTGCCCAGTTTTGGACTTCCCAGCCTCCAGAACAGAACTGTAATAAATAACCTGCTTTTCTTTCTAAATTACTCAGTTTCAGGTATTCTGTTATAACAACAAAAAATAAATGAAGATAGATGCTTTTGCTTCTTCTTATGCTCTATAGTTTTCTCTTGGCATTAGCCAGTGAGAGGTTTTACAAATTTATTTGTTTATTATAAATTGGATCATATCACACCATTGCTCAAAACTCTCCAGTGGTTTACTATCACACTTAAAATTCATGTCTTCATTATGTCCTGCAAGGTCTTGATTGCCCTGGCCTCTGGCTGCCTCACCAAAGTCATTTTCCCCCAACTTACTCCCCTCCAGCTGTATTGCTCCATGCTCTGCCTGGAGCCTGACAAGTCTATTGTAGCTTTAGGGCTTTTTCATTTGCTTTTTCCCCTGCCAAAAAATATTTTTCTAGATCTTTTGTGGCTTCTTTATTTTATTCCTGTTTCTATTTATATATTACCTTCTTAGAGAAATGCTCTCTATCTCACCTAATCTAAAATAGCCCCAGCTTGTCTAAAGCTTTTATCTTCCCATCTTCCACCCATTATTTGACACAGAGCAATGTTTACAATGTGCACCACTACTTTCAAATATTGTCTAGTAAAAATTGACATATTTCTTTAAAAATGCCCTAAATTGGATTAGAAATAACTTGCTTAGCAATGAAAAAAATGAGAGTAACCTAAATCTTTAACCTGTGTGTAGCTATTTTGTTCAACAAATTGAACTTACTATAGAACATAGATAAAATTTTACCTCCTAGAAAGAAATACGTTGTGTTTCCTTTTGATCGGAAAACACTTGAAATCATTGTTTTTGAAATAATTGCAGAATAATTGCTTCAACTTTAGCCTCTCTTCAGTGAAGCATATGAGGATGGGATAAAATAGGCCTAGACTGTATATGTGATTTTAATATGTGCTGTTGGTCTGGATGGTATGGACTTAATAAGCAGATTTTGTTCTGGGCAACTATAGCCTGTTTCTCTTCTTTTACCCTTAAATAATTGTACATCCTTAGCTTTCTAAACTTAGATTGGCATTAATCGTAAACCTTAGTAGTCTCTGTCCATGAGTTTACAACCATAAAATATTTTTCTTTGTATAATGCTAATTTTGATTTTCTCAACTTTCCTGTAGTTGCTCCTAAGTAGCTTCTAGCAGTCTATGGCTAGTTTTAGTTGAAACCACAATTTCTTAACACCCTGTTTACAATGCACACAGATAAGCTTCTGGCAATTTACCTAGCTCTCATCCTCCAAAAACTCGAAAGATAAATTTTGTTCAACATATCATTACTTTAAAATTTATTTTGAGATGCAAATAAAATGACTAAATTTATGGTGAAAAAGTTTTTTTGTGACTTCAAAAGAAGCATATGATGGGAAACTATTATCTGATTTATATACAACTATTACTTCTTTCATATTTTTACATTTAAAAGTCTGCCATTATTAGCAGTTAGGGAAATTATTTTGTGATGTATGTATATCTGTATATGACTTAACACTGGATCAAGTTTAAATTGGAAACATAAAAAATAATGAACATTTCTGCATCCATGGCTTTTGTTTTCATCATTAGATATAATGCACAAAGTGTGGGAAGATTTTTGCCAGTGGAGGCAAAAACTAAGCACAGCTAAAGAAACACCTAAATTCCATATTGCCAATGGCAATTGACATCTTTCATCACTCTTTTCTACATTCCTCTTTACAGCTAAGGTTCTGGATGAAATCTAGGTTTTGCCAGGGACAGGTACTCATGGAATATTTGGTAAACAGAAAGAAGGTTTCAGGGAGTAGAGGTGGATTACCAAGAATGATTAAGGAAGGTTTATTTACGATTATGACATTTTATACACAGACATTAACAAAACCTAAGATAAGAGCAGTGAATCCACAAAGAACAGAAAATACAAATTTTCTGAGGTTTTCCAAGGTTATCCTGAGACAGAAAAAAAGGACAGAATGATTAGAGCATAATGAATGGTCATTTGAGGAGTGTATTGAGATAAGGTTGGAGGAATGGTAAGTGGTCAGATCATGCGAAGTCATTGTGGTATAAAACGTAAATTGGCTCATTCAACACCTACTTCAACCTTCTCTAATTTTATTTTCTGTATAATAATGCTAGTGAAAATAAAAATTTCTCAGACTCTTTTTCAACTGGGTTGCTATATGTGACATAAGTTCTACCAAGTAGGTGTGAGTCAGAAATGAGTGACTTGAGGTGGCACCACACACTAGAAGAATGTATCTTCCGGCACATAGAACAGTAGGAGGCATTTGTTTGCTTGGGGCTACTTTAACAGCATTTTTTGCATCCGTTCTCTACTGACTGAATCCTGTGGCATAGCAGGGCATTTTCCCTGGCTCATTTTCCCTGGTTCTGGTTGCACAATATTCAGGGCTAGGTCCTTGACTCTTCTGTATTGTATATTGGAATGATTCTTTTTATTCAACCACCTAAAGTGGATTATGTTGTCTAAAAAAAAACCAAATACATGATACTACTTCTGGAGTTGTGCAGTAAGCAGCTCAACAAGCCCTCTACCGAAAAAGCATTGAAAAAAGAAGGAAAAAGAAAAGGCAAAAATTGACAAAACAGGAATGAAAGAGGGATCATCGCTACTGACCCTGCAGAAATGAAAAGAATTATAAGGAAATACTATAAACAACTTTATTTTAGTAGACAACTTCAATGAAATGAGTAAATTCCTAGAAAAACACAATGATCAAAACTGACTCAAGAAGAAAGTGAAAATGAGTAGATCCATAACAAAAAAGATATTAAATAAGTAATTAAAAATCTCCCCACAAAGAAAATCTAGGCCTACATACCTTTGTTGGTGAATTCTGTCAGATATTTGCAGAAGATATATCAAACCTTCACAAACTCTTCCTGAAAATGCTGGAGAAAGGATTATTTTTCAGTTCATTTGATGAGGGAAGTTTTTACCGAAACTGCAACGAAATCTGAAAAAATAGTTGATTCAAATAATTTCTCTTTGAGTATGTCCTTAGGGAGTCCCTAAGTTGGTGATAATGGGGGCATTAGAGATGGGGTGTTCTGATGACTATTTTTCTCATTGTCTTACTTCTCCTTTGATTGTTATTATTCTATGGTTCACAATATACAATAGCTGACTGGGTCTCTGTGTGAAGTGTTCTTCATGTCTTCTGAACCATCAAACTTCATGATACCCAACAGATTATTTGAACTCCTCTAGATCCATCACACTCCACTGCTGTTTCTCTCTCTTTCCCTCCCTCCCTCTCTTCCTCCCTGAAGTTCCTTTAAATTCATTTTATTTTGTATATATCTAGTTGCTTTAGAAAAGATTCCCACAGCAGCATTATGAAGTCTTTGTACACGGGCCTTCTTTCCAAAGTGCTGACTGACCTTTCTGCTTTTGCTGACGTTGTCAGTCAGGATTCCTTGACCACATTTATCTCGGGGGGCCAAGTGATTTTCTTCCCAGCCAGCTTGGATTCCTTTCACTGCATATCTCAGTCAATGGATCTGTACATGACAGAAAGCAATGCTATGACCACAGCCTGTTTTTTTACACTACTTTTAGGGCCTAAGTGCATTAAGCAATGTGGAAGGGCATTTGTTTCTCCCAGTTCATTCCTGACAGTTGGACATCTCTTGAGGCAGCACCTCAACGATCTCTAGAGGGCAGTGTTGCTTAATTCCAAATGCCGAACTGATCATCGTGGGTCTCTGAATGCAAAACACTGGTGCAATAATTAAAATACAATTTCTCAGAAGTTTCCTTGGAAATGGAAATGACACAATGTTTTAAATGTGTGCTTGAAAACATTTTTATGAAAAAAATCTTTTAAACATAAATAAGGATAAATAAAACTAATGAGGTTAGTTTTCTCTCTTGCCAATTTGGTTACATCATCTCTCAGGCTCTCCTCACAAAATCAAGCTCTCTCCCAATGATTCCCACAGACCCTCACTCTCCTCCTCCCCTGTCAGGGTAACAGGCATTTATCCTTCATGTTTCATAACTCTGTGAGGGAGCCTCAAGACCTCTTCTCTGACTGTCCTTCATCTACCCCAACTAATGATGAATAAATTCTCATGGAAAACCAGGGACATTAAAGTGAAAGCAGTGCTCCTGGGAATGAGAAAAAGGGAAAAAAGAGGACATTTTAATAAATTTTTGATTATGCTCTTATACATTTCAGGAAATGAATTGGAAACACTTGAGACTAATGCTTGAGACTAATGCTTGAGACTAAGGTCAAAAATAGATGAGCTTATTGTGTCCTTCTGGGGCCACAAAAGCCAATCAACTCATTAGCTAAAAAATGTTTTATGTGGTTTCTAAATATAAATATAAAGAAGGCTTTTGTGTACTTTGGAAAGTACTCTTGAACAGGAAAAATTCTTGAGTGTAAAAGAAATCTATTTTCATTCTTGTTAATATTTGTTATTTTAAAATATTATCATAGTTGTACCTTATGATGCAATAAAATCATATTCTAATTCTAGAACCTACAATAGTGAATTGTACTGTTCTTTACACATATCAGTTCTTTTAATAAATATTTGTTCAACTGAGTTGACCAAGATTTCATTGCTCAATAAATGTAATTATTGCATAAAATTTGGATTTACTTCAAAAAAAGAAACAATTGCTTGTATCATTATTTGAATGAAGCAAGCATGAGCTCTGAAAAACAAATGTCTGTAAGTCCAAATATCAGGATCAAATTCACTAAGTAATTGCTCAAGTTGCCAATTTGCCCAAAAAATCATTGAGAAACACTTTAAATTGGCAAGTCCTTCAAAATGGCTTTATATCAACAAGTCATTTTTTCTTTTTCTGGAGAAAATATCTGTCTAAAATAAATCTTATATATACTGTGAGAAAACTGCCGAAACTGGAACTAATTTTTATGTCTCTTTATAAAGTTAGCATAAACATACCTCACATTTAAGAAAACAAAACTTGTCGTGTATATTTTCTTCATAAACTTTTAGAAGTTCCAGTGTTTTTGAAGATTAAACAATGTTTTAATATGACAAAATCAGATGATTCTCTTCTTTTATTTCTGGTTTAATTCACCAACGTTTTTAGGCTTACTCTTTATTTTCACCTAAATGAACTACATATGCTACATATTATAATTTTTCATATGTGAAACTTACAATGATGTGTTTCACAACTGAAGAACAAGTCATATTAACCCAATTGGGGGCTGGGAATTTATATATTTATTCATATATCCATTGTTTGAGCCCAGATGTCTAAGTAAAATAAAAATAGACAAATGAATCTCTAAGCAAAACTTTTTATCTGGCAATATATAAAAAAGAGAATTGCAATTTTGGGCATACATACTGACCAGGGTGGTCTTTGGTATGCATGAAGAAGAAAGAGAAAATTAGACATTTTATTAGAAAGAAAAATGTTATGTATTGTTTTGAAATAAAACTCATCACCATCAATGTTTACAGGAGCTGGCAAGCTCTGACTGATAAGTGACAGTGGTACGTAAAACTAGTCTTAGAATTACTGTGGTTCATTTCTGCAGCTACTAGGTAAAACTACTCTTAAAGTTATAGCAGGTCATTTTGGCAGCTGGCTTGTGAGATAACTCCTGGGCAGGTGCTTTGTGCCCAACTATTTTTTTTTCCTGCTCTCTCAATACTAATTTAGTTGTGTATGACAAGACAACTCCAATTCATATAATCAATTTTTACACACATTTATTAAACAAATCTTATATGTGGGTTATTGTTTTAGCAACCAAGTACATAGTGATGAAAAATAAAAATTGCATACATAGAATTTTAAAACAAGATAACAATTGCTTTCCATTTTACTTTTACCTATAGAAGGCATTCAAGGGTTTCAGAAGGCAGAGAAATCACTTCCACTTTAAGACATTTTAAAAAATTTCCAAAGAAATGTTGAATTTGAGATAGGATTTACAAGAGTGGTAGGATTCTTTAGTTAACAACAGAAAAAGAGTATGTTGGTTGGGGTGACTAGAAGAAACTAAAGTGGAAATGGAACATAATAGTGATAAGAGCTTATTTGTTTAGTGCTTGCTATATGTCAGGTCGTTTATATACATTATGTCAAGAAATTCTTAAAATAATCTGAAATCCCCACTCTGTAAATGGGGAAAATCAAGCTCAGAGATACCAAGTAAATTACTGAAGGTCACACAGCTCTTAGGTAGCACAGGCTGCATTTATTCCTCACTCACATAGATCTGTTGTTACTGGATTGGCATTCATACTGAAGAGGGCTAGAATTTAAGACTAGAAAACTACTCTAGGGAAACCTGTAGGTGAATAACTACATCTGTCAGTAGCTAAGCAATTTCTTGTTTCAATGACAGACATGATATTTACAGTGAAACTGACCTTTTTTTGTATGTAAGAGATTCAGCACAGGATTTCACTTCCTATGGCAGGATATGAAATTGACTCATGAGATCTGACCTTCTTAGTACTTTCAAGGTAAGACAGAGAAAAAAAAAAGAATCCCTAAAATTGACAAGTATGTTACAACCAGTTTCTAAATGTGAACACTGGGAGAAAGATAGTTGAAACACAAAGTTTAGATAAATTTTGTATTACACCGGACTGAATGCCTACCTTAGTTTTAGTTCAACATTTTCTAATACTAGATTTTCTTGGGAATAAATGAGGTGACAATTGCATCAAGATAAAGTAGCATGTCATGAAAATTATGCATAGAATATCTCTATGAAGTCAGATTTTTCCATCACTCAAATTAGATCTGTATTAGACATATGAAGACTTCTTCCCATAAAGTACCTTGCGTTAAGTAAGCTTGACTATATTTGGATCAGCTTTAGTTCATTTAGAATAAGCGCTCACATGCAAAAGTCTGGATTTAATACTGTAGTAATTAAGATGGCCTAAAAATATAGAGACATCTAATTTAAAAAAAAAAAACTTTACCTCTGGTTGAGAAGTAAAGCAGCAAATAAAATTTACTGCTTTACTCTGACTCATTTCTTCTATACCTGTTTCCATTCATCTCACATGTAAACACATACAGACACACACACACACTATACTGCTGAGTAATCTTTATGTGCTATTAGGAAGATGCATGCTGAAATTAATTACTGTGTCAGCTAACGACAGCACAAATGAAGATTCTCAGGTGTTATTTTGCTATCACACACATGAAATTCGTATTGTGGTGTCTTTGTCTCCTTTTTTGGATACTGTGATTAAAATTCCATCTATAGTGAGAGACTTCTTTGCAATATTAGAAAATAATATTTACTCTGTTGGAGATAAATGGTAAATGAACATTTTTGAATCTTGCCTGATTTGCACATACTCAGCTAAGGAAAATAATAGTCAAAAATTACAAGTGAAATACAAGAAGTTCAGCAAAGCTATCTTTGAATTCATGGTTTGCTGAAAAAATTTATTTCCTTACTTCTTTTAATTTAACAAGAAATCTTTCAGTAGAACTCATTTTAAAGAAAATAGTTATGTAATAGAAAAGCTAAGACGCAATATCAAAAGACAAATTTTTACTCTAATTTGGGTAATATTTTCTTAAACAAAATGATGCTATTAAATATAATTTAACAATTCCTGTATAACGAAAATTAAAACTAAAATTTTACCAACTATAGTTATAATAGCTTAAAGAACAGAGATATTTTTCTTGGATATGCATATATTTTATATTGAATGACTCAGAAATTATGCCTGTACCTGAGATCCTATCAATGTAATGAAGATGCTCCCTTTAGAGTAATGGCTTTCTGGTATAATTCTCTTACTTGACATTTAAGTAGCACAGGTTTTGTTGAATAAACCAGGTGGACTTGAGTGGTCAAAGAAAAGCAAAGGCATGCTTTGTGTTTTGAGGAGATATATAATTTCTGTTTTACAATCTAATTCTGTGCTTTTCAGCTTTTTGTGAGTGTACACCAGTCTGGGATTTGAGTTAATAAATTAATACAAGCTAACAAATTAGCTTCCTGCTATTTCATGAATGCTGGTAGAAGACATGAGACTCCAAGGCCAAAGGCAAAGAACTTTAAGAACATCAACAAATGTTTCCATTCCCCTAGTCCCCATGTTCTCCAGAAGTGATGCAGAGGCCTCTGCACGTGCCTCCCTGTGGCTAGAATGAAGGTAGCTGAACTAGAATTATGTCTGAATCTTCTAGCTTTCCTTTTGGCCAGGCTGCCACCCAGAGGCTGTACCAATCAGGCCTGCCTGAGGTCACTGATAAGAAAAAGAGACACATCATGCCCAGGAATTGTTAGGTCAGAATCCTGTGTTTTCAAAATAGTTTTATAAATTGCTCCTCCCCTTTTATCTGATTATTGTCCAGGAGGCAGACGAAAGGAGATGAACTCATTTTAGCCACATTCAGTGACCAAACTGTTATACTAAAGGGTATGGGCCAGGAAGAAATAAGAGAGTTCTAGTCAGAAATAAATTTTAGATGATTTTTGAAAAATCAATTCCACCTGTCGATGCCAGCACCTGAGGACAGTAAGGGTTATGAAAGTCTACTAGAAAATGGTGGGGACAGCAAGTCTTGCAGTGTGCCCTCCCACTGAAGTCAAACAGGCCAACTTCTGGTAAGAGTCACAAATTTGGCAATGAAGTGGTGACTTTTGCACAGAAGCATATAGTACTTTGTGCCCAATCTACAAAAGTGGATGTGTTGCCATGTCCAGTATGCTGATGAATTTCAGTGGTGAGGGTGACCCTCTAAGCAGTTAGGCTTGATCAGCAGCTTGATTCTAGTTGGTCTCAGACAGTGAGCCCTTACCATAGACATCTGAATGAGTGACTCAGTCTGTCAGATTGCCAGGTGATACTGGTTTCTGGAATTCATCTCCAAAGAGGGGTGTCTTTAATCTGCCAATCTGTAGTCTTCCAAGTGGCAGGCCAGACACGTGGGACATTGGTCAAAAAGGTTCATCAAGGGAAGTATTGCCCAGAGCCAGACCACATACTTGTTTGTTTTTAAATAGCTGGCACTACTCATCAGTAGTGGCTCAATGAATGCTATAAAATTTACATTTAGCTGAGCCATCAGTAAATTAGGCTTAGAAATTTAAGAGAATACCTCTGAATCGAGGACTCCAATAAGCTAGCTGTGTTTCTTCATTAAGGCAATGGAAATACTGTTTCTTCCAAAAGTGTAGCTGTCTCCTTTTGATATGAAGTGAAAATACTGCTGGTGTGACTATGTCATTTCATTTGGCTTAATGATGCCTGCTATGTTCTAGTTAATGAACTTAGACATCTTGCTACATGTTTATTGGCTGTGTTTATATTTTTCTATGAATTGTCTGTTTCCATTATTTGCCCACTTTTCTATTCAGCTGTTTCATACCTGCACTGCTTTGTTGAAAATCTTTTTATATTATGTTTTCCAGCTTTTTGTTGCTTGTCATTTATGGCATCTTTCATGACAGGAAGTTCATAATTTCTATGTAGTCAAGTTTATCATTATACCCATATCCGGTCTGGGTTTGGTGCATTACCTCAAAACTATTCTTCTTACTCCAATATTATTATTTCTGCATGTATTCTTGTAAATATTGTAATGTTTGAATCTTTAATCCATCTAGGATTTTTATATATGAAGATTAATAATTAAAATTGTTTTCTTCTATGAATAAAGTCAATATCCAAATAGCATTTATTTTATTATTCTTTCATCTCTCTCTGATTTAAAATGCCACTTTTTATATAAAAACTTAAAATATACTGAGATATATATTTTGGACTGTTCACCTAAGTCTAAAAAATTAATATAATGTGTTGACAGAACAGGAAAATAATTATGTGATGTTGTTTTGGAATAAATAGTAATTTTTGAAGATACTGCCTTGTAGTTTATAATGTCATTGCATTTCTCAGATCATGTTTAGATGTGCCTTTTAAACTTTTTCTTTATAATGTTACAGAATGATTATTAATAGAGTTTATATTAGAAAGAGATAGAATGAAATTTAGTTTTCATAAGAAACCATTCAACAGTCAACATATATTTGATCTTAAAGCATCCGAATAACTTGGATCATCTTGTCGGTAAGGCAAACTGTTGCTTTATTCTATATTCACACTTACTGTATTGTCAGAAAACTCATGATGTAAGTGAGGTTAAAGATGATGAAGGACCCACATCTTCTTTATGGCAATTTTATTTACCTTTATGTCAAGACCAAAAGCTACTAAAGCTATATAATTGACTCCTCAGTGTTAAATGAGGGAAATCTTGAATACTTCCTTTATTTAGTTACGGGCTAGAGAGGTTTCATTATCCACAAAGAGGTAACCTCTCTAACTACCAAATCATCTCATATGAAGCCCCTAAAATAAATCTTATGTTAATAACATTTTGATATTGGGGTCTGTTTCAAGCTTAATTACTGCTGTTTGGTTCTTGAGTTTAGCCTTCAGCCATATGTATTGAATGTAGTCATTCACGATTCAACATTGGATACATTAACCACTCTAAAAAGATGGATCCTTGATTTATTTTCTTTTCAGGTAAACAGGGAATGCATACCCAGCACTCTTTGCCTAATTACCTCATTTGATTTTCACTACCTTCCAGCAAGTTAGATTTTATTATGTTCACTTCACTGATGAGAAAGCCATATTCAAAGAGATTAAGTGTTCCACTCAATGCCATAAACGAATAGAGAAGAAATATGAAACTTGAAATCATATCTGTAAGATTCCAAAGTTCATGATCTCTCTGCTATACTGTCATTCAAATTAATTTTAAGGGGCTAGCTGAAAAATGTAAATTGATAGCCCTAAGCAATAACTCTGCTGATTGAGTGAATGGTGGTGTAATGCTTATAGACCCAGGAGGCAAACATTCTGGTTACCAATACTTGGCATTTGTATGACTTTAGGTCTCTGAGTCTGACATTATTAACCTGTAAAATGGAAGAAAAGACATGCTTTACCTCTTACATTAAATTATATAATTAAAAATTAATATATTTACTTATTTGTTGAATTCTACTATATACACAAAATAGTTTCAGAATGGTTACATAAATGGTTACAGGATTACAATGGTTACAAACTAAAAACAAATCTGCTAAGAGGAATTAGAGATTTGCCATTATTTTGTTTTTAAACTGAAAGGATGTGTTCAAAATACATACTCAACACTTACATCATTTCTCCCCACACTCTTTTCTTCAGGACAGTTATGTTATTAATTTGAATACAGCTTGGCTCCTTTGTTTCTGTTTATAGTCATTTCTGAATATATAAAAACCTGTCAGGGAAATATAACTCCCTTTCCTCTTTCTACCATTTCCACTCACTTGTTCTAGGGAAGCAATTTCTTTCGTTCTGATTTATACTTTCAATTCTATTTCTGAAAGTGAAAAAAAAAGAATAGATACATGTATATTTTCCTACTTCCAACATCATTGCTTTAAAATATAAACTATGTCCTTCTCCTGCTTAAAGCCCTCCAGTGACTTCCTGTCACTCTTTTGAGAAACACAAACTTCCTATGTAATCCTCTATAATTTAAATCATCTGCCTTTGACTATCTGATTTCATCTTCTAGCATTCTACCCTTGGTCATTCCACTATACCTACTTGAATATACATATACTTTTTCTAACCTCATGGTCTTTGAACTTGCTAAACTCTGCTCATATGCTCTTCACGCAGTTCACCCTCTTATGTTATTGAGTTATCTGCCCAAATGTTGCCTTCCCAGAGCTGCCATCTCTGGGCCACCTATTATTATTCTCTGTACTTGCCTTGCTTTGGTTGTCTTCATAACATTGCATGATTGCAAATTTTGCAATCATGTTTTCTCTTTTACTGCAATCTTTTCCTGATGTCATAATTTCCCTTTTGTCCCTGTCTTCCTTTAGTTTCATAGCAGCAATATACTCTGTGTCTTATTGAAAATAAAGGTTTTCTAACATCTTACTTTTTGTCTCGCAGAAACATCATTTCAAAGAATGGTTGCTTTTCATTCTTTAAACTGATTCTCTTATTTTGAATTACTGAAGTATTTCTCATCCTAGTGATTTTCTTCTATTTGAACATCTTTACAGTGGCCGATCTATGCATTCAGTGTTTATGAATTGAGACGAGTTCTCCAAAGTGTGTGTGCATCTATGGTAGAATCTTTTAGGGGGAGCTAAAGGAAGAAGAGAAATTTTATTTATTGTGGCTTTACTTTGCCAGTTTGGACATCATGGTAGCCTATGAGATAGACTATGGAAGAAGTGCTCCATCTAAAGGCTTTCTCAGTAAGGAGCAAGACATCTTTGCTTAAGAAGGTCCTGTCAAATGTGTTGGGAACAGCCAGCTGTGCCACTTTCTCTGTAAGTTAAATGGTCCCCCTCATAGCAAGACTATTACCCCATGAGTACGGAAAGCAAGGAGTAAGCATTTTTTAAGTTTTATTTTAAATTGGCACATAATGTGAGTGAACATATTTAAACATTCTTGAACTTTTGTCTATGTTTTTCTCAGTCATATTAGTAAACTTGAAGTTATTCCTCAAATATATAACCACCTACAGTGTGGGCCATTTTCATCATATATCCCTGCACTTCTGACAAAGGCATTGTCAGAGTCTGCTTCACATACTGCAGGACTTCCTTGCTTGTACTTTTCACTTTTCTGGTTTACAGACTAAATAGACTTTCCTGTATTTTTCTATATCTCTCCTCAGTTCAGTGAGAATCTGGAGAAGAGGTGGCAATTAAAGACTGTATTCAAGTCATCATTGTTACTGAAAGTCACGTACTCTTTTAATTTTTAAATTATTTTAATGTCATATAAAAATAGACAAAATAGTATAATAAGCTCTAGACACTCACCTCTCAGTTGGTTTATGTAACAAATATAACTTACCCAGTGATGGTATTTTTCTTCACTTAACATTTTACAAGACCAAGGCTTTTTTAGATCAATTTTCCCATACATTGTGATAAGGATGATATGTTACATGGATCTTGATTTGTTTTTCACTTCCTATTCTAAGCATGTCAACATCTCAGAGCCAAGAGCTACCTTTATCAAATGAGCAGTCCTAGAAGAAAAGGAAATCATCACCAGTGAGAAGAGTGTACAAATAATGAGCAGTAATCTTTGAAATGTTAGTGGAAACATGTCAGGTTGGGACATTCCATCTATTTTCCCTCTTGTCTTATGGCCTCCCGGCGCCCTAGAAGGCTGAGGGAAGGAAAAGAGATAAATTTTCAGGGAGAGCATTTTCCACAAATCCTACTTTGTTACCTTAAGTTTGCCCAATGCACCCAGGTCACAGGGCTGCCCCAATATGCAGATGTTGCAAATCCTTTCTTGGCCATTCCTTGGGGCTCCCTTACCTTACTAAAATTTCATTTTCCAGTCCTTCCTGATTCCTGACCCTTTTCTCTCCTTTTATGTTCTGGTCACAGACTCCTGGCTTTTGTAATAAAATTGATTTTCCAGGTTTTGATCTCTCTGTCTAAGTTCTTGGGACTTCCTCATCCTCTGGCTCCTGGTACCAGGTTCAAGCTGCTGCAATTTCATTTTTATTTCCAGTTTAGGCAGCAGAGTAGAGTATGTAATGGCATAGACTATCAAACAAGAATGTGTGTGTTTGAAATCTGGCTTCACATTCTGTCAGTTAAGGGTCCTGGGCAAGTAACTTTGTTTCTCTAGTGTCCTCCTCTATAAAATAGGGATTATAATAATATGAACTTCAAAGGATTGTTCCAAGGAAGAAATAAGTTAATATTTGGAATATGCTTAGAATAGTGGCTGATATATGGTAATTGCCATAAACATTTTATTTTATAAGTGTAGAAAACAAAATAACCAATTAGCCCAGTCTAACTCCCACAAGTTGAGAAGCAAACTAGTATTTCTTTGCTTCTGTTTTCTAAAAGAAAGCCCTGGTGTTTAAAGCTAAATTATTTTCTGCTTTGGATTTACAATCTTCCAAACCAGAAGTTGGGGCAGCTGCTTCTCTCTGGATCTTTATGTCATACTTCCAGAAAGCCCAAAAGTTGGCACTCAACAGCAATAAATGAATGTTTCCAAAGTTTAGGGCTCTAATTAATTCAAAACTGTTGCAAAACAACAAGGATTTTGCATTTAGAGAATATAAAATGTACAGACACATAGAAGATGGACACATCATAGGGTAAGTTTTCCTCAAGTGTACCTAAAAGCCAGGGCAATGGGCCTGTAAATCCAATGCAAGATGAATGAGATACCTGATTCCAAGTTTTAAGATGAACTCTACTGTTTCACAAAAGAAATTACTTTAAATGTACTTTTAGGTCACATGTCCTTATGCTTTTATTAAGTAGGAACATCCCAAAATATTTTTCACTTTTCTACCTCATTCTCGGATTCATTTGTGGCTGAATTTCAGTTTCTCCCAATTTAGAATATCTTATTATGTCCAGATGCTGGAATCCTGTCTATCCAGATGATCCCTGGTTCCATGGCCAAGTTTCTGCTAGGGTCAAGTTGACATTTTGTTTTTCTTCCAAGTTCAGATATTATACAATGATTGGAAAAAAGCTTCCCATTTTTCAAATTAGGTTAATTAACATTTACCTATAAGTAATTCTCATTCTTTTAAAATTTTTATTAAATATTTAAATTCTGAAAATACTTATTCTCAATTGTCTTTGATGAGTTTCTATTTTGAATTGAGATTATCTTAATCTTTTCAGTTATCACTGGAGACGAAAAAACATGTCTTTTGTGATTACTTTAGAAGGAACTGAGTTAATACAGGTTCTGTTTCCATAAAAAGGAAGAAAACACAAGTTAATCAAAGATTCAGCATGAGTTCTGTATAACGGCAGTCAAATGTGTTATTACAAACTCTTTGTTATTAGTCAGCTACAGGAAAGAGAGGGCAGAAAGAATAAGAAACTCAAATCTGACCTTTTGGAAATAACTTTTATCCAGATGAACTCCAAAGTGTAGATGTATGCCAGTGAAAAAAGGTTACAATAAATTCTTCCAAAATTTACCAAACAGACTCATTTGACCCGGTGGTGCAATAAATATTGGGACTTGCTTACTTGATGTCCAAACAATCAACAATATTCTGTTTAGCACACAATAAGTAGATTTGTTAAATAATAAGTCTTTAAAATTTTTATGCATGTGTTTTTTTTTTCATGCAGGAATTCATTTGAATCAAAACAGCTGTTAAACTCTTTTGCCATAAATGGGTTAACTTCCCTCACTCCCAATCCACCTAGGACAATGGTTCTCAAGTGAGAGCAATTTTGCCCCCTCAGGGACCTTTGGCAACATTTGCACAGATTTTTGGTTTTTACTACTGGAAATAATTGTAACTACTGTCATCCACTGAGTAGAGAACAGAGATGCTGATAAACATCCTACAATCCACAGGATACCCTCCCACAACAAAGACATCTCACCCCAGATGGCAATAGTGCCAAAGTTGAGAAACCCTAAATTACATGGTTTAAAATATAGATAGTCAAAAAAAAAGGTTATTCATAACCAAGAACTCATGTCATTTCAAGGAAGTTGGAGAAACTTCCCTTACCCTTCAACAATAAAATGAAACTGACAGAAATTTCAAAATTCCTTTCTAGAAATATAATGTATGTAACCATAGATGTGTTTTCCTTTTAATCTCCCCTTAGTTTACCTGATGTGGGTAAGATTTGCATTTGTGGGGGAGAAAGTGTTGTCGTTGTTGTAATGTGTTTGAAGCGTTTTGTAATCTGTAGAAATCTATATAGACATAAGGAGATATTGTAAAGATAAAAGCTCAGGGCATCCTTGAAGAGTTCTTTGTTGTCTGATGCTGTTGCTGACTTTGTACAACCACCACTCCTGGATATTTTATTTAACCTATAGGTCATTCCCTTTGAGCGCAATCTTGCAATCTTTATCCCTACTCCTTTCCCCTACCTCTTTCTTGTGGTGTTTTCAGCACAAAGAATATTGAGGTAGTTTCAGTATTGAGCCCTGCTTTCCTGAAATGTCAAAGGTTGGTTTTCATATTCTATACAAATTAGGAAAATCCAGTTGTTCTTCTGTAAAAATTTTTCCTGCAGACTTACTTCCTGGCAGCTGGCAGAGCAGACAGTCACTGTGGCTTCAATCTGATCAAGTTTTTTAAAGGACTTCAGTACCACCCAATTGTCTCTGGGCCTCTGGATAATGATTTATTATTATGGGAATACTTCTCATTGCTTGCACTAGGAGCTTTCACAAATAGCTTCCTTAGTTCCAGATACAGTTGGAAGATCAATTGGAGGAGCAAATGCTCTAGAAGGTCTGAACCTTTGCTTTACTGATGAGAGAAGTCAGAGGATGTATAATCATCACAGCCAGAAACAGACATCTTTAATGTTTGAAAACAGGAACATTTTAAAGACGACCCTGCAACCTGTAGAAAGCTGGTAATTATGTAATTGAATCAATTATATCAAATGTTTTATAAGTTCCAATAAAATCTTCATAGAAATTTTGTCATTCCAATATTCTAATAGAAAGCATCGTATCTTGATAATACCAAGAGAAATGATCAGAACTCACATGTTAACATCGGCTGCCAAAGTGGCATTGTGATATGGTGGTCTGACATGAGATGCTCATTGTTCTATGATGTTCTATGAAGGCATACTTCTCTAGGCTACTGTTGAATCTTACACAGCTGAGGATGGAAATGGAGAAACAGCTGTTAGAAACTGTAACTGAAGGAAATGAAAATGTAAAGCACCTGATGAGGATGCTGTGGCATAACCTGACTTCGTGTTTAGATGGTAATTAGTACCAGCCTAAAGAAGGGGGAGCCAATGCCACGCCAGTAACCTTCTGGGCCATGGTTGTTCACTGATGAAGGATTTGTCTTCCTTACATTTTCCTTTCTTTTTCATTTAGCAAAAACTTCCCCAAATCTTACTATTCACATTCACGCTTACCTCCTTTCCTCAAATCTCAGAAAAAGCAGTGGCATTTCTCTTTTCAATACAAGTTCTCCACTTGTGCTTTTAATCCCATTTCTTTCAGCCACCTCCAGGGCCTTATTCGAGTTATTTTTTGATCTCTATTTTCTTTTGTTTTCATTTTCCCTTCTATTGAAATATAATGACATATAGTAAAGCATACAATTCAATTGTAAGTGTACAACTTTATATTTTTATATATGTATACTCATGTAATCAACACATTATTCACATTTATACATACACACTGTATATATGAATATATATGTGGCTACTATTAGTACTAACTACCAGCTGCTAACTACTCCTACTAACTACTGTCCTGACCTCTATTACCATAGATCATTTTGCTTGCTTTATAATTTCCGATAAATGGAATCATTGCTAATCTTATATCTGAGACAATCAATTATGCTGTGCTGTCCATTCTTTTCAATGCTCTGCATAACTGCATTGTATGAATAGATCATGATTTATTTATCCATCCTACTGTTGATGGGCATGGGGTTGTTTCCAGCATGAGAGTTGTATAAGTAATGTTGTCATGAACATTATAATACAATTTTTTAGTGAATGCATTCAACTCATTTCTTTCACAAGTCTACTCAGACTAGAATCAAAGGGCTATGGGATATACATAGGTCTATCTTTGGTGGATACATACTAAACAGTTTTTTAAAGTGTTTGTGACATTTTTTATTCCTACTAGTACTGTATGAGTTCTAATCACTTTGCCTGCTTTTTATCCTTTGGTGTTATCTCTTCTTCATTTTAGCCACTCCGGTGAAAAATAATGGTAATTCATTGTGTTTTTAATTTGCATTTCCCTGATAATGTATAATGTTGCTTAGTAACCTTTTATATACTTTTTGGCTGTCTAGATCCTCTTTTATTAAGTGACTATTCGAGTCTTTTGGTCATTTTTTAAAAATCTAGATTGTTAATCTTTTTCTTCTAATATATCTTAGTAGCTTTTGGAATTAAGTTTGTGTCAGATACGTGTATTGGGAAAATCAGTCTGTAGCTTACATTTTCATGTTCTTTATTTTATCTTTTTAGAAACAGCAAGTACTTATTTTAAATAAAGTCCAATTTATCAAACTTTTACTTTATGAATAGCAATTTTATATCCTTTTTAAGAAATCTTTATCTACCCCATCATAAAGATATTCTCCTATGTTAACTGCTAGAAATTATTCTCTTTTGTTAACGCCTATGTTAACTGCTAGTATACTTCTGCTTTTCTCATTTAAATCTATAATATCTTTTCAACTACTTTTACTTATGTTATAAAGTAGGGGGTCATAATTCAGTTTTGAATATGGTTATACAATTGAGCCAATCAATAGATATTAAAAAACCATTTGTTAAAAAAAATGAGCCTTATGTCACCGAACTACATTGGTACCCTAGTTATATATCAGATGAGTATGTGTACTTAGTCTGGTTCTGGAAGCTCTCTTCCTGTTCTGTTGGTATAACTGTTTATCTTTGAATAAATCCTACTCTACCTTAAATACTTTAGCTTTATAATAATTTGTGATATATGATAATGTAAATCATCCAGTGTTGCTGTTCTTAAAGATTATCTTGAATATTCTAGGCCTTTGGTTTCTATACAAATTTTAGATTCAGCATTTCAGTTTATACACATATTGCACTGAATATATATCGAACTGGGGAGAGCTAGCCTTTTTAAACCATTTTAAAACCATTTAAACCATTTTAAACTTAAACTATTTTAAACATAAAACTCATTTTAAACCATTGAGTCTACTAATATATGAATACGAATCTTTCCCCATTTTTTTAGATCTTTTTTGGTTTCTCCCAACAATAATATATAGGTTTCTGGCAGAGGTCATGCACTTTTTTTGTTTAAAAAATTTCTGGAAATTTGATGTTTTGTTGTCTTATAAATAACATTGGTTTTAAAACTTAGTTTTCAAATTATTTATGTTGAGTGACTAAAATACATTTGATTTTTAACATTAAGTTTTTGGCTTTTTCTAAGAAAAGCATACATTTTCAAGTACAATCATGTCTTCTTATGAGATAACAGTGTTAGTTCTTAATTTTTGGTTTTTATAAATTTATTGATTTTCATTTTTCTTACTGTACTGGTTAGAACCTTCACTACCATTTATCATTTGTCAAAGTTAGACTCTTGCCTCTCCCAACAGACACTAGGAGACAGGGGCCTTATCTTCAGGTGCAGGCTAGTAACACACAGTAAATTCTTCTGGCAGTCTTGAGCGTTCCCAGCAGGCATTTTAAAGAAGTGGGGTCATCCCTGGGAAAAAATCTTAATCTGCAAGAAGCCATGTTAGAGTTTGGTTAAGGAGAGACTCTTTGCCACTTCTTATAAGAACTGTGCTGTACCTGCTACTATCTTCACTTCCCAATTTTTTTTCTTAACCAAATACAATGATTATATTATATAATATGGTCTAGATTTCTGTTTTCCATTCAAATAATTTTTGTTGTGATTTTCAAAACAAAATAGATATATCCTTGTTTTAAGACTTTTCTGCAGATTTTGCCTTTTGGCTATCACATCCTTCTTGAAATTCTCTTCTCCCTTGCCTACAGAAAGACCACTTTATTCTTCTAGCTCTTCAAGTATTTCTTTTATTCTTCCCTTGGTCATGTCTCTGCCTCTTGACAATCCTTAAAAACTAGTGTTTACTTGGTTGGACCCTCTGTACTTACTAAACTGATCACTATACTGTAGCCTGGAATTTTCCTAAATTTTAATGTTTAATTCCTCCTGTATTTCAGACATATTGAGGCAGGAGAATAGGGTCTGGAGGTGGGAAACCTAAGGCTGATTCATGCTGACTGCCTAGAACTGAATCAAAAAGAAAATCCCACCTCTCCACACAGAAATAAAAAGGGATTAAAGACTACTCCCTTTGCACTGCATTGCAGAAGCAAAATAGAAAGTACCTCTGATTGGTACCCTCCTGCAACTAATCAGGCAAGTCATGGTCCTAGTCTTCATTTACATAGGGTGTAACTAAGTAACCAATGGGAAGCGGCTAGAGGGGTATTTAAACCCCCCAAAATTCTGTAACCAGCACTTTAGAGCCGCTTGCTCGAGCCTGCTCCCATTCTGTGGATTGTACTTTGGTTTCGGTAAATCTGTGCTTTCGTTGCTTCATTCTTTTGTTGCTTTGTGCATTTTGTCCAATTCTTAGTTCAAAATGCCAAGAATCTGGACAAGTCCTAGTCAAGACCCTCCACTGGTAACAATATTTCAGCCATCTGGTGAAGATCTTCTAGCTGGGTGGATCCCTGTAAGAATGTAATTGACAACAACCAAGTTTAATGCTGCTATGTCTGCGTAATTAGCGTATATCCTTCTTAGAAGGCTTTACTCTTTTCCTTCAGTCAATTCATGCCTTAACTCATTATTTAGCATTCTAAATTAAACTTAAATATTATCTCTTGTGAGAAACCTTCCCCAAACCTTTGAGGATTATTCTATCTTTTCTTATCATAAAACTTTTTTCTCTAGCAATTATGTAACTTATTATAGTTATTAAAATTATTGACTCTATTTTTGCCCCAATAAAACATTTGTGATAGCTTGTCTTTATTTAACATATCTCTTTAAGAACAGGGTTCCAGCATAGGATGTTGAATTAGACTAGAATTTCCTTCCAACTCCACAGGTATTAGGACTTTGTTAGTTCATTTTCTATCTTTGAACCTAATTAAGTGTCATGCATTTGGAAGATGATCAATGCGGTATTTTCCATGAATGGTCACTAAGTGGCTTGTGAAAAACAGAAGGTATGCAATCTTGTCTTCTCTTACCACTGTCTTGCCTGATGGTTACAATTCTGGAATACAGAAAAGCAGAAGAAGCTTGGTGCAGACGTCCTTAACATCCCTTGAGACTCTCATAGAGAAGGGTTAGCTAAGTATAGGCTGGAGCTACAGAGATTATCCATTCTTCTCAAGAATCTGGTTTTCAGATGGATGACTGACACCTTTTGTAAAAGATAGGGACATTTTGTATATATTTGGAGAACTGACACATTTTTAAGTCTCTAGCTTTGATACATTTCTAAATTGAGCTTGTCTTCATTTAATATGCCACTCTTAAAACAGTATTCAAGTATTGAGTGTTGAAATAGACTAGCATTTTCTCTCAGCTCTAAAATTTGCATTTCATTCATAAGGTATCAACAAATAAAATAAGTGCATTCATCTCTTCATGAATGAACCAGTTAACGAGTTAGTAATTTTGGTAATTTGCAGGTGTTTGCTGTTTTAAGTTCCATCTCTGTTTCAATTTTAACATCACCTAGATTTTTCTTTTTTTCAGAAATCTTGTTAGTATCATGACAATTTCAAAGTTCTTTGTTGTTAGGTTTTTAAGAATAGTGTTCCATACCCCTAATATTTTTAGATCAAAAATTTTATTCTTCGAAGTCTACCAACATCTCATTTCTAGAACTTTCTCTAACTACTGTCTTGACCTCATCTCCATTCTGGAGTTAATAACTAAATATTTTCTTTGCTCTCCATCATTCCACATCTTCCTTCTTACATGAGCTTTGTCTCTCTTCTTGTCTTCAAAACCTTTTGTGGCTCATACCCTGGATAGAAAATGCATCCTTTTTAAAAAAAATTTTGGATCAAATCATATTTGTTTCCACTTCATTTTGTTACAGGCTTTCTTCTTTCTTGTCATCATTGTGACCTACTCATCCAGCAAACATATTAACATGTCTACTATCAATATTTATATTTTACAACTTTATCTACAAGAGAAAAACTTATAAATAATACTATTTTCTCTATAGCACATGAATTTGAAAAGTAAAAAGAATAGTTTTGAAAGTCATATATCCTCCAAATCTCTTACAATTTGAAAAATAAGTTATTAATAAAGTAAAGCACTTTAAATACTTTCAGGAATGAAGTGGGATTAAAATATTAAAATGACAAAACAGAACTATTGCTATAATAATGCCTAATGTCTATGAAGTGATTAAAATGTGCCACAAACTATGTTAAATGACCCAAAGGCATTATTTCATGTAGTCTTCAGAACAACTTTTTGAAGTTTGAACTTCTATTATTTCCGTTTTACAGATGAGGCTACTGAGGTTTAGAAAAATTAAAGAATGTGTCCAAGATCCTACAGCATGTAGAAGGAAAAGCTACAGGCCTATAATCTTCCTCATGATGTGACTCTTGCCTATTTTTCCAGGTAGACAAATGGGAAATTCAAACACATTGGAGATAGCAATAGTGATACTGAATGAAGATGAAACTATCACTAACAGTTTTTACTGTATCATTTTCCATTATTTGGCTGTCATTTGAAACAAGAATGTCCTAGTATTTTTTAAGCTAGGTCTAGTCCCCATTTTTCTTAGTTTTCCTTAGAAGAAAGTGGACAGTCTATCAAATAAAGTGTCCTGAAAATGACCTCAAGATATATACTCATCAAAAGAACAGCCTGCCACCTCAACAAGAAAATAACGGACCCTCTGCAAAAGGCCAGCTTGTAGGAGAATACTTGGGTATTTGGGAAACAACTTCAGGTAAAAGGAAAGAAATTACTTAATGTAATGTAAAATGACACTCCCACATTATGTAAATTCACCCTTAGCTTATTTTTTAAAAAGAATTCTGTACAACTTTACTCAGAAAATATTTTATGTTAAACTTTACTCAGAAAATATTTTATGTTAAACTTTTCTATTTATTCCAAAATCAACTTTAACTCTTCTCCAAAGTTCTTTGGAAGTTCATTTTTATATATCTTAATTGTGATGTTCTTCTTCAATCTTTATAGCATCTATATAGCAAGGGTTTTTAAGATCACATTTTTTTTGTAAGTTGGAAAATGTTTTCCAAGTATCCAACTTTTTCCAGTTGGACTAACAAAATGTTGCCTTCCAGATACAAAACTAATCAGGTTGGTTTAACTTGACTGCAATGGAATGAATAAGACTGTGTTTCGAATCAGGTGTTCCCTCCATTAACCTGATCAAATTATGTTTCAACTAATGGATACACAGCTTTAGGAACACCCTGAAAAGCGTAGAAGAGTGAGCAAACTATATTAATATTGTTGCAAAGATGACTTTTGTCCACTATATGTGGCCTGTGGAGTCAGGTCTTGGTTGGTTATCATAAAGCAATTAATGAGGACATTGGCACCTAATGGTGGTGGTAGGGGAAAGGTGAATATGAAGGTCTCCTTGTCTATAGATATGCTATTTCCTTTTAGTAAAACACACTGCCCTCTTCCCATCTACTCAACTCTTACTCATCCTGAGATGCTAAACTGAAAATTGGTTCAGAAATATGCATATGAAACTACTGAGTTAGGGAGCTGGGCCTTGGTCATCTCACAGACCACCGGCAGTATCTAACTCCATACGGAATTATCTTCCTCTTTTTTTTTTTTTTTTTTTGCGACCCAGAGAGTTTCTTTTTATTTTAAAAACTATTCTGAAGTTGGAAAACAAAACAAAATGAAATAAGAACTAGATCATGCACTCTTCCAAAACCTTACTTTTTATATCTCAGTAAGAATTTAATGCCTGTTTCCCCCTGGTTCTGTTGTGATGATTCCCTCTTGGGTCAGTGAATGCTTTACAACTAGCTGTTGGTATAAGAGAGGGCCTCAGGATCAACGAAAGTGCAGTGCCATTTCCAAAATCCTTCTCACTGTTCTCAGTAACTTGAGGCTAGTACATGTTACTCAGATATTTACACTTATATTAAAGAGCTGGGTTAATTAATAAGATAATTATCAAAACCTAGGGCTAAATAAGATTTTGCATGGTAATCTTTCACCTTCTCATAAGACCAAATTTAAACTCTACAGATAATTATTATATTTTCTACTTCTAATACTACAGCCTCTGATTATGATCCAGCTCAGGTATTTCTTATGCAATGTAATTACATGACCATCTAAAATTTGGTTGAGATGCAAAGGGTAGGAAACAAAGAGCTCTTGATTAATCTCTTTTAGTGATTATGCACTAGTCCAGTTTGATTCTTTTTTGTTGCAAATCATTTATGATCCTAATGTGTCTTCCAAAACAGTCACTTTGCCTTGTTTTCAGAGAAAAAGTCCAATATTAATAGAAATAGTAATGAAGCAGAAATTTTCTGAGCACTTATATTTTAGAAAGGCCCAGTTCCTATGCACACAAAATGTAAAGTCTAGGAAAATGTTTTAAAAGTCAATTCTTTTTTCATTATTTTTAAAATTGTATATATTTGTGGTGTACAACATGTTATGACATATGCATACGTTGTGAAATGGCTAAGTCAAGTTATCCTGTGCATTACCTCGCATATTTATCATTTATTAGTGGTGAAAACACTTTAAAATCTACTATCTTGGAAATTTTTAAGTACACAATGCATTGTTATTAACTATAGTCACCATGATATACAATAGATCTCTTGAACTTATTCCTTCTGTCCAACTGATATTTTGTATCACTTGACCAACATCTTTCCAATATCACCACCCGTGTCTCCCACAGCTCCTGGTAACCACTGTTTTAATCTCTGCTTCTATGAGTTCAGCTATTTTTAGATTCCACATGTGGTATGTAAGATCATGTGGTATTTGTCTTTCTGTGCCTGGCTTATTTCACTTAACAGAAGGGTCCATCTCTGGGTATGGATAATAAGGGTTCTTCTTTAATAAAAAGCAAACACAAAAGCCATGATAAATAAAACATTTCAAATGGCAATGTAATTTTATATCAGATGTAATTGACAAAAATCATAAAGAAAATCCTGATAATTAAAAGCTATTCACTCTTTGATACAAAAGTTCTTTCAGGGAAGACAGGGTTGTGGGGCAGTGCTTAAGGGCATTGACCCTAGAGTAAGGCTGCTTGGGATTAAACACTGGCTTCACCACTTACTAATTGTGGAGCAGACTTTGTGACTTAACGCTTTTCAATTTCAGTTTCCTCATTTCCAAAGTGAGAATAATGGTAGAAGCAACCTCATGGGTTGTTGCAAACATTAATTGAGCTAATATAAGTAAAGTGCTTAGCAAAGCAAGTATTCGTGTTTTATTTATTTATTTATTTATTTATTTATTTATTTATTTATGTATTTATGTATTTTGAGACTGAGTTTTGATCTTGTTGCCCATGCTGGAGTGCAATGGCTGGATCTTAGCTCACTGCAACCTCCGCCTCCTGGGTTCAAGTGATTCTCCTGCCTTAGCCTCTTGAGTAGCTGGGATTACAGGTGCCTGCCACCACACCCATCTAATTTTTTATATTTTTGGTAGAGATGGGATTTCACCATGTTGTCCAGGCTGTTCTCGAATTCCTGACCTCAGGTGATCCACTTGCTTCGGCCTCCCAAAGTGCTGAGATTATAGGCGTGAGCCACCAGGCCCAGCCGTATTCATGTTTTACCCATTAACCATTGTTCATATTGTTATTCATTTGACAGTTATTGACTGAGTAGCAACCAGTTTCTGAGATATGGAAGATAAGTAAGTCCCCTGCTCTCAGTGAGCTTACATTCCAAAGAGGAAGGTGAATATACAAACTACTATAAATCACATTACGTGAATAACAGAGATGTGCCAATTGTGCTATAGAAAGGAAGAAATGGGGCAGAAAACAGATAAAGATAGAAACAATAAAGTTACATTTTTATGTGAAACAAGATAGCTCTTTGGACCTCTTGAAACAGAATAATTAGATGCTTCATCAAACTCCAATTTGATTTTTAAATCATAGTAAATAAAATTATCTTATAAAACCAAGTTTACTGGTATTTAATAGATTAAGAATGAAAATAGAACACTCAAACTTGGCAACACCATCCCATCTATGTACCAGGGTGAGGAGTTATGGACAATATTATAAGTAAACATAACTAAAAAATATGTTTTCCAAATAGGAAAGTAATTGCTCCTCTAAAAATTGTAAAGAAATAATTGTTTCAAGAACAGCACTGATGAGAGTGATTTTACCCTCAAATGCCACTTTAATTTCAAACCTCAGACAAGTCTAAACACGCATATGCAATATGATAGGAAAATCACTCATTTTTTAGACCTAGGTCTTCAGCAGGCAATGAACAGTGTTTAATGCCATATGGAGGTAATTTAATAAGAATTTTGCAATACTTGAACAAGCATTATCACCAAATCTGCTAAATGGAGTTAGTGATTTTGTTTCTTTCTAGCATAATGATTTAGTTGTGCAATGGTGCTGTCACCAGATGAGATTAATCACAATAATGATGCGTCTTTTTGCTAAGGACGTTATCATAAATCATTTGAATACAGCCTAAGAGAAAAGGCTTCTAGTTAAACTTTCTAAATGTTACAAAATGGTCATAAAGCATGAGCTGTTGAAAATAGGAATTATTTTTATTTCAGTTTGGGGATCATATGGCAAAATTATTATTCATTGACACTGAAGTTATTTCAGACCCCCCCCCCGCCACACACACACAAATCTCAAGAGATATTGAAAATGATGATTCGTATTGTTCCAATTACATTCATATGACCTTAGTTAAGTGATTTAAAATTGGGCATTAGTTTCCTTATCTGTAAAACAAAAATAATAATATCTATCTCTTAGAATTTTTGTGAGGCAACATATGTGAAAAGTACTTTATAGCCTAAAAGTAATTCTTTTTCTCTTCTTTTTCCAACTCTGTCAACTTATTTTTCATCCTGCTCTCCTTCTTCTACTTTTTCTTTATCGTCTTCTTTTTTTCTCTCTTTTCTTTATCTTCTTCTTTTTCCTTTTTCCTTGTTTTTTTTTTTCTATTATTAATTAGGCCTAATTTTACCAGGTCAAACATATATGATGTATGCCTTCAGAAATATTTTGCATGCTTGCTTCATCATCACAGAGCTAAAGCTAAAATCAAGGAAATTTTTACTGTTCTACAATTGTAGGTTCCAGTTTATGCAATTTTCATATTGTGTTTGTTTTTTCTAAAATCTACTTACTAATCTTAACAATATAGTATCAAATTGACATTATAATCTCTTAGTTGAAAGCTTAGCACATGAACTTTAATTTCCTTATCTTTTAATAATAATAAATTTAAAACAATGGAGCATGATATGTAGTTTAAAATATTCAACTGTTACATCATTTTAATCACACAATCTGTAACACCTGCTTTCTTTATGGCAGTTTTGTGAAAATTAACTAGAAAATAATTGCAAAATTCATTGCAAATTCTGAAAAATTTGAAATACTGTTAATGAGAAAGTATGGAAAATATTATTTTAACATTTCAGTTCCCAAATTGTTTTTTTCTTTGATTTTTGTCTTTTTAAAAAATTTTAGTTAGTTTATCAATAATTACTAATGATAAGTATAATGCCTAATGTAGCCACATACACTGACCACTAGAAAGACGAAGAAAATATGAGCTTCTCCTAAAATAAGCTAAGGGTTAATTTTTAAAAATCTCTTTGGAATATAACATTTTATAAACATTTTCATCATATACACACTATATTTCATTCCCCTTAATTGAAATAGAAAGAATGAAGTTAATTTCAGTACTTGCAAAAACATTTTAAATATCCGGTGGTTGCTTTTTAATAAATGTGTCTTAGCCCATTTTGTCCTCCTGTAACAAAATCTCACACTGAGCAATTTATAAACAACAGGAATTTATTTTTCAGAATTCAGGGGTCTGAGAAGTCCAAGATCAAAGTGCCTGCACCTAATTCTGGTGAGGGCCTTCTTGCTGTGTCCTCACATGGGAGAAGGTGAAAGTGCAAGCTAAAAAGGGACAAACTTTCCCATTCAAGACTTCTAATAAGGACACCTAATCCCATTCACAAGGGAGGTGCCCTCCTGACCTAATCACATCCCAAACACCCAATCTCTCAACACCAACACACTGGCAACACCTGAATTTTGGAGGGGCCACATTGAAACCATAGCAAGATGAAACCTTTTAATTGATCACGCCATAGGATACCAGAACTGGAAAATCTGGTTTTCTGTGGTGCATTGGATATTCTAACTTAATAATCAAAGAGGGACTTGAACAGAAGTTGAGGTTCCTTCAGTAGGATAGGGTGATGGGGGTGATTAGTCAATTACCTGTAAGAAAAAAGGGAAAGAGCAGTATGTGTTTCCTCCAGTTGCTTATTTTTTAAAAATTTTTATTTTATTTTATTATTTTTTTTGAGACAGAGTTTTGCTCTTCTCATTCAGGCTAGAATGAAATGACGCGATCTCAGCTCACTGCAACCTCTGCCTCCTGGGTTCAAGTGATTCTCCTGCCTCAGCCTCCTGAGTAGCCGGGACTACAGGCGTGTACCTCTACACCTGGCTAAATTGTTTTGTTTTTGTTTGTTTTGTTTGTTTGTTTGTTTGTTTGTTTGTATTTTTAGTAGACACGGGGTTTTACCATTTTGGCCAGGCTGGTCAAACTCCTGACCTCAGGTGATCTGTTGGCCTCGGCCTCTCAAAGTACTGGGATTACAGGCGTGAGCCACTGCGCCCAGCCTCCAATTGCTTATTTCTGTGCCTGAGCTTTCCCATGTATAAAGATGGTAATGATAATAGTATCTACCTATCTCGTAAAGTTTTTCACATAAAGAATATATCAGTTAAAGAACATACTAAAACTACATCTGGTACAAAAGCAAGAATAGCAGTTGAAAAAAGAGTGCTGTTAGGATAAACAAGTGTGCTGTCTCTGTAGGGCTTCCTATGGTTTTCATAACAAGCTTCTCAGTGCCTTCTCCCCACCTGCTGTTCCTTCCCTCTCCTCGCCAGCTTCTTCTCTTCTTTTCTTTCCTCTTACTCCCTGGCTATCTTATGACTCTGGCCATTTTATTTTTCTCTCTCACTCTCACTTTCAGACGATGAGTTTCTGAATTCTTCTGTCCGAATTCCCATCCACCCATTCTTCTCTCCTTTTATCTCAGTTCTTGCCCTTCTAGTTTTGCTATTGGAGGCTTTTTGAAAATAAAGCTAAATTATTCATGATCTCTGTTTCAACTCAACTGGAATACAATGGCCATCACAGAATTGACCTTAGGGTGTGAGTGCTGGCAGGAGGAGAGTCTTCCAGAGAGATTCCCTCAGTGTTTTGAAGGAGTGTCCTTCAGTGTTGTGGGTAAAGGAGGCACAGTGGTACTTCTAGGATGTCCCTTAGAGGAAAAGTACCAATTTCACAGGTTCCCATGACACAAAGCTCTTGCACATTCATTAAATATCTTTATGCTGATTGCATGTGGTGATGGTTAGAGGTCTGAGGCCAGGTATGGCCATTATTGTGTAACTCATCAAGCTCCAATGAGGTGCCACAACACGGATGCATCTCTGTTTTCCTCAGGTGAGAGTCACAAAGCTGAATGGAAAGCTATGGGTAGGCTAAAATCCAACAGTTTACTTGTGTCCCACTCTTTTTTCTCCTTAAAATAAATCACAGTTCCCTTTTTTTCTAGCCAAATAACAAATTCGAATCTTACTTGACAGTAATTACTAAAATATGTTAAATATGTATTTTGTTGACCAGTACCTATAACACACACTTTGATGGTACCATTATGTGTGATATTTCCAGTGTTCAGAGGTATTTTTGTTTTACACATAAGGAAACTGAGACTTATAGGATTTATATAACCTACCCACTTTGATACAGGAGATTAGTGTCAGAATGCTGATTCAAACCCAAGCATCTGAGGCCAGAGCTCAGATTCTTAATAATTTTAGGTTAATACATGGAAGAAAAGTTTGTGCAACTGCAGTTACATGATTCCCTGTGGGAAATACTGAGCTGGGTCTTCAAAAGTATTTCTATTTAGCTAGAAAATGTAGAGCTATTGCTGTAAAATACTGAATAGATTTATGTTGCTAACTGTGAAAATGATATACCACATACATTTGCACATGTATGTTCTTTCTAATTTGTGCAAAAAATTAATTCAACTAAATTCTCCCCTTTAAACTCTCTCAGCTCTTATTTAAATTGATCCTAACATACATAGTTTCTTGGCAGGATATGTATCCAAATAGCATTTTATACTTAAATAGCAATCCATTGATGGGAACTCCTATTATATACTGAACTGTATTAATTATTAATGGTCCAAATGCAAGCAAGTCCCCGGGAGCTGCTGAATCATTAGAACTTCTGAGGTTCATCTTCAAGGATGTTATGTAAACCAATTCTCTGAAGAATGACCATCTGAGGGGCAATGTAAGCCATGACTAATAAAGTCATTACAGAAAAAGAAAGCACTGTTTTCAGATAGGAAAGGCAGCTTTTCTTTCCCATCTTAGGAAATATTCTGTGTTTGGGGGTTTAAGTATTTTATTTATTTTTGAGCACAAAGTAGCACAATTTTATTCACATGTTTTCTGAATATTTAATATACCTCTGTTCACATGAAAGATATTCTTGGAGGAAAACACAGAATGAGGATCAGACACAGCATTTCTAAATTATAGACAAGAATCAAATACATTTTTTCCAATCATTTTTTGTTTGTTTCATTGCCTAGGTAACCCTTCTGAGGAAATTAGCAGCTTTGACAATGGAAAGTACTGTTTCATCTGTCTTCCCTATGAGAAGGTAATCTGTTTGAATAGAAGAAACATTGGAATAGGGCTCCATTTCTAAACAGATTTAGGTCTACAGAAGTTATATCACCCCTGAAATCCTTGGGATGCTGTGAGGATTTTTTTGGTTAAACTGAAATATCAACATAGAAATACAAAATATAAAATAAACTGAGAAAACTAACAGCTCACATTTTCGAAAATTAAATAGCAAATTTATCTTTTATATATGGTTTCAAATGTGTATTTCACCTCACAGTAAAACTTCATAAACATTTATTATTTATAAGCCTGTAATAACTAGTCTACAATTAATTAATATGGCAGAAATGTAAGTAAAAACTGTGTACTTTCCAGTGAAGTGTTATATAAACATGTAATGTTCAAAGCCATTTACAGATTTATAAACCAAAAGTCAGGTGGGCTGGAAATGAAAAAAAATTAATTTTAACAACTAATTGTACCATGAGAAAATTATATTATTTTTTGGTAAATTATGACTGCCAAATATGTCCCAATAAGGGTTACTTCTTTTTTCCTAGGCTTAATTCTTTATTCAATTAGTTGTGCTTGCAAAATTGAGTAAGAAAATAATTTTGCCTGAAATTAATTACGTCTTTTAATTTGAATGTTTGATTATCTAATTCAACAATTATTATGCACATGTAAAAAGGGAGATTTAGAAAAATTTTTAAATATGCACTTTATAATCTTTTCCCTGCTTATTTCTGATCCCTGTAGGTGGAGAAAATGCTATTAATTGAACCATTTTTGTGACATGATGTAGCTTCCCTTATGCTTACAATGACAAAATAAGATTAACATTGCATTTGTAAAAGCTACCAGGATTTTAGAAAATTATTTATTATATGAAAAGTTTAGTTTTTATCTCTGCCTATTCCTTTTTATCGTATATCAGGCATTTTAACTCACTTGAAATCTCACAGATAGGAATCCTGAGGCACATTATGATATGTTTAACTCTTCAAGTATCTAATTGGATGTGTTTTTATCTGGAATGTGTGAAATGTCTTCTTCTTTACCTAATAGTAACTGGTATGTCTTGGCTCAGCATGGAAACAACAAATTTAACAGCCAATAGATGGCACTGGAAGTGTTCAAAACATTTTCTATATCTTTTCTGTTCCATTGAGTATAATTATTTTTTTAAAGCAAATGACAATTTATATAGTTAAATTAAAAATGAAGGCACATTCAGAACGTCCATGTTGAAGAAACTCAAATATTTCATTGTTGCACGACCATTGAAAATTCTAGCACTTTAACAATATGAAACGATGCCTTCATTCTCTCCCATGTTGTAACTTAACTACTGTGTCATTCAAGTATGTTTTACCACCACCTGTTAGGATTTCTGAAGTCTGTAAACTCAATTGGTATGTGTGATGTCTGCAGAGATTTCATTTTTGGTACTATTCTCCTGATTATGTGATCCTGGTAGGATAAGGATTACAGCCAAATGTTATTAAATAATTTCATTATTGGTTCTCACTTGCATTTTTCTAAAGCCAACTTCACAAGTAACCTTTCATTCTCTGTAGTAAACAAGCCCATAAAACATTCAATGAATCAAGCAGAGTAAAAGAAAAAATGCAGGACAGTATTTAAACACAGATTACAGTGAACAGAGTAATCCATTTATAGGATGGGACTAATTTTCCTCTAAAATTGGTTAACAGTGTGCTTGGTTATTTAGATGTGGTAGAAAACGATCCCATGTGGAATTCAATGGGAATGCCACCTACATAGAAAGCCAAACTACTACTATATCTGTTTCTAAGTGAGGTCCAGTAACTATGCTTTAATCTTTGCTTTTTGTTATTTTTTTTTTTTATGTTTGCAGTTACATCAAGTGTTTCACAATACCAGGTGATATTTTCAGAGAAGTGTTATCAGCATGATGCAGCATCAAACATTACAGCTATTCCATCTTCAGATAACACCCCCCTACTTTTTCAAAGCTTTGTGTTAAAACTGTTGAAGGAGCTATTGCTTTCACCTAAAACAGTTTTAAATCATTGCTTTATGATAATTTAGAACCTAATTAAATTATGCATAGCTATAGAAAGACTACTTTTTAATCTATTTGTGCATAAAATATAAAAACATTTAAGTTATAAATGTGTTGACATTTTATTAACATTATTTCTTTCATATAGGATATTACCATGAAATAAATGCATGCATACATATATTTATATTCATATGCATATTTTCATGATGATGCCTCTTGTGTATGTACATATAAAATTAAATAATGTACCTAGAAGGCCTACTAGAGGCCTGGCTATTTCTTGAGTGCCTACCATAATATATTGCTGGATAAACAATCGGCTGAAACAATCTGTTGCCTGTTCAAATACTAAATATGTGTTTTTGGTAATAATGGTAGTACAACTTCCCCCATCACATTTTACTAAAACCATCCTTCTTTAATATCTGGCTTTAAGAAATTTTCTACATATTATTCCACATAGGAATACTCACTGCCCTAGAAATCATTGTGTAAGTGTGATCATATTCCTCAAGCTTCCTATAAGCACACTAGCTTTATATATATATATACAAGGAGTAAGTCAGTTTTTTAATTCTTCTCAACAAGGTTAGATGTATTTTCTTGAGCTCTGTGACACCTGCAACTGAACTAAGACAATTCCTTAATGCGTCCAAGGATGTTTGAAGTTAATGTGTAAAGCGGGGCAGGGAGTCGGGGAGGAGGTACACAAAAGAAGTGTTCACAAGTAATCCTCAGAAACTTTTAGAATTCTGTAAGGGAAAACTCCTATGGAGTACTGCACTGTGGCCTGCAGACACTTTTATCTTTAATACAACAGTGTGACTTTGATGCCTTGGGGGGCCATAATGACAACATTCATCTTGATGTCTGCATTTTCCTCTCAATGATATTTTGTTTTCTCTAAAATCATTAAGTTCTCTTTTCCAGTAAAGAAAAAAACAGACCACAACTACTCTCTTATTTTACAAATCAGGTACATTTTTTAGAGCAAAGGATGTGGAATTGTATGAAAGTTTAACAGTGATTATTCAGCTATCATACTGCAAGATTGTTAAATAAGGGTTGCAAATGAATGAATGGATGCATACATGCATTACAATGTAGGCAACAGGAAACTGAGAAAACTGGTTAGTAAGAAGTAACTCATACTAAGAGAATATAGGAAATTTGATTCAGAATGTTTAATTCAGTTTAAGAGAACAATGAAATCAATGTCAAAATCAAGCTGTAGGCCTTCTTCATATCACAAGGAAGAAAAAACTCGTGTCAGGAATGTTTTTTCTGTCTGTGTTTTTATGGACTCAGCCTTTTGGTTGATGGGTCTTATGGTTGATGAACATTAAATGAGGGAATCAACAAATTATAGGTGGTAACCTTGAGTAAGTTCCCTAACTTCTCAAGGCCTCAGCCATCTTATTAGTGTAATAATTTCTACCTACGACAGGAGTGTCTTAAAAACTTCATTTTAAAATTCATGTGCTGGCCAAGTGCGGTGGCTCATGCCTGTAATCCCAGCACTTTGGGAGGCCGAGGCAGGTGGCTCACTTCAGGTCAGGAGTTTGAGACCAGCCTGGCCAACATGGTGAAACTCCGCCTCTACCAAAAATATAAAAAATTAGCCAGACGTGGTGGTGTGCACCTGTAATCCCAGCTACTCTGGAGGCTGAGGCAGAAGAATTACTTGAACCTGGGAGGCAAAAGTTGCAGTAAGCCGAGATCATGCCACTGCACTCCAGCCTGGGTGACAGAGCGAGACTACGTCTCAAAAAAAAAAAATAAATAAAATAAAATAAAATAAAATAAAATAAAATAAATTTCATGTGCTGAATATAAACTAGTCTGACCACTGTTGATAACCATTTGTTGATATCTCAATAAGTTAAAGATAGATTTACCATATGACTCAATAATTCCACTCCTAGATATTTACCCAGAATAACTGAAAACAGATACTCAAACAATAACTTGTACATGAGTCTTCATAGCACCATTTTTCATAATAGTCAAAAATAGAAACAACCCAAATGTCCACCAACTGAGGAATGGATAAATAATATATGATATATACATACAATGGAAAATTATTCAGGAATAAAAAGAATGAGGTATTGACACCTGCTATAGCATGGATGAGTTTTGAAAATATGCTAAGTGGAGGAAGTCAGACACATATTGTATGATCTTATTTATGGGAACTATCCATAATACATAAATCCATGGAGACAGAAAGCAGATTAGTAGCTCATAGGAACTGAAGGCAGAAAGGAGGGGGAAGAGAGAATGGGAGAAGAGGGAATGGGAAGTGATGGATAATGGATGCAGTTTTCATTTTCGATGATGAAGTTATAGAACCAGATCATAGTGATAGTTGTTAAAACATTCTAAATGTACTGAATGCCACTGAATGGTATACTTTAGAGTCGTTAAAATGGTAAATTTATGTTTTGTCTATACATAACAATTGTGAAAATAATAAGATAAATAAAAATAAACACTGATAAGTAAAAGTTCTGAGCTCTCAACATTGACCAATGGACACAGTTTTGAGCTTGCCAGAATTTTTTATAATATGTGGCATATGTGAAGATTAGGAAACACTCAAAGACATATTGATAAAAGACTCTAGTTTGGGTAAACCACAATGAGGTTATAGTTGCAGATTCAATGTATATATCATCTAATTAGTGAAAGCAGCATTGTAGAGTTCAAGGTCTAGTCTGGTAGATTTTGGGTGGCTGTTGATAATATTATTATTATCATTATTGCTAATAAATATGCTGTGGCAGAAAAGACATTTTGTCCATCAGGGCCATGTAAAAAGTGGACTTTCTGGAGAACACACAGGATCCAGTTGTGTTTTGTTCACCTTAAAACAATTATTGTTTTGCAGGCTGTTAGAGCTAAAGAGAATTAGAGATAATTTATCCCGAGTACTTCAATTTTTAAATGAGAAAACCAAAACTCAGAATGGTCAAATAACTTGCCTAAAATCAGTAAAAGACGGTGTATGACATTTTGATGCTGCCTAAATACTTTATTGTCAAAAATATTGTCAAGTAACAGATACCTCCCTACCTATTCCCAACCTGCAACTACCCACTATTCAATCGGGTTTGCAGATAAAGATGCTGCCCAGAGAGGTTTGTTCCAAACACATTACTTGGAAAGAAATTCCAAAACTTTTACACTTTGATGAGAAAACACTCATGCCAAAATATCACACTTTACACTATAATTGGTGGCAGATTGAATAAGAAATATGTTTCCCAATTCTCAAATGATTTTCCCACATTTCAAAAACTTTTGTAAAACATAGTCTTATGATCATTGTATGCTTTTTGTCCTTCTCCCTAATTCCTACACCCTTGTAACCCCACCTGTTTTAATATATTGCATACTAAGCCTTCTTCTTAGAGTTGACTCATTTAGAATACTATTGCTTTATATCACTTCTTAATGGAAGAAGCTCTCAGATAACATCTCAAGGACATCCAACGTTGTTTTCACTACACTGGGACTTTTATTGATAGAAATGTGTAATAACATATTATGATCCACTCTCTGATTGGCAAGTACTAATAACTGGATGATTTTAAAAGAACTGTGTAGTCTGCCCATGTCATCACCAAGGCAATGGGTCATTTCTGAATAAACATAGGTCGCAGAGTAAAGGTGTTCCTACACCTCCCACCGGCCCCGCCTGCTGGCATTGCTTTGGGGCCTGACAGCTTGCCTTGTACATGCTGTCCCTCAGTAAATGGCTGCATAATAAACAATTGAACTCTGCATAGGGAATCCCCTCTGTAAATGAATACAAAGAATATAGTCTCTGATTGTGTCTCTCACCTAAAAGCCATATCCCAATTTTCACTGAGTATGCAGTGCTCATAACTGCACACCCTTCTGACTCTGTCTTGAAAGCTATTCATTAGGTACAGTTAGATAATAATATATGACCAGTGTTCATTTCAACTATGGCCATATTCCTGGTGCTGGTGAATCTGAGCTTGAGAAAATACTTGCTCATCTTTAGCTCTAAGTAAAATCTGTTGACTTAATTTGATTTGTTTTCATTGTTTCCTGCTGAAAATTAGGCTAAGCAAAACTCAGGAATACATTGATGGATAGTTTTTGGAGTAACAACCCATTAATTTAGAAGCTAGGTCACTCATATTTTTCTAAATTATTTGGCTTTGAATGAAAATATGGAATGCCTGCAATCCCAGCATTTTGAGAGGCTGAGGTGGGAGGATCACTGGAGGCCAGGAGTTTGAGACCAGCCTGGGCAAGAAGGCAGGACCTCCTTCTCTACACAAAATAAAAAAAAAATTAGCCGGGTGTGGTGGCATACATCTGTAGTCTGAGCTATTCAGGAGGCTAAGGAAGGGGGACTACTTGGGCCATGGAGTTCAAGACCACAGTGAATTTACAGTGAATTATAATTGCATCACTCTCACTCCAGGCTGGGTGACAGAGCAAGAGAAAGAAGGAAAGAAAGAAAGAAAGAAAGAAAGAAAGAAAGAAAGAGAGAGAGAGAGAGAGAGAGAGAGAGAGAGAGAAAGAAAGAAAGAAAGAAAGGAAGGAAAGAAGGAAGGAAGGAAGGAAGGAAGGAAGGAGAAAGAAAAGAAAGAAAGGAAGGAAGGAAAGAAAGAAAGAAAGAAAGAAAAGAAAAGAAAGGAAGGAAGGAAGGAAGGAAGGAAGGAAGGAAGGAAGAAGGGAGGGAGGGAGGGAGGGAAGGAAGGAAGGAAGGAAAGGAAAGGAAGGAAGGGAAAGGAAGGAAGAAAGAAAGGAAAAAGAAAACCTAAACATTTCCCAGTAACAGGTTAAAATTTTTGCTAATACCTTGTTATAGGTGGGTAAATATTTTCTTCCTTTAATATTGCCATTTCTGTTTTATTTTTTATTTTTTTTTTTGTGGGTACACAGTAGATGCATATATTTATGAGGTATATGAGATATTTTGATACAGGTATAAATGCATAACAATCACAACAGAGTAAATGGGATATCCATCACTTCAAGTATTTATTCTTTGTTTCACAAACAATCCAATTATACCCTTTTAGTTATTTTTAAATGTACAAAAATTATTGTTGACTGCAAAAGCCCTCTTATGCTATCAAATACTAGATTTTATTCATTCTGTCTGACCATAGTTTTCTGTTCATTAACCATCCCCACTGTCCCACTACCACCACTACATTTCCCAGCCACTGGTAGCCACCACTCTAAGCCATCTTCATGAATTCAATTGTTTTCATTTTTAGCTTCTACACGAGTGAGAATTCACAAAGTTTATTATTCTGTGCTTGGTTTATTTCACTTTACCTGATGACCTTCAACTCCATCCATGTTGTTGCAAATGACAGGATCTCATTCGTTTTCATGGCTAAATAGCACACCATTCTGTATATATATCATATTTACTTCATCCATTATCTGTTGATGGACACTTAGGTTGATTTCAAATGTTGGCTTTCATGAATAGTGCTGCAATAAACATGCAAGTGCAGATGTCTTAAATATACTGATTTCCTTTCTTTGGGGAATATACCTAGCAGCGGGATTGCTGGATCATATGGTAGCTATATTTTTAGTTTTTTGAAGAACCTCCAAACTGTTCTCCATAGTGGTTGCACTAATTTACACTCCCACCAACAATATATGAGAGTTCTCTTTTCTTCACATTCTTGTCTGCATTTGTTTTTGCCTGTCTTTTGGATAAAGTCATTTTAAGTGGAGTAAGATGATATCTCATTGTAATTTTGTTTGTTTGTTTGTTTGTTTGTTCGTTTGTTTGTTTTTTGAGACAGGCTCTCACTTTGTCACCCAGGCTGGAGTGTTGTGGTGCGATCTCAGCTCATTGCAACCTCTGCCTCCTGGGTTCAAACAATTCTCCTGCCTCAGCCTCCCAAGTCGCTGAGATTACACACACCCGCCACATAGCCCAGGTAATATTTTGGATTTTTAGTAGAGATGGGGTTTCACCATGTTGGCCAGGCTAGTCTCAAACTCCTTGCCTCAACTAATCCACCCGCCTCACCCTCCCAAAGTGTTGGAATTACAGGCATGAGCCACCACACCCGACCTCATGGTAGTTTTGATTTGCATTTCTCTGATAATCAGTGATGTTGAGCACTTGTTCATAAACCTGTTTGCCATTTGTATGTCTTCTTTGAGAAATGTCTATTCATATTTTTTGCTCATTTTTAATTGTAATATTAGACTTTTTCCTATAGACTTGAGTCTGTTATATATTATGCTTACTAATCCCTTGTCAGATAGTTTGCAAATAATTTCTCCCATTCTGTGAGTTGTCTCTTCACTTTGTTGATTGTCTCCTTTGCTGTGCAGAAGCTTTTCAACTTGCAGGGAGGGAAAGAAGCTTTTATTTTAAGTGACCCCATTTTTTCATTTTTGCTTTTGTTGCTTATGCTTGTGGAATATAATGTAAGAAATATTTGCATAGTCCAATGTCCTGGAGAGTTTCCTCAATGTTTTCATGTAGTATTAATAGTTTTACAGTTTGATGAGTTAGTTTTAAGCTGTTAACTCATTTTGATTTTATTTTTTTATCTGGCAAGTGATAGGGGTCAACTTTCATCCTTCTGCATGTGGATATCCAGTTTTCCCAGCAACATTTATTGAATAGACTGTTCTTTTCCCAATGTATGCACTTGGCAACATATCAAAATGAGTTCACTGTAGATGTATGGATTTAGTTCTGGGTTCCCTATTCTGTTTCATTGGTCTATTTTCCTATTTTCATGCCAGTACCATTCCGTTTTGGTTACTATAGCTTTGTAGTATAATTTGAAGTCAGGTAATGTGATTCCTCCAGTTCTTTTCTTTTTGTCCAGGATAGCTTTGGCTATTCTGGGTCATTTGTGGTTCCATATAAATTTTAGAATTTTTTTTTCTATTTCTGTGAAGAATGTCATTTGTACTTTCATAGCGATTGCTTTGAATCTGTAGATTGCATTAAGTAGTGTGAACATTTTAACAATGTTGATTTCTTCAATCCATGAACCTAAAATATCTTTCCATTTGTTGGTGTCCTTTTCAGTTATTTCTTTCATCAATATTTTATAGTTTTCAATGTAGAGATATTTTACTTCTTTGGTTGATTCCTAGATATTTAATTTTATTTGTAGCTGTTGTAAATGGAATTATATTCTTGATTTCTTTTTCAGATTGTTTGCTTTTGGCATATAGAAATGCTAATGATTTTTGTATGTTGATTTGGTTTCCTGCAACTTTACTGAATTTGCTTATCAGTTCTAATAGTTTTCTTGTGGTGTCTTCAGGTTTTTCCTAATATAAGATCATTTCATCTCAAACAAGAATAATTTGACTTCTCCCTTTTCAATTTGTGTTGCAGGAAGTCAGGGACCCCGAACTGAGGGACTGGCTGGAGCCATGGCAGGGGAACATAAATTGTGAAGATTTCATTTTAATATGGACATTTATTAGTTCCCAAATAATGCTTTTATAATTTCTTATGCCTGTCTTTAATCTCTTAATCCTGTTATCTTCATAAGCTGAGGGTATGCCTCACCTCAGGACCACTGTGATAATTGTGTTAACTGTACAAATTGATTGTGAAACATGTGTGTTTGAACAATAAGAAATCAGTGCACCTTGAAAAAGAATGGAATAACAACGAATTTTAGGAAACAAGGGAAGACAACCATAAGGTCTGACTGCCTGTGGGGTCAGGCAAAAAGAGCCATATTTTTCTTCTTGCAAAGAGACTATAAACTGATGTGCAAGTAGGATAGATATTGCTAAATTCTTTTCCTAGCAAGGAATATTAGTATTAATACCTTGGGAAAGCAATGCATTCCTGGGGGGAGGTCTATAAACAGGCGCTCTGGGAATGTCTGTCTTATGTGGTTGAGATAAGGAATGAGATACGCCCTGGTCTCCTGCAGTACCCTCAGGCTTACTAGGGTGGGGAAAATCTCCGCCCTGGTAAATTTGTGGTCAGACCAGTTCTCTGCTCTCAAACTCTGTTTTCTGTTGTTTAAGATGTTTATCAAGACAATATACACACCGCTGAACGTAGACCCTTATCAGTAGTTCTGCTTTTGCCCTTTGCCTTGTGATCTTTGTTGGACCCTTATCAGTAGCTCTGCTTTTGCCCTTTGTCCTGTTCCCTTAGAAGCATGTGATCTTTGTTAGACCCTTATTAGTAGTTCTGCTTTTGCCCTTTGAAGCATGCAATCTTCGTACCTACTCCCTGTTCCTACACCCCCTCCCCTTTTTAAAACACTTAATAAAAACTTGCTGGTTTGAGGCTCAGGTGGGCATCATGGTCCTACCAATATGTGATGTCACCCCCGGTGGCCCAGCTATAAAACTCCTCTCTTTGTACTGTCTCTCTTTATTTCTCAGCCAGCCAACACTCATGGAAAATAGAAAGAACCTACGTTGGGTGGGTTCCCTCAATAAATTTAGATGTCCTTTATATTTCTTTCTCTTGTCTGATTTCTCTGGCTAGGACTTCCAGTACTAAGTTCAGTAACAGTGGTAAAGTGGGCATCCTTGTTGTGTTTCAGATCTTACAGGAAAGGCTTTCAGTTTTTCCCCATTCAGTATGATACTAACTGTTGATCTGTCATACATGACAATACATATTGAGATATGTTCTTTCTATATAAAGTTTTTTTAGAGTCTTTATCATGAAGGAATATTGGTTTTTATCAAATGCTTTTCATAAATAATTAAAGTGATTTTTTTTTTTTAATTTTACTTTAAGTTCTGGGATACATGTGCAGAACATCCAGGTTTGTTAAATAGATATACGTGTACCATGGTGGTTTGCTGCACCTGTTGACCAATCCTCTGAGTTCTCTCCACTCACCCCCCACCTCCCAACAGGCCCTGGTGTGTGTCGTTCCCCTCCCTGTGTCCATGTGTTCTCAAAGTTCAACTCCCACTTATGAGTGAGAACATGCTGTATTTGGTTTTCTGTTACTATGTTAGTTTGCTAAGGATGATGGCTTCCAGCTTCATCCATATCCCAGCAAAGGACATGATCTCGTTCCTTTTTATGGCTGCATAGTCCATGGTGTATATGTACCACATTTTCTTTATCTAGTCTATCACTGATGAACATTTGGGTTGGTTCCATGTGTTTGCTATTGTAAATAGTGCTGCAGTAAACATAAATGTGCATGTGTCTTTATAGTAGAATGTTTTATATTCCTTTGGGTATTGACCCAGTAATGGGATTGCTGAGTCAAATGGTATTTCTAGTTCTAGATCCTTGAGGAATTGCCATACTCTCTTCCACAATGGTTGAACTAATTTACATTCCCACCAACAGTGGGTTTTTGGTCCTTCATTATATTTATATGATGTATCGGAATGATTGATTTGTGTATGTTGAACCATCCTTGCATGTCAGGGATAAATCCCACTTGGTCATGATGAATGATCTTTTCAGTGTGATGTTGAATTCAGTTTGCTAGTATTTTGTTGAGGATTTTTGCATCAATGTTTATCAGCCTGTAGTTTTCTTTTTTTGATGTGTCTTTGTCTAGTTTTGGTATCAGAATAATACTGGCCTCATAGAATGGTTGGAAATATTTCCTCCTCTTCAGTTTTTAAAATAGTTTGGGTGGTACTGGTATTATTTCTTCTTTAAATGTTTGGTAAAATTTAGCAGTGAAGGCATTGGGTTCTTGTCTTTTCTTTGCTGGCAGATGTGTTATTACAGCTTCAATCCTGCTTGTTACTGGTATGCTCAGGTTTTGGATTTTATCCTGGTTAAATCTTGGTAGGTTGTATGTGTCTAGGAATTTATTAATTTCTTCTATGTTTTCCAATCTATTGGCATGTAGCTCATAGTACCCTCTAATGATCCTTTACATTCCTGTGATATGAGTTGTAATGTCTTGTTTTTCCTCTCTGATTTTATCTATTTGGATCTTCTTTTATTCTTAGTCTGGCTAAAGGTTTGTCAAATTTGTATATATTTTCAAAAAATATGACTTTTCGTTTTGTTGATATTTTGTTTGTGTTCTTCATTCGAATTTCATTTATTTTTTGCTGTAATCACTATTATTTCTTTTCTTCTACTCATTTAGGGTTTGATTTGCTCTTGCTTTTCTAGTTCTTTGGATGTATTGTTAGATTGTTTATTGTTTTCTACTTTGTTGATGTAGGCTATTATAGCTGTAAACTTTTTTCTTAGAAGTGCTTTCACTGTATCCCAGAGGTTTTGGTATGTTGCATCTTCATTATCATTTGTTTCAAGAAATTTTTTTATTTCCTTCTTAATTTCATCATTGGCTAGCTAGTCATTCAGAAGCATATTGTTTAATTTCCATGTGTTTATACGGTTTTCAAAATTCCTCTTGTTATTGATTTCTAATTATATTCCATTGTACTCAGAGAAGATACTTGATACAATTTTAATTTTTTTTAATTTTGAAGACCTTTTTTATGGCCTAACATATGGTCTATCCTTGAGAATGATCCATGTGTTGAGGAGAAGAATGTGTATCCTACAGCTGATGGATAATATGTTCTGTAAATATTTATTAAATCCATTTGTTCTATAGTGTGAATTAAGTCTGATGTTTCTTTGTTGATTTTTTGTCTAAGTGATCTGTCCAATGCTGAAAGTGTAGTGCTTAAGTTTCTAGCTATTAGTATATTGGAGTCTATCTCTTTGTAGCTGCTCTAATGTTACTTGCTTTATATATCTGGGTGTTCCAGTGTTGGATGAATATATATTTACAGTTGTTATATTCTCTTACTGAAGTGTGTCATTATGTAATGACTGTCTTTGTCTCTTTTTATAGTTTTTGTATATAAATCTGCTTTGTCTGATATAAGTATAGCTACTCCTGCTCTTTTTATTTTTTCCATTTACATGAAATATATTTTTTCAAGTCTTTATTTTTTATCTATGTGCATCTTTATGGGTGAATTGTGTTTCTTGCAGGTAACAGACATTGGGTCTTCATTTTTTAATTCATTCACCCAATTTATGTCTTTTGATTGGAGTGTTTATTCCACTTGCATTCAATGTTATTATTGATAAGAACTTACTTCTGACATTTTATTTCTTTTCTGATTGTTTTGTGGTCTTCTCTTCCTTTTTTTCTTCCTTCCTGTCTTCCTTTCAGTGAGGATGATTTCCTCTGGTGGTGTTTTAATTTCTTGCTTTTTATTTTCTGTGGATCTGTTTTATGTTTTTTGATTTGAGGTTACTGTGAGTCTTATAAATAATGCCTTATAACCCATTATTTTAAACTGATGACAACTTAGCATCGATTGTATAAACAAACAAACAAGTGAAGAGAAAACTAAGTAAAATTCTACCCTTTAACTTCATCCCCCATTTTTTAACTTTTTGTTGTTCTATTTATATATTATTGTGCTGTCTATAATCTTGAAAAGTTGTTGTAGTAGTTATTACTTTTGTTGATTCATCATTAGTCTTTCTATTCAAAGTATAAGTAGCTTACATGCCACTATTACAGTGTCATAATTTTCTGTTTTTCTGTGTGCTTACTATTACTACTGAGTTTTATACCTTCGGAGAATTTATTTTTGCTCATAAATGTCCTTTTCATTCAGGTTGAAGCGTTCTCTTAAGCATTTTCTCCTAGGAACATCTGGCATTGATTAAATCATTCCGCTTTCATTTGTCTGGGAAAGTCTGTTTCTCCTTCATTTTTGAAGGGTATTTTTGCTATATATACTATACTATACTATACTATACTATACTATACTATACTATACTATAGGGTAAAAGGGTTTCTTTTTTTGTTTGTTTGTTTTTGTTTTTCCTTCAGCACTTTAAATATGTCATGCAACTCTCTCCTAGCTTGTAAGGTTTCCACTGAAAAGTCTGCTGTCAGACATATTGAAGTTCCATTGTATGTTATTTGCTTCTTTTCTCTTGCTGTATTTAGGATCCTTTCTTTATCCTTGACTTTTGAGAGTTTGATTACTAAATTTCTTGAGGTTGCCTTCTTTGGGCTAAATCTGCTTGGCGTTTTATAACTTTCAATCACAACGTCTATCTCTAGGTTTGGGAAGTACTCTATCATTATAACTTCAAATTAACTTTTTACCCCTATCTCTCTCTCTGCCTCCTCTTTAGGCCAATAACTCAATTTGCTTTAAGGCTATTTTCTAGAACCTGTAGGCATACTTCATTCTTTTTATTCTTTTTGTTTTGTCTCCTCTGATTGTGTATTTTCAAGTAAACTGTCTTAAAGCTCACTGATTTTTTCTTCTGCTTGATTAATTCTGCTGTTAAGAGACTCTGATGCATTTTTCAGTATGTCAATTGCATTTTTCACCTCTGGAATTTCTGCTTGATTTTTATTAATTATTTCACATTATATGTTAAATTTATCTGATAGATTCTGAATTCCTTCTCCATGTTATCTTGAATTTCATTAAGTTTCCTCAAAGCAGTTATTTTGAATTCTCTCTCTGAAAGGGTGCATATTTCTGTCTCTCCAGGACTGGTCCTACATGACTTATTTAGTTCATATGGTGAGGTCATGTTTTCCTTGATGGTCTTGATGCTTGTGGATGTTCATCGGTATCTGGGCATTGAAGAAGTAGATATTTATTGTAGTCTTCACAGTCTGGGCCTGTTTGTACCTACACTACTTGGGAAGGTTTTCCAGGTATTTGAAGGGACATGCATGTTTTTGTAATCTAAGTTTTTGTTCACTGCAGTCCTCTTTGCATTAGGGGGCACCCCAAACCCAGTAATGCTGTGGCTCTTGCAGATTCATAGAGGTACTGACTTGATGGTCTTTAATAAAATTCAGAAAAAGTCTCTGGTTTACCAAACAGAGACTCTTCTTCTCTTCTCTTATTTTCTCCCAAACAAACAGAGTCTATCTCTGTGTTGAGCTGCCTGGAACTGGGGAAGGGGTGACATAAATAGCCCTGTGACCACCACTCCTGGTTTGCACTGGATCAGACCTGAAGCCAGCATATCAGTAGGTCTCACCCAAGGTCCATAGTAACCACTGCCTAGCTGCTGCCTATGTTAGCTCATGGCCCTAGGGCTTTACAATCATTGGCAAACTCAGCCAGGCTTGTGTCCTTCCATTCAGGGTGGTGGGTACCTTTTGGCCCTGGGTGGAACCAGAGATGCTATTCAGGAGCTAGGGCCTGGAGTTGGAAACATTAGGAATCTAGTGATTGTGGCTGAGCTGGCACCTGAGCCACAAGATAAAGTCTTTCCAATCTTCCCTTGCCTTTCCACAAACAGAGAAGTCTCTCTCATGGCTACCACCACCCTAGGCCAATGGAGAGTACTGCCTGGCTATCATCAATGTTAACTCAAGGCCTAAGGGTTCTTTCCTCAGCTCATGGTGAATGTTTCCAGGCCTGTGACTCTCCCTTCAGGGAGGTGGGCCTCACTCTTCCCCACAGCAGGTCCAAAAATGCTGTCCAAGAGTCAAGACCTGACATTGGGTATCCCAAGAGCCCACTTGGTGCTCTATCCCACTGTGGCTGAGATGATATCAAAGCTTCAAGACAAAGTTCCCTTTATTCTTCCCTCTTCTTTTCTCAAGCAGAAAGAGTCTCTCCCTGTAGCCACCACACCTGGAAATGTGCTGGGTTACACCTGAAACCAGCAGGTCTCTGAGTCAAACCCAAGGCTCAAGGCAAGTACTGCCTGACTACTGCTACTGACTATTCACAGCTCAGGGTGTCATTTGTCTGCAGATAATGAATCTTCCCAGGACTAGGTTCTTCTCTTCAATGTAGCAAGTTTCCTTTTGGCCCAGACAGTGTCTTGAAATGTCATCTGAGAGATAAGGCCTGGAATGGGGACCTCTGTACTCTGTCTGGTGCCCTATCCTACAGTGGCTGAGCTGGTATTCAAGTTGCAAGACAAAGTCCTGTTTACTCTTTCCTAGGCTTTCATCTAGCAGAAGCAAGTCATCTCTCTTGGAGCTGTGAGGTCTGCTGTCTGGGTTTGCGGAGGGGTGGTGCAAACACTCCCTTAGCTACCGTAGCCGCTATCTCACTAGGTCATGCACCCCTTAAGTCCACTGGCTCCAAGCACAGCTGATTACTAGAACTTGCCCAGGAATTGCAGTCCTCATGGTCTAGACTGCCTTTCAGGTTTATTTAGAACCCTCGAGCACTTTAGCCTGCAATGGTGGGGCTTGCTGGAACTCAGGTTCCAGCAGCTGGGATGAACAATTCCCCTTCAGCTGGGGCTGGTCTAAATGCTCCCTCCATGGATGCTGGCTAAGTTCTGTCCTGTGTTGCTTTTTATTGTGACTGGGCAGCACTGAATTCCAATGCAAAGTCCCAGAATCACTGTGCTCTGTCTCCTCCAAGCACACAGATTTTTTTCTCCATGCCATGCAACCTCTGCTCAGGGGATGGGGGAGAAGTGGCATCAGCAATTCAAGACTGTCTTTTGTACCCTCTTCAGTGCCTCTTTCAGCGATATGAAGTTAAAACCAGGTACTTTGATCACTCACCTGATTTTTGATTCTTATCAAGGTGCTTTTTGTGAGGATAGTTGTTCAATTTGGTGGAACAAACTAGGAGGAGCATGATCAGTGGAGGCTTCTATTTGGCCATCTTGTTCTGTCTCCATCCTGCCATTTATTATTAAAGTCAGAACACAGATTAACAGAAATACTAGTAAAGAAAAAATACATATGCACATACCATTCAAACATTTCTGAACTCATCGACATATTTTTGCATATATACTTATTGTTCCCATAAAATAATTAACTGCAGAAACCATCCTTCATATAGCCTTACCTAGAATGGTTTTATGAAAGTGAATGCTTACTGAATTCAAGCTTAAAGAACATATCGTCCTGACTTACCAAAATTACATAGTGAAACTAGGAATAAAACCCAGGACCTAAACAACCTGCATTCCTTATATGTAATTTTGCATTAAATTAATTACAATACATTACAATAAAAATACCTATCCTGATTAGGAAAATATCAAGTGCCAATTCATATAAGCATATTGTCTTAGATTATGTTTGTGCATTCTTGTGTGAATTCACACATACAAGCCTGCACATATGCTTAGTGTTTATCAAGCAGATGAGGAAGAAAATAAGTGTGTGAATAGGTATGAATAAGACACAATTTTTGCCTTGAAAACTCTTGTTTATCTTAGAAGCAGTTAAATCAAGAAAACTTATTTTCACCTTTGCATAAGTGATTTTGCTTAATATATTCTTAAACGCTTTAACAGAGAAACTCATAATATAAAAAATCCAGTGGCCTTCAGTGCAACTCAGCAATACTCTCACCCATTCTCCGTTGACTTCCTACTAAATATCCCACCAAAGTAATTTCTAATTTCCTCTAATCTTCCCAGGTATCCTAATCTGCCCCTGCTTTTCTGTCCTACAAGCAGGTAACCCCTGTATTGATTTTATTGAGATTAAGGTCATCAGATAAGAACTCCCTCAACTATCTTTCCCTTCCACTGAAATTGTGAATTATCACACAGGCATTTCTACAGTTCATCTTGCTTAAGGAGGACTGTCTTTTCTGATCTAAACCACATTTCTTTCTGAGCTAAACTTTCTCCTTCTCAGTCTCCTGCTAGTTATTCTACATTTGATCCTCTCCATCTCTACATGATTTCTCTGCCTTTTGCTGCCCTGCTGTAAGTTCCAGAAGTCTAGCCTCTTCAAGCTACATCACTCAGACACTCGGGCCCTCTGGTTTTCAGTGGGATTTAGACAATGGCAGTAACTGGAAGAAATCAGAGTATGGGAGGCAAAAGAGATCAGGCTATTTATTTCTCCATCCCTATACTTTTCCTGCTTTGCTACAATTCTAGCTGATTCTGTATGTGGTTTCTGGCTCCTGTGAGTGATACCTCTTGCTCTGCTTCAGCTCTCAGTTGGACTTGACTGAATCATTCCTTCTCTTCTTGCCCCCTTATGCCTAGGAACTTAAGGGACTTCATGCTGTTACAAGTCCTTGGGTGCCTCTTCTACCCTTTTTTTATTCTCCTTCCCCTGTTCACACCCCTATGGACACTTCATTCCTTCCAAATAAATCCTTTTGAAAATGCCGTCTGTGTCCAACAGCTACCTTGACTGATCCAAACTTCTTTCATCCTCTCTGGATTCAAATTGCAACTCTTTTTCTCACAGTTGTATAGTTTTTGTTTCATTGATTTGTAAATGTATTCAAGTTTCCTCCGTATTGTGAAGCCCTCTCTCAACTCTGTTACAGTTTTAAGTTGTTGCTCTATGAAAGTTTTTAAATTCTTTCTTCAAAGTGTTGTCTACAGATATTAAAATATGGTATCTGTTCCACAAATATTTAAATATAATTATGCCTTATTTTTATTAATATGTAACAAAGCAAAGAAGACATAAATACCCAGCTTAACAGATTAATGGAGGATAATCACTCTGCAGTTCCCACTCAGATCAAGACATCAAATATATCAGCTCCCTAAAAGCTTCCTACACAGGCCTTCTTGGTCATAAATTTCTTCCTGCTTCCTGTCTTAATACCTATCCTGAATATCATAGTATTTACTTCCTTTCTTTAGAATAGTACTACCAAAACATACATCAGTAAAGAAAGGTTAATTTTGCTATTTTTAAATTTTATATAATGAAATCATACAGTATGTATCCTACTGTGTTGGCTTCTTTCCCTTAACCTTATGCTTTCTGGCCAGGCGCAGTGGCTTACGCCTGTAATCCTAGCCCTTTTGGGCCAAGGCAAGGGATCGCTTGAGTCCAGGAGTTGGAGACTAGCCTGGGCAACATAGCAAGACCATCTCTACAACAACAAAATTTGCTAGGGGTGATGGTGGCACGTGTCTGTAACTTCACCTACTTAGGAGACTGAGGTGGGAGGATCACTTGAGCCTGAAATGTCAAGGACACAGTGACTTGTGATTGTGCTACTCTACTCCAGCCTGGGTGGCAGAGCAAGACCCTATCTCCAAAAAAAAAAAGAAAGAAAAAGAAAAAGAAAAAAATTGCCTTTAAGATTCATGAATGTTTTGGTTTGGGTTATTTGTAGTTTTGAACTATGCACTATGAACCTTCAAGCACATGTATGCTGGTAAATATAAATAAGCATTTCTATGGAGTTTATACCAGTGCATGAAATAGGCTGTACTATACTATGTCTTCCAGATCTATGAGATATGACCAATTGTTTTCCAAAGTTATCTTAACAGTTTACAATCCTACCAGCAAATTGTAAGAACTCTATTGATCTATATCCTCGCCAACACTTAGTATTATTACACTATTGGATTTTTGCCATTCTGGTGATTCATGAGTTGTATCTTATTGTGATTTTCAGATTGTGTTTACTGCAGTGATTACTAGTAAGCTTGAGCATTTTTTGAAGTGGTTTTTAAGATGTTTTTCCTTTTTTAGTTCATCTTTTGCTTCTGCTTTTAAAGAGTTTTTAGTATGTTCTGAGTATGTTTTTTATTGGTTATATATGTTGCAAATATATAGTTTTTCTGTCTGTGGATTGCCTTTATACTCTTAGCTACTGTCTTTTGATGAGCATGGTTTTAAATTTTAATGTAGTGTACTTGTCAGTCTTTCTATTTTTGCTTAATTTTTTTTTCATCTTGTTTAAGAAATCACTCTGTAGTCCCAAGCTCCTAAAGACTATATTAGGAATCTATTATACTATATTCTGGAACTTTTTTTGTATGCTTTTCAAATTTAGGTCTGTGATTCATCTGGAATTGATTGCATGTGCGTGTGTGTGTGTGTTTGTGTGTGTATTAAAGTAGGAATTTATTTAATTTTGTTTTTTCTTACAGATAACTAGTTTTTTCAAGATTTATTGAAATTACTATTTCCTTTAATGTTTTACAGAATTACCATTGTTAAAAGTTAAATGCTTATTTTTATGTGGCAAGCTCAAGCAGCCCTCCCATCTCAGTCTCCTAAGTAGGTGAGACTACAGCAAAGAAGCTCATTTTGTGAGTTCTATTATGGTCATTCATATCTTTGCCTTTTCACTAATACCACCTGCTCTTAATTATTGTGTCTTTATAACTATCATTGATACTTATAGAGCAAGTCGTATATTCTTGATTTTTGTCTTCAAGCTGCCTTAGCTTTTTTTAGCCCTCCACACTTCCACAAAAATTTTAGAGTTTGTTTTCAAGTTCCTAAAAAAAAAAAAAAAAGGAATTTTGCGGTATTTTTATTATAATTGTATCAAATCTATAGATCAATTTGGAGAGAGTTGATACAATTCCAACATTAAATTGCCCAACTCGTGAGCCTATAAATATGAAGCATTTTGTTAATTTCTAAATTAGCCTTGCACAGGGCCATGCTAATCTCTGTATTGTTCCAAAACAGGCTTGTTGAAATTGGAAAATCAGAGCAGGTGACTTAGAAAAATCTGAAGTGGTAGTAAAAAAAAAAAAAAAAATAGAATACTTCAATTTGAGCTTTTGGAGGTGACACATCTAGTAGTGATGATAATATAAGGAATGTAATCATGGGCATATGAGCTAAAGGAAAGTAGAAGAAATAATTATTATACATGAGAAGACTTGAGCAACTGAAAGTGCAAGATCTAAACTCCACATACTGTTTTCAACTCATAAAACTAGGATAACAGAAGTACCTATTGCTAAATATCATTGTTAAGTTTTAAATGAGGTAATCCATATAAAACAGTAAAAATAGAGTGTGGCATATTCTGAGTTTTTTATATTATCCACTATTTAAAAACATTTTGTACTAAATTTGTCTTCTATAATTAAGGCAGTCTTGTTACTCAGAGAGCTTTCTAACCTTATATATACTGTAGATATTTAGATATTTTCCTTTGACCCTGTGCTAGACAGCTTTTGAAGTGGGGACAAATGAAATACATGTATATGAGTTTATGCTTTTAAATGTACAGTTAGTCAATAAACTTAGAAATAAATATAGTGTCTGAAGTTATGTATAAGACAACTATGCATTCTATATATTGTCTACTTCAGTCAACCATAAATAACATTAAGTCAAAAAATATTAAACTTTAAAACTATTTAAAAAACACATAGTGAATTGTTTAATATTCAATACATTCCAAAATACCCCTTTAGATGTAGTCTTCTAAAATAAGCATAATCTGTAAAGGCAGAAAAGTACTAGTGTTTCCTCTTCAAGTGATTTTGTTCTTTTTAAAAAATATAAAACAGAAAGATAAAAATCAAAACTCCAACTCCACTGAACACTGCAGTATAAATGGATGATATGATTTCACTTCACAGTAACTCTTATTCTAAGCATTCTGACCCCAGGTAAGATTAACATATAATTTATGCAACATAGTTCTTAGAAAGATGGCCTAAGAGACAGACCTGCTGATTAGATGTGTACTGCCAGGACAGTCTTACATCTTTCTTAGAAGGAATGATTTGTAGTGCAAATTTAGTGCATCTTCAGAAAAGCCCCTTAGAATTATATAGAAAGATGGACATTCTAAATTGTAGTAGCACAGATTTTAAAAAACCAGAGTAGACAAGGATGTTAGTCATAATCTACCCCCAAAAATAAAAGTAGGCAGTTGAATGAAGGCTACAAATTTTAAATCCTTTCTACTGTGTAAACAGCAATATCTTAGAGCCTTGCATCTCGAAGATCATAACTTAAACTTCCCTAGTCATTCCCAAAATCACTAGATGGGTGGGGTGGGAGGGGGAGGGATGGTGGGGGAACCACTGTGAACATTTTTAAATTAGGAATCAATTTGTGAAAATTAATAGAAATATTTTGGTATTAAATTATCCAGGAGGACTTAGGCATGACAAATTTGGTAATAACTATTTACTGGTGTACATGCTTATTAGCCTGAACTGGCCACATTCAGGCCACTAGTTCTGAGGCAGTGGCCTGAATACTACGATCTTTTCCTGGATCTGGAATAAAGAACCATAAATGTCCTGCTCACCCACAAGTATATCAGTGTCAGACTGCCAGCTACATTGCCCTCAATCCACTGACAAGGGCATGTTTGAGCCATATTTAAATTTGTAATTGCTTTCTTCATTACTGATTTCTTAGAGTTCTCAGCATCATGCCAGATTGGTGACTAGCATGTGACTAAATGCTTGACCCTTGTCTGAGTTATGCAAACTTTCTCATTCCTCTGACTTTGCTTCTGATTCATCCATTCACCAAATCTTTATTATTAGCCACAAATGTTTTAGGCACTATGTTGGCAAATGAATTTGTAGACATTCTCCATGGCTTTATAGAATGAATAGTTTGGGGATCATTATTCAGTTCCTATAGCTTATCTCCTCTGTCATCCTCCTTAGTGGCATATCTTACAGCACTTATCACTACCTTGAAAACAATACATTTTCCAGTAGATATTTATACAATTAAGGAAACTAAAATAAGAGGTTCAAAGAGCATTAAGAGCATAGAGACTAAAGTTACTGGAAGAAAGCTCTAAATTACTTTTCTGGAGCTAGCGTTCACCTCTTCTTTCTTATCATTCTCTGAGGCTTGGGAACTGCTATGGCAACAAGAAAATTCCCAAAGGGAAGGTCATCTGTTCCATATTAGCAATGCTAATGCTGCTCTCCATTAGTTTGGAGAGCCATGTGCTGACTCTGTGAGCAGAGAGCAAAAACCAAACAGAAGTTAGCATGATTAGGAGTTATTAATTTATTATCAAGACAAAATAGTCTCATTCTTTTTGCTGCTTGCAGCATACATTGACGGCAGGAGTCCAACTGCCTGTCATTTATTCTTCCAATGACCCTTAATCTGACTTGAAATTGTTAGTCTTTTCACATTTACTGATTGCATTTTAAGACAAATTAATTTAAGTTAAATAAGGAACTTTCACAAATGTAAAAAATTGCAAGATATTGATTTATCTCTGGGGTATGTGAATTAATTTGTCTTTGTGAGGAGTTTGATACAGTCTTCTAACTGTACTATTGTAATCACTCAGGTTTTAATAAATTTTAAAAAGTGCAATATAATTTAAATGGCTGTTCTGTGTAATTTTCTATCTGAATATATATAAATATAAAATAAGCTGATATCAATTTATGTCTATTAGGTTATCTGCTTTTGTTAAAAAAAAAAGCCCAGTTTGCAATGGATTAAATCATATGATGCAATCTTCAAACAAAGATTTTTTTAAAAAAACAAAAGAAGGAGGGTAGTAGAATGCAAATAAAATTGGTTATCCCATACCCATTAACCTGTCTCTGTGATTTGTGGCCTCTCCCAGTGTGGACATTGTACACTGTGGGTGGTTACATAGCAGGATCATCCCTGAAGCTGAGTTGAGTTCAGTGAAGTTGGAAAAGAAGAGAACATTCCCTAGAGAGTTTAAGAATGTATCTTGTATACTATGTAAAAGAGGTTCCAGGCACACAGGAGAAAGAGCAGGAATAAGGGATGGCAGAGAAATGAAACAAATAATTTCTAGATGAGAATTTGTAAAAGACTGAAAAATAAAGCAGCGTCTATTTTCACAGAACCAGAGATGGTCGAGGTATGTGCAGCAGTAGAAGACTTCAACATTCCAGATGGAAATCAGACACATAGTAGTCTCTCTATAAGTATTCATTTCATGAAAGAATAATGTTATTTCAATTATAAGGTTAACCCGGATGGTGGCATAACACAACTTTTGCCTAGTGGCCCAAATATAATGTAAGATGATGTAAAAAGCTAAGAACAGTATCTGACACATAGAAAGTTCTATGTAAGTGTCAGCTGTTATTATTATAGCTATTTTTTATTATAATTACTATTACTAGTATTACCAGTTTTCTTACTTGGTTTGGAAAAAAAGTAACTTGTCTGGTGAAAACTATGGGCCCAAACAAGCATATGAAAAAAATGGGAAATGCAAATCAAAGCCACAATGCTATACCATCTTACTCCTGCAAGAAGGGCCATCATCAAAAAATCAAAAAATAATAGATGTTGGCGCGGATGTGGTGAAAAGGGAACACTTTAACACTGTTGGTGGGAATGTAAACTAGTACACCTACTATGAAAAACAGTGTGGACATTCCTTAAATAACCAAATGTAGATCTATCGCTTGATCTAGCAATCCCGCTACCGGGTATGTACCCAGAGGAAAAGAGGTTAATATACAAAAAAGATATTTGCACATGCAAGTTTATGGCAGCATAGTTTGCAATTGCAAAAATATGAAACCAGCTCAAAGGCCCATAAATCAACGGGTGGATAAAGAAAATGTGGTATATATACACCATGGAATACTACTCAGCCATAAAAAAGGAATGAAATAATGGCATTCACAGCAACCTGGATGGAATTGGAGACCATTATTCTAAGTGAAGTAACTCAGAAATGGCAAACCAGACACCATATGTTCTTACTCTTAAGTGGGAGCTAAGCTGTGAAGACACAAAGGCATAAGAATGATACAATGGACTTTATGAACTTAGGGGGAAAAAGTGGGAGGGTGGTGAGGGATAAAAGACTACATATTGGGTACGGTGTATACTGCTCAGGTGATGATGCACCAAAATCTCAGAAATCACCACTAAAGAACTATTCATGTAACCAAACACTACCTGCTCCCTGAAAACGTATTGAAATAAAAAATAAATTAAAAAAAAAAAAAGAAAAATATGGGCCCTCTGAAAGGAGCTAGGGTTGATCTTGATGGGTGGCTTACAGAAGGAAAATGTGACTATTTGGGGAGTTGTTAACTCTCAGGACACTTACCTATATAGGAAAACCACACTAATTTCAACAAGTAGAAAGACTGTACCTGATTTTTCTACTTATAGAATCACTCTGTCAGATATTGAATGGAGATACTTTCTACAATGTGTTAACTTTTTCAGGTGCTCACTTCTAATGTACCTTGAGGAAAACAATATATATTATCAATATGAGTAACACAATACTATCCTATATTTATATATTCAAATTAACAATTAATGACAAGTTCTCAACTATTTGCAAATAGGTAAGAACTTAATTATCCCTGTTTTAGAGATGTGCAAACCAAGGTTCATAGAGGTTACCTGATTTGATTGGGGGCAACAATAACTCTGGAGGTACTGAGACTAAAACTAAAATCCTTTGCTACCTAATATTTTATTCTTAGTAATCAACAGGTACTTATGAAACATTCTCTAGGGACTTTAATCTCATTTGGGAAACAGTTTTTTTTTTTTTCTTCACTGATTCAGCCAGAGGAAGAAAAAAGGCACAAAGAAGAGAACACATTTGATATAAATTAATTATTTGCAGAATGACAGTTTCCTTTTGTATAAATAAATGATAATAATGATAATAACAGCAGTTAAACATATAGCTCTTACCATGTGCCAAACATTCTAAGCATTTTACATACATTTGTTTAAACCTCAAAGAAAGCCATGAATGCAGTATTATCATCTCAACTTTACATGTTGGGAAACTAAGGCACAGAAAGGTCAACTGATTTGTCCACAATCATACAAACAGAAAATGAGAGCACCGGGATTCTAACCTAGGCTAACTCCAGAGTTTGTGCTCTTAGCCATGAATATGAGACCACCAATTCCTTAAACCTGGCATCTGGTATAACATAGTCAGGAACTGATCCTGGGTTCCAGAATACAATTTTACTTTAAGGAAGCCAAATTTTTTTCCTGGTTATTTTATTTCATTTTGTTTTTTATTTTATTTTCTGAAACAGAACTCTGTCCCCCAGGCTGGAGTGCAGTGGCTCAATAACAGCTCACAACAATCTCCACCTCCCCGGGTTCAAGCGATTCTCGAGCCTCAGACACATGAGTATCTGGGATTTTTTTATTTTTTATTTTTTGTATTTTTTGTATTTTTAGTAGAGATGCCCTGCTAATTTTTGTATTTTTAGTAGAGATGGGGTTTCGCCACTTTGCCCAGGCTGGTCTCAAACTCCTGACCTCAAGTGATTCGCCCGCCTTGGCTTCCCAAAGTGCTGGGATTACAAGCATGAGCCACCGTGTCAGGACTCTGATAATTTTATTTTAATTATTTTATATCTTTTCTAAAGAATTGAGTTTTGCATTTAAATTATTCCAAGTTGGCTAGAACATGTTATATTGTACATATATATCCACAAATGATTTCAAACCATTACAGTGTTTTTGAAAATATTAGATAGTCTTCAAATATAGGTGTCCATTGGATTAAATAAACTGCAGATTTTATCATGTGAGAAGCCACATGTTTTGTATTATAAAGGCAAGCTGCTACTCAAAAGTATGACAAGGCTGCTGATATATAGCTCAACATCCAGATCTCTGATTTACCCTTTAATTTATATGACTTAAAAGACTCTTATAAATATAAATTGGGAGCCCACTCTTCTACTTCAGAGATATGAGAAAGCTGCTGTTTAAATAAATTCACTATTCAACTGTTTCAGCCTATATACCAGCAACTTCATATGATTTCAACTTAATAAAATCATGTATGCCAACTTCATTGAGGGCAGAGTGTTTTGTTGTTTTTACTTTTTGTTTCCTGTTATATACCTAGCAGCATCCAAAACAGTGCTTTAACATAAGGAATAATAAATTTTGTTTAGTTTGTGGAATAAACATAGTCAGTAGAAAAAAATAAAAATTGAGGTTAGTTAACAACTTTAATTAGCAATGAAAACAATGGCTTAGATTGAGCACTCACTGTGTACTAACTCGTCACTGAGTTCAGCACTTCAGCCCTATGAAGCAATAGTATCTATCCACCTTTTACAGTAATTCAAATATTTAAGCACTTTCTCAGATTAACAGAGCTAGTAAATTATGCCTTCTTCATATGACAGCTGTCACCATGTCTGCTCTTATCTTACATTTCTTATTTTTTCCTTTTTTTTCCTGTGTCCTCCTGCCATAATATTAAAAATATATATATAAGGTCAGAGATTCATCTGTTTTGTTTCCTATTTTATCCACAGTATCCAAAATCTGGCCCCTGGTGGGTACCTTTTGAATAGCTGCTGGATAAATAAATGAATTATAAATTATAAATAAATGAATGAATAAATAAATAAATTACATCTGAGCCCAGGCCTATTTGATTCCAGTGCCTAACTCTCAATGATTGTATACTGCCTGTGAAACAGAACCATGAAAGGGTCTTACTGAATACCCTCACCCTAAGAGACCAAAGGTGATCAGGTAACAGTGTCTTTCCCTAGGTTCTCATGGCTAAAGACATTAGAGAAGATGAATGGGGCCCCGTTTTGGAGTCACAGTTATGGGTTTAACAATATAGAATAACACCAGCTATCATTGATTAAACCACACTGCAAAGATGGAAACACAGAAGAAAAGCCTGAATTTAAAAAAATCCCTTTATTTATTTACAAACTAATTTAATTTAAACTGAAGAACAAAGATACTTTTGCTATTACTCTAGACTTGTGGGTTACTGTATACCATTATTGCTCTTGAGATCTTCCTATTATTTCAAAATTGTGAGCTCTATGAAGTTAAAATTAGTAAGGGGATTTGAGTCTCTGTATTTCCCAGTTGGTTTTCCTTTAACCTGAATAATTTGCATGCACACACTCAGGGTTTTGATGCAGTAATTTTAATGCTAGTTATGAAACGATCAGGTTATAGCACCAAGTTAATAAGTAGAGGCTGCAGTAGTGTTACAACAACAGGGCTTTGGTGGCATCCCAAAGAAATCAAAAGCAAAGATAATAATGTTTTGTTAGATTCAAACTGTGTGGTTATTTAGAGTGAGTTTGTTCTATACTCCTTGTCTAAAGTCAGTCTAGGTATCTCCCTATTCATGTGTTTCTCGATGGCACCTTGCAATTATAATTAACTATGTTCTCCTCTGTGCAATTGCTGTCATAGAGCCTCCTTCCAGCTGCTACTTTACAGATAAGTTTGTCTGGAGCCCGATTCCATAGCAAAGAGATTCAAGAAATCATCCATATTAGTTTTGCAAAGTAATATGGGCCCCGAAAGATATATATGGGAAAGAAAGCATAAACAAAAATGGAATATATGATATATTATTTATGTGCTTCCCCAGACTGCTATCCATGATATCATTCTAACAAACTTAAAGTCGGCATCAAAAAAAAAAACAAAAAACAAAAAAAAACACCTCACTGATATGCTGTGTAATGGTTACCACTTTCTTCACACGACAAGCCAAAGAGGATGTCATCTTTGTTTCCCATCAGAGTAAATGCTAATTACTAATGACTTATTTGCCAAAAATTTTCTAGAATTATTTCTAATCCTTTTTACAAATATGTAAGTGGCAATAATGTTGCCCATTAAGAAGCAAAGGTGCTGGGCACGGTGGCTCACGCCTGTAATCCCAGTACTTTGGGAGGCTAAGGCAGGCAGATCACCTGAGGTCGGGGGTTCAAGACCAGCCTGATCTACATGGTGAAACCCCGTCTCTACTAAAAATACAAAAATTAGCTGGGCCCGGTGGTGCATGCCTGTAGTCCAGCTACATGGGAGGCTGAGGCTGGGAGTACCTTGAACCCGGGAGGCGGAGGTTGCAGTGAGCCGAAATTGCACCACTGCACTCCAGCCTAGGTGACAGAGACAGACTCTGACTCAAAAAAAAAAAAAAAAAAAAAAGAAGCAAAGGGGTTTTCTTGGATCACATTAATAGGTATGGAAGCCTAATTTGTCGGACTACAAGGCTTACACTCTAACATTCACTTAAAATGCATAGCAGATAGCTTGTTATTGTTGAGTATCCGGTCTTTTATTTAGTAAGGCCTGCTTCTAGGTCACATGAAAAATGCGTTAATGAACGCTTTTGGGTGATGGTGATGAGCTTCATGTCTCTCATTTGTGCTTCTTTTCTGAAAATGTACATATATTCTGTTTTTATCCTTGTTATGTTTTAGTATATATCTTTCTTTTAATAGTCACATTAGGAAAGAATAAAGAAATAAAGGATTGTCTTTCATGAAGAAGTAAAATACAACTATATCCAACTGTTTGGAGAGGGGAGTGTGGGTTACCTGTTCATAACACAGCCAGTTCTTCCATTCATTAAGTGTATTCACTGCCTGCTGTGAACCACACACTTTGCCAGGAAAGATACTGATAAAATTAACAAAACTGTCACATCAAGAGACTCCCTTAGTCTTATGAAAGTAACACTTCATGCTTTCAAGAAAAACTTATTTCAACATTTAACTAAATATCTGTTATTTTGCATGGTAATATAGCATAGTGTAGCAAAATTTACAGTCTTTGAGCCCAGACAGACCCAAGATCTAACCACTTCTCTGTTACTCTTTCTTTTATAAGCTCAACTGGGGAAAAATATTCAATTTCCCTAGGTCTCCATAACTTCCTCTGTATTATGGAGATTATGGAGTTTGACTGTTCTGATTATTATATCACAGTGTGTGTGTGTGTAAAGAAACTGGCACATTACTGATGCTATTGTTATTATTATTGAGATAGTACTTTACAAAAATTCTAGTAAAACCTTTAAATTTTTTGGCAGTCAACACTGATCAAGGAGTTTTTCAGTGACATCCTTAAATTAAAAAGCGAGGCAGACATAGGGCCCAGAAGTCCTGATCTTACTTTGTTTTGTAAAAAAAAACAGCTGATGGAGATAATATGCCCTTAATCAGGGCTAGGTTCTGATTTTTGTTTTCTCTTTCTCATCATTATTCAGAAAATCTAAAATTATATCAGAAAATATGTACGGAATGTGAGTGTTAAAGTGATTTTTTAAGTTGACAATGTAATGGATGACTCAGTAAGAAAAATGTGGGGATTAGCCAGTTTCTAAGTTGGGAACTCCCTGCCTTTTTATCTGCCTTCCTGGCTTCGTATTAACAAGAACAGGTTAGATCAAAACGCTGTAACTGCAGAGGTAATTCACAGCCACACATTATCACTTACATCTTTCTTCTGCTTCAGAGCCCAGAAATGGCAGTCAGCTGATGTTAAAGGACTCTGGATCATTTGGAACCATCTGTATAACCTTGATCTCGCCTATCTCAGGGAGCTATTATCACACTATTGTCCCTGAATGAACACTCAATTTCTGAAGTAGTTTGACTCCTGTGGATTTTGGGGGAGGTCATGCTTAGGGGAGCCATTCTTTCTGAATTAAATCTTCTCATCCTCAGACCCCTTGCTTCCATCATTAGGAAGCAGAGACCTTGACATATCCACAATGGAGTCTATTAGGTGCTGCCTTTTCTGTAGACATCTTTAAACATATCTTTTACTTTTTGGATTTTCGTTTGATAACCCTGATCCCTATCTTTTCTTTTTTCTTGTAATTATTTATATCTGAGATTCAAGCCAGGCTCATTGTGCCATGATACATTTGGATGTAACATGATATGATGAAAAGTGATGTTCCAAAATTCTGAATCAATATACTGCACCCAGGCTTGATTGTTAAAGTCAAATTGGATTCTGGGGCTAATTTTTCATTTAAAATGCTAATATAAATGGAAGTTCCAATGAATAATAATGTAGCCAGATCAGAAAATTGTTTCTGGGTATAATATTCCCTTTTGGAATTTATTTATTCATTATGGACAAATATCAAATTATAACTACGACAATATTTCAGACATTCCCTGGTCTTTAAAAAGTTATGTATTTTTTAAAGAATATGATAAGGAGACCTTAACATAAGCTGCTTTATAGTGTTTTTGACTACTAGAGGCAATTAAGTTAATTTTTAATATACTTTTTAGAAATGTTATTAAAATACAGTATAGTGTTAAACAATTGAAGAAAAGAAGGCATTTTTAAGAAGCTTACACTAGATTTATAAAAAATGGTGTACCATGGTTGTAAAGCAGAGACAACTCATTTTCTAACCTACTTTGATACCCATACATCAAGTGATTTGGCCACCAACATAAAAACTGCAGGCCACCCGTCTACAAAACATATTTCTCCATTATATCTGGAAAGTCTTTCTCATTATATTTGATACAGAACCATAGAACTATGTCTTACAGAAAATCTTCAGTCTTAGTTCACTAACACACATAGTGTGTTTTCTCACATATAGTGTGAGAAAAAACCTGGAGAAAGTAATCATCTGATATTAAACCAAAACAACTTTTAGAAAATATTTTCACTATTGACATAATAGAATGCTGTAATGAGATAAGTATAGTGAGTGGAAGAGTCTGGATTTTAACACTCTACCACTAAGCCATGGGTGACCTGGGGCAAATAACTGAACCCCTCTTCACATCAGTTTCCTTATCTCTAAAAATGAGGTTACTCAATAATCATTTTTGCCTTCAATTATATTATACCACATGCTTTTATGTTTTGTCAGAAGGAGAAAGGATTGAGTATTTTTCTCAGGACTTGGAGCAGGCAGAATGAGGATTTCAGCAGCAATCCTTTGACTCCAGCATGCAGGATTCTCACATCTGTCTTCTCTCACATCTGCCTCCAGTGTACCAGCAAAGATCACAGGGGTCAGGTCAAGGTGGCAGTGATCCATGTTCTTACCATGTCACCTGGTTTCATTATTTTCCTTTTTATCTTTCTTCCTTTTGATAATTACCTTCTCCATTCTAAGATTTAGTTTATAAAAGGGAGAAGTATAAAGATTATCTTACTGATTATTACCTGTCAATCAAGCATAATATTTTGTGTAATTTTTCTTTCATAAATAATTGCAAGTGCAAAATACTTAGGCAGAGCATTTTCAAATGATGGAGGGCCTCTGAAATTCTGTTCCTTTATAAAAAGCAGAAAAAACACTAACAAAAATTTTCAAAATCAACTTTATCATAACTCTGGAAACTAACCAAAGGATTGCCATCAAGGAGAATTTAAAAATGACTAAATCTTCATAAAAGAGTAATCTTTGGAGCTTGACCTACTTTCCTACCTCTTGCCTTGCCTCTATGGTAGGCATAAATACCAACATTCTCATAATTACAGTAGCTGAAAATCAGCAGCCAAGCAATTACTAAAGGGGAGCAGAATGTATTTGGAACATACCCAAAGCCCTATCTCTAGAGAATTGTCACTATTTTATCTGAAAGCTCTCTAGAAAAGCGTAATTCATAGGATTGGTCTTTATTTGACCTTCTCAGAGCTCTCTCGGTGCACACAACTCTATCCCTAGGGTATTTGTTGAAAATAATCAATGTCAATGTTAGTCATTGCAGGTTCCCAAGACAGTGATATCAGTTGGAGGCAACAACAGAAATTATATATAGATTAGATATAGATATAGATATATGAAAAACTAAGGAATAAGATGCCCATAGAGGGCTTTGAAAAGTTCCAACATATTCCTGAAAATATAGAAGGCCATATACATGTGCAGGACTATGCACATATCCAAGGAAGAATAAGAAAACTCTATTCACCTACCACTAACTGATTTTGAGGCTCTGTGTAAGCAGGAAGTGAAAGATAAGGAAGACTTGTAAACTTCCCTCTGGACCACTGAAGACATGCCCCAATGCATACACAGAGCCCCTTGGTAATGGCTGGGAGAATTATTGTTTCAAAATATCGAATAAAATCTGTTTTTAATAATTACCTAACTACTAAGATAACTAAGCAGAGATTTTAGTAGCCACATATAACAAATAATATCATCGTCATAGAATTAGTCTAGGAAAGTCACTAAAGAAACAAACAGCAACAGCACCAGTAATACAAAGCACAACAAATCCTGGTGGTTAGCTGGCTGTCAGAGCTGCCACATTGTACTCCTTAAAATATAGTTTTCAACAAAAGAGAATAATGCAAAACTCACCGAATATAACCCACACATGGATAAAAATAAGTCAAAAGAAACTTTCCATAAGAAAACTTGGATACTGGACTTACTAAAAAAATACTTCAAATCAGCCATTTTAAGTATGTTTAAAGAACTAAAAATAAATGTCTAAAGAATTAAAGGAAAGTACAAGTATGATGTCTTACCAAATTAATACTATTAATAAGTATATAAAATATTATTTTTTAAAGAACCAAATGGAAATTCTGAATAACTGAAATGAAACATTCATTAGTGGCATTCAAAGTTAACTTTGAACTGGCAGAAGAAAGAAGATCAGTGAACTTGAAGATAGGTCAACTGAAATTGTCCAATGTAAGGAACTGAAAGAAAAAAAAATGAGAAGAATGAATTGGGTCTCTAAGACCTATATATAACACCCAAAAATGTGTATCAAATTGTACTTAAAAATGCGTATCAGGAGTCTCAGAAGGAAAGAAGAGACAGCAGAGACAGTATTGGAATAAATAATGGCCCAAAGTTTATAATTTGAGAAAAAGTATTAACCTACGCGTCCTCAAAAATCTTCAGTAGTGTTATCGTAAAGATATACACATGGACACATTACAGTAAAGCTGCTGAAAGCCAAATCCAAAGAGAATTCTGAAAATATCAAGAGAAAACCTGGTCATCATATACAAGGGATCTTCAGGAAGATGACTACCTGACTTCGCTGCAGAAACCATGGAGACTAGAAGGCAGTAGGACAACATATCCAAAATACCAAAAGAAAAAGGCTGAAAGCTAAACTACCATTTAAGAATGAAGGAGATATTAAGACAATCCTAGATAAACAAAAATTAAGAGCATTCATAGCTTGTAGATCTGCCCTAGGAAAAAATATAGGAAATTCTTCAGATTGAAATGAAAGGGCAGTAGATAGTAACTCAAATCTATACGATAATAACACAATGGAGAAGGAACATATAGAGCTATGCAGAAAGAATATTTTTGTATACAATTGAAATAAAATTGATACCAATCTGAACTAAATTGTTTTAAGTTAAAATATTAATTGTAATCTCCAGGTAAACTATTGTGATAATAACTCATAACATACACAGTCGAAAAAACAAGACCTATGCTTCTAGGCAGATAGAGTAGACAAACTTGTTCCTATTCCTCTCATTAAGTACAACAAAGAAATCTCAACAGTATATGTAAAACAAACATATGAAAATTCTGAAAAGTGAAGATAAAAAGGAAGACAGCTACCTTGGGGTCCAAAGAACAGTATGGTAGTGACTTCCCTAGGTTTTCTTTTGGCCTTATATATCTCATATTTGGAGGTTAGAAAGCCAGCCAATGAGTGGAGATTAAAAACAACAACAACAACAAAAGTCTGCTTTTTCTAGTCATAGGAAAGTATAGCCTAGCAAAACGGGAAATGTATAACAACCATTGCTCTACTGCAGCCAAGCACTATAGAATTAAACTTGGTAACACTCCCAATTTACGTAAGGAAAAAATGAGTGTGGACCCTAGACTTCTGTTCCTATGAAGCTACAATGAAGTGCCCTGAAATGGTGCGTTTCTACTGGAATGGTATCAGAGACAACCAAGGAAGGAGTTGGGACTTTCATCCCCAATAGTCAGCAGTAAGACCTCATCACCAGAGGTGTCAACAGAAAAAAATGTGGAGAGATTAAACTTCAACATTCACTCAACATAACAAACTACTCTTTCCACTCCTCAAAGGAGTGGTGTCAGAAGAAGCCTAGTAGGGATTCATGACTTTTACCATTACCCAGTGGTAATAACCCCTGTGTCAATGTCAGTGGTGATCTTATGAGAAGTTAAAACTCTTATCCCTACCTAGCAGTAACGATGACAATCTCTTGGGGTGTCAATGGAGGCTCAGTTGGGAATCTACTCTTTCACCTCCTTCTGGAAGTGATGAAAGAGTACATCCCCTTCCCAAGCTCTATTGGTGTCACAGAAAATAAGCTGAAAATGAAAGATTTAAGTAAGATTCATGGTCTCTAACATATTATTAATTGTTCAGATTTAAATTTAAAAGTCACTTGTGATCAAGAACCCTAAAGGTCTCCACTAATTGAAAAAGATCAATCAATAGCTGTCAACACCAACAATACAGAGATATTAGAATTACCTGACAAAAATTTTAAAGCAGCCATGATAAAAATGCTTCAACAGCAGTTGCAAATATTCTTGAAACAAAAGAAAAATTAAAAAGCCTCAGGAAAAAAATAGAAAGTCTCATTAAAGAAAGACAAAATATAAAGAAGAATAAATATGTTAGAACATAAAAATACAATAATTATAATTTTAAAAATCTCAGTGGATGAGCTCACTGGCAAAATGGAGAACAAATAGAAATATCAGTAAACTAGAGAAAGAACAATAGAAATTATTCTTTTAAAACAAACAACAAGGATAACATAGACTGAAAAAATATTGACACAAGTAGGATTTCAACAAAAGATGTTCAATTCATATCATTGGGGATCTGAAAGGAAAGGAGAATGGGGACAGGGCTAAAAGTGCTTTAAAAGGTAATAGCTAAAATTCTCCCAAATAATATTTCTATTTAATAACACTACAGACAAATCAAAATGAAATTTTGAAAGATACTCAGTAGTATACAAGAAGGCAGAAAAAAGAAAACAGTGAAATAAAAAATAGGAAGAACAAATTATATACTTAATGTTCTTACATATCAATATTTACAATATCAGAAAGAAATATGTGAAATTCACTATTATGTGGAAATTAAGCAATGTACTCTTAAATAACCAATTAGAGAAACTAGATGAAACTGATGATTTTTTAAATAAAAATAAACTACAAAAAATAATGCAAAAAGAAAAAGGTAAGCCTAACAAATTAATAACAGGCAAAGAGATGGAATTAGTAACTATAAATGCACTTCCCTTCCCCAACCCTGTCCAAAAAAAAGCACAGCCTCGCTGAAGTTGCTTATCAGCTTAAGGAGATTTTGGGCTGAGACAATGGGGTTTTCTAGATATACAATCATGTCGTCTACAAACAGGGACAATTTGACTTCCTCTTTTCCTAAGTGAATACCCTTTATTTCCTTCTCCTGCCTAATTGCCCTGGCCAGAACTTCCAACACTATGTTGAATAGGAGTGGTGAGAGAGGGCATCCCTGTCTTGTGCCAGTTTTCAAAGGGAATGCTTCCAGTTTTTGCCCATTCAGTATGATATTGGCTGTGGGTTTGTCATAGATAGCTCTTATTATTTTGAAATGCGTCCCATCAATACCTAATTTATTGAGAGTTTTTAGCATGAAGCGTGGTTGAATTTTGTCAAAGGCTTTTTCTGCATCTATTGAGATAATCATGTGGTTTTTGTCTTTGGCTCTGTTTATATGCTGGATTACATTTATTGATTTGTGTATATTAAACCAGCCTTGCATCCCAGGGATGAAGCCCACTTGATCATGGTGGATAAGCTTTTTGATGTGCTGCTGGATTCGTTTTGCCAGTATTTTATTGAGGATTTTTGCATCAATGTTCATCAAGGATATTGATCTAAAATTCTCTTTTTTTGTTGTGTCTCTGTCTGGCTTTGGTATCAGAATGATGCTGGCCTCATAAAATGAGTTAGGGAGGATTCCCTCTTTTTCTATTGACTGGAATAGTTTCAGAAGGAATGGTACCAGTTCCTCCTTGTACCTCTGGTAGAATTCAGCTGTGAATCCATCTGGTCCTGGACTCTTTTTGGTTGGTAAGCTATTGATTATTGCCACAATTTCAGATCCTGTTATTGGTCTATTCAGAGATTCGATTTCTTCCTGGTTTAGTCTTGGGAGAGTGTATGTGTCGAGGAATTTATCCATTTCTTCTAGATTTTCTAGTTTATTTGCGTAGAGGTGTTTGTAGTATTCTCTGATGGTAGTTTGTATTTCTGTGGGATCGGTGGTGATATCCCCTTTATCATTTTTTATTGCATCTATTAGATTCTTCTCTCTTTTTTTAGTCACAAGCATTCTTATACACCAACAACAAACAGAGAGCCAAATCATGGGTGAACTCCCATTCACAATTGCTTCAAAGAGAGTAAAATACCTAGGAATCCAACTTACAAGGGATGTGAAAGACCTCTTCAAGAAGAACTACAAACCACTGCTCAAGGAAATAAAAGAGGATACAAACAAATGGAAGAACATTCCATGCTCATGGGTAGGAAGAATCAATATTGCAAAAATGGCCATACTGCCCAAGGTAATTTACAGATTCAATGCCATCCCTATCAAGCTACCAATGCCTTTCTTCACAGAATTGGAAAAAACTACTTTAAAGTTCATATGGAACCAAAAAAGAGCCCGCATCGCCAAGTCAATCCTAAGCCAAAAGAACAAAGCTGGAGGCATCACACTACCTGACTTCAAACTATACTACAAGGCTACAGTCACCAAAACAGCATGGTACTGGTACCAAAACAGAGATATAGATCAATGGAACAGAACAGAGCCCTCAGAAATAATGCCACATATCTACAACCATCTGATCTTTGACAAACCTGAGAAAAAGAAGCAATGGGGAAAGGATTCCCTATTTAATAAATGGTGCTGGGAAAACTGGCTAGCCATATGTAGAAAGCTGAAACTGGATCCCTTCCTTACACCTTATACAAAAATTAATTCAAGATGAATTAAAGACTTAAACGTTAGACCTAAAACCATAAAAACCCTAGAAGAAAACCTAGGCATTACCATTCAGGACATAGGCATGGGCAAGGACTTCATGTCTAAAACACCAAAAGCAATGGCAACAAAAGACAAAATTGACAAGTGGGATCTAATTAAACTAAAGAGCTTCTGCACAGCACAAGAAACTACCATCAGAGTGAACAGGCAACCTACAAAATGGGAGAAAATTTTCGCAACCTACTCATCTGACAAAGGGCTAATATCCAGAATCTACAATGAACTCAAACAAATTTACAAGAAAAAAACAAACAACCCCATGAAAAAGTGGGCGAAGGGCATGAACAGACACTTCTCAAAAGAAGACATTTATGCAGCCAAAAAACACATGAAAAAATGCTCATCATCACTGGCCATCAGAGAAATGCAAATCAAAACCACAATGAGATACCATCTCACACCAGTTAGAATGGCAATCATTAAAAAGTCAGGAAACAACAGGTGCTGGAGAGGATGTGGAGAAATAGGAACACTTTTACACTGTTGGTGGGACTGTAAACTAGTTCAACCATTGTGGAAGTCAGTGTGGCGATTCCTCAGGGATCTAGAACTGGAAATACCATTTGACCCAGCCATCCCATTACTGGGTATATACCCAAAGGACTATAAATCATGCTGTTATAAAGACACATGCACCCGTATGTTTATTGCGGCATTATTCACAATAGCAAAGACTTGGAACCAACCCAAATGTCCAACAATGATAGACTGGATTAAGAAAATGTGGCACATATACACCATGGAATACTATGCAGCCATAAAAAATGATGAGTTCATGTCCTTTGTAGGGACATGGATTAAATTGGAAAACATCATTCTCAGTAAACTATCGCAACAACAAAAAACCAAACACCGCATATTCTCACTCATAGGTGGGAATTGAACAATGAGATCACATGGACACAGGAAGGGGAATATCACACTCTGGGGACTGTTGTGGGGTTGGGGGAGGGGGTAGGGATAGCATTGGGGGATATACCTAATGCTAGATGATGAGTTACTGGGTGCAGTGCACCAGCATGGCACTTGTATACACATGTAACCAACCTGCACATTGTGCACATGTACCCTAAAACTTAAAGTATAATTAAAAACAAAAACAAAAACAACAAAAAAAAGCAAAAAAAAAAAAAAAAAAGCACAGCCTCAGACAGTTTCACTGATGAATTCTACCAAATGTTTAAAGAAAATGTAACATGAGTTCTTCACAAACACTTCCAATGTAGAAGACAAAGGAATACTCTTCAGTTCATTCTGAATCCAATATTACTTTGATACCAAATATAATTGTGATTTTCACCATTACTTTTAATGGTGAAAATCACAGTTACTTTTCCAACAACCTAATACAAAAAAAGAAAATCACAGACAGAAATACAAAATATATTAATGAAAATATTACTCAACACTAAGAGACAGAATGGAACTTTCTCAACTTGAAGTAGAACATCTACAAAAAACCCATAGCAAGCACAATACTTAATAATAAAAGATGGAATATTTGCCCCAGGAGGGAAAACAAGACAACAATGTTTACTTTCATTCTATTCAAACTTATGTCTATTCAACCATTATATTGGAGGCTCTAACCAGGACAATTAATCAAGGAAAATCAATAAGATACATACAGATTAGAAAGGACATAAAACTATACCTATTTGCAGATGACATAATATCAAAAATAAAAAATCGTAAGTAATCCATGAAAAACTATTAGATTTGTAAATGAACTCATCAAGTTTTCAGGACATAAGTTCAAAATATGAAATTCAGCTATATTTTTAAATACTGGCATGAAAAGTCTAAAATTTAATTTTAAAAGCAGTTCTATTTACAATAGCATCAAAAAATAAGACTATGACAAGCTTAACAAAGGTAGTACAAACTTGCACACTGAAATACAGAATGATGGAGAGGGCTGCATTGGACTTAATATTAAGAAGGCAATATTCTCCAAATTGTTCTGGATGTTTATAACAATTCCTATCAAAAATTCTGCTGGCTTTTTTTGTAGACATTGACAAACTGATCTTAAAATTCATTTGGAAGTTCAGAAGACCTAGAATGGCCAAACCCTGTAGAAAAATAAAACAAAACAAAATTAAAGAACTTATACTTCCAGATGTCAACACTTTTTTACAGTGCTGGAGTCCTCAAGACAGTGTGTTATGGCAAGACCAAAGGAATAGAATTAGGAATCAAGGAATAAACCCTCACATTTATTGCTTTTCAATTGTTTTTCAACATGGGTGTATTTTTTGTGCTTCTATAACATAATTTCCAAGACTTGGCAATTTATAAACAATGGAAATTTATTTGTTAAGTTCTAGAGGCTGGGAAGTCCTAGAATAAGGTGCCAGCATTTAGTATCTGGTGAAAGCTGCTCTCTAAGATAGAGTGTTGAGGCTGACTCCTCACATGGCAAAAAAGATGCATGCCATGTCCTCACATGGTGAAAATCAGAAGAATAAAAAAGATTTGGCTAGTATCTTTAAAAGATGTTAATCCCATCCATGAGGACAAAGAGCCATCATGTCCTTATTGTCTCCTAAAGGCTCTTAACACTTTTGCATTGCAGATTAAGTTTCAGATGAATTTTGGAGGGAATGCAGGCATTCAAATCATAGCAGATGTCAAGACAATATACTGTGGAAAGGGTAATATTTTCAAGGAATGGTGCTTTAATAACTTAATATTCCATGCAAAAGATACGGTTTTGCCCCAACCTCACACCATGTAGGGAAATTAATTCAAAATTGATAATAAGCCTAAGAGCTAAAAATTTAAAACTCTTAGAAGAAATTATAGGTGTAAATCTTCATGACTTTTTTTTTTTACTTTAAGTTGTGAGATACATGTGCAGAATGTGCAGGTTTGTTACAGAGGTATACATGTTCCATGGTGGTTTACTGCACCTATCCACCCAACATCTAGGTTTTAAGGCCCACATGCATTAGGTATTTGTCCTAATGCTCTCCCTCTCCTTGCCCCCCGTCCCCTGTCAGGCCCCAGTGTGTGCTGTTCACCTCCCTGTGCCCATGTGTTCTCATTGTTCAACTCCCACTTATGAATGAGATTGAGAAGTGAAGCCAGCTGGACTTCTGGGTCAGGTGGGGACTTGGAGAACTTTTCTGTCTAGCTAAAGGATTGTAAATGCACCAATCAGCACTCTGTAAAAACACACCAATCAGCACTCTGTGTCTAGCTAAAGGACTGTAAACACACCAATCAGCACTCTATAAAAAGGACCAATCAGCAGGATGTGGGTGGGGCTAAATAAGAGAATAAAAGCTGGCCACCCAAGCCAGCAGTGGCAACCCGCTCAGGTCCCCTCCCACACTGTGGAAGCTTTGTTCTTTTGCTCTTCACAATAAATCTTGCTGCTGCTCACTCTTTGGGTCTGCACTACCTTTATGAGCTGTAACACTCACTGTGAGGGTCTGCAGCTTCACTCCTGAAGTCAGTGAGACCACGAACCCACCAGAAGGAAGAAACTCTGGACACATCTGAACATCTGAAGGAACAAACTCTGGACACACCATCTTTAAAAACTGTAACACTCACTGTGAGGGTCTGTGGCTTCATTCTTGAAATCATCAAGACCAAGAACCCACAAGAAGGAATAAATTCTGGACACATTTTGGCAACCATGATGGGACTATCGACTATCGCCAAGCGGTGAGTATCAGTGGACCTCTTTCGCTTGCTATTCTGTCCTATTTTTCCTTAGAATTCTGGGGCTAAATACTGGGCACCTGTCGGCCAGTTAAAAGTGACTAGCGCAGCCACCAGACTAAAGACACGGGTGTCAGGCTTTCTAGGAAAGGGCTCTCTAACAACCCCTGACTCTTTGGAGTTGGGAGTGTTGGTTTGCCTGGAACCAGCTTCCGCTTTTTTACTTCTTCTGGACTGAGCCAAAGGTCAACAGAGAGGAAAGCCATTCAGATCTGGGGTCCTGACAACAAGTTGGTTGACCCTGTGGCCATAAGCAGAACTCTCAAAGTTGTGTCGCCCAAGTGAGACTTGCCTATCTACCGTATCTATCCTGACCCTTGCCTCCTGGGTCCTAATGCCTGTCAGACAAACTTTCTCTTGCCTCTCTTCTCTGAGGCTAGTCCCACTTCTAAAAACTACTCCCTGTCTCTGGTACCTTTCTAGTTTATCCTATAAGAATGATTTCTAGTATAAACTCCAGGACTCTATTCCCATCTTTAGGCACCCGGGCTCACCAATCAGAAAGACAAAATTTTTGCCCAAAGCCCCATTGGAGGGAGAGGGGGGAACTATCTAATCTGGAATTTTAGGATCCCTCCTTAGACTAGCAGGCCTAACAAAAGCTATTCCTGAAGCTAGGATATGGGTAGCTTCAGAAATGATATCCTTCCTATTCAAGTGAGGACAAAATGTGTTACTCTTCCAACCCTGGAGATCCCTTCCCTCCCTCAGGGTATGGCCCTCCACTTTATTTTTGGGGCATAACATCTTTATAAGACAGTGGTAAGGTCCCAGTACTAACAGGAGAAAGCTTAGGACTCTAACAGGTTTTCTAGAATGCGTTGGTAAGGGCCACTACATCTGATTTTTCTTGTTCCTCTTTGTGGTCTAGGAGGGAAAACTAGTGTTTCTGCTGCTGCGTCAGTGAGTGCAACTATTCCGATCAGCAAGATCCAGGGACCGTTGTGGGTTCTTGCGTGGGAGAGAAACAAACAAACCAAAACCATGGGTGGTTTTGTCTTTCAGATGGGAAACACTCAGGCATCATCAGCTCACCCTTAAAATGCATCCTAAGCCATTGGGACCAATTTGACCCACAAACCCTGAAAAAGAGGCAGCTCATTTTTTTCTGCACTATGGCTTGGTCCCAATTTTCTCTCTCTGATGGGGAAAAATGGCCACCTGAGGGAAGTATAAATTACAATACTATCCTGCAGCTTGACCTTTTCTGTAAGAGGGAAGGCAAATGGGGTGAAATACCTATGTCCAAACTTTCTTTTCATTGAAGGAGAATACACAACTATGCAAAGCTTGCAATTTACATCCCACAGGAAGACCTCTCAGCTTACCCCCATATCCTAGCCTCCCTATAGCTCCCCTTCCTATTAATGATAAGCCTCCTCTAATCTCCCCTGCCCAGAGGGAAACAAGCAAAGAAATCTCCAAAGGACCACAGCCTCCCCCTGGGCTATCAGTTATGTCCCCTTCAAGCTGTAGGGGGAGGGCAATTTGGCCCAACCCAGGTACATGTCCCCTTCTCCCTCTCTGATTTAAAGCAGATTGAGGCAGACCTCGGGAAGTTTTCAGATGATCCTGATAGGTACATAGATGTCCTACAGGGTCTAGGACAAACTTTCGATCTCGCTTGGAGAGATGTTATGCTATTGTTAGATAAAACCCTGGCCTTTAATGAAAAGAATGAGGCTTTAGCTGCAGTCCGAGTTTGGAGATACCTGGTATCTTAGTCAAGTAAATGATAGAATGATAGCTGAAGAAAGGGGCAAATTCCCTACTGGTCAGCAAGCCAATGACAGTGTGGATCCCCACTGGGACCTTGACTCAGATTATGGGGACTGGAATCACAAACATCTGTTGACCTGTGTTCTAGAAGGACTAAGGATAATTAGGAAAAAGCTGATGAATTATTCAATGATGTCCACCATAACTCAGGGAAAGGAAGAAAATCCTTCCACCTTCCACGAGTGGCTATGGGGAGCCTTAAGAAAATATACTCCCCTGTCAACCAACTCACTCGAGGGTCAGTTGATTCTAAAGATAAGCTTATTACCCAATCAGTTGCAGATATCAGGAGAAAGCTCCAAAAGGGAGCCCTGGGCCCTCAACAAAATCTGGAGACATTATTAAACCTGGCAAACTTGGTGTTCTATACTAGGGACCAAGGGGAACAGGCCAAAAATGAAAAGCATGATCAGAGTAAGGCCACAGCCTTAGTCATGGCCCTCAGACAAACAAACCTTAGTGGTTCAGAGAAGACAGAAAGGGGAGCAGGCCACTCAACCAGAAGGGCTTGTTATCAGTGTGGGGTGCAAGGACACTTTAAAAAAGACTGTCCAATGAAGCTGCCCCCTCACCCATGTCCACTATGCCAAGGCAATCACTGGAAGGTGCACTGTCCCAGAGGACAAAGATTCTCTGGGCCAGAAGCCCCCAACCAGATGATCCAACAACAGGACTGAGGGTGCCTAGGGCAAGCACTAATTCGTGTCATCACCCTCACTGAGCCCCGGGTACATTTAACCATTGAGGGCCAGGAAGTTGCTTCCTCCTGGACACTGGCACAGCTTTCTCAGTATTAATCTCCTCTCCTGGACAGCTGTCCTCAATGTCTGCTACCATCTGAGGAATCCTGGGACAACCTGTAACCAGGTATATCTCCCACCTCCTTAGTTGTAATTGAGAGACTTTGCTACAGATAGTAAGTATGCTTATCTAATCCTACATGCCCATGCTGCAATATGGAAAGAAAGGGAGTTCCTAACCTCTGGGGGAACCCCCATTAAATACCACAAGGAAATCATGGAGCTATTGCATGCAGTGCAAAAGCCCAAGGAGATGGCAGTCTTAGACTGCTGAAGCCATCAAAAAGGGGAAGGAGAGAGGAGAACAGCAGCATAAGTGGCTGGCAGAGGCAGGGAAAGACCAGCAGAAAGGAAAGAGAGAAAAAGGCAGAAAGTCAGAGAGAGAGAGACAGAGAGAGGAAGAGATAGAGACAGAAAGTCAAAGAGAGAAGGAAAGAGAGGAAGAGACAAAGTCTTCAAAGAGAGAGAAAGAGATAGAAGTAGTAAAGAAAAAACAGTGTACCCTATTCCTTTAAAAGCCAGGGTAAATTTCTGTCTACCCAGTCAAGGCATATTCTTCTTATGTGGAACAGCAACTTATACCTGCCTCTCAGACAGTTTGCAAGAAATAATGAAAGCTATCCTTACTCTACAATCCCAAATAGACTTTGGCAGCAGTGACTCTCCAAAACTGCCAAGGCCTAGACTGCCTCACTGCTGAGAAAGGAGGACTCTGCACCTTCTTATGGGAAAAGTGTTGTTTTTACATTAACCAGTCAGGGATAGTATGAGATGCCACCCAGCGTTTATAGGAAAAGGCTTCTGAAATCAGACATAGCCTTTCAAACTCTTTTACCAACCTCTGGAGTTGGGCAACATGGCTTCTCCCCTTTCTAGATCCCATGACAGCCATCTTAATATTACTCTCCTTCGGGCCCTGTATTTTTAACCTCCTTGTCAAATTTGTTTCCTCTAGGATCGAGGCCATCAAGCTACAGATGGTCTTACAAATGGAACCCCAAATGATCCCAACTAACAACTTCTACCAAGGACCCCTGGACTGACCCACTGGCCCTTTCACTGGCCTAAAGAGTTCCCCTGTGGAGGATGCTACAACTGCAGGGCCCCGTCTTTGCCCCTATCCAGTAGGAAGTAGCTTGAGTGGTCATCACCCAATTTCCAACAGCAATTGGGGGGTCCTGTTTAAAGGGGAAATTGAGAGGTGAAGCCAGTTGGACTTCTGGGTCAGATGGGGACTTGGATAACTTTTCTGTCTAGCTAAAGGATTGTAAATGCACCAATCAGAACTCTGTAAAAACACACCAATCAATGCTCTGTGTCTAGCTAAAGGATTATAAATGCACCAATCAGCACTCTGTAAAAAAGCACCAACCAGCACTCTGTGTCTAGCTAAAGGATTGTATATGCACCAATCAGCACTCTGTAAAAATGCACCAATCAGTGCTCTGTGTCTAGCTAAAGGATTGTAAATGCACCAAGCAGCACTCTCTAAAAACACACCAATCAGCACTCTGTGTCTAGCTAAAGGATTGTAAACACACCAATCAGCACTCATAAAATGGACCAATAAGAAGGATGTGGTTGGGGCCAAATAAGGGAATAAAAGCTGGCCACCCAAGCAAGTAGCAGCAACCCTCTTGGGTCCCCTTCCATGCTGTGGAAGCTTTGTTCTTTTGCTCTTCACGATAAATCTTGCTGCTGCTCACTCTTTGTGTCCGCACTACCTTTATGAGCTCACTGCAAGGGTCTGAGGCTTCATTCCTGAAGTCAGCAAGACCACAGACCCAGCAGGTGGAGCAAAGAACTCCAGATATGCCACCTTTAAGAGCTGTAACACTCACTATGAAGGTCTGCAGCTTCACTCCTGAAGTCAGCAAGACCACGAACCCACCGGAAGGAAGAAACTCCGGACACATCTGAACATCTGAAGGAGCAAACTCCAGACACACCTTCTTTAAGAACTGTAACACTCACCATGAGGGTCCGTGCCTTCATTCTTGAAGCCAGCAAGATCGGGAACCCATTGGAGGTAACCAACTTCAGACACAAGATCATGTGGTGTTCGGTTTTCTGTTTATGTGATACCATCTCATACCAGTTAGAATGACAATTATTAAAAAGTCAGGAAACAACAGATGCTGGTGAGGCTGTGGAGAAATAGGAATGCTTTTACACTGTTGGTGGGAGTGTGTAAATTAGTTCAACTATTGTGGAAGACAGTGTGGTGAATTCTCAAGGATCAAGAACCAGAAATACCATTTGACCCAGCAATCCCATTACTGGGTATATACCCAAAAGATTATAAATTATTCTAATATAAAGACACATGCACATGTGTGTTTATTGCAGCACATTTATAATAGCAAAGACTCAGAACCCACCCAAATGCCCATCAATGATAGGCTGGATAAAGAAAATGTGGCAAATATATGCCTTGGAATACTATGCAGCCATAAAAAGAATGAGTTCATGTCATTTGCAGGGACATGGATGAAGCTGGAAGTCATCATTCTCTTCATGACTTTTTATTGGTAATGAGTTCTTTGACATGACACCAAAAGCACAAACAACCAATTTTTTTAAAAAATAGACAATGTGGAATTATCATAACTAAAAATATTGTACTTCAAAAGACACCATAAAGAAAATAAATGGACAACCCAGAGAATGGGGGAACATATTTGCAAAGCATCTGAAAAAGGACTTGAATATGAAATAAAGAACACTTACAACTCAATAGTAAAACACAAATATAAATCTACCTAAAAAATGGGGAAAACATTTGAATAGACATTTTTCAAAGATGATACACGCATATCTGATAAACACATAAAAAATGGTCAACATCATTAGCTTTAATGGAAATGCAAGTCATACCCACAATGAGATTTCACCTAACACATGTAAGATGACTATAACCAAAAAGATTGATAATTTGTAAGTGTTAGCAAGAAAGTAGAGAAACTGGAGCACTTACACATTGCTAGTGGAAATTTTAAATGGTGGAGCTGCTATAAAAAGGAGTTGGCTCAAAATATTAAATATTCTATTAACATATAACTCAGAAATTCTACTTTTAGGTATGTATCCAAGAGAATTGAAAACATATATCTATATAAAAGATTGTACACGAATGTTTATAGCAGCCATATTAATAACAGCCAAAAGATGACAAAACCTCAAATGTCTTTCAACTGATTAATGTATACAGAAAATATGATGTACCCATACAATGAAGTATTATCCAGACATAAAAACTAATAAGGTACTGATACCGCAACATGAATGCATCTTGAAAAATTATGCTAACTGAAAGAGCTCAGACAAAAAAGACCATTAAAAACTCCATACAGACAGAAAATAGTTTATTGTTTGCCAGGAACTGTGGCAAACAATAAACTATTTTCTCTCTGTATGGATCACACCTCCTGTGTCAGGGTAAGGGGCTGTGATTGTTAATGGATGTGAGGTTTCTTTGTGAGGTAATAAAAATGTTCCAAAATTAGGTAGTGGTGATGATTGAACAACTTTGTGAGTATACTAAAAAACACTGAATTGTGTACTTTATAAGGATGAATTTTATAGTATGTAAATTATATCTCAATGAAACTATTACTTTTTAAAATTCATAGGCACAAATAAATAAGATCTCTTGTTATGGCTCTTTACAAAACCATTGTACACCTTCTCAATATAGCTCAGCCTGGAAACACAGTGCATAAGCAACATTAACAAAAATGGATTGAGTTTTTAAGAAAGCAAAACAGCACTTATTTTAAGATGGGATTTAAATAAACTACAAGTTTCATCTGTGTTTCCTATTAGTCCAATAGCCTTAAATTTATTCCTTGGCCTACAATGCCAACAGAAATTAACAACAGTGATAATCTCAATGAATCTGTTAACTGATTCTTCTGGACTTTACTTAAATATATTCCAGTATAAAGCCAGCTTTATTTTCCTACTTCTATGGGTGATTATAGCCTTAGGCAGTAATGCTTCTAACAAATATAATTCACATTCTGATCGATTTGTTTCTTTATTATGCTATTTATTGATACTCTGCAATAATTGTATTGCTCCTTAAGTTACACTAATAACGTATTCAAAACTAACTTGTTTATAGTGCATTTTACTAGAAGGTTAGTTGTGATTTATTTAGGAAGAAATGAAAAATACACTTTGCCTTATGTACCCTATTACTATAATACTACACTATTTCTATTTATTTTAATTATACATTAAAATTTTAAGTACTCTAAATCTTAGGAGAAAGAATATTTATTTCATACTCTATCAGGTGAGACATAGAAACTTAACTTCAGCAAAATGGAATTATATTCTTCTCTTACATAAAAGAAGTCTATGACTGGTACACTGGCCCCATGAGGTACACTTGCAGTTTTCTGCTTTTTATCCCTGACAAGGCCTTCATCTTCCTGATCTAGAATGGACGCTTAACCTCCAACCATCACATTTCCCATCACATTCCAGGAAGCATGATTTTTTTTTAATTATACTTTAAGTTTTAGGGTACATGTGCACAACATGAAGGTTTGTTACATATGTACACATGTGCCATGTTGGTGTGCTGCACCCATTAACTCGTCATTTAACATTAGGTATATCTCCTAATGCTATCCCTCCCCGCTGCACCCACCCCACAACAGGCCCCAGTGTGTGATGTTCCCCTTCTTGTGTCCATGTGTTCTCCGTGTTCAATTCCCACCTATGAGTGAGAACATGCGGTGTTTGGTTTTTTGTCCTTGTGATAGTTTGCTGAGAATGATGGTTTCCAGCTTCATCCATGTCCCTACAAAAGACATGAACTCATCATTTTTTATGGCTGCATAATATTCCATGGTGTATATGTGCCACATTTTCTTAATCCAGTCTATCATTGTTGGACATTTGGGTTGGTTCCAAGTCTTTGCTATTGTGAATAGTGCCACAATAAACATACCTGTGCATGTGTCTTTATAGCAGTATGATTTGTAATCCTTTGGGTATATACCCAGTAATGGGATGGCTGGGTCAAATGGTATTCTGGTTCTAGATCCCTGAGGAATCACCACACTGACTTCCACAAGGGTTGAACTAGTTTACAGTCCCACCAACAGTGTAAAAGTGTTCCTATTTCTCCACATTCTCTCCAGCACCTGTTGTTTCCTGACTTTTTAATGATCGCCATTCTAACTGGTGTGAGATGATATCTCATTGTGGTTTTGATTTGCATTTCTCTGATGGCCAGTGATGACAAGCATTTTGTCATGTGTCTTTTGGCTGCATAAATGTCTTCTTTTGAGAAGTGTCTGTTCATGTCCTTTGCCCACTTTTTGATGGGGTTGTTTGTTTTTTCTCTTGTAAATTTGTTTGAGTTCATTGTAGATTCTGGATATTAGCCCTTTGTCAGATGAGTAGGATGCAACAATTTTCTCCCATTCTGTAGGTTGCCTGTTCACTCTGATGGTAGTTTCTTTTGCTGTGCAGAAGCTCTTTGGTTTAGTTAGATCCCATTTGTCAATTTTGGCTTTTGTTGCCATTGCTTTTGGTGTTTTACACATGAAGTCCTTGCCCATGCCTATGTCCTGAATGGTATTGCCTAGGTTTTCTTCTAGGGTTTTTATGGTTTTAGGTCTAACATGTAAGTCTTTAATCCACCTTGAATTAATTTTTGTATAAGGTGTAAGGAAGGGATCCAGTTTCAGCTTTCTGCATATGGCTAGCCAGTTTTCCCAGCACCATTTATTAAATAGGGAATCCTTTCCCCACTGCTTGTTTTTCTCAGGTTTGTCAAAGATCAGACAGTTGTAGATGTGTGGCATTATTTCTGAGGGCTCTGTTCTGTTCCATTGGTCTATATCTCTGTTTTGGTACCAGTACCATGCTGTTTTGGTGACTGCAGCCTTGTAGTATAGTTTGAAGTCAGGTAGTGTGATGCCTCCAGCTTTGTTCTTTTGGCTTAGGATTAACTTGGCAATGTGGGCTCTTTTTTGGTTCCATATGAACTTTAAAGTAGTTTTTTCCAATTCTGTGAAGAAAGTCATTGGTAGCTTGATAGGGATGGCATTGAATCTATAAATTACCTTGGGCAGTATGGCCATTTTCACGATATTGATTCTTCCTACCCCTGAGCATGGAATGTTCTTCCATTTGTTTGTATCCCCTTTTATTTCATTGAGCAGTGGTTTGTAGTTCTTCTTGAAGAGGTCCTTCACATCCCTTGTCAGTTGGATTCCTAGGTATTTTATTGTCTTTGAAGCAATTGTGAAAGGGAGTTCATTCATGATTTGGCTCTCTGTTTGTCTGTTATTGGTGCATGAATTCTACTAGAGGTACAAGGAGGAGCTGGTACCATTCCTTCTGAAGCTATTCCAATCAATAGAAAAAGAGGGAATCCTCCCTAACTCATTTTATGAGGCCAGCATTATCCTGATACCAAAGCCTGGCAGAGACACATCAAAAAAAGAGAATTTTAGACCAATATCCCTGATGAACATCGATGCAAAAATCCTCAATAAAATACTGGCAAACCAAATCCAGCAGCACATCAAAAAGCTTATCCACCATGATCAAGTGGGCTTCATCCCTGGCATGCAAGGCTGGTTCAACATATGCAAATCAATAAATGTAATCCACTATATAAACAGAACAAATGACGAAAACCATATGATTATCTCAATAGATGCAGAAAAGGCCTTTGACAAAATTCAACAGCCCTTCATGCTAGAATCTCTCAATAAATTAGGTATTGATGGCACATATCTCAAAATAATAAGAGCTATCTATGACAAACCCACAGCCAATATCATTCTGAATGGGCAAAAACTGGAAGCATTCCCTTTGAAAACTGGCATAAGACAGGGATGCCCTCTCTCACCACTCCTATTCAACATAGTGTTGGAAGTTCTGGAAAAGAGGAAGTCAAATTATCCCTGTTTGCAGATGACATGATTGTATATCTGGAAAACCCCATCGTCTCAGCCCAAAATCTCCTTAAGCTGATAAGCAACTTCAGCAAAGACTCAGGATACAAAATCAATGTGCAAAAATCACAGGCAGCATGATTTAAAAAAAAGGGCAAAGATCTGAGATCTCGCAGAAGTTTCAGAAGCACTTTTACATACATTTCATTGACCAATATTTAATTACTTCACTCCTTCTACCTTCAGGGAGGGCTGAAGTATGTAGCATCATACCCTCTCTTCTGGGAAACAGATAAAATTTGGTTTCTTATTAATTAACAAGAAGGAAAGAAAGGGTATTAAAGTAAACCAGCAGTCTGTACCATATGTACACCAGTCCTTTACTTTTGTTCATATGACAGTGTTTTAAATACTCTGCCCATATCCTCACATTTCTGTCCAAAAGTACCTAAGGAAGGAGTAAATATTCACTTCCCAAATGGCAGAATACCTTGTCTTAAATTCTGTTAGATGACAAATTCTATGCAAGATGAAAGAAAGTGGTTTTTTTCTGATGATTGCTTTACAATACTGAAATCCTTCATTGTCTTTCAGAGTTGTGCGTACATTTATACTAATAATTCCAAGAATAAAAATGCCGTATAAAATGTAAATCTTCTTGAAGTTTTTACTTTCTTTCATTAATTGTAATTTTCTGGTTTCATATCTATACAATGCATATTATTCTTACTTTTTAAAAATTAATATATATACAATGGAATACTATTCAGCCATAAAAACAATAAAATCCTGTCATTTTGGACAACATGGATGAACCTAGAGGACATTATGTTAAGTGAAAGAAGCCAAGCACAGTAAGACAAATACCACCTAGTCTCATTCATATATTGAATTTTTAAAAAGTTAGTCTTAAAGAAGTAGAGAGTAAAATAGTGGTTACAAGGGTGTGGGGAGAGTAGGAGGAAACAGAGGATAGGAAGAAGTTGGTTAATGGGTAAACAAAATAGAAGGAATAAATTCTGGTGTTCTATTAAATAGTAGAATTATTAGAGTTAACAATATTATATATTTCAAAATAGCCAGAAATTATGATTTTGAATCTTTTCACAAACAAATGAAAAGTGTTAGAGGTGATGCATATGCTAATTAACCTGATTAGATCATTACACAATGTGTTGATTTATTGAAATATTACTCTGTACCCCATGATATGTATAATTATATGACAATTAAAAAACAAAATCAAACTTTAAGAAAGAAAAAGAAAATATTATATATAACCAAGTTTTAAATTCAAGAATTATTGATATATTTATAATAGTAATAAGAATATTGATATTAAAAACTATTTTTCTGTCTATTCCTCCCTATTTACCTGTATTGTTACCCAGAGGCAACCACTTTCAAGCCTTTTAACTGTTTCTTCTGATACTAATATCCATTTATCTAAATAAAATATACTATTTCTTCTTAACCATTTTTTAAAATTATCTATTTTCTTTTTCTTAGGGTAGTGAAGAAGATATCTCTCTACTATACTTCCTCTAACTTCACCTTCCCCATTCTCTCAAGATATTTGTATCATTTGTTTTTGTTTTCTTTTGTTAAAAGCTATAGTCAGAATTTACATTATTAAGACAATGTGCAATCTGGTCACCTCTTGTATCTCACTTCTTGGAAGAAGCCAACATTGTTGCATCCTGAATCTGAGGGCAGTTTGGAGGCTGAAAAAAATATCTCAGTACTTTCTCTGAAGGCCATCAACTGATTGGATGAAGCCTATCTGCATGATGGTTGGTAATCTGCTTTATTCAAAGAATATTAATTGAAATATTAATCACATTTAGTAAAAAACCTTCACAATAGCATCTAGTCTGGTGTTTGACAAAAACAACTGAGCATTATAGCCCAGTCAAGGTGACACAGAAAACTATCCTTGAGAGTATGAGGAGAACCTCCTATTAAAGATTTCCGCTGTTTTTCAACCCAATACTTCAATGTATTTCCAAAGAATAAGATATTCTCTTACATAGCCACAAGAGTTATCAACATCAGTACATATCATATTGATGCAACACTTTCAGCCAACATGATATTCATATTCCAATTTTGACAATTGACAAATAATGTCATTTCTAAAATATTTATTTTTCCAGCTCCAGTTCCAGTCCAGAGTCATGTACTGCACTTAGTTGCCAGGCTTCTTTATAATTGATACAGTTACTCAGACTTTGTCTTTTATGACATGGACACATTTTAAGAACACAGCCACCCCCTTTTTTATTTTTGTAATAGAACACTCTTCATTTTTAATTTGATATTGCTTCATAATTAGACTACATAAGTCTAAGCTTTACTAAAAACATTTCTATCTGGAAAACTACAAAAATGATGGTGTGTCCTTCTCAAGGTTTCAAGTCTGGAGGCTACTTGGGTACCAATAATTTTGATCACTTGCTCAAGATATTATCAAATATCTTCCATTTATAGTTACTATTGTTTTCTGCAATTAATAAGCAGTCTGTTGGAAGACACTTTAAGATCAAAACATATCTCGCTCCTAATCAAATCCCTCTACCCAGATTTAGCATCCATTAATGTTTCTTGGAGGACCCAATTAAAACTATAATGGTTTTGAAATAGTTTTCAGACTCCAGCACTTCCTCCAAATTTTCCAGTCAACACTTCTTCCCAATTTATTTTAGTATTTATCTATTTAACATTAACATAAGTATAGAAATTTCTATTTCTTCAACGATTTATAACTAATTCTAGTCTTTCATTATTTTACTGCCCAGATTATCTTGGGCTTGGCCAGTTGAAGATTCTTTGGTCTCCTGTGTTCTTGTTATTTTCCCTTGTCATTTTTTTCTTGGCAGTTCTTTAATTTCTGACATAACAAAGTGTTCCCAGCTCATCTTGCTCTTATCTGGATGCAGCCTTGGGATCTAATTTTTCTGAGATGTCCTAGTTTCTTTTAGCAAGGAATGGTATTAGAAACCAAATTCTGGGCACTAGGTGTGTTCATTGTCATTTCTGTTTCTTTGGTTGTAATTTCTCTCAGTGGAGGCAGGTAGGAGCTATATGTATGTAATGCATATAACCAAATATAGCCACATAAATACATATATGCATAAACACATACATATATGTGCAAATATACATGCAGTTACACATGCATATATACATTTTTAAATAATACTTTCAATTACATTTATTGTCATGGATTTTCCCTTGTTTCCCCTGATTTCATATGTCTTCCTTTTTCTACTTTACATTTCCTAACAACATAAATTTCTTTATTCATATGCTCATATTCCTATTATGTATCTAAGACAGATTCTGAATTGCTTTACCTATACAATGACAAAAACAACCTAGCAAAAAAAGCTCAGGATTTGTTTTTAGTACCTTTGCACTCTGCCTAAAACTTGTTGAATACTGTGCTCATATATTATAATATCAGAATTATTATTTTATGAGAATATTATTCATTTGACATAGTTGGGTTTCTCATAGATTCCTTTTATTTTTATCCTTCTCCCAATTCTTATTGATTTAACATTTTAAAAATACATTCAATATTAACATTTCTCAAAACTCAAATGAGATAAAAACAGTAGATTTAGAAAAATGTCACTTCCTCTTACTTTACAGATGTCTTCCTGTTTGTGGGTTTCACATCCACAGTTCAAGCAACCATGGACTGAAAATATTCAAAGTCAAAAAACAATAAAAATAACTACAATAATAATAAACAAAACCAGAGTACAACATCTATTTACATATTATTTACATTGTATTAGGTATTATGAATAATCTAAAGATGATTTAAAGTGTATGAGATGTGTGTATGTTATATGCAAATACTATGCCATTTTATGTAAGGGACTACAGCATCTGCAGATTTCAGTATCCACAGGGGTACCTGTAAATTGGTCCTGAAACCAATCCCCTATAGGTACTGCAGAATGAATATTCTCATCTTTCTCCATTGGACCCCTTGTAATTGACCAACTTCATTGTCTTCTGGTTTCCTAAGTTTCTTCTATAGAGATAAGCAGATATGTATATTTCTTTATTTCTCCTTTTTTTTTTTACACCAAAGTAGCATACTATATATGCTATTTTGCACTTTGGTTTTTCTCCTTAATATTTTCTGTAAGTAACTTCGTATCAATTTATAAAGTGCTTCCTCAGTTTTTTTTCAACTGCATAATTATTCCATTGTGTTTAAGTACCATTATTTCTACAATAATCTCTTATGTTTGAACATTAGGGTATTTTCCAGTATTTTACAATTGCATACAATATTTTCTTTTTTAAAAAATTTTATTCCTTTTTGGTGTTTCTATGTGTGTTTTTGGCCCATTTTCTATAGGATTTTTCTGTTTTTATTTCTCAATTTTTTCAAAAGCTATTTTATAGTAAAGATATTAGCCCTTTATTTATTCCAATCACTTTTCTTTTGATTTTACTTATGATTTTCATTTGTTTTGAAGATCATGAAGATAGTTTAAAAACCAATTTTTGTAGTCAAATTAGAAAATCTTTTCCAACACCCAGTTTATTGAGGAACTCAGCTATGTTTTCTAGTACTTGCATAGTTTTGAGTTTTACATTTATAATAAAAGAAGGGTAGAATTGAAGGAGAAATTTCAAGTTCACTTTTGGCATATTGAGCTTCAAATGCCTAGGAGACCGTGATGGTTAATTTCATGTCAGCTTGATTGGACCACATAATGCCCAGATAGCTGGTTAAACACTATTTTTAGGTGTGTCTGTGAAAGTGTTCCTGGAAGAAATTAGCATTTGAATCAGTAGACTGGTAAAGTAGATTGCCCTCCCAGTGTGGATGGGCATTATCCATCCAATCCACTGAGGGCCTGAACAGAACAAAAAGGTAGAGGAAAGGAGAATTTGCTTTCTCTGCCTGAGTGGCCTGGGACATGAGTCTTCACCTGCCCTCAGACTGGCACTTATTCCATCAGTGCTTCTGGTTCTCAGGCCTTTGGACTTGGACTTGAACTACACCATCGGCTTTTCTGGGCCTTCTGCTCACACATGGCAGATCATGGGACCTCAGGTTCCGTAATCATATTGGCCAATACTTCATAATAAATGTCTCTCTTTGTCTTTCTCACTGTCTTCATTTCTCATTTCTTTCCTTCTTTCTCTCTCTCTCTCTCTATATATATATATGTGTATATATATGTGTATATATGTGTATATATGTGTGTATATATATATATATATGTATATATATATATATACACATGTGTATATATATACATATATGTGTGTGTGTGCATGTGTGTGTGTGTGTGGTTTGGCTCTGTGTCTCCACCTAAATCTCATCTTGTAGATCCCATAATTCCCACATGTTGTGGGAGTGACCCAGTTGGAGATAATTGAATCATGGGCAAGTCTGTTTTTCCCATGCTGTTCTCCTGACAGTGGTTGGGTCTCATGAGATCTGATGGTTTTAAAAAGAGGAGTTTCCCTGAACAAGCTCTCTTTTTGCCTGCCACCATCCATGTAAGATGTGACTTGCTCCTCCTTGCCTTCTGCCATGATTGTGAGGCCTCCCCAGCCACATTCAGTGAGTCCAGTGAGTCCAGTTAAATCCTTTTGTTTTGTAAATTGCCCAGTCTTGGGTATGTTTTTTTCAGCAGCGTGAAAATGGACTAATATATACATACACACACACACATATGTACACACACACACACATATATGCATGTATGTATTGGGTTCTCTTTCTCTGGAGAACTCTCACTAACACACAGATACACACCTTGAAATGCTCCAGCTGCAAGGTCTCCTTTGTGCTGCCTCAGGCTTTTACCCTTAGTGTTCCCTTCTCCTGGAAAGCCGTCCTTCTAGGTATTAGCATGGCTCACTTCTCCTCATTATTTGGCTTACTGCCCAAATGTCAGTGCATCAGACAGGATGTTCCTAATCATCTAATAAAAAAATAGCAGTTAGTCATTTTCTACCCCAAACCTTGCTTTTACCCTTGAGGGCTTAATGTTATCTAACATTCTAATACATAGCTGCATGCTTGCTATCTGTCTACAGACATAGAAATGTAATTCTGAGTCAATGATATGACCTTTTAAATATTTGACAACTCCAAATATTTCTCCTTATAAAAGTATTTTTCCTAATTTCTGCCTCCATCAACAGCGTATGAGAGTGGCTGTTTTTCCCACGTTTGTGCCAAAATGAAGTTTAGAGTGTTTTAATCTTTGTGACTCTGATGTGTTGAAAATGTAATTTCAGTTTCAATTATGAGTAAGATGTTTAAAATTCTATCCAACCATCTTTCAATAAATTGTTTATTCGTGTTCTTTCCCAATTTTTCTTATTGAATTTATAGTATTCACAATCTATGTTGTGACTATAATGCCACTCATGGACTACTACCTTGGCGTTAAAAAGTGGCTAAACCTTGCCTCTTAATTCCTCCTTACCTTTTTAATGCTCATGATTTTTTATACTTTTTATACTTTGTTGAGATTCTGTTGTAGTTCTCAATGTGAGGTCTACTGCTACTAGAAGTCCTAAATTTTATTATTATTATTATTATTATTGAGACAGAATCTCATTCTGTCACCCAGGCTGGAGTGCAGTGGCATGATCACTGCTCACTGCAACCTCTGCCTCCCAGATTCAAGCAATTCTCATGCCTCAGCCTCCCAAGCAGCTGAGATTACAGGCATGCACCACCACACATGAATAATTGTTTGTATTTTTAGTAGAGATGAGGGTTCACCATGTTGGCAGGCTGGTCTTGAACTCCTGGCCTCAAGTGATCCGTGTGTCTCAGCCTCCCAAAGTGCTGGGATTACACGCATGAGCCACCGCACCTGGCTAAATTTTATATGCTTGTAATTTGGTGTTCACTTTCAAACCTTTGATACTAATAGCAGTACCTAAATTCTGAACTTATTATTGCTTTATCTCTACTTTGGATAGATTTATTTAACACGTTTTTTTAAGAAATGCCATAAATTGTAATCCTCATATTCTTATATGGCTGGGTAGTTTTTCTATTGCTTTTACCTTTTAATTGCAATGTGGCTAAGTTGAAACTCTTTGTTTAGGTATTATTTTGTTGTTCTTGTTAGGATAAATGCTGTTGTGAAGATGTCCAAGTTTATCCTAACTTTTCATGGACTTCTTGGTAAATTTCCTTAAGTTAAAACAGCTTTATTAGACCTCAGTTCAGTGTTGATTTTTTCCAAGTAGATACTTATTTATTCAAGTTTATATTCAATTTATTGTTAATGTATTTAACAAATCTCTTCCAGGTGATTTCTTTTTATCAGTCATTGTTCTAGGCACTTAAAATATATAAGGGCAATATCTCTAATAGAAATTGCCATCTAGTTGATTGAGATAACTAGTTGGTATTTTCAGTCAATACACAACAGTCATCTTTTCTTTGCAAACCAAAGAACCAGTTGTTTTAAAGTTTACTTCTATTATATATGTTTGTATTTTCTCTACTGTTTAGTTTTCTTATTCAGAAACCATAATTAGATGCATTTTTAATTTGTTTTTTAGTCTAGACCTATAATTTCTTGCCAATTGTGTTTATATCTAAGTTCCATTTCTATTTTACTTTTCTTGATTTTTTTCAAGCCCGGTCTTCACATTTATGTCTATGTTTCTTAAGGATTTATTTTAATTTATAATGATAATGTGAAAATTTTTAACTTTGTTTTCTTTTCTTTTCCTTTTTTTCTGAGATTTACCAACTTCTTTATCACATCATTCAGTTAATATTATTGTTTTTTATTCAATCTCATGTATCTTTTCAATGAGGCTGATCAACGGCACTATGATCTTCAATTCCTGAGAGCTTTAAAACAAATGATTGGCTCAATGTTTCTGTTGCTTTTCTGTATAATTGTTTCTCTGGGTCTTTTGGATATTCCCTCTTTTTGTTTTTCAATTCCGCTATCTATGATCATTGCTTCCTGACTATTTTTACTTTTGCTAATGAAGAAGTTCTATCTAGTCCAAATAATTGTTTTAAAAAATGTATGGTGGAGGCTGGGGACGGTGGCTCATGCCTGTAATCCCAGCACTTTGGGAGGTCGAGGTGGATGGATCACGAGGTTAGGAGATCGAGACCATCTTGGCCAACATGGTGAAAACCCATCTCTACTAAAATACAAAAATTAGCCGGGCATGGTGGTGCATGCCTGTAATCCCAGCTACTTGGGAGGCTGAGGCAGGGGAATAGCTTGAATCTGGGAGGTGGAGGTTGCAGTGAGCTGGGATGGCACCACTGCACTCCAGCCTGAAGACAGAGCAAGACTTAGTCTCAAAAAAAAAAAAAAAAAATGGTGGAATGGCAAGGGCCAAGACAATGAATTTGGTTATGGGGTGCTTGAAGGCAGCTATATGGTTATAGAATTATATATGTACTTTCTTATGAAATTTGGTATATTTCTCATCTAAGTTATGTTGAGGAATAGAAATATAGAAAATGTTATTTTCTATATGGAAATTTAAATTTTATCTTCCTATAAATGACTTGCTTAGCAGCCACCATATTAACCGTCAGGAAATTTTCACCTCTAACATTCTACTCTTTTTGTCTTTTTATTGAAAAGGGGGTAAGTTCATATGCCTTCTCCTTCAGCCCAGTTACTCTGATGTGCTGTGGTATGAAATCAGGTGTAGAGATGTTCTTGTTGCTCAGGCATACCCTAGATCTTACTTTTCTAAGAAAGGCATTATTGGTTAGGCTCTTCCTAGCCTTACAACTATTTTGAGAGTACTTTGAACCCTGCATTAATTAAATCTGTAAAATGTTTTGCTTTTCCCTATTTTTACCTCCCAATTTGATACATTTTCTACTTTTTCTTTTTCAGCTAGTCTATGAGCTTGGGATATAGGGTTCTGACTGAAGTAAGGTTTAATCATAATAATGAAATCTCTTTCTTTATACTAACTTTCTGTGGATTTCAGTTCTGTTCTGGAAAAATGTAAAGATAATTTCCTATAGTCCTTTCTTCCTTTATCACAGGAGGTAATATTTTAAAACAAATTTGATTAATACATATTTTGGGTATAGTTACTACTCAAAGACGTTCAAAAAGAATGGTTCTCCAAGTGCTTAAATTCTAGTATTGGAGATGACATGTTTGCAAGTAGAAATAACAGCATTATAAGTTCATATAAAATGGGTTCCTTAAGAATGGAACAGATCACAGCTGGGCACAGTGGCTGATGCCTATAATCCCAGCACTTTGGGAGGCCAAGGCGGACTGATCACCTGAGGTCGGGAGTTGAAGACCAGCCTGACCAACATGGAGAAACCCTGTCTCTACTAAAAACTACAAAATTAGCCAGACGTGGGGGCACATGCCTGTAATCCCAGCTATTTGGAAGGCTGAGGCAGGAGAATCGCTTGAACCCGGGTGTTGGAGATTGCCATGAGCCGAGATTGTGCCATTGCACTTCAGCCTGGGCAACAAGAGCAAAACTCCGTTAAAAAAAAAAAAAAAAGAATGGTACAGATCACGATTACCAGATAAGTGGGAAGAGTTGATATTTTGACCAGCTGGACTGATTACAGAGCCTTTATGGAGGAGAGAATATTTGACCAGGATTGGGGGAAATGAGCAGAGTTATAATAGACAGAAGAAAATTATTCGAGTTAAAGAGAATTGTATTACTCCTTTTCTATACTGGGATGTGAAGAATCTTACCGGACACATTTTGAGTGTGACCCCTGAAAGATAACTGTCAGGTATGCATGATGCTTTTTAAGAGTGCACTTAACTTTCTTGCTTTGCTATGCTCAAAATAATAGCTGTGTTTCATGAGCTAGAATCCTAATTTAAAAGAAAACACTAATACAAATGATGCATACATAATAAAATTGTGATGTCTGAAATTTTGAGGAGCAAAATAAGCATGTGCAATGATTTATTTTTCCCCCAACAAAGTTTCACATGCAAAGCACATATCAAGATTTTTAGTTTGAGATACGTTGATATATGGCCACTTTATTTTTATCTTGGGTATTGTCAGCAATATCATTGCAAATGAAAAATACATGCTTTATTACTGTGGTAGACTGAATAATGTCCCTTCAACCATGTTCTTATTCTAATTCTTGGAACCCCAAAATGTGTTACCTTACATGGCAAAAGAGACTTTGTGATGGTGAGAGTAGCCTGGACTATCCAGGTGGAACCAATCTAATCATGAGTCCTTAGAAATGGAAGACCGTTCTTACTTTAAGTCATCAGGAGATGTGACTACAGTAGAGAACCAGAGGGACGAAAATGTGAAAAGGACAGAACCTGCAATAACTGGCTTTGAAGATGGAGGAAGGGGGCCACGAGCCAATGAATGCAGATAAGGTGGAAAAGACCAGGAAATGGGTTCTCCCCACAGAGTTCAGAAAGAAATGCAGTCCTACTAACACCTCAATTTTAGTCAGTTAGACCCATGTGAACTATAGAATTTGCGATAATGTTATGGTAGCAATAGAAAACTAATACAGCACCTTCTGTAACCTATCGCTTGACACTTCCATATTGGTCCTTCTTAGGATCCAATGGCCCTGAAAAGGCAAAGAAACATTCTCCATTGCCATGCTATAAGTCAATCTTCAAAGCTAAGTTACTTTTTTCAAGACAATAAAAAATGGCTTTACCAATCAGTATGCTTTCAGGTACAAGTAAGAGAAAATCCTGCTTCAAGCTGTCTTTAAGTAACAAAATTTATTACTTACATATTAATATGACAAATATTAATTGAGTACCTACCGTGCACCCAACCACTAATCCAGGCTTTGTAGATACAGCTGTGAACAACACAATGTCTTTGCTTCATAGAGTTTACATCCTAGTGGGGAGGGAGTCAATGTATAAATGAGATAAATGAGTGTAATACTATATTATGTAACAGGAAATCCACTGTAGAGTAATTGCTTGAGTTGGTTAATTGAGCTGTCAGCAATGTCTTCACTTCCCTTAATCTGCTCTGTGATCCTTTGTGCTGGCTTTGAATTCAGGCAATAGAAAGATGGATACGGAAGTTTCTGGTGCCTATTCTTCCAGAGGAAAAAGACAAAATATTTCTCTTTGTTGTTGTCATTTGAGAGAAAACTTTTTTCAGATCCCTCAGTTGACTTTTCATTACTTGAGAGATCTACAAGACTTAGTCACACTTCCATTCTAAACTAATTATTGGTGAGGAAAAAGAAGAAATTGTCATGATTAGCTCAGGAAAATAATTTGGGATGGAATATATGTCTGAGTTCACTACAATGGCTTGACAGTAACGTGAATAGTAAACATTTTAAATATAAAGTTTGTTTTAATTAAATGGCTTATTAAAAATATTTTCTGTATTTTCAAAGTCCCTAGAGAAGAAACAAAAAGGGTTCAGAGGGTTTCATTACTCTTTTATTCATGATAGGCAAAAATTAAATAGTTCTCTTTGAGAAGCTTATTTGTGTCTTATTTTATTACAGCCTTCCTGGAAAATTTTGTCTTCCAATTCCAATTAATTTGAAGCAATCTAGGCATAAATTTATTGTGAGCAGAAGTCATAGATTCAACTAATTATATCATATATTTCAAATATTAGAATTATGTGAAAAATACATTCATGTAAGGGAAGTCATTTAATTTCTAATGTGTAGACCAAAAGGCAAACTAATTAGATTCAGTCTGATAAACCTGAAATATAGCTGTTTTGTAGTATAAATGAGTAAGTTTTCTGTATTTCTTGCTGAGAGTATATCATTTTTTATAGTTGTTTATTAGAGTTCATACCAATTGAAATAGTTGAAACTTCACTTATTTTCCTTAAGTCCACTCTTCATAAATATTAGAGTTAGTTTCCATCAAATATATTCATTACTAAAAATAGTGAATATTTTTAGGTAATACTACATTGATTGCTTCTAAGTAATGCTACACTGCTGTTGATTTGGAAGAGAATCAAAGAAAATGTTAGTAGTGTTGTCTAAAAACAAAGTAATTAAATTCTCACTCTTTAAAAGTGGGTATCTAGCATAGATATTTAACATTGCTGGGATGTCGCATTTTTAGTTCTGGATTTTAAGTTCATAAAATATGCTGGTAGGCTGAGCTCTAAGTAACATACACATTTAAGATTTGAGAAAAGAAGTAAGGTTGCAGTCTATTTCTGTTTCACTTACTAATTATATGCCTTTCAAATGCTATGAGTGAGGGATAGAAATAGACAGCATTTGAGTTCTAAAGGATTACATGAACTATGTATTTCTTTTTAAAATCAGTGGACAAATTGAAAACCAAGATGAGAATTCCGTAAGATACAGTCTTCAATGCCAGTAACATTCAACTATCTTTGTTTTATCTTTGCCCCAAGAAAACAAGTATTTCCTGGCTATTGAGTGATGTATTCATTGGTGTTGGACTCAAATCTAAGAAATCTAAAAATGGAAAGTTCGAGCTACTGAGCAACATGTTGGTGATGGCCCGCATTTTCAGAGTTTGTTGGAGTAAAGGATACATGACTACCTCCCATAGAATAAAAGTGGGTCACTTGAGCAAGCACTGCAATCTCGGGCTACCTTGGGTCATGTCCATGAGAGGTCTGAGGAGACCCTGGCAGAAGGCAGAGGGGAGCAAGCTGCTGGGTGCCTCGGGGGTGAGCAGATATATACATGACCAATGAGAACAGACAATGCGATGCATTTCCAAGATCTGCAAAAGACAGATTTCCAGAATTCCACAGTCTCTAGAAAACTCCCGAATCCAATCCAAAATCAAGAAAAGGTGTTCGTTTTAAACCTCTGCCAGACTAAGAGCACTAACAGCTCACAACAATCTTGGTCAAATAGGAATATACCTGCCACTCACCTCTCCTGTGTCTCAGAGGAATTTGAGGGGCGAAATGGGGGCAAAATACACCATAGGCAGGAAAATAATGATAAAGGCTACTAGGCCTTTCTTTTCCATTGCAGTTAGTACCCCTGATATAGCTATGTGCAAAAAGTGGCCAGAAATCAAAGCATGAGTGATCAAATGTAAAAGTTATTTCCAGGAGAAGATAAAAGCCTCAAAGCTGAAATCTGGACATTAGTGGTAGGTAGCAAAATAGAAATGGAAGAAGACAACTTGTCAAAAATGCCTACTTTGTGCCAGTTTATATACATTATCTGATCTTTATGGTAATTGTAGGAAAAGGATGTTATAGTACCCACTTTATTATTGATAACATCAGGCCTCAGAGAGGTTAAGTTCCACTTCTGAGGTCAAACATCTAGTGATAGAGACAGGATTGAATCCAAATCTCTCCAACACTTTTTCTTTGCACCCCATAGAGGACCTGAGGCCACTTACTTAGCAAGTCTTGACGACCTTTTTTATTTTCTACATCTTCACCCAAGACCCTCCTGCTATCTACCCATTCTATAGAATCAGACTTCTACTTTTCCCTATTTTTAGATGTATTTGGAGAATGTAGTCTATCATCCTGGCTTTTTCCTTTTAGAACAAAAGAAAACAAAGCAATGCAGAAAAGGACATGAACACAGTGTAGGAAAAAAGAATGCCATGGAAAGTTAGCCCTCCCAGTATCTCTTTGACTTTTTATTCAGGTATCTTCTCCTTGATTCACTCTACTCCAGACACACTGACCCTTACTTGTGAGCCAGTCAAGCATGGTTCCACTGCAGAGTCTTTGCACTGAAAGCCTTCTCTTTCCCCAAATGATCTGCATAGCTAATTCTCTCATCTCTTGCCTTGAGGGAGGTGCTATCATCCTCATACCAACTGCTCTTTTAGCCCTTTACTGATCATCCTACTTAAAATTATAACTTGCTCCACACTCAGTTACTCTGATCCCTCTTGCTTTGCCCAATTTTTTTGTTTTATTTTTCCCATAACACTGATCACCTTCCCACACTTACTTATTCTTTACGTTTTTTTTACTTCCTGTTTCTTCCTATCACATGAATATAAGATCTTTCGGACTGTGGATCTGTCATTGTTTTACCTCAAGCATCTAAAAGAGTGCCTAGCACATGGTAGGTACGTGCCACAGATTTATTAAACAAATGAATGACTGAATACTGATTTTTACTCCCTACCATAGCTATCACATACTACTTTGACTTCCTGGCATCTTGCTTTTTGCATTGCTTGCTGGTCTTCCACTAATCATCTTGGAAGGGGGCATTCTTAAGTTTTATCCCATCATACAGTTCTGGGTTTCAGCTGCAGAGTCCTTGAGTTTGCCCACCCCAGCACTGACTGAGCTCCAGCCCTCATTGTAATAATGTTTGTCAAAGTCAAGTGACAAAAAAAATCTTAATTTTTTATACCACTTCTATTGTCAACAAACTTTAGGGATTTATTAATTATGGCCACTGCTTTTGATAAGACATATAAAATTCAATGAAAAAATACTGTTTTACCACAATGAATTTTGATATGTGAGTAAATTCTAGTATTTATTAGGTAAGCTGTTTTCCAAATTCTACATATTGATATTTGATTTCACTTTATAATATAGGCATAAACTAATGTTTGCATGTAATATATGGTAGCTGATTTTGCATAAAACTCAGAAATAAATGTGTGTCTGAGATTGAAATAAAAATAAATTTAACACTGTCTATGGATGTGAAATTCATAATCCGTGATCCTACAATGAAAGATTTGTAGAGAAAATTATCTATTCAAGTCCGTTCCCATGTGTATCCATTTAGTGAAACTTTACTTGCAAGAATCTGTAAAAATGCTAATAAACCACATTTCTCCCAGCTTAGGCCTAGCTCTTTATTTGTTTCTGGCTTTGAGATAACTTTGAATAGGCAATATGGTGTCACCATGGGTAATGAATGATGCATGTATAAAATAGTGACCTTAAAACAGCACATTTCTCTTAAAGGAATCAATTTACACACCATTGCTACTTAAATTTTATGAGCAGTTATGTATCAGGTCTTTCCTATATAAATGATAGAAAATCTATTTTAATCAACATTAATTTCCATGAAATTGTAACTTTGCTAGTGTCCATTAACAAGAATCAACTATATGTGGGAAATAGTTTTAAGAAAACAAAGATTAGGGAAAAATGCAGGAAAGATATAATAAAAAATGCACTTTGCTTCAAAGTTAAATGTTTTGGAAAAAATACAGAAAATCTCAGCAATGTGCCTGGGGCATAGTAATACTAGCAATCTCTAGCAGATTCTCCCAATGTAAGCACATTTAGAACAAATGGTTGTAAATTAGAAGAAACTCTAGTAAGTCTCCAATGAAGACATAGTATTATAGCACAGGTAATTAGCCATGATGCATATTTTTTAGTTCCCTCCCTTTAAATACTTTCTTTCTTCCAATTTTAATCTTACAGAATCACAATTTGATGAACTATTAATTTTTTGCTTACCCGTGTAATCCAGAAATTCCTAGTGAACAATGCTACAGGGGTAGATAAAATGTATACATTTAAATTTATACCCTGGATTTGCTATTGTTTGCAGATATCCTCCACTTTCTTACCAAAACAAAATAATGCCAGAAAGACTCTAGCCCTGAATGAACCTAACCATCTACTTTTTTTTATCTTTTGGATTCATATGGAATATTATGAAAGGGATCCAATCACAAAACCAGGTTAACTAGTATCACTATAAACATTGTCTCGCAAAAGTCAAATGAGTACTTACCACCACGTGAAAATTCCACTGTGTTTCTGTATTTTACTCTCTCATTATCCCTGGCCACTATTTTACTTATTCTTAACTCTCCTCTCATCTCCTTACCCACCACCATCGCTGCACCTTTCAGGTGATGCCTTACCTTATGCATCCTGTCAAAAGAAGAAATCAGACAGAAAGGGGCTCACTTTCCCTTGCTCTGTACTGAGGCTCTTGGTCAAATCCCAATTCATCACTTACTAGATATGGGACCTGTGCAAGTTGCTTATATTTTTGTGTCCCTCTATAAAATGCTGATAACAATACCAGCCTTAAAAGTTATTAGAAAGATTAATAAATTACATTAAAATATTATTAAAATAAAATTAATATACACAAAAACATATAACAGAAAAGGGATCAGCACATAACAAAAACAATGTGTAAGTTATCATCATCATTTATTATTCTTTTCCATTAGAACAGAAAAAGTGATCTTTTGTCAGAAATTCTCCACCTGTCCCCATCTTTTCCAAAAGTTTATGCTTCCTTTATTTATTTTTCCAGATCATCAACCTTCCCCACTTCACGTACCTTTCCCATTATTATATGAACAGGCTCTTCTATATTCTTTCTCTAAAAAGTAGTTTCCCTCAATTCCAAGTCTTCAATTTTTACCCTCATTCTCAACAAACTTTTTCTGACAAGATTTTGAACAGTAGAAAAGGCCTGAAAATTGTTCCTTGGGTTTGACCACGTGGAGAACACTCACAGCCCTTTCTGAAGCAGTCAAGACAGCCGACCATCCCATTCTTGAAACCTTCTCTTTTCTTGGCATCCATAACACTAAAACCACCTTTGCAAAAATTATAACGGTGAGAAAATTATGGCAGTAAATGACATCTAATCTAACCCTCCCGCCCCTGGCATCTTCTCTTCCCTTAATCGTTCTCGGGCTTAGGCTAACTTTGGAAAGCATTTAGTTTACAGTTTAAATGATTACAGCCCACATTTTCTTAATCCAGTCTATCATTGATGGGCATTTGGGTTCGTTTCAAGTCTTTGCTATTGTGAATAATGCCGCAATAAACATACGGGTGCATGTGTCTTTATAGCAGCATGATTTATAATCCTTTGGGTATATACCCAGTAATGGGATGGCTGGGTCAAATGGCATTTCTAGTTCTAGATCCTTGAGGAATCGCCACACTGTCTTCCACAAAGGTTGAACTACTTTACAGTACCACCAACAGTGTAAAAGTGTTCCTATTTCTCCACATCCTCTCCAGCACCTGTTGTTTCCTGACTTTTTAATGATCACCATTCTAACTGGTGTGAGATGGCATCTCATTGTGGTTTTGATTTGCATTTCTCTAATGGCCAGTGATGCAATGTTCATCAGGGATATTGGTCTAAAATTCTCTTTTTTTGTGTCTCTGCCAGGCTGTTGTATCAGGATGATGCTGGCCTCATAAAATGAGTTAGGGAGGATTCCCTCTTTTTCTATTGACTGGAATAATTTCAGAAGGAATGGTACCAGCTCCTCCTTGTACCTCTGGTAGAATTCAGCTGTGAATCCGTCTGGTCCTGGACTTTTTTCGGTTGGTAAGCTATTAATTATTGCCTCAATTTCAGAGCCTGTTATTGGTCTATTCAGGGATGCAACTTCTTCCTGGTTTAGTCTTGGGAGGGTGTATGTGTCCAAGAATGTATCCATTTCTTCTAGATTTTCTAGTTTATTTGCCTAGAGGTGTTTATAGTATTCTCTGATGGTAGTTGGTATTTCTGTGGGATCAGTGGTGATATCCCCTTTATCATTTTTTATTGCATCTATTTGATTCTTCTCTCTTTTCTTCTTTATTAGTCTTGCTAGTGGTCTATCAATTTTATTGATCTTTTCAAAAAAACCAGATCCTGGATTTATTGATTTTTTGAAGTGTTTTTTATGTCTCTATCTCCTTCAGTTCTACTCTAATCTTAGTTATTTCTTGCCTTCTGCTAGCTTTTGAATGTGTTTGCTCTGGCTTCTGTAGTTCTTTTAATTGTGATGTTAGGGTGTCAACTTTAGATATTTCCTGCTTTCTCATGTGGGCATTTAGTGCTATAAATTTCCCTCTACACACTGCTTTAAATGTCTCCCAGAGATTCTGGTATGTTGTGTCTTTGTTCTCATTGGTTTCAAAGAACATCTTTATTTCTGCCTTCATTTTGTTATGTACCCAGTAGTCATTCATGGAATACTATGCAGCCATAAAAAATGATGAGTTCATGTCCTTTGTAGGGACATGGATGAAGCTGGAAACCATCATTCTCAGCAAACTATTGCAAGGACAAAAAACCAAACACCGCATGTTCTCACTCATAGGTGGGAATTGAACAATGAGAACACATGGACACAGGAAGGGGAACATCACACACTGGGGCCTGTCGTGGGGTGGGGGGATGGGGGAGGGATAGCATTAGGATATATACCTAATGTAAATGACGAGTTAATGGGTGCAGCACACCAACATGGCACATGTATACATATGTAACAAACCTGCACATTGTGCACATGTACCCTAGAACTTAAAGTATAATAAAAATAAAAAACTAAAAAAAAAAAAAGCAAGGAGCAAGAAAAAAAAATGATTACAGGCCTTCCCCAAAACTCAACTGCCTTTGTAAAGCTAACAAAAGGCCAGCAGGCTAGGGGGAAGAGAGGAATCTGAATTCTGCTAAAGTGCAGTCATAAAAGATTGCCAGCCATTCCTACAAATAAAATCAGTATTCTAGAACTTAATATTGGCCTTTTCAGATAACTTTTCAGGTTTTTTTGCATGTCTGAAATCCATGGCTCCACCTGGACCCACCAACTCCACTCCTATGGCCCCCCCAGAAGCAACTCAGCTCAAGAGGACAGCTTTGACCTCCTATGATTTCATCTCCACCACAACCAATCATCAGCAGGCATCCATTTCTAGCCATCCCCCCTTCCCCTAAACTGCCTTTGAAAGTCCCCTAACCTATAGGCTTTAGAGAAGATCGACTTGAGTACTAACTCCATCTCCCACATGGTGTGGCCAGCCTCAAGTCAGTTTAAGTCTTTCTTTACTGTAATGCCATGGTCTTTAATTGTGCAGTGGGCAGAAAGCACCTGTTGGGCAGTTACAACACCATCAGTCTGCTGATTTTCTTTCTGTGTCTCTGGCTTCTAGTTCTCAGTTTCATTTTCTTTCTCATTTCTTGCTTTCATTGTTTCTCATTCTACACTTTCTCCTTAGGAGAGAACTTTTATTGCCATGGATACCATCTTTGTGCTCAAAGAGCCCACACACATACACACATATATATTTCCATCCAAGTTCTTCCTTCTGAATTTGAACCTGCTCCTCTATAGCATTCCTTTTCTCAGCATATGACCCTCTATTCTCTCTTCACCCAGTTGCTAAAGACAGAAAATTGAAATCATTTTCGTTATGGCTTTGTCCTGATGCCTCCCCTCTCCGCATCACCCAATATGAAGCTCAGACTATTCTGAATCCAAATTTATTTGTTAAATTGTCCTTCATTTCTACATTTTTGTTGCTACTTTTAATTAGCTCTAACCATCTTTCTCATTTGGACTACTCCACAATGAAGCTTCTGTAGCTATACAATGATCTTTTAAAATGCAAATTGGACTCTGTCTTTGTCTTTCATCTCTGTTTTAACATAGAAGAATTACTAAGAGTCTTTCATTTTAACATCAAAGGCCTCAGAAATCTGGTCAGCTGAATCCAGTATCATGTGGTATCACTCCGTCACTTGTTTTCTAAGCTGGCCACATTGGTCTTCTTTCAATTCTTAATAGTACCAAGCATTTTTGTGCCTCAAAGACTTTTCACATGTTAGTACCTTCACCTGGAATGCTTTTATTTCCACCCTTTACTTTGCTAATCTTACTTATACTTCACATCTTAGCTCAAATATCACTTCTCTACATAGGCTGTCTTTGAGTCTCAGATCTAAATTAGATTTCTCTTGTTATTTTTGCTCTTATAGCACTTATCACAAATTATAGTGTAGATCAATTTATCTCTTTGTCTCTTAAACTAGTCTGTGAACTCCATGAGAGCTGACACCAGGTGCGCTTTGTTCAATCTCAGACTTCACCCTTTGTAGCCATTTACTATATCAATAAATGAATAATAAATATGTCAATAACTAAATAAATGAGTGTTTGCCAGTAAGTTACCTAAGCTGTCTGACTCCCATCTATGAAGTTGATACAAGAATTTCTTTCTTACCAGGTTGTTCTATTAACTGATAGAGCAAATACTTCTACCCAGCATAAATTCACCACAAAAATTTGCTTCCTCTGCCCCACCCTTCACCCTATCCACGCCAGCAGCCTGGTAGAGCAGAAAAAGCTTTACAGTTTGATGTAACTGAATTTAGTTTTTTACTTTCTAGTTATTTCCTGTGTAACCCTAGTCAAGTTGCTTAACATCTTTGAGCCTGTTCTCTCATCTATAAAACTGATATAATAATATCTACCCTCATAGGATTGTGGCTAGGATTAAATAAAGTAACATGTATAAAGCACCCAGCATGTGCACATTCCATAGATGTGACTTCTCAGTCTCTGAATACCCAAGGTACCATATATAGCATAATTTTTCAATATTTTTATCCAAAATCACATATGTTTTTCACAGGTTTAAGCTAAAATATTGTTTTAGAAGGCAAATAAACCTGAGAAGCGTGTCAAATTGCTATCTTCTAAAGGCACATGAAGCACCTGGGGAGCTTAATCAAAATGCAAATTCTAGGCCCCCACTCACTGACATCTGATTCACTAGATCTGGAGTGAGCCCAGGAATTTGCATTTTGATAAAGCCCACAAAGTGAATCAGGTGTTCCATTAACTTCACCTTGAAGACCAGTATTTTCATGTATCCAAGTTTGAGACATGGTGATATTTTCAACTCCAAACTCCAAAAGTTTGCATGAGCCACAGTTGATAAATGAGCCTATGTTTAGTCGAAGGGCACATTTATTTCCTTAAGAGTTGTGGATTTATTCATGCTGCTTTATGAAATAAACTTAATGTTGAACTTAGGAGATATAAGAGCAACTGCTTTCACAAAGGCACTGTTTATCAGACTATAAAATAAATTGTACATGAATCTTAACTCTCAAAGCTGTGCAAATTGTCTTATGTCTAGCAAGGAACTCTACCAGTGAGAATAACAGGCATTATAGATGTACATATGCTTCGGAAATAATGCATTTTCTAGGAAAAAAACCTGCTGTTACTCATTAGCCTGACAGGTAGGCTTGCATTTTATAAAGGACATACTTTAGAAGAATCATTACTATACAGTAGTAGTAATGAGATAGAAAAATATTAGGGGTAAAACAATGAAAGAGTGATGTAAACAGGGTTTTTTGTGAATTTAAAAAGAAAAATTAAGAAAGTTACAAAGAACTCTTTATAATAATCAGTGTCAAAATACACTACCTTATTTTTTCTCATAAAATGATTGATAGTAAACATTTTAGATCTCAATGGCTTCTATGTAAAAGCCATTTAGTTGTCTTTTTTTAAAACCAAAAGTGAAAAAGAAAATTGAGTACCAAGTTACTAAGACACTCAAGGCATAAAAGTCTATAAAGACTATACAGAATATCACCAGGCGCCATATGCACGCAACAAGCATCCCAGAGTTGCTTCAGCTTTTTAATAACTATATGATTGATTTTTGTATACTCCATAAAATATTTTTTAAAAACTCATTAAAATGCATAAATGCATAATACTTACATTGATAAATATAAATTTACTTGCTAAGACATGAAAGATGAAATTTATATCCTCCGTCTTGCTATGTTGGTGCATTTTCCTCCAAATTTGTGTAAATACTGTTCTGAGTTTTGCATTTGTAACTGAGATGACTCAAAAACACATTGTCCTTAGTTCTTGAAATGTCACAATAAATATTTAAACTTTGAGAAGTTATCTTAGAGTCCTGCTTCTTGCTGTTGAAACTAGGGTAAATTTTCTTTTATCTAAATTGAAGAAATTGAAAAGTAGAGCTGAAAAGAATCTCAGTCGTTGAAGTGTCTGCTCCTTTCCACAAAGTCTGGCTTCAGAAATGTATCTGTTTTTTAGGACCCCATTTAATCATTCCCGTCTACGAAATTAATCCAGTCCAAAGTATCTCTGACAATATTTTGAACCTTACAAATGCCAACGCGTTGTCCTAAATAACCTAAATCACCCTGCCTCCCTCACATACCATATTAAATTGATCATTGAATCTCAAAATCTCAAAAACATCTCAGTAGCTCATTCTCCCCTTCTCACTGGTGTGACTTTGGCAACAACCCCTTCCATCAGTCTGAAATATTGCAAGAGTCTCTTACAGGATCCCTAGGTTTGGGGTCTCTCATATTGTCTCCTCTGTTCTCCACATTCCAAAGTTGTGTTTAACTTCTATTAAAATATAAAAATTGTCATAAAATACAGAATTATGATCCAACCCCTGCTTCTTCCATCTCCTAATGTGTTCACATACACCAACCTATTTTGTCATCTCGCAGAGCTTCCTGTCTCACAAAAAAACAAGATGTTTTGTTTGTTTTAATTTTTTATGAATGACTTTACACATTATATTTATCTTCCTGGAATGCTTTTATTTACATTTTCTTTATCAGCTGCTCCCGACTCCTTGGGAGGTTACAAGTAATATTTCAAGGCAAATTAGTCACATGCCTTCCAAGAGAAGTCAAGGGGCACTGTTCAATTAGGCTTATAAACCAGTTATATCTATACATGTATGACATTATATTAGACTTTACCTATTTCTTGCCCAAAAGACCTTAAATTCTCCAAAGATAGAGCAATATTTGATTCATCTTTCGATCTTCATAACCTATCTAGGCAGTAGCTCATGGTATTAATAATAATATCAATAATAATAATAATAAACACTTCTATAATATTGTGTGAGGCACTGTTTTACTTAATTTGCAAACTTAGATATGTACAATCCTATGATGTAAATAATTTTATTAGCCAGTTTTGTAGAGGGTAAAATAAGGTACAGTGTGGTTAAATAACTTTTTCAATGTCACATACCTAGTAAGTTAAAAACACTAGAGTCTGAATCTAGTAAGTTAAAACATTAGAGCTTAGTCTGGCTTCAGAACTCATATTCTTGTCTTCTTGCTAACTAAAATATGCTAACTTGCTCAATAAAAAAATGAAACTTAAAAAAAATTCATCTCACTCTCTGTTACTCTGGCTATGGGAAAATCTGACTCTAGGTTTCTCAAAGTGAACCTCAAAGATAGATCTTGGTTAATAAAAGTTGCAAAATATTTGAAGTTACTAGTGAAGATCTAAAAATGGATACTTCTTTGAATATATGACAGAACATGTCAGTGTGCAGATGATGTTGGTAAAATTTTAGGTAATGGAGTTCTAAATATGAATGAATAATGCATAGTATCATGAAATAAAATAATTTAAAACAACAGAAGAATTTCATCTATGAAATGTAAACAGAGGAAAAACTGCGTGTTTGAATGTATTGTGGTGATGAAGGGAAAGGATGCTTGACAGAAGGATCACACATTCACTTAACATAAGCAACACACAGGTGTCATTCTCATTCAAGATCCTGCATCATCTCTACAACTAAGCTTTAAATACTTACTTCAGATGCCTCCAGAAAAGTCAACGCAGAAGAAACTAACACTGTTGTTCAAGTAATTTACCTCATAATGTGCAAAACAAATAAACACTAGTATACACGTATTAATTCTGCAGCTGGTTAGGGCATAAAGGGTCATAACCCATCCTTGTTCCCCCAGAAATCACTAAAAAATAATAAACTAAAAATTATATATGGACATACACACATTTGTGTATATAGATTGGTAGGTTATAGTTGGATGGATGGAGAGAGAGAGAGAAGAGAGGAAAGAAAAAGAAAGAAAGAAGAAAGAAAGAAAGAAAGAAGAAAGAGAAAGAGAAAGAAAAAGGAAGAAAGGAAGGAAAGAGAAAGAAAGAAAGAAAGAAAGAAAGAAAGAAAGAAAGAAAGAAAGAAAGAAAGAAAAGAAAGAAAGAATCTTGACACAATGAGGTCTAAAGGAGCTAAATTTCAAATGGGAATAAGGTTTTCCTATATAAATAGAGACCTGTGACCATCAGGGTCACAGAGGTAAATCAGTCAATAGAAGAAGACACATAAAGAAGTGTGAATTAACACTTTATGAATTAACATAACAGAATTAACATAACAGAAGTTAGAATTAAAAAAACTTTAAAGTTAACATAAATATGTGAAACCAATTATTTGAAAAGCTGAAGAAAATGAATGGAAAGAAGGATAACATAAACCATGTATGGAATTTTAACAAAAAATAAACATACAACTAAAGCAATATTTAAGAATTTATTGGAGCACTTTAGAGCTCCATAAAAATGGGCAAAAACCATTGTGAAAATTGATTTTATAACTTGGGTCATTCTCGTCATACCAAACTAAATCAGATTTGAGGGGCCAGGGGAAAAAACACTTAGGGGACATAGATAGCACCTGCTGCAAGAATTAAATTTTCCATAAGCCCAGCTGCTAAAACTGCTTATTATAAGCTGAAGCCAGTTTCATCTAATAGCTACTAAAGCATTTGGGTATAACTCTAAGACTAGTTTTACCCACTTTTGTCACTCAGCAATCAGAGCCTGTCAGCTCCCCAAAACATTGCTAGCGTCAATGAACTTTTTTCAAAGCAATACATAACATTCCTCTTTTTTAGAAAACCTCCAACCTTCTCTTCATTTTTCAGATATAACAAAGACCACCTAGTCTTGTATGTATGCCCTGAAATGAATCTTTGCTGCACAAATACAACTTTCAAATTTTAAAATTTGTCTTTATACATTGTTTGACTTTGACAACCTGTCCAAGCTCAATGGGTCATTAATATGTAAATAGATGCTCAAAATCATTATTCAGCAGAAATTGAAAATTAAAACCCTAATGAGTTACAAGACTGAAAATAGCAAATATGGTTGAGATTGTGGAGCAAGTTAGGCTTTCATACAATGCCATAGATGTGAAAAACAGTATTATCTCCTTGGAAAACCCTTTTGCACTTTCTAATAAAATTAAGAATTACTCTTCTAGATATATATCCAAAAGAAATGAGTGCTTATTTTTACAAAAAGGCTTCTATAATAATATCCATAGTAGTTTAATTTAATAACAATATAACAATTATAACAGATAAAATCTGTTAACACCCCAAATACTCAACAGGAGGAAGGATAAATAAATCATGGTATAATCACAAAATAAAATATTTAGCAGAAGGGAGAATAAAAAGAATGAGCTTGTGATATACTCAACAAAATGAATAAACATCATAAACAGTATATTGAGCAAAAGAAAGTAGACATAATTGGACATACTGTTCAACTGAAATAAGGTTTAGGAATGGACAAATTAATCCATGGCACAAGAAGAATAGTGGTTACAGAGAGGGTTATATTGTCAGTCCAGGTGGATAAGGCAACTTTCTAGCCAAGGGATGAAAACGTTTTTTATTTATATCTGTTTGGGTTGCACGTGGTTTGCATGCATATATAAATTATTAAACAAGTCTCTTTAAAATGTGTGGTTTTGCTTCATAGAGTGTACACCCGAATTCAAAATAGTTTTTTTTTTTTTTTTTTTTTTGAGACGTAGTTTTGCTCTTGTTGCCCAGGCTGGAGTGCAATGGCGCAATCCTGGCTCACCGCAACCTCTGCCTCCCGGGTTCAAGCAAATCTCCTGCTTCAGCCTCCCCAGCAGCTAGGACTACAGGCACCCACCACCACGCCTGGCTAATTTTTTTCTTTCTTTTTTTTTTTTTTTAGAAGAGACAGTGTTTCACCATGTTGGCCAGGCTGATCTCTAGCTCCTGACCTCAGGTGATCCACCCACCTTGGCCTCCCAAAGTGCTGGGATTACAGGAGTGAGCCACAGCGCCTGGCCCAAAATAGCTTTTTAAAAGTCATACTTAATTTTTAAAAAATAATCTTGTGTACTTCTGATGAAGGAAATGTCTGTCAAAACTAGTTGATTGAAATCTTCTTTATTAAAAAATTTAATATGCATAATTTAAATGAATACATCTATGCACCCAAGTTTACTTGGTTGTTATTATTGTTGTTTTTAAGATAGGGGTCTTGTTCTGTTGCCCAGGCTGGAGTGCAGTGTCACAATCACATCTCACTGCCCACTCCAACTCCCAGGCTCAAGCAATCATCCTGCTGCAGCCTCTCAAGTAGCTGGATCCGCAGGTACATGCCACCACACCTGGCTAATTTCTGTGTGTGTGTGTGTGTGTATGTCTGTGTGTGTGTGTGTGTGTGTGTGTGTGTGTGTGTGTGTGTGTGTGTGTAGAGATGAGGTCTCACTAAGTTGCCCGAACTGATCTTCAACTCCTAAGCTCAATTGATATTCCTGTCTCGGCCTCCTAAACTGTTGAGATTACAAGCATGAGACAACGCGCCTGGCTTTGATACTAACTTTAAATCTAATATCTTATATTCTCTTGGGAGGTTTTAGTGCTTTTATTTTCAGGCATTCAAAATACTTTTCTTCATTTATTAATTTATCCACTGAATGATTATTTATTGGGTTCTATTATGTGGCAGAAGCTGTTATGTAAACAAGATGAATTTTTCCCTTCATGGAGTTTATATTTTAGTAAATAGACTTTAGAAAAATCAGTCACAAATAAACTAATATGAAACAAGCAACACATAAACTAATAGAAAAATTAAATAACATAGCGTTATTTTCCCTAAGTTAGGAAGAAAGATGTTATATAAATGTATTCTAGAGATACACTTTAAATAGGATTATTTGTAGAAAAAGAAGGTTTTTGTATAAGTGTAAATGCTGAGAAGGGGTCAGACTAGGGGAAGAAAAAAAGAATAATTCAGTATAAGAGAAAGCAGGAGCAAAGAGTCTGAAACAGTAAAGAAAGTAAAGAAAGAAGGCTGGTAACGCTATTTAATAATAGTGACCATGGGTGAGAGTGGGAGGAGGAGTGGGGCAGAAATGACATTTGAAGGAGTAACTGAGTATTGAATACATAGTTTTGCAAATCACTATTTTTTTGATGTATAGAATATTATTACAGACATCCCTCATTTTACTTTGCTTCATTTTATTGCACTTTGCACATTGTTTTTTCACAACTTGGTTTGTGGCAACCCTGCAACAAGCAAGACTATTGGCACCATTTTTCCAACAGTATGTCCTCACCTCAAGTCTCTGTATTAGCCTTTTTCGATAATAAAATATTTTTAATTAAGGTATGTACTTTTTTGACACAATGCTACTGCACACTTAATAGATTAAAGTATAATGTGAACATAATTTTTATATATACTGAGAAACCACAAACTTTGTGTAATTTGCTTTAGTGCAGCGTTCACTTTACTGAAGTTAGCTAGAACTGAACCTACAATATCCAAGTTATGGGTGTATTATTCTAGGAAACAAGAAGGAGTTCAAGGATTTAAAGCTAGCTAATAATGTGATAGATTTGTATATGAAAAGACTAATGTAAATGCTGTGTGCAGGCCTGGTGCAGTGGCTCACACCTGTAATCTTAGCATTTCCAGAGGCTAAGGCAAGGAGATTGTTGAGGCCAGGAGTTCAAGAACAGCCTGAGCAATGTAGGGAGACACTGTCCTAAAAAATAATAGACAGCTGGTCATGGTGGTGCTTGCCTGTGATCCCAATGACTCAGGAGGATGGGGCAGCAGATCCCTTGAGGCTGGGATGTCAAAGCTGCAGAGAACCATGATTGCATCACTGCGCTCCAACATGGGTGACATAATGAGACCCTGTTTCTAAAAAATAAATAAATAAATACTGTGCATAGAATAGATTTTAGGAAACGTAGAGGATTGTCAGTGATGAAAAAGGAGAAATCAACAAATAATTATAATTTATGTTATTCATCAATGTCACAGTAGGTTCCAAACTTATCTACAGAAAGGAGACAATTTGGTTATTCAATACAACAATAGCAAATGAAAAAGGTGTTGCTCTACATCACTAAGTATTACAAAAATGCAAATCAAAGCCATAATGACATATCACCTCACAACAGTTAGGATGACTACTATCAAAACGTCAAAAGATAAGTGTGGAGAAAAAAAGGAACCCTTATACATTGTTGAGAGGAAAGCAAATTGGTACAATTGTCATGGAAAACAGTATGGAGATACTTCAAAAAAAATGGAACTCCTATATGATTCAGCAATCATACCTTTGCATATATATACTAAGAAAATAAAATAATCTCAAAGAGATATCTGCACTTTCACATTTATTGCAGCATTATTCACAATAGCCACAATAAGAGAACAAGTAATCCCATTTACAATAGTTATAAATTAAAATACAACATCTAAGAATAAACTTAATCAAAGAGGTGAAAGATTTCCACAATGAAAACTATAAAACACTGATGCAAGTAATTGAAGAGGACACAAAAAAACAAAAAGATATTCCATGTTCATGGATTGGAATAATCAATATTGTTAAAATGTCCATATTACCCAAAACAATTTGCAGATTCAATGCAATTCCTATCAAAATACCAATGAGATTCTTCACAGAAATAAAAACAATCCTAAAATTTATATGAAACCACGAAAGACCCAGAGTAGCCAAAGCCACTCTGAGCAAAAAGAACAAAACTGGAGGAATCATATTACCTGACTTCATATTATACTAGTTACTGTAACCAAAATAGCATGATGCTCTCCCCAGTTAAAATGGCTTTTATCCAAAAGACAGGCAATAATGAATGCTGGCAAGGATGTAGAGAAAAGGGAACTCTCATACTGTTGGTGGGAGTATAAATTAGTACATCTACTATGGAGAACAGTATGGAGGTTCCTCAAAAAACTAAAAATAGAACTACAATATGATCCAGCAAATCCCACTGCTGGATATACACCCAAAAGACAGGAAATCAGTATGCCAAAGAGATATCTTCACTCCCGTATTTATTGTAGTACTATTCACAAAAGCCAAGATTTGGAATAACAGATACATCAAACAACTGAACTGAATAGAGAACCCAGAACTAAATCCATACATCTACAGTGAATTAATTTTTGATGGAGGTGCCAAGAATATACTTTTGGGAAAGGACAGTCTCTTCAATAAACAGTGCTGGGAAAACAGGATATCCATATGCAGATGAATGAAATTAGACCACATCTCTCACCATATACAAAAATCAAATCAAAATGAATTAAATACTTAAATTTAACACAACAAACTATAAAACTACTACAAGAAAACATTGAGAAAACTCTCCAGAATATTGATCTGTGGGAAGATTTTTTGTGTAGTACTCTACAAGTACAGGCAACCAAAGCAAAAATGGACAAATGGAATCACTTCACATTTAAAAGCTTCTGAACAGCAAAGAAAACAATCAACACAATGAAGAGATAACCTATGGAATGAGATAAAATATTTGCAAACTACCCATCTGACAAAGGATTAATGACCAGAATACATAAGGAGCTCAAATAACTCAATAGGAAAAAATCAAATAATCTGATTTTTAAATGGGCAAAAGATCTAAATAGATAACCCTCAGAAGAACACATACAAATGGCAAACAGGTACATTAAAAAGTGCTCAATATCATTGATCATCAGAGAAATGCAAATCAAAACTACAATGAGATGTCATCTCTCCCCAGTTAAAATGGCTTTTATCCAAAAGACAGGCAATAATGAATGCTGGCAAGGATGTAGAGAAAAGGGAACTCTCATACACTGTTGGTGAGAGTATAAATTAGTACATCTACTATGGAGAACAGTATGGAGGTTCCTCAAAAAACTAAAAATAGAACTACAATATGATCCAGCAAATCCCACTGCTGGATATACACCCAAAAGACAGGAAATCAGTATGTCAAAGAGATATCTGCACTCCCATATTTATTGTAGTACTATTCACAAAAGCCAAGATTTGGAATCAACTTAAGTGTCCATCAACACATGAAAGGACAAGGAAAATGTGGTATATATACACAAGGGAGTATTATTCAGCCATAAAAAAGAATGAGATCCATTCATTTGCAACAACATGGATGGAAATGGAGGACATTATGTTAACTGAAATAACCCATATAGAGAAAGGCAAACTTCACATATTCTCACTCATTTGTGGGAGCTAAAAATTGAACTCATGAAGATAGAGAGTTGAAGGATGGTTACCAGAGGCTGGGAGGAGTAGTACAGGTGGGGGGAAAGTGGGAGTGATTATTGAGTACAAAAATATGAGTTAGATAGAATGAATAAGATCTAGTATTTGATAGCACAACAGGGTGATTATAGTTAATAATAATTTACTGTATAGTTAAAAATAACTAAAAGATTATAGCTGGAATTTTTGTAATACACAAAAAGATGACAAAAGCTTGAGGTGATGGATATCCTATTTACCATGATGTGATTATTATGCATTGTATGCCTATGTCAAAATATCTCATATATCCCATAAATATGTACAACTACTATGTGCCCATAAAAATTGAAAATGAAAAACACAACAAAGTACGAAAACAATCTCATTGTCCATCAATGAATAAATAAATACAGGAAATATCACATATATGAACAGACACCTTTCAAAAGAAGACATACACATGACTGACAAGCATATGAAATAATGCTCAACATCACTAATCATTAGAGAAATACAAATCAAACCACAATGAGACACCTTCTCACACCAATCAGAATGGCTACTATTAAAAATTAAAAAAGAACAGATCCTGGTGAGATTGCGGGGAAAAGGGAATGATTGTACAGTGTTGGTGGGAATGTAAATTAGTTCAGCCATTGTGGGAAGCAGTCTGGTGATTTCTCAACTTAAAACAGAACTACTATTCAACCCAGCAATCCCACTATTGGACGTATACCCAAGGGAATATAAATCACTCTACCATAAAGACACACACATACATATGTTCACTGTAGCACTATTCACAATAGAAAAGACATGAAATCAACCTAGCTATGACAGATGGGATAAAGAAAACATGTGACATATACACCATGGAATACTACATAGCCATAAAAAGAACAAGATCCTGTCCTTTGCAGCAACATGGATGAAGATGGAGACCACTATCCTAATGCAAGAACAGAAAACCAAATACTGCAAGTTCTCACTTATAATTGGGAGCTAAAATTGAGTACACATGAACACAAAGAAGGGAAAAAAAGACACCGAGGCCTACTTGAGGGTGGAGGGTGGGAAGAGGATGGGTATAGAGAAGCTACCTATTGGGTACCATGCTTATTACCTAGTGACAAAATAATCTGTACACCAAACCCCCATTGCATGCAACTTACCTATATTACAAATCTGCACATGTACACCTGAAACAAAAAGTTTTTTTTTAAAAAATATCAAGTTTGTATTACACACACTCACACATGCAAGTGTACATACACACAAAGGAATCATATTCAACCTTTAAAAAGAGGGAAATCTACCATTTGCAATGACATGGATGAACCTAAAAGATAGCATGCTAAGTGAAATAAAATAGACAAAGAAAGACAAATATACATGATCTCATGTATATATGGAATGTAAAACATGGAACTCATAGAAATAAAGAGTAGATCTGTGGTTACCATGTACCACTAGGTGAGGAAAAGGGGGAGATGTTGGTCAGAGGGTACAAACTTGCAGCTATAAAGTGAATAAGTTCTGGAGATCTAGGGTACAGCATGGTCACTATAGTAATAATAATGTGTCATATACTTGAAATTTGCTAAAAGTAGACCTCAAGTATTTTCACAACACCACCAACAGCAAAGCCAACTATGTGAGATGGTTAATTAGCTTTCCTGTGGTAATCATTTTACATTGTAGAGTTGTATCAAAACATCACTTGTACAGCTTAAATATATACTATCTTTGTCTGTTATAACTCAATGAAGATAAAAATAAAATAAAATGCATTGTTCTAGTATCCTTTTACTCTTTTAATAAAAGTCTTTAAATAATTTTTGTTTTACTTATTTATGTTGGCAGATGGTAGCTACTTCATCTTCAATTAGGATTTCATAAATTCTCACTTGGTGCATAGTTTTGCCCTGGAGTTTCATACAAAAAAAGTGTGTGTTTTTTACTGAGTATGTTTCCGAATTATACAATCCAGGGGTAAATTCAGTATTTTTTAAATTTCTAAGTTATGTGGAATTATGAGTTATGAACTTTTTGTAAATTTTGGGAAGCATCTACTTTATAAAACACTAAGATCTTCTCTAAGGAAAATAAAAGAATTTTTGAGTGAATTCATGTTTTATGACCAAAAACTTTAAATTGTTCCATGGGGGACTCTGAATAAGTTAGCAGTTTAGATAAGCAGCCTTTGCGTTTTCAAGCTTAAATTTATTTTATTAAGTAACAAAAATGTAAAGATTTTACATGGTTATTTTCACCAACTTTGAGCTTTCTTTATTTGTACAGCCACTCACTCTTACTTCACCACATCTAGCCCAGTACAAAAAAGCTAGAGAACAAATGCAAGAAATTCTTGTCTTTATGTTTAAAAGTCCTGATTCAGGTTTGAAACAGAAAAGATTCTGAAAGATATATGATACACTTAGTTTATGTGCTTCCTCACACACTCGTATTTAAAAATTTATTATGTATGTGTGTGTTTCTGCTATACCACACAGAAAAAATGTCTCTCTTTGTATAATGTTATAGTCTACTGTGGCTAAAAATATTGTCACCATTGTACTGTCCTCCCGCAGACATTATTTGTTCTCTGAATTTTATACTTCATTATGCTCCAGATGACATTCAATTGCCATTATCTGCATGATGTTGCCCCAGAGCTTTCTTAGAAGCCATAAAAGCCAATTTTAAACCCCTAACCACAGACCTGAAGTGCCAGGGATTAATACACTTGGAGCAACCCTCAAGCTACAACAATCTAAAATCAGTCATCTGTCATCTCTCAGGTGGGACAGCTCCAAGAACTGTTACTCGCCTTTTCCCAGACAGTCCTGCCATTGCCCCAATGACAGACTAGCTTGATAAGATGTTTTTTTACATCTTATCAAGAAGGAAGATGGCTTCCTTCCCTTCCCTGTCTCACTATCTCACACCACTACTGAACATACTTTAACTTCCTCCGATTACTTAAATTTAAATTCTTTTCCCAGGGTCTATTTTAGGGAAAAACAAGCTATAGTACCTACTATATTTTAAGTCTTTTAGAGTTAGGGACAGTACAGTATTATATTATTCTTCATATCCACAACACACTCACATGAATGTCTCCTAAACATAGCAAATACTTCAATAAATAATCAAATTGACTGTGTGGTTACAATTGCAAATATTCTCATAATGTTGAGAAAATATGTGATCTATCTTTCATAAATCTACTGCACCTTTTGTGAACCCTGACCTTCACCTTTTACTGTTCCAAAGAATCAGAATAAGGATATTTGATACATGTTTTAAAAATGAAATAAGTTCATTAAACACATTTTTAAAGTAAATAAAAAGTAAAAATAATTTGTAATTCCATAATTCTGAAGTAGCCATTGTCAATATTGTATAGCTTCTGTCAGTAGTTTTTAAAATGTGTGCTGAAGTCAAGTTTGGAATCATGTATTTATTATCTTTTGATCACAATAATAACATGTAATAATAGAAGGAATTTTGCTTCCAAACAAGGTGGTTAACAGGGACTATCTTTGTCCTGCCCCCTGAGAAAAATGAAAAGAACAAAGTACATGAGACAATGGTTTTCAACACAGTAGCATTAGACATCAATTAACAAAAGACAATGACTCCTGAGAGTCAGGAAACAATAGAGGTGGGCCGTATGATTGCCCCCTTTTTATTGTCTAAGGAGAGATTTGAGGCTTCATTTCAGGAAAGAACTTACGTAGAGAAACGCAGTCATTCTAAGTAGTGGAGATACAGCTGTAAGCTCAGGAAGATCAAGAAAGCTGGAATAAACAGAGAAGGGTGCCAGAAGGAAGAGAAAAGAGGGAAGGAGAAAAGAGAGAGAGAGAGAGAGAGAGAATCTAGCCATCTGCAGAGGTGCCCCTCAAGACTTAGCTGTGTATTAATCATTGCATATGTGTGAATAATCTACTGAGGCTGGTAAAAGGATGACCAGAAAGGATATAGTAGAAAAGTTCTAGCCAACATGGCAAACCTTATAATTATGGAATATTAGGGAAAGTATTCAGAAGGGTTTTCCCTCAATAGTAGGAAAAATTAGGTTTACATTAAATATTATTCTTGCCTTGCCTAACAAAGTTTAAAAGTGAGAACTGGGCCTGGTGCAGTGCCTTACACCTGTAATCCTAACACCCTGTGAGGCTGAGGCATGAGGATTGCTTGACCCCAGGAATTTGAGACCAGTCTGGGCAACGTGGAGAGATTCTGTCTCTATAAAACTTAAAAAAAAATAAAAAAAATAAAAAGCCGAGAGTGGTGGCATGCACCTGTGGTCCCAGCTTCACTGAATGTAGAGGAGGGAAGGGCATGTGAGCTGGGAGGTCTAGGCTGCAGTGAGCCAAGATCCTGCCACTGCGCTGCAGCCTGGGCAAAAGAGGGAGACCCTATCTCTAAGAAAAAAAAAAGAAAAAAGAGAAAAGTGAGAAATGAAAGGATTAAACTCTTCCAGATATCTCATCCCCAAAAATAAGCTCAAATATTATTTATAGGGAATACCTTTACACAATAAGGAGAAATTTACAACATCTGGCTTCCAATTTAAAAAGTAGCAGATATGCAAAGAAGCAAGAAAATGTGACTTATTATGAAGAGAAAGATGAATTCATGAAATTAGACCTATAAATGACTCAGATAATAAAATTAATGGAAAAGGACAATAAATCATCTCTTATAACTGGAAATCATAGGTGAACTTTTTTTCAATAATAGTTTTAGCCTTGTCTTTCATATTGGCAGGTAAAAAATCAACCACCAAATTTGAAGCATAGAAGAAAATAGTTACTGAGGTTGCTTATAATCATTCCTACTCTCTGTATTCCCTGAGATACTCCTATAGTGCTTAATGTGAATAGTTTGTTAATATTGCTGTAAAGTATTATATTGTATAATTTGAAGACAGACTATGCTATTTTATTATACTCCATCAATCTATAATATATCATTAGACTGATGCCCTATCAAAAATGCTTTGTTTGTATAATATATTTTGACAAATTTTACTACCATATGTTCTGTAATAAGTATGAATTTTTGTACTTGCAGAAACTGCTGCTAACTTTTAAAGTTGTTTGGTTTTCAAGGCACTGATGATGGATATGTACGAAGTCCATGCTGTCTGCAGAATTAACCATCACACCAGAGCAATATGGCTTTTTGTAGAATTGTCCTAGTTAATGAGCCCAAACTTTGCCTGACGTTGGAAATTTCATAGAGCGTAATTAATGTTGAATTGAATTTTGAGCTTTTAGTCAGAACCTATGGTCAAGTGCTTTTAGGAACAGTGTTTTGTTTTGTTTTGTTTTTATTTTGCTTTAAGTCTGGGATACATGTGCAGAATGTGCAGGTTTGTTACAGAAGTATACATTTGCCATGGTGGTTTGCTGCACCTATCAATTCAACATCTAGGTTTTAAGCCCCGCATGCATTAGGTATTTGTCCTAATGTTCTCCCTCCCCTTACCCCCAACCCCCCAGGTGAACATTTAAAAATAGAGATGAAAATCAAACTTCATCTGTAGTACAAAAAATGTTAAAGGAAACCCTTCAGGCAGAAGGAAAATGATGCAATTGAAAAGCTGGATGTTCACAAAAGAACATGAGAAATGATAACTATATGGGTAAATATAAAAGATTTTTTGTTATTATTCACATCTCTTAAAAATATATAAAGCAAAAATAATACAACTTATATGGAAATAAAATGTATGGCAAGTATAACACAAATGTCAGAGGGGGAAGAATGAAAACATAATTTTGAAGGTCATTGTATTTATGGTGAACTGTGTATCTTAAACGTAGGGTGTGATAAGGTCAAGATATATACAATAACACTGAAGCAACTACTGAAAGCACTAGTAGGCCAAAGAAGGATATAAAATGAATTTATAAATAATACTCAATTCAAAACACAACACAAAAAGAAGAAAAATAGATTTAACAAGATATAAAAATAGAAAATAGCAATATATCAGATTTTAACTCTATATTATCAATAATCACATTACATTTAAATGGTCTAAACACACTAATAATTAACAGATATCATCAGAATGGATTTTAAAAGTCAAGAGCCATCTAAGCAGTTTCTATAAGATGTCCACTTTTTAAAGACACAACTAGATTAAAGGTTAAAAAAATAGAAAATATACACCATATTAACATTAATCAAAAGAAATCAGGAGCATCTATATTAGTATCAGACAAGCAGTATTTTAAAATGATATGTGGGTCAATTCATCCAGAGAATATAACCATTCTAAACGTGTATACATCTAATAAAATGCATGAAACAAAAACTGAGAGACCTGTAAAGAAAAATAGGCATATCCATAATTATAGTAGAAGACATCAACACTCCTCTCTCAATAACTCATAGAAATAAGACTATTTCATATAAGTAGACATAAGAAATAAGTAAGAATATAGGAGACTTTAAAAGCATTCTCAACCTACTTTATCTTCTTGATAATTACTCAATACTACACCCAAGAAAAAGTAAAATATGCTGGAAGTGCATTAAGAACAATTACCAAGTAAGACCATATTCTATGCCATAAAACAAAATTCAATAAATATAAAAGCTTTCATAAAAAGTTCAAACATGTACAGACCATATGTCATAGCTATTACACTCGTAGATATTTACCCAAGAGAAATAGCAGCATTTGCATACAAAGAACTATACACAAATGCCGATACCATTTATTTCTTAATAGACCCAAACTGGAAGGAACCCAAATGTCATCAACAGGTGAATAAATAAATAAATTGCAGTGTATCCATAAAATGGAATACTTTCTGCAATAAAAAGTAATGAGTTATTGTCACTCACAAAGAAATGGGTGGATCTGAAAATAATTACGATGAGGCCAGATTCCAGGTCTGCAAAATTCTAGAAAATTCAAACTAACTTATAGTGGCAGAAATCGGATCAGTGTTTGCTTGGGGAAGAAGAAAGGGAGCAGTAAGGAGAGATTATAAAGAGGCCCAAGAAAACTAAACTTTTGAGTGTAGTTAATATTCTCATTTTTCTGACTTTGCTAATAATTTTATGAATGTATACATATATCAAAATATTGAACTATACACTTTAAGTATGTGCAGTTTATTGCATGTCAATTACAGCCTCAATAAAGCTATTTTAATACAATAGTCATTGTATTAGTCAGGATTCTCTAGAGGGACAGAACTAATGGAATATATATATTTATTATATATATGAAACATATTTATTATATATGATATATATTTATTTATTATATATATGAAATATATATATTATATATGAAATATATGTATTTATTATATATATTTATTATATATATTAGAAACTTTCTTTTAACTCCCCTAGTTGCAACATTAAATGCAGAATCCCTACTTAGTGGGCCCAAATCAATAAATTCAGCCTGATCCAACTCTATGTTCCTTCCACCCTTAATATCCATTCCTATGCCTGTTCTTCAGTTTTTGGTTTATAGAAATTAGAAAACTCAAGCAGCTCTTTTCTAGTGTAGTTTACCTCCTCATGGGTCACACTCTCAGCCTCACCTCTAGGGGCCCGCTGAGACTTTAGTCTAGTTATAGGTCTAGAAGCAAACAGGGGTGTTGGGGGTGGCTCCTGAGGAAAATCAACATTATCTTGCCTGGCAAATGTCTCAGGGGAGGCCATCACTGTTGCCTCAGGCAGCACAGGGTTTTCTCCTTAGACAAAGCTGGAAGGGCTGATGGCAGCATGGGTTGGAGAGGGGATGTTGCCATTTCTGGGGATGGGGAAACTGTTTCTTCTGGCAAAAAAAGGTTCATTAGACTTTACAAATTCAGTATTTCCAGCTTCATCAGGGTCCTCCCACATTTCACCATTCCAAGTTGCAGGGTCCCATTCTTTTCTAATCAATGCCCTCACTTTAACAGTAGACACCTGATGGGGCTGTGCATGCGCCTTTCGTTGCAGGTCAGCCACTCGCATGATAAGAGCTTGTTTCTGTTGTTCCATAATTTCAGCTCTTTCTCTACAGGAGATAAGACTTTCACTCAGGGCAATCTTAGCAGACTTCAGGCTCAGTATCTGCTACTGAAGCCGGGAAATAGAATCCCAGAGTTCATCATTTTCTTTCATCATTTTGTCCACTAAACTTAGGAGCAAACAACCAGCTTCATTATGTTTCTTGGTTCTCAAAGTATAGTAAAAGGTATTTTGTAGAGTCACTAAACTCCTTGCCTCTCATGAACGATGAGTCAGGAGTGTCAAATGCATTTATTTTGCGTAACTCTCTAAACAGTTCAAGCCAAGGACTATCAGTGTTCTCCATAGTATTAGAAGTAGAGTTCTTAGAATTTTTTGGTCTAATCATATTAAGCAGGCAACTCCAGAAACTCCAAAACCAATGAAATAATTCTATCCTTAATATTCTGTTCCTCTAGAACCACTCCTGGTACCAAAATCTGTATGAGTCAGGGTTCTCTAGAGGGATAGAACTACTATAAATTTTATATACATATATATATGTATGTAATATATATTTTATATAAGTATATATATATATATGTATATAAAACAGGGAGCTTATTAAGTATTAACTCACATGATCACAAAGTCCCACAATAGGCTGTCTGCAGGCTGAGGAGCAAGGAGAGCCAGTCCAAGTTCCAAAACCGAAGAACTTGGAGCCCAATGTTCAAGGGCAGGAAGCATGCAGCGGGGGATGCTAAGCCAGTCTCTCTTTTCACATTTTTCTGTCTGCTTATATTCTAGCAGTGCTAGCAGCTGATTAGATTGTGCTCACCCAGATTAATGATGGATCTGCCCTTCCCAGCCCACTGTCTCAAATGTCAGTCTCCTTTGGCAACACCCTCACAGACACACTCGGGATCAATACTTTGTATCCTTCAATCCAATCAAATTGATACTCAGTATTAACCATCACAGTCATACATATGACTTCCAGGAAATCATCACTGAGTTCTTTGAAATACACACATAGAAACCTAAAGAGTACTGTGGTTATAAGAAATGGGCAACAAGAACTAGGCTTCCTTATGTTTCTAAAGTTCTTTCATTAATCCAGAAGAAACAAACCTAATAGCAAGTTTTTATCATAATGTCTAAAAAATATTCCCTGGGAGTAATTCAGTCCTATAGGAACATGCTTTCATGGTTTAAACCTCTAGTTATGTTAAGTGCAGAGCAGAAGTAATGCATTAAATGTTTCCTTAGTTACCAAAAGGAATGAATACATCTGCCAATGTTTCTAAGCAAGTCCTATGCCAGGAGAAGAAAACTGATTGGCAAAAAATAATATTTTATTTTTAAAAAAATTTAACTGTCCCCAAATTACAAAGGCATATCAATCCAGTATAGCTTCAGATTTACATTGCTTACGTACAGATTAATAGTGCTTATGTTTATTTTCATGACTTCCTCCACCAAATTATTTGTTTGGGGGATCAATACATATTTTGCATTGCTTATAAGTAATTAAACATGGCTTTTTTTCCCTTACATTACCAATGTAGTTTGGATCTTTTATTCTAATAAACTTGTTAACTTTTCCTTCTTTAACTTTCATGGTACCAAATACTAAATTCTCTAATAGAAAAAATAATGATGGAAAATAAACTTACCTTTTAACAATAAATTAAACAGTTCATCTTTCACATTTCATGTTTTGATTTGAGCTATCAACAAATAATCTTACCCAAAATATCTCTAAATCTAAATGACCTGGAAAAAATATTTTGTTTGATTTTCACCATTTCGTCATATCATAGAAGTTTAAAGGGTTTATTTTGGCCATATCTACAAGAAGAAATTGTGTTACATAGCTACAGGAATAGACAGGATGGAAGATAGATGGTAGAATGGGAAAGAGACCTTTAGAAGTCACTCAGGTTATTTTCATTTGCAACACACTCTTTAACAGAAAATAATGACAAAGTATGGTAATATGTAATTTATTCGGCACTTAATATTTTAAAAACACTTTCTTGTACTTTGTTTTATGTGCACAAAATTTGATTTATACTAAGTCACCAGGTATCAAATATCGATATGGCAAGTGACAGAAAAGGCAATGGACTGAGATACAAAACTAGTAGTTGGATAGGTGGGTAGGTAGATCAGAGAGATTAGCTAGCAAGCTAGATAGCTTTTAGAAATAAAGACTTATTTTAGAAATAAGATAGATTGATAATGGTACTAGGGTATACAAAATAGTTTTCTCTATATCATGAATTACAATTCCTTTTATAAAGTGTACCAGGTCATAAACAGCTGATTTTCTATATTATCTTTTAATACTTTACACTCACAAAAAACAGTTATTTTCTTAAAAAATAAACTAGACTATGCTTGGCATTAATCATGTGTCATTAAACAAAGCAATCTGACACAAATACAGCATAACCTAGTCTTCAAAATTAAACACCAAATTAAAAAAGACTATTTGTGATTGATTCTAGAATATATTACAGCATTTTTCCATCCATGCAATTTATCATACTTATCTAAAAATTTTTTAAAATTCCTTGAGAGATTGACTTTGAGAGAAGAATAAGCAAAATATTTTTTCACTCAGGAACATAGCATATTTTCCAAGTTTTCAAAATAAGAGTATTATTTTAATAATTTCTGCATTTCATAGATTTAACGTTTGTATTGTTACTTTTCTAGATAGAGGCTTTAGTCATTTTGCTTTGCCCATTACAAATCTTATTTGAGAACTTGAAAACTTACATTAATTTGATTAACCGAAGGTCTTGATACATCATTTTTCTGTGATGTCCCACTGACCTTTAGAAAAGTTGTGTTATTTTCTTTCTGATGTCTTATCTGATCTCAAAAAGAATGTGAACAAAAGACAGTAAGCCTTTGCACTCTGAATCTCAAGGTGACATTTAAGACTGACATCCAGCTAGCAAAAGTACATCTCAAAATTTATTCTTGTCCCATAGGGATAAGCAAATCATTAATGTAAGAAGGTATCAGGCCATTAAGTGCTTTAAACGTCAACAATAAAACTTTAAAATCAATGCAAACCTTGACAGGAAGCCAATATGAAAACTGGAGGACAAAAGTGATGTACTTTGAACAGGTAAGTAGCCTCACACTGTGAATGAGCTGAACCTTGGAGATTGATTTATCAAAAAAATCGAAACATCTGGATGTTGAACCAGTCCAGTCTCCGTGATTATCACATTGCAGTCGTTTCAGTACTACTTGCATGTCTTTACTCAAAAGATGTGCTGTAGAAGATAACTGTTAACAAGAGCAGCATTTTACATTGAAACCAATAACTAGGTTCAAATTAATAGGAACATCAACTTTTGTACAATACTGTAGAATTCACAACATGCTTTTTCAAATAGTATTCCACAAGATCTAGGAACAAGGACATTCACAATTGAAAGAATATATTTATGTGCTTACTTTTGTGATACTAATATTCCAATAATAAACTTAAAATTGTTGAATAAAATAATAAAAAGTGAGAGTTATTTGTTCTAAATCTTACTTCTGATTGGCAAAGTTTGCAATACATGGGGAACAGTTCTAATTCCTTTTCAATATACTTCTGCCCATTTGATGACTTTCATAAAGATAATGATAATAATAATAGCTAACAGTAACTGAGCACTTATGAACCATGCATGGTCTCATATAATCTACTACTGCTATTCACATTTTATGGATGAGGAAACTGAGGCACAGATAGACAACACGAAGTGACTAAAATTCTGCAACTTTTATATGTCAGAACTAGGAAGGACATTGACCCCAGAAACTGCTATGTAACATAAGTCTTATATATTTGGTCATATATTTATTTATTTGTGTGTGTGTATATATATATATATGTATATAATAGTATATATACTATTTTAATGCATGTGCTGTTTTAATCATTCATATCTTTGTGTGAGTATGCGTATATGTAATTTGAAATATTGTGATACTGTTGTCACATTACAAATAGCAAAAAAGTAAAGTGAGAGGTAAATGTAGTCTTCAAATAGTTATCACCCTTTCTTTAGTGAATAAAATCTTTGTATGCCAGTGTTTATTGGCAAGTGACTATTTCAAACCTCAGTGATTGGAAAAATTGTTCTGTATGCTCTTTTTTTTTCCTTCCTCCCTTAAAGGAACCCTACAGAGGGTCACTTTGCTTTGATTACACAGGGTTGGATAATTATAATGACAAACAAGACTCCCCAAGGTATACTCACATAAGTCTTTATTAAAAGAAAAGGGTATGGTACGACAGGAGAAGGACAGTACAGGCAATCAGTGATGGTTTCCAGCCCCTAGGATCCCATCTCAGTCACACAGAATCTGCTTTGTTTTCAGATTATGAACCACAAAGATACACACGAACTGTCTTGATTTGAAGGGAGCCTGTGCAAAACTTTACATCAGGGTCTTTTGTATCCCATTACTCACCTAAGTAAAGCTAGCTGTGTAACCAGTTAAGTAAGGAGTAAAACATTAATCTGAACATTTCTAAACAATGTAAAAAAGCATGCTCCAAGCTGCAACAAGCCAAGAGTCAGTTTCAGTTGTACAGGCACGGTGTTCATTATTGAGTGAAGCAATTTATTGAGCAGGTACTCAGTAAGTATTAGTGGACTCTTTGGACACTCACCTAAAACTTGATACTTCTCTCGTTGTTGAACAGAGAAAAAATATACCAGCCTCCTCTGGAAGCAGCGAGGGAAAATTTAAGAAGTTGGTATTTACTGTATATCTTAAAAAAATCCAAAACATCCACCCACGATTTTTAAAAAATATGAATGACAAAGTTATAGCCATCAAATAAAGATGAAGAAAAGGTGAGAACATGGGAGTGAACATCCTTCTCTGGGGCTGGGAGATGCAATGGTAGTGTTCCCATTCTTCATGTCTTTAGCAGATAAAAACAAAAAACTGGAAGATGAGAATATTAGTAGGAAGCAATAAGGAATGAGGCAACTCATTTGAGCAGCTAGAAACAGAATACCCACCTGTGGCTCAGAAACAATAATGTATAATTCATGTGCTTCCAATTTGATTGATGCCAACCTGAATCATGAACAGCAGCTCAGGATAGTTGTTCCTGGATCAGAAGAGAGGTTTCAAGTCAGAATGTTGCTATGTTCACTATTGTTCCTGCACTGTGAGTAATAAATCACCTTATTATCACCACAACCCCTACATCATAATGGTGACTATATGTTGCCTATTGACTTCTAACTTATATATTTATTGTTGCTCTGGTAACATTATTATGCATCTAATAAATGTTGTAACATAATATATACTTTTTACTTTTAAATAAATGTTAAGACACAAAATCCAGACACCAAGTTTTTCTCTTGTCTTCAGGGTTGGGAGGTTACATAATTGTTCAAGTCTATTGGTCAAGCAGGTGAGGGTAGATGCAGGTGGTGGAAATAGGTAGGTGGTATGTGCGGAGAAACTAAGATGAAGCCATGTAATTTTTTTTTTTTTTTGAGACAGGGTCTTGCTCGTCACCCTGGCTGGAGTTCAGTGGCACAATTATGAGTCACTCAAGCCTTGTTCTCCTGGGCTCAAGTGATCCTCCTGCCTTAGCCTCCCTAGTAGCCGGAACTACAGGTGTGCACCACCACTCCTGGCTATTTTTTTTTCCAGTAGAGACGAGGTCTCGCTGTGTTGCCCAGGCTTGAGTTCCTGAACTCAAGTGATCTTCCCACCTCAGCCTCCCAAAGTACTGGGATTACAGGTATGTATGAACCACCATGCCCAGCCATTTGATTCTTTAAAAAGAGTGAACTGTGGAGTCAGATTCTCATCACTTATCATATAAGATTTTTTACCTTTTTTGTCATATCTTCCAATGACCTTCTTATATCTTAAGTAAACTGAAAATGTTAATACCAACACTCATACTGACCAAGACAGGTATGACAGAATCAGTAAATTGTCTTTACTGCTATAAATTTTCATATGCCCATTTATATCAAAAGTGAATGTGAAACAGCAGGACATCAAATTACTTTGGATTTCCTGTAGCCACACATGTGTAGTTTATGAAAAAACATGAATTCTGATAATGCTTTAGGTCATGTGGAGAAATGAGGCTTCTAAAATAGTGCTTAGAATCAGTGAGCTAAATCATTAACTATCATCTATTCATGCTGATATCTTCTTGGTAAGCAATTTTCTATTTTTTCCCCTAGAGGAAACTGACTTTTGTCCATTGTTCCAGCTGTTAGAGTGCACATCTTTCAATTCAAATGCAAATTGTATCAAAAGTCTTATACATGCTTCTTCATCTAAATTTGACAAGGTTTATTAATAGAGAAATAGACTACCAAATACTTATCTTTCAGCAAGGATTATCAATATTACTAAGTTGTGTAACAAATGCATTGAATATTTTATTGGCTCACTCATAAATTTTTGACTTTTGATAGGATAATAACCGCTCTGTAGAAAGACATTGCTGTTTCTCATCAGAAGAAGCTAATCATTTCCTGAAAACGGAAAATATGAACATAGTAGGTATTCGTGTTCATTACAGGAAACCCTGGTTCTATGTGACCTCCAAGCTAATTTCAGCAGAAATTCATCAAAAGGGTTAAAAACCATTCCCTTATTTAGGAAATGCTCTCTTTGCTAAATTCAAATTTAATAGTATGACATAAATAATAACACAGGCAAGGAGGAAAGTTGTGTAAAGTATATCCTAGTGAAAATGAGATCTCTGGCATAGCTGGACTGTAGGTGTTCCAAGCTATTGATTATTTATATTTGCTTCTCACATAGGGCGCAAGACTCATATCTTACTTCTACTCAATTCTGTTAGAACCAGCTTGAACACCACACTCCTTTCTGGTAGAAAAGCCAGTGTCAAATGCTGGCTCTCCTTGATCATACAAGTAATTCAGAAGCTGATATCATGGGAAATGGATGCCCAGCAGGCCAACCTTTTTTTTTTTTTTTTTGAGATGGAGTCTCGCTCTGTTGCCCAGGCTGGAATGCAGAGGTGCAATCTTGGCTCACTGCAAGCTCCGCCTCCCGGGTTCACGCCATTCTCCTGCCTCAGCCTCCCGAGTAGCTGGGACTACAGGCGCCAGCCACGAAGCCTGGCTAATATTTTTTTTTTTTTTTTTTTTGTATTTTTAGTAGAGACTGGGTTTCACCATGTTAGCCAGGATGGTCTCGATCTCCTGACGTCGTGATCCACCCGCCTCGGCCTCCCAAAGTGCTGGGATTACAAGCGTGAGCCACTGCGCCCGGCCGCAGGCCACCATTTCTAAGCAGTGAGGAGTGCTCAAGTTTGGCAGCTCGTGCCTGCTGCTATGGCTGTCTTTGCTCCTTGCTGCCACATAGCCCTGCTATAAAAAACTGGTTCTCGCCCATCTCTCCAATGATGCTGTTTGCACTGCAGTCAAGTCTTATATTTTATTAGCTTATGCTAAAGGGTTCTTCTCTTAGAAGAAGGATACGTCAACAAGGGAAGCCCTCTCCTTTTGCGCGTCATTCACCCCATGCTGACATCTACCATAACCTGTAATGCGCCATCCTTTACAGGCTTCACTACTGGCAGCCACTTTCCTCTAAAGTCTTACTGCCTGGGAGATTCTCTGCCCGTATAAATTTGGGCCTAATAACATCTTCAACCACCATTCCTCCTTCCCAGAGATATCACCAAGGAATCTGCTTTCTTTTCAACCTCTGAAACACAGAGTTCTTTCTGCCTCCCTTCCTTTGACAATACACTATCCACAGAGAAAGTTAACCTTTCTTGATAGTAAGGAAGATCCAGAATTAAAAGTAGGGAAAGTTCTATTTACCTTGGAAGTAAGCAAGAAGTGGTCCTTTTCTTTCTTCATATTCTGCCACTGTCCTCAAATACTCAGAAAATAATTAATACATAATCCTTAATACTATCATACTCTGATGGAAGTATTATAGATAGCGGTAACACAAGTTAAGGGCCTTGAAGCTGGAATAAAGTTAGCAAATTTTGTAACAATAAGATCAGTGTAGCTGGGGCAAAGTAAGCAAGAGGGAAGTTAGAAGACAATTTTGGAGAAAAATGCATGAGCTAGATTTGTATAACCCAGGAGCTACAGGGAAGGGGTTTGAAATTCAATTGAGTGTTTTGAGCTGAGGCATAATGTGATCTCATGTGTTGTTTTTAAGATAAGTACTTAAGATTGTTATTTTGAAATATTTCAGACATAAAAATTATGCACAAAGAATTATACAATATTTGTCTTATATTGTTCAAGGAATAAAAGAGCAATATAGTTGATGTATCCTGTACTTTTCTTGATCATCATGATCATCATCTTTCTATTCCATTTTCCTCAAACACTGGTAACTATTATTCTAAATTTGGTGGAGGTAATTTCCATTACTTTATACTTTCAGAGCATATTAAATATTTATGTATATGGCATTATACTGTGCACATTACTTTGTATTTTATCATATAACAATCATCCATGTTGATATGAGTAGCTTTGGGTCACTGTTTTTTGCTGCTATGTATTATTCCAAACGATACAGTTGGGTGTACTCTGTGTATGTAGACCCCTGTGATATTATTTATAATACCCGGGCAAGATGTTACATTTAATGTCCCAGTGGGTGTATACCCTGTGATATTATTCATAATATCCTAGGGGGATGTTATAACTTATGTCACAGTGGGTGTACACCATGTGTGTATGCCTTGTGATGTTATTCATAATATTCTAGGGAATGTTTCTCCTAATGTCACAGTGGGTATACACACATGGTGTACACCTAGTGATATTATTTGTAGTATTTTAGGGGAATGTTACTCCTAATGTTACAGGGCGTGTACGCCCTGTGATATTATTTGTAATATCCTAGAAGGGTGTTACTCCTAATGTCATAGGTGGTGTAGATTCTGTGATATTATTTTTAACATCCTGGGTGGATGTTACTTCTAATGTCAAAGAGGGTGTACACCCTGTGATATTACTGGTAATACCCTCGGGGGATATTACTCCTAACATCACAATGAATGAATACACCATGTACACGCCATGCGTGTACACCCACTGTGATATTATTCATAATATCCTAGGTAGGTATTACATCTAATATCACAGTGGGTGTACACCATGTGTGTACACCCACTGTGATATTGTTCATAATATCCAAGGGAGATATTACTCCTAATATCACCGTAAGTGTATACCCTGTGATATTACTTGTAATATTCTAGGAAATATATTATTCTTAACATCACAGTGGGTGCACACCCTGTGATATTATTCATACTATACTAGGGGGATGGTACTCCTAATGTCACAATGGTTGTACATCCTGTAATATTTTTGGTAATATCTTAAGGAGGATTTTACTCCTAATATCACGGGGGTTGTATACTCCCGTGATATTATTCGTAATATTCTAGAAGGATGTTTTACCTAATGTCACAGGGGATGTATGCCCTCTGATATTTTTCATAACATCCTAGGAGGATGTTATTCTTAATGTGTACACACTGTGGTATTATTTATAATATCCTAGAGAGATGTTAATTTCACTGTATGTGCCCCCTGTGAAATTATTCATAATATCCTAGAAGGATGTTACTACTAATGTCACAGTGGGTGTACCCCCTGTGATATTATTCATAATATCATAGGAAAATAGGACTCCCAATAGCACAGTGGGTGTGCTCTGTGTAATATTATTGGTAATATTCTAGAAAAATATAACTTCTAATATCACAATGGGTGTACACCCTGTGGTATTATTCCTAATATCCTAGGGAGAAATCACTTCTAAAACCACAGGGAGTGTACACCCCGCATGTGATATTGTTCCTAAAGTCCGTGGGGGAAAAATGACATTACTCCCAATATCGCAGGGGGTGTACAACCCTTCTGCTATATTGTTCCTTATATCCAGAGGGAAAGAGGATGATATTACTCCCAATATTACAGAGGGTGTACACCGCCCTTGTGATATTGTTCCTAATATCCAGGAGGGGAGAGGATGATATTACTCCCAATATCGCAGGGGTGGACACCCATTCTGTGATATATTTCCTAATATCCAGTGGGGGAGAGAATGATATTACTCCAAATAGCACATGACGGGTACACACTTTCTGTGTTATTGTTCATAATATCCCCGGAGGAGAGGGTGATATTACTCCCAATATCGCAGGGGGTGCACAACCTCCTTGTGATATTGTTCCTAATATCCAGAAGAAAACACGATGGTATTACTGCCAATACCACACACCTGTGATATTGTTTCTAATATCTGGGTAGAGGGGAGAGATATTATGCCCAACATCGCTGAAGGTGTACAGCCCTTTTGTGATGTGTTTCCTAATATCCGGGGGGGAGGGGATGATCTTACAATCAATAACACAGGGGAGTGTACACCCCCCTGTGATATTGTTCCTAATATCATGAGGAGCAGAGGACAATATTGCTCCCAATTTCACAGGAGTTGCACACCCGCCCTAAGATATTGTATTTAATATTCAAGGGGCAGAGGATGATATTATTCCCAATATCGCTGGGTGTGTACATCCCCCTGTGATATTGTTTTTAACATCAAGGGGCAGAGGATGATATACTCCCAGTATGGCAGGGAGTGTACACCTCCTCTATGATATTGTTCCTAATATTCAGCAGGGGAGAGGATGATATTACTCCCAATATTACAGAGGGTGTACACCACCCTTGTGATATTGTTACTAATATCCAGGGGGAAGAGGACGATATTACTCCCTACATCACAGGGAGTGTACACCAACCCTGTGACATTGTTCCTAATATCCTTGAAGGGAGAGAATGATATTACTCCCAATATCGCATAGGGGTGTACACACCCTATGTGATATTATTTTTAATATCCATAAAAGGAGAGGATAACATTAGTCCCAATATCGCATGGGGTGCACATCACCCCTGTGATACAGTTTTTAATCTCCAGGGCAGGAGAGGGGATGATTTTACTCTCAATATCGCAAGGTGTGTACACCCCTCCCTGCGATGTTGTTCCTAATAGCCAGGGGGTGAGAGGATGACATTACTCCCAATATCGCAGGGGCAGTACACCCTCCTGTGATACTGTTGCTAATATGAAGAGGGAAAGAGGATAATATTACTCCCAATATCACAAGGGGTGTACACACACCCCCCCCCGCGATATTATTTCTAATATTCAGGGTGGACAAATATGATATTACTCCCAATATCGCAGAAGGTGTTCACCATTCTGGGATATTGTTCCTAATATCCAGGGAAGGAGAGGATGATATCCCTCCCCAAATCGCAGTGTGTGTCCGCCTCCCTGTGATATTGCTCATAATGTCCGGTGGGGGAGATAACATTAATCCCAATATCGTACATACGCTGTGTGCATACCCCCTGTGATATGGTTCATAATATCCAGGGAAGGAGAGAGTGGTATTACTCCCTATATCGCCAAAGGTGTACTTTTCCGTGTGATCTGTGTAAAATCCGGGGGTCGGGGGAGAGGGTGATATTACTCCCCATTTCTTGGGGGGTCTACCCCCATGTGAAATAGTTCGTCATATCCAGGGACGCAGAGGGTGATATTACACCCAATATAGTGGGGGGTGTTCACTCCCCTGTGATCTGGTTTGTAATATCCATAGAAGGAGAGGGTGACATTACTACCCATATTCTGGTGGGTGTACACCTTCCTATGATTTGGTTCCTAACATCCAGAGGGGCAGAGAATGACTTTACTCCCCTTATCTCTGTGATCTGGTTCATAATATCCAGAGCGGGAGAGGGTGATGTTACTCCCCATATCGCGGGGTGTGTATGCCCCTCTGTGAACTGATTCGTAATATCCAGTGGGGAGAGGGTGACATAACTGCCATACTGCTGTGATCTGGCTCGTAATATCCAGCGGGGGAGAAGGTGAAATTACTCCCTATACCTCGGGGTTTGTTCACCCCCCTGTGATCTGGTTCATAATATCCAGAGAGGGAGGCGTGACATTACTCCCCATACCGTGGGGAGTGTACACCCCACTGTGATCTGGTTTGTAACATCCACAGAGGAAGAGGTTGAAGTTATTGCCCATATCCCGGGGAGTGTACACCCCCATGTGTTCTGGTTCCCAGTATCCAGAAGGTGAGAGAATGAAACTACTCCCCTTATCGCGGGGGCATGTACAACCCCCTGTGATCTGGTTCGTAATATTCAGTGGGGGAGAGGGTGACATTACTCCCCATATCGCGGGAGGTTTACACACTCCTGTGATATACTTTGTAATATCCAGTGGGGGAGAGGGTGATATTACTCCCCATATCGCGGGGGGTATACACCCCCCGTGATAACCATGGGGGGAGAGTGTGATTTTACTCAGCACATCGAGGTGGGCATACGCCCTGCTTTGATATGGTTCATAATATCTGGGGGGGGAGGGGGGGGAGAAGGTGATATTAATCCCCATATTGTGGGATGTATACACGACCCTGCGATATGGTTCGTAATATTGAGGGTAAGAGAGGGTGATATTACTCCTCATATAGCAGGGGGTTTAATCCCCCTGTGAAATGGTTCCTAATATCCAGATGGGGAGAGGTTGATATTACTCCCCATATCGCAGAGGGTGTACACCCTACATGATATGGTTTGCAATATCCAGAGTAGGAGAAAGCGATATTACTCCCCATATCACGAGGGATGTACACTGCACGGTGATCTAGTTCCTAATATCACGAAGTGGAGAAAATGATATTACATCCAATATCGCAGGGGTTGTATACCCCCCTGTGATATTGGCCGTAATATCCAAGTGCAGAGAGGATGATATTACTCTTCACATTGCAGCGGGTGTACCCCCCCGTGTAATATTGCTCGTAATATCCAGGGAGGAAGAGAATAATATTACTCTTAATATTGAAGGGGGTGTACACCCCCCTGTGATATTGTTCTTTATATCCAGGGGAAGAGAGGATATTATTCCCAATATCACAGGGTTTGTACACCCTCCTGTGATAGTGTTCGTAATATCCAGGGTGTGAGAGGATGATATTACTCCCAATATCACAGGAGGTGTACATCCTTCTGTGATAATGTTCACAATATCCAGAGACAGAAAGGATGATTTTACTTCAAACATTGCAGGGGTGTACACACCCCTTTGATATTGCTCGTAATATCCAAAGGAAGAGATGATGATATTATTTCTAATATCGCTGGAGGTGTACACCACCCTGAGATGTTGTTGGTAATATCCAGGGACTGAAAGGATGATATTACTCCCAACATCGCAGAGAGTGTACGTACGCACCACCCTGTGACGTTGTTCACAATATCCAGGCTGGGAGAGGATGAAATTACTCCCAACATTGGAGGAGGTGTACACCCTTCTGTGTTACTGTTTATAATATCCAGATAGAGAGAGAGTAATATTATTTCTAATATCACTGGAGGTGTATACCCTCCAGTGATATTATTCTTAACCTCCAGGGGAGCAGAGGATGATATTACTCCCATTATCGCAGGGGGTGTATACCAACCTTGTGATATTGTTCCTAATATCCAGGTGAGGATGATATTACTAACAATATTGCAAGGCGAGTACACACCCCCACCATGATATTGTTCCTAATATTTAGACAAGGAGAGGATAATATTACTTCCATTATCACAGAGGGTGTATACCAACCTTGTGATATTGTTCCTAATATCAAGAGGAAAAAGTTTGATGTTAATTGCAATACTGCTGGGAATGTACACCCAGGCTTGTGATTTGTTTCTATTGTGCAGGGAGGGAGAGGAGAATATTACTCCCATTATCACAGGGGGTGTATACCTTCTTGAGATACTGTATATAATATCCAGGAAGAAAGATAATATTACTCCCTATAGAGAAAATAAACTGTGTGTACATCCCCCGTGATAGGGTTTGTAATATCCAGGAGAAGAGAGTGATATTTCTCCTCCTATCGCGGGGATGCACACCCCTCTTTGATACGGTTTGTAATATCCAGGAGGGGAGAGGGTGACATTACTCCCCCTATCGCAGGGTTGCACACCCCCCTGTGATAGGGTTCACAATATCCAGTGGGGGAGAGGGTGATATACTCCCCCTATCGCGGGGGGTGTACACTCCCCTGTGGTAGGGTTTGTAATATCCAGGGTGGGGAGAAAGTGATATTACTCCCCCTATCGCGGGGCGTGCACAGTTCTTCGTGATATCACACCCCCCTTTGTAATTACACACTCCCCTGTGATAGGGTTCGTAATATCCAGTGGGGGAGAGGGTGACATTTCTCGCCCTGTTGAGGGGGGTGCACACCCCCCTGTGATAGGTTTCATAATATCCAGAGGGGCGAGAGGGTGATATTACTCCCCCTATCGTGGGGGGTGTAGACTCCCCTATGGTAGAGTTTATAATATCCAGGGTGGGGAGAAAGTGATATTACTCCCCCTATTGCGGGGCATGTATAGTTCTTTGTAATACCTACCTTGCAATTAGAAGTAACATTTTCCTAGAATATTTTAAATAATTTCACAGGGTGTACACCTACTCTGCCATTAGAAGTAACATCTCCCCTATGCAATTACGAATAATATCACAAGGTGTACACCCACCGTGACATTAGGAGTAACATCTCAGTAGGATATTATGAATATTATCAATGGTTGTACCCTCATTGTGACATTAGGTGTAACATCTCCGTAGGATATTACGAATAATATAACTGGAAGTATACACTGTATGATATTAGGAGTAACATCTTCTTTGGATATTATGAATAATATTAATTAACAATTACGATAATAATTATTAATATGATATTATTCATAATTTCCTAGGAGAATGTTATTCCTAATGTCACAGTGTGTGTATACCATGTGTGTACACCTAGTGGTATTATTCATAGTATCCTAGAAAAATGTTACTCCTAATGTCACAGTGTGTGTACAGCATGTGTGCACAGTCTGTGATATTATGCATAACATCCTAGGGGGATGTTACATGGGTGTACATTCTATGATATTATCTTTAATATCCTCGGGGATGTTACTTTTAACGTCACAGTGGGTGTATAAGATGTTTGTATATCCTGTGTTATTGTTCATAATATCATGGGGGATGTTACTTGTAATGTCACAGTGAGTGTTAATACAAAATGTGTGTACTCCCAGTGATACTAATTGTAATATCCTAGGGAGATGTTACTCCTAAGGTCACAGTGGGTGTACACCATATGTGTATACCCCCTGTGATATAATTTGTAATATCTTGGTGAGATGTTATATTTAATGTCACCGTGGGTGTACAGTCTGTGGTATTATTTGTAATATCCTAGGGAGATGTCATACCTAATGTCACAGTGAGTGTACACCATGTGTGTACACCCTGTGATATTATTCATAATATTCTAAAAAAAGTTACTTCTAATGTCACAGTGGGTGTACATTCTGTGTGTACACCGTGTGATATTGTATGTAATATCCTAGGGGAATGTTACCCCTAATGTCACAGTGGGTTTACACTCTGTGTATATACTCTGTGATATTATTTGTAATATCCCATGGGGACATTACTCCTAATGTGACAGTTGGTGTACACCATGTGTGTTCACCCTGTGGTATTATTCGTAAAATCCTAGGGGAATGTTACTCCTAATTTCACAGTAAGTGTACACCATGTGTATACACCTTGTGATATTATTAGTGAAATTATAAGGGGATGTTACTTCTAATGTCTCAGTGGGTGTACATCATATGTGTACACCCTGTGATAATATTCATTATATTATAGGTGGATTTTACTCCTAATATCACAGTGGTTGCACAGCCTGTGTATACAACCTGTGATATTATTTGTAATACCCTAGGGAGATATTCCTTCTAATATCACAGTGGGTGTAGACCCTGTGATATTATTCGTAATATCCTCGGGAGATATTACTCTTAATATCACAGTGGGTGTACAACTCTTAATATCACAGTGGGTGATATTAGCAGTAATATCCTAGTTGGATATTACACCCTATGTCACAGTGTGTGTACACCCTGTGATATTATTTGTAATATCCTTGGGAAATGTTACTCCTAATGTCACAGGTGATGTGTAACCAGTGATATTATTCGTTATATTCTATGATGATGTTACTCCTAATTTCACAGGGGATGTACACTCTGATATTAATCGTAGTTTTCTAGGGGGATGTTAGTTTTAATTTCAAAGGGAGTATACACGCTGTGATATTATTCTTAATATCCTAGGGGGATGTTAATTCTAATATCACCAGGGGTGTCCTTTCTGTTATATTATTCTTACTATTCTAGGTGGATATTACTTCTAAAGTCAAAGAACGTGTACACTCCGTGATATTACTGGTAATATTTTAGGGGAATGTTCCTCCTAACATCACAATGAGTGTACACCCTGTGATATTATTCATAATGTCCTAGGGAGATATTACTCTTAATATCACAGTGGGTGTACAACCTGTGATATTAGCAGTAATATCCTAGGAGAATATTACCACCAATGTCACAATGGATGTATACCCTGTTATAGTATTCTATAGGGATGTTACTCTTAATGTCATGGGGGTTGTACTCCCTGTGGTATTATTCATAATATGTTACCAGGATGTTTCTCCTAATGTCACAGAGGGTGTAAACCTTGTGAAATTATTCGTAATATCCTTAAAAGATGTTACTCCTCATGTCACAGGGGGTGTACACACTGATATTATTCATAATACCTTAGGAAGATGTTACTGCGAATGCCACAGAGGGTGTACACCCTGAGATATTATTCATAATATTTTGGAGGGATGTTACTTCTAATGTCACAAGGTGTGTACACACTGTGATATTATTTATAATATCCTAGGGGAATTTTACTCGTAATATAACAGAGGTTGTACACCCTGTGATATTATTTGTAATATTATAGGGGGGTGTTACTACTGTCAGAAGGAGTTTACGCCCTATGATGTTATTCCCAATATCCTAGGAAGATGTTACTTCTAATGTTACAGAGGGTGTACACCCTGTGATATTATTCCTAATATTTTAAAGGGATTTTACTCCTAATCTCACAGAGGGTGTACCCTCCTTGATGTTCTTCCTAATATCCTATGGGGATGTTACACCTGATATCACAGGGGGTGCACACCTTGTGATATTATTCGTAATATCCTAGGGGAATGTTATTCCTAATGTCACAGGGGTAGTACAGCATGTGTGTACACCCCTGTGACATTCTTAGTAATATCCTAGTGGGATGTTACTTTTAATATCACAAGGAGTGTACGCCTTATGTGTACACCTTCTATGATGTTATTCGTAATATCCTAAGGGGATGTCACTCCTAATATCATGGGGGTGTACACCATGTGTGTACACACGCTGTGATATTATTTGTAATGTCCTAAGTGGCTGTTACTTATAATGTCACTAGGGGTGTCACCATGTTTGTACACCCCCTGTGATATCATGCTTAATAACGTGTGGGGATTATACCTTTAATGTCACAGTGGTTGTATACCATGACTGTACAACCCCTGTTATATTGTTCCTATTATGCTAGGAGGATATTATCCCTAACATTTTAGTGGATGTTACTCCTATAAAACAGGGGTTGTACACCATGTGTGTACTCCCCCTGTCATATTATTTGTAACATCCTAGGGGGATGTTATTCCTAATATCACAGGGAATGTCCACGACATGTGCACACCTCCTGAGATATTATTTGTAATATCCTAACGTGACATTACTGCTAATGTCACAGGAGGTGTACTCCATGTGTGTACCACCAGTGATATTATTTGTAATATCCTAGGGAAATGTTACTGTTAATTTCACAGTGGGTTACACAATGTGTGTACACACTGTGATATAATTCATAATATCCTAGGGGGATATTACTTCTAATGTCACCGTGAGTGTATAACATGTGTATACACCCTGTAATATTATTGTAATATTCTATGGAAATGTTAGTTCTAATGTGAAAATGGGTGTACACTGTGTGTCTACAGCCTGTGATATTATTCGTATTATAATAGGGGGATGTTACTTCTAATGTCACAGTGGGTTTACACCGTGTGATATTATTTGTAATATTCTAGGGGGATATTACTCCTAATATCACAGTGGGTGTACATGCTGTGTACACACTCTGAAATATTATTCACAATATCTTGGCAGATATTACTCCTAATATCACAGTGGATGTCAACTGTGGGATATTATTTGTAATATTCTGGGGAGACATTACTCTTAATGTTACAGTGAATGTACACCTTGGGATATTATTTGTAATATCTTGCAGAGATATTAATACTGATATCACGATGAATGGACACCCTGAAATATTATTTGTAATATCTTGGGGAGATATTACTCCTAATATCACAGTGGGTGTACACTCTGAGATGTTATTTGTAATATCCTGGGGAGATATTACTCCTAATTTCACAGTGAGTGTATACCCAAATATATTATTGATAATATCCTGGGGAGATATTACTCCTAATACCACAGCAGGTGTACACCCTGGGATATTGTTCATAATATCCTGGGGAGTTATTACTGCTTATATCACAGTGGGTGTACACACTGTGGGTACACCCTGGGATATTATTAGTAATATTTTGAGGAGATATTAGTCTAATATCACAATAAGTGTACATCATATGTGTACACACGGGGAAGTCGTTCATAATATCTAGGGGAGATATTATTCTCGTAATATTACATTGGGTGTACAGCATGTACGTACACCCTGGATATTATTTGTAATATCCTGGGGAGATATTACTTTCCTAATACCACAGTGGGGTACAACATTTGTGTACAATCTGGGATATTATTGGTAATATCTTGCAGAAATATTACTCTTCTGATATCACAGAGGGTGTACACACATGGTGTGAATAATATCTGGAATATTATTCATAATATTTTGGGGAGATCTTGCTCTCCTAATGTCACAGTGCATGTAGAACTTGTTTGTACATCCTGGGATATTATTCGTAATATCCTGGGGAGATATTGCTCTCCTAATATCAAAGTAGGTGTTCACCATATTTGTACACCCTGGAATATTATTCATAATATCCTGGGGAGATATTACTCTGCTAATATCACAGCAGGCTTACATGTGTGTACACTCAGGGATATTATTCGTAAGATCATGGGAAGATATTACTCTCCTAATATAAAAGTGAGTGAACACCATTTGTGTACAACCGGGGATATTATTCAAAATATCTTGGGGAGATATTAGTCTCCTAATATCACAGTGTATGCATACCATGTGTGTACACCCTGGGATATTATTCGTAATATTCTGAAGACATATTACCCTCTTAATATCACAGTGTGCGATATTACACCCAATATCCAGAGGGTGTACACTCTTTCTTTGATATCGTTCCTAATATCCAGGGGGGAAGAAAATAATATTAATCCTAATATTGCAGGGGTTGTACACTCCCCTTGTAATATTGTTTCTAATATCTAGGGGAAGAGAGAATGATATTACACAAGATACCTCAGGGGGTGTACATCTCCCAGTGATATTGTTCCTAATATCCAGAGGCAGAGGATGACATTATTCCCAATATCACAGGTGGTGTGCACCCTTTCTGTGATATTGTTCCTAATGTCCGGGGTGGGGGGAGTGGATGATATTATTTCCTATATCGCAGAGGATATACACCCCTCTTGTGATATGGTTCCAAATATCCAGGGGGTGAGAGGATGATATTACTCCCAATATCGTAAGGGGTGTACACCCCCCCTTGTGATATTGTTTCTTATATCCATGAGGGGAGAGGATGATATTACTCCCAATATCGCAGTTGGTGTACACCCCTTCTGTGATATTGTTCCTAATATCTACGAGAGGTTAGGATAAGATTACTTTCAGTATTGCAGTGGGTTTACACCTTTCTTGTGATATTGTTCCTAATATCCAGGGGAGGAGACAATGATATTACGTCAATATCATAGAAAATGTACACTCACCCTGTGATATTGTTTCTAATATTTAGAGGGAGAGATAATAATATTACTCCGAAGATCACAGAGGGCATACAACCCTTGTGATATTGTATCTAATATCCAGGTGGGGTGAAAATGATATTACTCAAAGCATCACAGGGCGAGTACACCCCTCCTGTGATATTGTTCCTAATATCCAGGTGGAGAGATGACATTACTACCAACATCTCAGGGGGTAGACCCCCCCCGTGATATTGTTTCTAAGATATAGGGGGTGAAAGTATAATATTACTCCCAATATATCAGGTAGTGTACACACCCCCTTTGATATTGTTCCTAATACCCTGTAGGAAAGAAAATGATATTACTCCCAAAGTTGCGTGGGGTATACCCAACCCCTGTGATATTCTTCCTAATATCCAGGTGGGGAGAAAATATTACACTCAATTTCGCAGGGGGTGTACACACCCACAGTGATATTGTTTATAATCTCCAGGGGGTAGAGCATGATCTTACTCTTAGTATCACAGGGGCTGTACACCACTCCTGTGATATTGTTCCTAATATCCTGGGTGGGAGAGGATGTTATTACTCCCAATGTCACAGGGGGTGTACACTCACCCTGTGATATTGTTCCTAATATCCAGTGGAGGAGAGGATGATGTTACTTCCAACATTACAGAAGGTACACACACACACCCGTGATATAGTTCTTAATATCCAGTGGGGCAGAGGATGACATTACTCTCAATATTGCAGGGGGTTTACATCCCCACTGTGATATTGTCCCTAATATCCGTTGGGGAAGAAAATAATATTAGTACCAATATCGCAGGGGGTGTACACCCTTCCTTTGATATTGTTCCTAATATACAGGGAAGAACAGAATGATATTACTCCCAATATCCTATGGGGTGTACACACCCCCTGTGCTATTGTTCCTAATAGCCATGGAGAGAGTGGATGGTATTACTTCCTATATCACAGGAAGTGTACACCACCCCTATAATATTGTTCAAAATATCCAGGGAAGGAGAGTATGATGTTACTCAGAATATCGCAGGGTGTGTATGCCCTCTGTGATATTGCTTCTAATATTTAGGGGGAAAGAGAATGATCCCAATATCGCAGTGGGTGTACACCCCCCCGTGATACTGTTCCTAATTTCCAGGGGGAAACAGGATGATATTATTCCCAATATTGCAGAGTGTGTATACCCCCTGTGATTTTTTTTCTAATATCCGAAGGAAAAGAGAATGATATTACCCTCAATATTGCAGTGGGTGTATACCCTCTGTGATACTGTTTCTAATATCCAAGGGAGGAGAGGATAACATTATTCCCTATATCACAAGAAGTGTACACCCCCCTGTGATATAGTTCCTAGTATCCGAAGTGGGAGAGGATGGTATTACTGCCACTATCACAGGGTGTGTACACCCACCCTGTGATATTGTTCCTAACATCCGGGTGGGGGGGGAGAAAATGATATTACTTTCAATATCACAGGGTGTGTACAATCCCCCCCTCCAAGTGATATTGTTCCTAATATCCAGAGGGTGAGAGAATGACATTACTTCCAATATAGCAGTGAATGTACACCTTTTCTGGGATATTGTGCCTAATATCCTGGGGCAGAGGATGATATTACTCCCAATATTGCAGGAGTTGTACACCTCCCCTGTGATATTGTTCCTAATACCTAGCGGGGGAGAGGATGATATTACATTCAATATCGCAGGCGGTGTATACCGCCCCCTCCCCATGATATTGTTCCTAATATCTATGGTAAGAGAGGATGATGTTACTTTCAATATCGCTGGTGCTGTACACTCTTTCTGTGATATTATTCCTAATATCCAAGGGGGAGACCATGACCTTATTCCCAATATCACAGGAGTTGTACACCTTCCAGTGATATTGTTCCTAATATCCATGGGGGGAGAAAATGATATTATTCAAAATATGGTAGGGGTTGTACAGCCCCCATTTCATATTGTTCCTAATATCCAGGGGTGGAGAGGATGATATTTCTGCCAATATCGCAGGGGTTGTACATCCACCTTGTGATATTGGTACTAATATCACGGGGAAAGAAAATATTACTTCCAATATAACATGAAGTGTACGACCACCCTGTGATGTGGCTCCTAATATCCAGTGGGGGAGAGGATAATATTACATCCAATATCGCCGAGGGTGTACACCCCTTCTGTGATATTGTTCCTAATATCCGGGGTGGGGGTGAGGATTATATTACCCCCAATATTACAGGGGGTGTGCAACCTCTCTGTGATATTTTTTCCTAATATCCAAGGGGAAGATTATAATATTACTTACAATATCGCAGGGGGTGTACACTCCCCACTGAAATAATTCTTAATATCCAGGGGGTAAGAGAATGATATTACTCCCAATATCGCTTCAAGTGTAAACCCCCCTGTTTTTTTTTAATGAAACTAGGGAGAGGATGATGTTGCTCCCAATATCACTAACGATGTACACCCTCTCTTTTATATTGTTCCTAATATCCTGAATGCAAGAGAGTGACATTACTCCCAATATCGCAGAAGGTGTACACCTCCCCCTGTCATATTGTTTCTAATATCCAGGGCTGGATAGAATGATACTCCCAAAATCGCAAGGGGTGTACTCCTCCCTGAGATATTGTTTCTAATATGTGGGGGTGGGGGGAGAGGATTTTGTTACATCCAACATCGCTGGTGGTCGACAGCCCCCTACCCCTGCAGCGATATTGTTTCTAATATCCAGGGGGTGACAGGATGACATTACTCCCAATATCGCAGAGACTGTACACTTCACCTGTAATATTGTTCCTAATATCCAGGAAGGGAGAGAATGATATTACTTCCAATATCTCATAGGCTGTACATCCCTCCTGTGATATCGTTCCGAATATCCATGAGGAAGAGGATGGTATTACTCCCAATATCGCAGAAGGTGTACACATTTTCTGTGATATTGTAGTGGGGGAGAGGATAATATTACTTCTAAAATCACAGGGGGTGTACAGCACCCCTGTAATATTGTTCGTATATCCAAGTGGGTCAGTTTGATATTACTCCCAATATCGCAGAAGGTGTACACCCACCAGGTGATATAGTTTATAAAATCCAGGGAGGGAGAGGATGTTATTACTGCCAATATCTCAGATGGTGTACAACCACCCCCCCCCCACCCCGGTGATATTGTTCTTAACATTCAAATGCAGGGAGGCTGATATTACTCCCAATATCTCAGGGGGTGTATACCACCCCTGTGATGTTGTTCCTAATGTTCAAGGGGAAAGAGGATAATATTACTCCCAATATTGCAGGGAGTGTACACTGGCCCTGTGATATGGTTTCTAATATCCAGGGGTGAGAGGAGGATATTGCTCCCAATATCACAGAGGGTTTACATCCCCATGTGATTTTTAAAAAATATTCAGGGACAAAAGGATGCTATTACTTTCAATATTGAACAGGGTATACATCCTTCATGACATTGTTCCTAATATCCAGGGAGGGAGAAAATGATATTACACCCAATATTGCAGAGGATGGACACCCCACTTGTGGTATCATTCCTAATATTCAGGGATAAGAGGATAATATTACTTCTAATATCACAGGGAGTGTACACCCCAGCTGTGATATGGTTTCTAATATCCAGGGAGGATGAAGGTGATATTACTCCCATTATCACAGAAGGTTTACACCCTCCTGTAATACTGTTTTTAATATTTAGAAGAAGAGACGATCATATGACCCCCAATATTTCAGAGGGTGTACACCTTTTCCATGATATTGTTCTTAATTTCCAGTGGGGAAGAGGGTGATATTACTCCCACTATTGCACTATTGCAGGGGTTGCACACCCTTCTGTAATATTTTTCTTAATATTCAAAGATGGAGAGGATGATATTACTCCCAATATCACAGGGGGTGTACAACCCCTGCTGGGTATTGTTTCCAATGTCCAGGTGGGGAGAGAATCATATTACTCAAAATATCACAGGGGGTGTACACCAATCCTGTAATATTGTTCCTAATATCCAGGTTGAGGGAAGATGATATTACTCCCAATATCGCACTCGGTAGACACCCCCCTGTGATATTGTTTCTAACATCCAGGGAGGAGAAGATATTACTCCCAATATATCAGGGAGTGTACACCCCCCCTTTGATATTGTTCCTAATATCCTGGGGGAAGAAAATTATATTACCACCAATATCTCATGGGGTGTACACCTCCCCTGTGATATTGTTCCTAACATGCGGGGGGGGGGAGATGATATTACACCCAATTTCACAAGAAATGTACACCCTCACAGTAATATTGTTCCTAATCTCCAGTGGAGAGAGGATGATATTACTTTCAATATTGCATGGGGTTTACACCCACCCTGCGATATTGTTCCTAATACTCATGGGGGGAGAGAATATTACTCCCAATATCGCAATGGGTGTACACCCACCCTGTGATATTATTTCTAATATCCAGAAATAAAGAGGATAATATCACACCCAATATCGCCGGGGGTGTACAACCCCCCTCCCGTGATATTGTTCTTAATATCCAGGTGGGTGCAGGATGATATCACTCCCAATATCGCAAGAGGTGTACACCCCTGCTGTGATTCTTTTTAATTTCAAAAGGGGGAGAGAATGATATCACTCTCAATATCTCAGGGGTGTACACCCCCCAGTTATACAGTTTTTACTATCCAGAGGCTCAGAGTATGATATTACTCCCAATATTGCAGCAGGTGTACAACCCCCTGTGAGTTTTTCCTAATATCCAAGGATGAAGAGGATGATATTACTCCCAATATCGCTCAAAGTGTATACCCCCTCTGTGACATTGTTCCTAATATTGAGAGCCTGAGAGGATGATATTACTCTTAATATCGCAGGAGGTGTACACCCCTTGTGGTATTGTTCCTAATATCCAAGGTGAGAGGGGATGATATTACTCCTAATTTCACAGGCGTTGTACCCGCCCTCTGAGCTATTGTTTCTAATATGCAGGAAGGGGGTGGATTTTGCTAAATTTAATATCTCCGGGGGTGAACACCCTCCGTGTGATATTTTTCCTAATATGCAGTGGGGTCAGGATGACATTATTCCCAATATCGCAGGGACTGTACACCCCACCTGTGATATTGTTTCTAATATCCAAGTGAGGAGAGAATGATATTACTCCCAGTATCGCAGGGGGTGTACATCCACCTTGTGATATTGTTTCTAATATTCCAGTGGGGAGGGCATGATATTACTCCAAATATCTTGGGAGTGTACACGCCCTGCGTGATATTGCTCCAAATATCCAGAAGGGGAGAGGATGATATTACTCCTAATATTGCAGGGGGTGTACACCCACCCTGTAATATTGTTTTGATATCTAGGGGTTGAAAGAATGATATTACTTCCAGTCTTGGGGGAGACATCCCCCCTGAAATATTGTTCCTAATATCCAACTGGGGAGAGCATAATATTGACCCCAATATCAAAAGCTGTGTACACCTTCCCTGTGATATTGTTCCTAATATCCAGGTGGGGAAAATGCTGATATTACTCCCAAATTCTCAAGAGGTGTACGCCCTCCCATGATATTGTTTCTAATATCCTCGTAGGTAGGTATAATATTATTCCAAATATCCCAGATAGTGTGCACACCCCCTGTGACATTGTTCCTAATATACAGCGGGAAAGGGGATGATATTGCTTGCAATATCTCAGGTGGTGTAAAACCCGCCTGTGATATTGTTTCTTATTTCCAGGCAGGGAGAGAATGATATTACTGCCAATATCACAGGAAGTGTACACACCCCCTGTGATATTTTTCCTAATATTCAGGAGGGAAGAGAATGAGATTACTCCCAATATTCCAGGGGGTGAACACCTTTTCTGTGATATTGTTCCTAATATCCAGAATGGAGAGGATGACATTACTCTCAATATCACAGTGGTTTATACCCCCTCTATGATATTGTTCCTAACATCCAGGGTTGGAGAAGATAATATTACTCCCAATGTCTAAAAGGGTGTACACCAATCCCCTTTGATATTGTGCCTAATATTCAGGGTGTGAGAGGTTGATATTACTCCCCAAATCACAGGGAGTGTACACACCCTCTGTGATATTTTCCTAATATCCAGGAGGCAAGAGGATGATATTACTCCCAATATCTCAATAGGTGTAGGCCTCCCCTCTAACAATATTTCTAATATCGAATAGGAGACAGAATGATATTACTCCCAATATCCCAGGGATTGCACACCCATCTGTAATATTGTTTTCAATATCCAGGTGAAGAGAGGATACTACTCCAATTATCTCAGGTGGTGTACACCCCCCACGTATATTGTTCCTAATATCCATGGAGAAGAGGAAGCTGTTATTTCCAATATCACAGGGGGTGTTCACCTGCTCTGTGATATTGTTTCTAATATTCAGGAAGGGAAAGTATGATAATCCTTGCAATATCGCAGGGAGTGTACATCCCCCTGTGATATTGTTCCTAATATTCAGTGTGGAAGAGGATGATATTACTCCCAATATCACAGGGGATGTACGCTCCCACTGTGATATTGTTACTAATATCCAGGGAGGGAGAGGTTAATATTACTCCTCATCTCATCAAAAGTGTACAACCCCCTGTTATCTGGTTTGTAATATGCGGAAGGGGAGGGGGTGGCGGTATTCCCCTATCACCCATATAGCGGAGTGTGCACAACCCCCTGTGATTTGCTTTGTTATATCATGGGGGAGGGAATGATATGACACCCAATATCGCAAGGGGTGCAGACCTCTTTTGTAATATTGTTCATAAAATCTAAAAAGGAAGAGGATATTATTCCCAATGATGCAGGAAATATACACCCCTTCTGTGATATTGTTCCTGATATCAAAGGGGGGGAAGTATAATATTACTCCCAATATCACAGGAGTTGTACAACACCCTGATATATTATTCCTAATTATCCACGTTGGGAGTTGATAATATTACGTTCAATATCTCAGTGGGTGTACACCTCCCTTGTGATATTGTTCTTAATATCTAGTGAAAAAGAGGATATTACTCCCAATATCGCAGGTGCTGTACACTACCCACGTGATATTTCATCTAACATCAATGTGAAAGAGGACGATATTCCTTTCAATATCACAGGAAATGTACACCTTCTCTGTGATATTGTTCCTAATAATTGGAAAGGGGGAGAGTATAATTCCCATTATCACAGGGGTGTTCACCTCGCATGTGATATTGTTTCTAATATCCAGGGGGCAGGTGGAATGATATTACTCCCAATACCGCAGGGGGTGTACACGTGCCCCATGCTATTGTTCCTAATATCCAGGTCAGAAAAGTATGATGTTACTCCTGATATTGCAGGGGGTCTACACCACTTCTGTGATATTGTTTTTAATATCCAGGAAGGAGATTATAATATTACACCCAATATCGCAGGGGGCGAACACCTCCCTTGTGATATTGTTCCTAATATCAATGAAAGGAGAGGATATTATTCCCAATATCGCAGCAAGTGTCCACCGTTCTTGTGATATTGTTCCTAATAGCCAGGGAGAGAGAGGATGACATTGCTCCCTATATCTGAGGGAGTGCACACCCCTTCTATCACATTGTTTTTAATATCAAGGCAGGTAGAAAATAATATTATTTTTAATATTGCACGGGTTGTACACACCCTTACGATATGGTTCCGAATATCCAGAGTGGGAGAGGATCATATCACTCTCAATATCGCAGTGGGGGTACACCCCTTCTGTGATATTGTTTCTAATATCCAAGCGGGGAAAAGATGATATTACTCCCAATATTGCAGGGCGTGTACAACACCCTTGTGATATTATTCGTAATATCCGGGGGTGGGGGGGGTGGGGAGAGGATGATATGACTCCTAATATTGCAGGAGGTGTTCACTTCCCCTGTGATATTGTTCCTAATATCCAGGGGTGAGGGAATGATATTACTCTCAATATCGCAGTGGATGTACACCGCCCCCATGATATTGTTTCTAACATTTTGAGGTGAAAAAGATATTACTGCCAATATCCTAGGGGCTGTATACCCCTCCTGTGATATTGTTTCTAATATCCAGTGGAGACCAGGATGATATTACTTCCAATATTGCAAGGGATGTACAGCCTCGCTGTGATATTTTTTGTATTATCCAGGGTAATAGAGGATAATATTACTCCCAATATCACTGGGGGTGTACACCATCCCTGTGATATTGTTTCTAATATCCAAAGGGGAAGAGCATGATATTACTCCGAATATCGTAGCAGCTGTACAACGCCGTGTGCTATTGTTTCTAAATCCGAGGGGTGAGAAGTAATATTACTACCAATATCACAGGGGTTGTGCTATTGTTCCTAATATTTAGTGAGGGAACATATAATATTACTACCAATATCGCAGGAGATGTACACACCTACTCCGATATTGGTCCTAATATCTAGGCAGGGAGAGATAGATATTACTCTCAATATCGCAGCGGGTTTACACCCCTTCTGTGATACTGTTTCTAATATCCAGGAGGGAGGGGATGATAGTACTTCCAATATCACGGGGTGTTTAGCTTAGTTTGACTGGACATGAAATTCTGGGTTGAAAATTTTTTTCAAGAATGTTGAATATTGGCCCCCACTCTCTTCTGGCTTGTAGGATTTCTGCAGAGAGATCCGCTGTTAGTCTGATGGGCTTTTCTTTGTGGGTAACTGGACCTATCTCTCTGGCTGCCCTTAACATTTTTTCCTTCATTTCAACCTTGGTGAATCTGATGATTATGTGTCTTGGGGTTGCTCTTCTTGAGGAGTATCTTTGTGGTGTTCTCTGTATTTCCTGAATTTGAATGTTGGTCTGTCTTTCTAGGTTGGAGAAGTTCTCCTGCATAATATCCTGAAGAGTGTTTTCCAACTTGGTTCCATTCTCCCTGTCACTTTCAGGTACGCCAATCAAATGTAAGTTTGGTATTTTCACATAATCCTGTGTTTCTTGGAGGCTTTGTTCATTCCTTTTCATTCTTTTTTCTCTAATCTTGTCATCTTGCTTTATTTTATTAAGTTGATAATCTCTGATATCCTTTCTTCTGCTTGATTGATTCAGCTATTGATACTTGTGCATGCTTCGCGAAGTTCTTGTGCTGGGTTTTTCAGCTCCATCAGGTCATTTATGTTCTTCTCTAAACTAGTTATTCTAATTAGCAATCCGTCTACCCTTTTTTCAAGGTTCTTAGCTTCCTTGCATTGTGTTAGATCACGCTCCTTTAGCTTGAAGGACTTTGTTATTACCTGCGTTCTGAAGCTTACTTCTGTCAATTTGTTAAACTCTTTCTCTGTCCAGTTTTGTTCCCTTGCTGGCAAGGAATTGTGATCCTTTGGAGGAGAGGAGGAGTTCTGGTTTTTGGAATTTTAAGCCTTTTTTTGTGCTGGTTTCTTCCCATCTTTGTGGCTTTATCTACCTTTGGTCTTTGATGTTGGTGACCTTCAGATGGGGTCTCTGAGTGGAGGTGCTATTCCTTTCTGTTTGTTAGTTTTTCTTCTAACAGTCAGGCCCCTCTGCTGCAGGTCTGCTGGAGTTTGCTGGAGGTCCACTCCAGACCCTGATTGACTGGGTATTACCAATGTAGGCTGCCAAACATCAAAGATTGCTGCCTGTTCTTTTCTCTGGGAGCTTCATCCCAGAGGGGCACCTGCCATGTGCCAGCCAGAGCTCTCCTGTATGAGGTGTCTGTCAGCCTCTTGTGGGAGGTGTCTCCCAGTCAGTATACATGGGGGTCAGGGACCCACTTGAGGAGGCAGTCTGACCCTTAGCAGAGCTCCAACGCTGTGCTAGGAGTTCAGCTGCTCTCTTCAGAGCTATCAGGCAGGGACCTTTAAGTCTGCTGAAACTGTGCCCACAGCTGCCCCTTCCCCCAGGTACTCTGTCCCAGTGAGATGAGGGGTTTTTTTATCCGTAAGTTCCTGACTGTGGCTGCTGCCTTTTCTTCAGAAATGCCCTGCCCTGTGGTGGGCTCCACCCAGTTTAAACTTCCCAGGGCGGCTTTGTTTACACTGTGAGGGCAAAACTGCCTACTCAAGCCTCAGCAGTGGCAGATGCCCCTCCCCTCACCAAGCTCAAGCATCCCAGGTTGATCTCAGACTGCTGCTGTGCTGGCACCAAGAATTTCAAGCCAGTGGATCTTGGTTTGCTGGGCTCCTTGGGGGTGGGACCCACCGAGCCAAACAACTTGGCTCCCTGGCTTCAGCCCCCTTTCCAGTGGAGTGAACGGTTCTGTCTCACTGGTGTTTCTGGTGCCACTGGGGTATGGAAAAAAGAAAAAGAAAAAAAAAAACTCCTGCAGCTAATTCAATGTCTGCCCGAATGGCCACCTAGTTTTGTGCTTGGAACCCAGAGCCCTGGTGGCGTGGGCACTGGAGGAAATCTCCTGGTCTGTGGGTTGCGAAGACCATGGGAAAAGTGCAGTATCTGGGCTGGAGTGGATGACTTCTCAGGCTCAGTCCCTCATGGCTTCCCTTGGGTAGGGGAGAAAATCCCCCAACCCCTTGTGCTTCCCTGGTGAGGTGACGCCCCACACTGCTTCAGCTCGCCCTCCATGGGCTTGAACCCACTGTCCAACTAGTCTCAAGGATATGAACCATGTACTTCAGTTGGAAATGCAAAAATCACCTGCCTTCTGCATCGATCTCACTGGGAGCTGCAGACTGGAGCTGTTCCTATTCGGCCATCTTGCTAGCCACTGTGATATTATTTCTCACATCCTAGGAGGATGTTATTCCTGAGGTCACAGGGGGTGTACACCCTGTGATGTTATTTGTAATATTTTAGAATGATGTTACTCCTAATGTCCCAGAAGGTTTACATTCTGTGATATTATTCATAATATCCTATGGGGATGTTACTTCTAATGTCACAGTGAAGGTACACCATGTGTGTACGCCCTGTGATGTTATTTGTAATATCCTAGGGAGATATTACTCCTAATGTCACTGTGTTGTACACTCTGTGATATTACTAGTAATATCCTAGGGAGATGTTACTCTTAATGTCACTGTGTGTGTGCACCCTGTGAAATTATTTGTAATATCCTAGAAGGATGTTACTACTAATGTTACAGTGGATGTACACTCTGTGCTATTATTCATAATATTTTAAGGAGATGTTACTCCTAATGTCACAGTGAATGTACATCCTGATATCCTAGGTAGATGTTACTCCTAATATCACAGTGGTTGTACATCCTGTGATATTATTCGTAATATCATAGGAGGATAGGACTCCTAATAGCACAGTGGGTGAACTCAGTGATATTATTTATAATATCCTAGAAAGATATAAGTCCTAATATCACAGTGGGTGTACACCCTGTGATTTTATTCATAGTATGCTAGGGAGAAAGTACTCCTAATACCACAGTGAGTGACCACCCCGCATGTGATATTTTTCCTAATGTCTGCGGGGAGAGAAAAAGATATTACTCCCAATATCACAGGGGGTGTACACACCCTCTGTTATATTGTTCCTTATATCCAGGGGGAAAGAGGACAATATTACTTCCAATATCGCAGGGGTGGACACCACCATGTGATACATTTTGTAATATCCAATGGGGAAGAGAATGATATTACTCCAAATACCTCACGGGGTGTACACACTTTCTGTGTTATTGTTTGTAATATCCCTGGAGGGACAGGATGACATTACTCTCAATATCGCAGGGGTGGACATTCTTCCCCCATGATATTTTTCCTAATATGCAGGGCTGCAGAGGGTGATATTACATTCAATATTGCAGAAGGTGTACAGCCCCTTTGTGATATGTTTTCTAATATCCAGGGGGGAGAGGATGATCTTACAATCAATATCACAGGGAGTGTACACCCTCTTGTAATATTGTTCCTAATATCATGGTGAGGAGAGGATAATATTATTCCCAATTTTTCAGGGGTTGTACACCCGCCCTAATATATCACTCCCCATATCACGGGGGCTGAACACCTTCCATGATATGGTTTGTAATATCCAGAGTGGGAGACAGTGATATTACTTCCCATATCACAAGGGATGTACATCACACAGTGATCTAGTTCATAATATCCCAAAGTGGAGGAAATGATATTACTCCCAATCTCACAGAGGCTGTATCAATATCACCTCCCTGTAATGTTGTTCATAATATCCAAGTGGGGAGATGATGATACTCTTAATATTTCAGCGGGTGTACATTCCCGTGTGATATTTTTCCTAATATTCAGGGGAAGACAGGATAATATTACTCCCAATGTGGCAGGGGTTGTATACCCCCCTGTGATAGTGCTTGTAATATCCAGGGTGGGAGAGGATGATATTACTTTCATTTTCACAGGAAGTGTAAACCCCCATGTGATATTGTTCATAATATTCAGGGGGAACGAGTATGATATTACTCCCAATATCACAGGAGGTGTACATCCTTCTGTGATATTCTTCATAATATCCAGAGACGGAAAAGACGATATTACTCCAAACATCACAGGGGGTATACATGCCCCTTTGATATTGTTCGTAATATCCAAAGAAAGAGAGGATTATATTATTCCCAATATCACCTTATGGTATTTTTGGTAATATCCAGGGACCGAAAGGATGATATTACTCCTAACATCGAAGAGGATGTACGCCCCCCTTTGATATTTTTTGTAATATCCAGGGGGAAAGAAGACAATATTATGAACAATATCACAGGGGGTGTACATTTCCATGTGATATTGTTCGTAATATCCAGGGGGAAAGAGGATGAAATTATTCCAAATATCAAAGGAGGTGTACACCCTTCCGTGGTATTGTTTGTAATATCCAGAAGGAGACAAAGTAATATTATTCCCAATATCATGGGGGATGTACACTCCAAATATCACTGGGGGTGTACACCCACTTGTGATGTTGTTCGTAATATCCAGAAGGAGAGAGAGTAATATTATTCCCAATATCGTGGGGGGTGTACACTCCAAATATCGCTGGGGGTGTACACCCACCTGTGATATTATTCATAATATCCGGTGGGGGGTGTGGAGAGGGTGATATTACTCCCAGTATCACAGGGAATGTACACCCCCACCTGTGATAGCCCTAATATCCCGTGGGGGAGAGAATGACACTACTCCCAATATAGCAGCAAGTATACACCTCTTCTGTGATATTGTTCCTAATATCCAGAAGGGGAGAGGATAATATTACTCCTAATATCGTGGAGGGCATATAGCCCCTGTGATATTGTTGGTAATATCTAGGGGGAAAGAGGATGATATTACTCCCAATATCACAGGAGGTGTACATGACTCTGTGATATTGTTCATAGTATTCAGCAGGGGAGAAGATGATATTACTTCCAATATCGCAAAAGGTGTAAATTATCCCTGTAATATTGTTCATAATATCCAAAAGGAAAGAGGATAATATTACTCCCAATATCGCAGGGGCTGTACACTCCCCTGTGATATTGTCTGTGATACTAAGTGGGGGAGAGGATATTACTCCCAATATCGCAAGGGGTATACACTCTCCCTGTAATATTGTTCGTAATAGCCAGGGGGGAGAGGATGATATTACTTCCAATATCACAGGGGGTATACACCCCACTTGTAATATTATTCAAAATATCCAAGTGGGGAGAGATTGATATTACTCCCAATATCGCAGAGGATGTACATTTCCACTGTGATATTGTTCATAATATCCAAAGGCAAAAAGGATATTACATTCAATATCGCAGGGTGTGTACATCCCCGAGGTGAACTTGTTCATAATATCTAGGGGGAGAGAGGGTGATTTTACTCCCAATATCGCAGGGGGTGTACACTTCACCAGTGATATTGTTGGTTATATCCAGGAAACAAGAAGATAATACTACTCCCAAAATCCAGGGAGTGTACACCTTCCTGTGATATTGTTGCCAATATTCAGGGGGGGACAGGATATTATTCTCATTATCACGGGGGTGTACACCCCTTCATTGATATTGTTCTTAATACCCAGTTGGGGGAGAAGATGATATTACTCCCAATATCACGGGGGGGGTGTCCCCCATGATATTGGAAGTAATATCTGGGGGGGAGAGAATGATTTTACTCCTAATGTCACAGCATGTGTACACCTATTCTGTGGTATTGTTCCTAATATCCAGAAAGGGAGAGAATAATATTACTCCTAATATCACAGAAGGTGTACAGCCCTCCTGTGATATTGTTCCTAATATCCAGGGGGGAAGAAGATATTACTCCCAATATCGCAGGGGGTGTATACTCCACTTGTGATATTGTTCCTAATATCCAGGTGGGGAGAGGATGATATTCCTCCCACTATCGCAAATGGTGTACCCCACCCCCCTGATATTGTTCCTAATATTCAGACGGGGAGAGGATTATATTACTCTCAATATCACAGGGGCTGTATACTCTCCCTGTGTTATTGTTCCTAATATCCAGGGAGGGAGAGGATGATATTACTCCTAATACCGCAGGGGTTCTACACTCCTTCTGAGATATTGTTCCTAATATCCACTGTGGGAGAGGATGATATTACTCCTAATGTCGGAAGGGGTGTACACCCCAATGCAATATTGTTCCTAATATCCACTGGGAAAGACAATGATATTACTCCCAATATCGCAGGGGGTGTACAGACCTCCTGTGATATTGTTCCTAATATCCAGTGGGGAGAAAGGATGATATTACTCCCAATATTGCAGAGGCTGTACACAACCCCCACCCCCGCCGTGATATTGTTCCTAATATCCAAGGGAGGAGAAGATATTACTCCCAGAATCACAGGGGGTGTACACCGACCTTGTGATATTGTTCCTAATATCCATGGGGGTAGAGGATAATATTACTCCCAATGTCGCCGCAGGTGTACATCCCCCTTGTGATATTGTTTCTAATATCCAAAGGGGGAGAAGGTGATACTACTCCCTATATTGCACGGGGTGTGCACCCCCCTTGTGAGAGTGTCCCTAATATTTAGAGGGAGAGAGGGTGATATTGCTCTCAATATTGAAGTTGGGTGATATTTCAGACTTAAAAATTATGTACAAAGAATTATACAATAATCGTCTTATATTGTTCAAGGAATAAATGAGCAATATAGTTGATTTGTCCTGTATGCTTTTTTTTGATTGTCATCTTTCTATTCCATTATTCTCAAACACTTGTAACTATTATTCTAAATTTGGTGAAGGTAATTTCCATTTCTTTATACTTTCAGAGCATATTAAATGTTTATGTATATGGCATTATACTGTAAATATTTTTTGCATCATATAATAATCATCCATGTTGATATGAGTGGCTTTGGGTCATTGTTTTTTTGCTGCTACGTATTATCCCAAGCAAAACATTTGTGTTGTTTAAGTTGCTAAATTAGCACAAGTTTAGCAATATAAGCAACACAAATGTATTATCATACAGTTCTTTAGGACAGAAGTCTGACATGGACCTCACCAAGCTAAACTCAAGGGTAGATAGCACTATGTTCCTTCCTGGGGGCCTTGGTGAGAGAATTCATTTCCTTACCCCTTTAATCTTCTTAGAGGCTGCTTATATCCCTTAGCTCATAGTCCTACTTCCTTCATCTTCAAAGCCAGCAACATCAGGCCAAGTCCTTTCCATGCTGCCATCTCTCCAGTCATCTACTTCCTACCTCTTTCTTTCACTTCTAAGCACCCTTGTGATTACACTAGGTCCAGCTGGATAATCCAGGGTAATCTTCCCACCCTCCAGAACTATGAGAAATAAATGTTCGTTTTTTATTCACTGCCCATATTATGTTACAGTTCTAGCAGCCTGAAGGGATCAAGACAAATAGTATATTGAAGTAAAAACAGTTCAGGTCAGGAGACAGAGACCATCCTGGCTAACACGGTGAAACCCTGTCTCTACTAAAAATACAAAAAACTTAGCTGAGTGTGGTGGCGGGCGCCTGTAGTCCCAGCTACTCAGAAGACGGAGGCAGGAGAATGGCGTGAACCCAGGAGGCGGAGCTTGCAGTAAGCCGAGATTGCGCCACTGCACTCCAGCCTGGGTGACAGAAGGAGACTCCGTTTCAAAAAAAAAAAAAAAAAAAAAATTCAAAGTTTTATTGTCATGTAACACAGATGATTTAAATGGATTTCTGTTTTAAAATTTTATAATTAAAATAGAAAACATTCAGACATGCTCTAAGTCCTGTTTTATTTGTCTTATAGATTACTACCCCTTTCTTCACAAAATAAAGATACCAGTTTCCTTAAAAAAGAAAAGTGACTAATATCATGGGAACATCAACTTTCCTACCTGGATCATCCACTCCTTAATTATATGTCTTTAAGACTGGAATATAACGTGAAGCATTATCAAATAACAATAAGGTGGTTTTATTTAACCTTTTAGAAAAGCTTTTGAATAAAAATAAAGTTAAAAATATTTAATGGGTGGTAATGTATATATACATCATAGTATGAAAGAATGTTCAGGGTATATTTTTAAGTTACAAAAGCAAGGCACAGAACAGTGTATGGTTTGATACATTTTGTAAAAGAACGAAGGGAAAATGAAAATATCTCAATAGAAACACTAACAGGATACACTATAAACTAATAAAAGTGATTTTAAAGAATGAAGACAGGAGTTGGAGCAAGAGTAACTGTATACCTTTTTATAGTGTTTTAATGTTCAAATCATATGAATGTACTACCTATTCCAAAATTAAATTAAATTAAATGTGAAAGAGATACAAATAGGCACCAATTTGCCATTTTATTGTTTTCAATATAAGAGTACAGCTGTTACAGAGATGCCTGATTTTAATCATAGCAGCAATTTAGGAAAGAAATTTGCTCAAAATGTTAGGTAACAAGATAACTGGTATTTAATGCAGTGATTCTCAAATTTTATGGTGCACAAAATAACCCAGGTGATTTGCTAAAAATCTATATTCTTAGGGTGTAACCCAGATTATGGATTAATAGGTTTGAAATGGGGTTAAAAATATGCATTTTAACAAGAACCCTTGGTAATTTTCATTCAGAAGTTTATTGACTCTACTTTCAGTAATCTTGGCTTAATTTCTGGGAACCAAATATATTAAAATTTTTGTGCTGTTGCAATATTAACAGATTCTCAAAGATAGCAAACAAATCATTCCTTTAATGCCTGAAAACATCATTTCTAACAGGAATAGTTTTCCTTGTTTTCAAATTTGACATGAATTCATTGCATTGATTAATTTAGAAAGTTAATGTTTGCAAACCCAAATCTTTATATCTAACACTAATAGGTAATGTTATATAATAAACCATAAGAAGAGAGTAAAGAACATTGCAGGGTTAATATTTCAGTAAAAAGGAAAGGCTCTGTATTACTGAGCATTCCCCAGAGAAACAGAACCAATAGGACATAAGAGATGCATTATGGGAATTGGCTCACTTGATTTTGGAGTCCAAGAAGTCCCATGGTATGCCTTCTGCAAGCTAGAGAACCAAGAATCGACTGGTGTTATTTAGTCTGTGTCTGAAGGCCTGAGAACCAAGGCGGTGAGTGAGGAATGGGAGAGAGCAAATGATGCAAGCCTCGAGGTCGGAGAACCAGGAGCACCCATGTCTGAAGGCAAGAGAAGATGCATATCCCAGCTCAAGAAGAGGGAGAGAGAGAATTCACTCTTCCTCTGCCTTTAGTTCTATTCAGGCCCTCAATGGATTAGATAACATCCACCCACCCACATAGGTGGATGGATCTGTTATACTTAGTCTACTGATTCATATGCTAATCTCTTCCAGAAACATCCTCACAGAACACCAAGACACAGAACACCAAGAAACAATGTTTTACCAGCCATCTGGGCATCCCATAGTCCAGTCAAGTTGACATGTAAAATTAACCATCACAAGCTTTATACCAGTGACAACATAAATTTCAAACTTTTAAAGTGGAGTAGTGAGCATTGTTAATTTTTGTGCTGGCCTATCTTCTGAACCTCATTTCTATGTTAGGAAAATTCCCCACTTTATGAGTTTTCTTTAGAGGTAGGAACTATCTTTTAATACAGGAGCGAGATACTCTCTTTTTAAAACATTATCTACAGTTGCAACAAGGCTTCACTCAAATCTGGGGACACAAATATGGGAAATTGCATTCCTGCCCACATGGCCTCCAAGCTCGGTTCTTTGGCCCCATGAGACCCTTTGAACCTCCCAATAGCTTTTTAGTATATTTCTGTTTTTGCTTAATAAAACAGAAATGAGTTGGTTTTGTTTTTTACATCTAAGAACCCTTACATGGGGATTTTGGGTTTAAAAAATCAACTGAAATATCAAATAGGGGAAATAAGTCTTTATAGCAGTTAATGCAAAGAAAAATCAAATAGGCATAGTTGATTCTGGCTTAATGTAAGTCAACAATACTATGTGTTTGCCCAAATCACTCATATGCACTTGGGTAGATGAGTAGCATTGATAGGATAGAGTTCAGGACATGAAAAAAAATGATATAACTGATTCTATAACTCTGCATTGGTCCATTGACACCTGGTGTAAAGTCTTCAGCTCTAGGCCCCACATTTTAAAGAAACCTTTATAAATGAGTATTTCCAGAAGAAACCTTGAAAGTTAGATCAGAAGAAATGTGAAATCAAACAGATATTTGCCAGCTTAAAGAGGTGATTTTTTGAAGGAAATATGGACACCATCTGTTAATAAACCAAACATTTTCCTATAGAAAAATATATGTGTAACACTGGACAGAATTTTCATGGGATATTTAATTTATTGTGAGATTTACTTAACAATTAAAGCTACATAAAGAAAGAAATAGGCTGTGTGGCGTCGCTCACACCTGTAATCCCAGCACTTTGGGAGGCCGAGGATTACCTGAGGTCAGGAGTTCGAGACCAGCCTGGCCAATATGGGGAAACCCCATCTCTACTAAAAATATTTTAAAAAATTATCTGGGTGTGGTGGCATGTGCCTGTAGTCCCAGCTACTCAGGAGACTGAGGCACGAGAATCACTTGAACCCAGGAGGCGGAGGTGGCAGTAAGCCAAAATTGTGTCACTGCACTCCAGCTTGGCTGACAGAGAGAGAATCTGTCTCAAAATAAATAGATAAATAAATAAATAAATAGATAAATAATGGCATTCAATAGAGGCTAACAACTTCTCAGTATGTTCAAAGGACATTTCTAGAGTATCAGATGGGAGATCCTTGGTATAACTTTATACATATAAAATATATATTATATATATTATATAATATATGTATACATATATGCTAGGATGATCTCACATCAATTTTAGTGCACAATACATAATTTCCTACTCAGCTTTCTAGAAAACCTTAAAGACCAAGGAAAGAAACTGAGTGACATATTCATCTAGGCATTAAAATTTCCCCTCTCAACTCCCAGTATCAAGTCAAATTCTCTCCATCAGATAAAAGCTGGAGCTGATAAAATGAGTTCGGGAATATTTCACAGTGGAATTGGAATTTCATAAACACAAGACAATGAAAGAACACCTATGTGATTTACTGAAAACAGACAAATACTGTAGTGTAGTGTGATCCTTTTGAGATGGATTGCCTAAAGCTTTCCCGAGTTGGGCATGTGTTCTACTTAGTGATGAGAAATCAGAAGCAAAGAATGGAATAAACATGCTTTATTTCACTTAGAGACTAAAAATATGAAAAGCAAGTGCTGTTTTAGTTACAACACTAAGATTTAAAAATCAAAAGCACTATTTACTTTTGATTTTGAAAATTCAGTCTATGACTCTGAGAAAGATACCTAACAAGGCACATGATAGAAATCTGGTTATAACTTCTATGGCAGTCAAGCAGAGATCGGATTTTTTTAAACAACTAAATGAGAGGAGAAATACTCGATTAGATTTTCTAGATAAGTTAGAATTTATCAACAATGTAAAGTAAGGCACACCCACATATAATTATTAATAGTTTCAGAATAGTGACAAATGGAATTAGATTGAATGGTCAATTTGAGAGGACTTGATTTCTCTTTTGCCTGGGATTTTCCTTGCTCTTTGTTTTGTTTTGTTTGTTTGTTTTGAGATTTCACTCAGGACTAGTCTGGCTGTGAAGCTCGTATTGTATTATTTTTTTTCAAACAACCTAAAATATGGTATAACCCTAATGTCTCCACACCGTGAAGTTTGCAAAAGATCATTCATTCCTTTATAAGGCAGAGCCTGAGTCACTTTATCAGCGACATGGTAAGTCCAGTTTTTATTGTTTATCTTTTCCAACTCTGTCTGAGAAATGTTAGGTAAGTTGTATTTCTTTTTTTTCTTTTTTTTGAGACGGAGTCTCGCTCTGTCGCCCAGGCTGGAGTGCAGTGGCACGATCTCGGCTCACTGCAAGCCCTGCCTCCCGGGTTCACGCCATTCTCCTGCCTCAGCCTCCCGAGTAGCTGGGACTACAGGTGCCCACCACCATGCCCGGCTAATTTTTTGTATTTTTAGTAGAGATGGGGTTTCACCGTGTTAGCCAGGATGGTCTCGATCTCCTGACCTCGTTACCCGCCCTTCTGGGCCTCCCAAAGTGCTGGGATTACAGGCGTGAGCCACAGTGCCCGGCCAGTGAGTTGTGTATTTCTAACAGATACGTTTTGATCACTCTCAGTGACCTGATGTATCCAGGTTTCTTTCTGGTCATCTCTTCCTACCCCACTATTATGTTTCTTCTACTACTAATGTCTCCACATTTTTATATTTTGAAAGACCTTTTGGTCATTTCTTAATTGCCCCAAAGCACAGTTCCACCACGCTGCAATGTTTCACAACCTTTACTGAAAGTCTGAAGATTTAAATAGAGGGTAGTGTGGGTAGGAATTACAAAACAGCAAAGGAAAACACTTCAAGGACAGGAATGAAGCCAATTCATCCTTCTAACCCTCATGTAGCTCACAGACACTTAATTCAGATATTAAATAAGTTTTTATATGAATAGATATATTAGTGGATTGAGTGTTGTGCCTTGCCCAAGACAGCAATGCTCAAATAGTGCTATTAATATGGATATTCTATCAGATCCAGAATATTGAATCTCTAATGATATTTAAATATAATGTTTAATAGAGAAAATAAAACTCAAAACACAATAAAAACTCGAGAATATTGAACCTCTAATGATTTTAAATATAATATTTAATAGAGAAAGTAAAACTCAAATTTTTATTGTCATAGGATTTCTTGATCTACCATATAAACCCCAAATCTAATATTGTCTATGTATTTTGTCTACTTTGTCTATTTCATCAGAAAATATTATATCATATGTTTTATAGTTAGAGGTTCTTGCCACAACACTGGAAATAAAAAATAAGTTTGTAAATTATTTCCACCATAGTAGTGCTGAAAGTAGGAGAAATGTCTCATAATCAGCCATTGTCCCTGCAAAATGACAAGTTCAGTCCACGTAGACCATCCTGAGGTTTCAGGAAGAGATAAAGAGTGTCTGAAATACTTATATATAGTACATTTCTGGAAGCTATAAGTGGATGATGCATGAGATTTCATCGGAGGAGGCAGTGTCATTGTATGTAAAGTGATGGGCAGAATTCAAGAGTAATAGGGCTCCAGCCAATGGAAACAGCACCTGCAAGGGTATGGCTCAGTGGCTTGCAAAACTGAAATCTAAGAGTGGAAAGTGGGAAAAATAATGAGGGCAGTATGTCAAGGGCTAAAATGGGACACCAGCAGCGCTTGAGATACCAAATGGTCAGATCTGCTTGTCAATTAAAGGGTAACATGGGACTTCAAATGTCATCATCAGAATTCTATCATCTGGGCATGTGAAAAATCCCAACTCATGATGCTATGGTTTGAATGCTTGTCCCCTCCCCAGCTCATGTTGAAATTTGATTGCCATTTTAACAGTATTAAACAGTGGTATCTTTAAGAGGTGATTAGGCCATGAGGACTTTGCCCTTATGAAGGGATTAATGCCATTAACTTGGTAATTTTTTCCTTTTATTGTGGGGGTGTGTTTCTTATACAAGGATTCATTCAGGTTAACTCTTGTTCCCCCTCCCCATCTCACCTTCTGCCATGAGATGACAAGCAAGAAGGCCCTCTCCAAATGCTGGCACCTTGATCTTGAACTTTCCAGCCTTCAGAACTGTGAGCCAATAAATCTCTGTCCTTTATAAATTACTCAGTATTAGGGATTCTGTTATAGCAGCACAAATGGTCTGAGATAAATGGGAAAATCAGAGGTTTGAAACTACGTTTAATTATTATGAACTTAAGAAAAAACGAGTGGTGATGAGATAAACCTCCAGAGCCACAGGCATTGGTACTTTCAGCAATGAGTCCAAATTTCTTCTCTGTACTCATGCACTCCCTTGATGAACTCATTCAGTTCCACGATTTAAATATGAACTCATTCAGTTCCATGATTTAAATACCATTCCTGTGGTTATGGCTATGAATGTATCTTAAAAGCTTACATGTTTTTTGTTTGTTTGTTGTTGGTTTGTTTGTTTTTGTTTTCGTTTTTTGAGACAGGGTCTTGCTCTGCCACCCAGGCTGAAATGCAGTGGTGCCATCTCAGCTCAATGGAATCTTTGCCTCCTGGGTTCAAGTGATTCTCATGCCTCAGCCTCCCAAGTAGCTGGGATTACAAGTGTGCACCACTGTGGCTGGCTAATTTTTGTGTGTTTAGTAGAGACAGGGTTTTGCCATGTTGGCCAAGCTGGTCCTAGCCTCAAGTGATCCACCAGCCTTGGCCTCCCAAAGTGCTGGGATTACAGGCATGAGCCACTGGGATTACAGGCATAACTTACATGTTATCTTAGCTTCAGAATCCCCTTAAACTCTTTCTCTCTCTCCCTCTCTGTCTAAATATACCTAGACAGAGAGATATAGATAGATAGATAGATATGATATATATATATATATTTATATCTTAATATGTTGAAAACTTCTGATTTCCATTCTTCAACATTTGTCCCACAGCTGTTCTCATCTCAGCAAATGACATCACTACCCACTCTTTTTCTCAATCTGGAAATCATCCTTGGTTCTTTTCTTTTCCTCATTGCCAATATCTATTTATTTTAGAAATTTCTATTATCTCTATTGCAAAATATGTCACAAATCCATCTCCTTTTCTTGTTTCTGCATTATTGGTCTTAAAGCTTCCATTTGAGCATCATCGTAACCATTATCCACAATAGTCCCAGGAAATTTACATTAATTCAAATGACAGCAATGTTTTTCCCTATAAAATGCTCTCTATGGCTTTGTATTAGTGGTAGTTTTATAATTTCTCAAGTCAGTCTTTCTTTCTTTCTTTCTTTCTTTCTTTCTTTCTTTCTTTCTTTCTTTCTTTCTTTCATTTGAGATAGTGCCTGGCTCTGCCACCCTATAATTTCTATACAAGCATACCTTGGAGCAATAATCTGCTTGGCTAGAAGGTTTGGGAGATTTTACATACACTGGCATTGCAAGCACATATTTTCACTCAGATTGTATATTTATTTGAATGAGGAGAGAGATTTGTGCATGGTGTTTAACAGTTCCCAAACTGCAGCTACCACTTGACATGCTTAAGTTCTACTTTATTTTTGTTGTTGTTTGTTTGTTTGTTTGTTTGTTTTGAGACAGGATCTAGCTTTGCTACCCAGGCTGGATTGCAGTGCCACGATTATGGCTCACTGCAGCCTTGACCTCCCTGGCTCAAGTGATCCTCCCACCTCAGCCTTCTAAGTAGCTGGGACCACAGGCATGCGCCATCACACTTGGCTATTTTTGTATTTTTTGTAGAGATGGGGGTCTCCCTATGCTTCCCAGGCTGGTTTTGAACTCCTGAGCTCAGGTGATCCTCCTGCTTCGGCCTCCCAAAATACTAGTACTACAGGCATGAACCACTGCGCCTAGCCTCTGCCTTCTTTTTTAATGTCTTCTCAAACCATTTCCAATCCCCACCTGCTTTGTCAGCTACATTCCAGCCACAGTATATATATTTCTCACACTGGACCTGGGCTTTTTCCAGCCTTTTTATTAGTGCAAACACATCCTTAACTTGTAACATTTCCTCAGTCTGTTCTAACTGCTGGAATTACTTTTCCTTCCACTCTGAATAGTTTTCTTTGCCTTGTTATTTAATTCTACATCATATGTTACTTCTTTCTCAGAAAATGCTCTCTAGTAATCTAATCTGAGCTATCTCCTCTCTCACATTTAATACTCACCCCCTCAATTTCTATTATATTGCCTTTTTCTCATCTTAACATTGTTTATTTCTGTGTTAACTAGTGAGCTTTTGAATTCCGCTTCTAGAATGCAGGCCTCAGGGGCAAGGAGATCTTCTAAATCTTGTTCTACACTAGACCCCCAAAATCTAGATAATCGGTGGTAGGTGGTCAGTAAATGTATGTGGAAAGGCTAGAAAAGGCAAAGGTAGGTTTAAAAAATACAAACAAATTGACTAAATCTAATTTTGAACATTAAGAAAGACTTATTGCAATGTTAACATTTATTTTAAAAGAAGAAGTAAGGCATATTACTAAGTGAAAGAAGCCCATTGGAAAAAGCTACATACGATAGGATTCCACCTATATGACATCTGGAAAAGTCAAAACTACAGATACAGTAAAAATATCAGTAGTTTCCAGGGGAAGGTTGAGGGTGAGAGTTGGGAGGTGGAATGAATAGTTGGAACACTAAGGATTTTTAGGGCAGTGAAAATATTCTGTATGATACTATAATGCTGGATATATGTCATTATACTTTTGTCTAAACCCATAGAATGTACAACACTAAGAGGGAGCCCTAGTGTGACCTATGGACATTGTTTGATTATGATGTGTCGATGTAGGCTCAATAGTTGAAACAAATCTATCACTATGGTGGAAGCTGTTGATAATGGGGGAGGCTAACCCTGCGCAGGGGCAGGGGTATCTTGGAAATCTCTATACCTTCTTCTTCTTTTGCTATGAACCTAAACCCTCTAAAAAATTAAGCCTTTAAAAAGAGGGTAAAGCAATAATTGTAACACTGTAGTAGCAGAAACGATCATTGTTAAAGGCAATTGGTAAGGCCTAATAGTAATTTACTATGTGATATGGTATCCATTACTTGAACACCTTTTGAATATAACATTTCACCCTATATAAAAATAAGCTATTTTATGCAAATTATTTCAGCCAAATGTTTGAAAATTGGCTTAGTTTCTCATTTGTGTATGCTATAAATTAACTTTAAGATTTATATATGTTATAAATTTGACAGCAATTTCTGATAACTAACAGATAAGGATTTTCTCCACACTATGTTAAGAAGTTAATTACATAAAAATATTTAAATGTATAATTCTATTTTAACTTACTTTAATAATTTTGTTAAGTGGAAGAAGCAATAATTTCTCAGCAGAAACTATGGTAGTATGTTTCACAAATATTTACTTAAGATTGCTTTTATATATTAAGTTTTCTCAAAAGAAGGGCAATCAATACCATATATTGCATTTTAAGAAATGGCTATACCCATATAATCACAGAAAACATGAATTGTTATATGTATTACTAATTTAAAATTGTCCCAGGCTGACAGAAATAGAAATATTATTTCACAAGGAATTCATTTTAATAGGTTTTCAATGTAGGGCTATATTAATGTCTTCAAATGAACTTTTATTGAGGAATACTTACTGGGAAATAAGTAGACATTAACAGAGCCTAGGCTATAAAAGATCAATTTAGACCACTTTGAATATTATGCTAGGCATTATTAGAGACTTACTTATAAAGTGATTCATATTGACACTCAGGAGTTCAGAATTATTTATTTTATGTAATAAAAATATAACTTTCCATGAAAATTTGATGCAATGTGAGAAATTGCCTTGAAAATTCAGTTTCCCTAATTCAAAAAGTTCAAATTGAATTACACTTTTCAGTAGAAATATTCATAAAGTTGTCAGTTTGTGTCAGTTGCATGAGAAGAGATATAAATTTTCAGAGAAGGCTATTTATAGCACCTTTTAATACTATATTTTTAATGTTCTACTTCTCATATTCATGTTTCCTAAAATCCAATTCTGATGAGATATGGTTTAATAAAAATTATGGCTATACATGTTAAATAACTACTAACTTAATTAAATTTTGATAAAAGCAACTAAAGTTATTTTACAAAATTTAAATGCGTAAGGGGTGTTTCTTTTGCCTCCTCATCAAACAATAAAATACTGATGACTACAGACAGATAGACAATGTATTTGGGGATGCCCTGGTTTGTTCACGTACTGGAAAATAGTGGTTCTTATCTTCTTAATTGTCATTAGGGGAAAATCTCAAAATTATATATTGAGTAAACAACTAACAAAATGTTTGTGTTCTATAGTTCATTCTCTTCAAAGTATAATAAAATTCACAGACTAGAAGTTTAGAAGGTTTGAACTCTGAATCCAGAATTATCTTTTAAGAGAATACTCTGAAAAAGTAACTGTAGCTGGGCATGGTGACTCACATCTTTAATCCCAGCTCTTTGGGAGGCTGAGGCAGCCAGATCTCTTGAGCTCAGGAATTCAAGACCAGCCTGGGCAACATGGTGAAACCCTGTCTCTACCAGAAATACAAAAACTAGTCAGGCGTGGTGGCACGCACCCGTATTCCCAGCTACTATGGAGGCTGAAGCAGGAAAATCACTTGAACCCAGGAGGCATAGGTTGCAGTGAGCTGAAATGGCACCACTGCACTCCAGCATGGGCGACAGAGCCAGACCCTGTCTCAAAAAAAAAGGTAACTTTAGTTGTTTTCCTCTTCTTATCTATAAAATAGTGATAGCCATATCAGTCCTTCTTAACTCATAGACACTTTTAAAAGTGATAAAATTACTGTATGTACTATCAATTCAAAGAGGCATAGGCGTATTTCATGAGAATTTGTTGCTTGTTTCAATGATTTTAAAAAAACACAATCTTGGAGATATAGTTTCAAATTTTACCTGTTTATATTAAAGGAGATAAAAATGATGGCTGTGTGTATTTTCACAAGTGTGTGTGTTTTATTGGAAAAGAATAGATAGATTCCAGTTCCATTTGATGGCATACTGTGTATTTTGGACCACAACCTCCACATAAAACAATTTTTCAAACTAGACAAAATATATCAAGTATGTTTTTTAAGAGCAAGAAAGAGCCAAGAATTTGGCAACACATATCAATAGACTGACAGCTGTCTCCTCAACAGCAAAAAGGAAGTCAAACGACTGTGCAATGATTTATCAATGTGCTAGAATCAACCATTTGCTATCTAAAAGAATCTCCTTCAAAAATATAACTGCAACAAAGACATTTTCAAGCAAACCAAAAATGAAACAATTCACCACAAGCAGACTGGTGGTAAAGGAATTTCTACTAGATGATGTTAATAATACAGGGGGAAAAACACAACAAAAAGGAATAGAAATTAGCAAATCTGTAAAAAATCCAGATGAACATCTATAAACTAATAATAAATATAATAATAATACTGCTTTATGTCATTTAACAGTATATAGTATGGTATCGTCCTAGGAGTATGAAATAAATATAGATAGAAAACCCAATAACACACTCAGTGATGTAGAGACACTTGGCATAAGACACATATGGCTTTGCATAACAGTGCAACAATAAATGGTCTTGGGGCAATTGAGTATTCATTCATGTGGAAAACTAAAATTGGATGCTACTTCACACTACTAATATTTATAGAATTAAATGTGAAAGGGAAAATAGTAGACAGTAGAGCTTTTAGAAGATAATAAAAAATATTTTCATGATCTCAGGGCAAGGAAATGTTTAGTAAACAAGACATAAAAATAAATATTTATAATAGAAATGTGTATTAATTGAGTTACATTAAAATTAAGATCTTCCTTTTATCAAAAGCACCATTTGGGGTATAAAAATGCAAATAACATAATAGGAGACTATTATTACAGTATATGAAATTAACAAAGGGCTTATATCCAGGACATATAAAGAGTACCAGAAATCAATAGGAAAAGTCAATCCAATGGAAAAATAGAAAAAATGAGGAACTATAACTTCACAAAAGGGAATATGTAATTGGCCAATGTGCACATGAAAAGGAACAACCTCATTTATATCAGAAAAATTTAAATTAAATCTATAATGAAATAGCACTATGAAGGTAACAAAATATATTTTTTAAATGTCTGATAATATCAGATATTAGAAAAAATATGGAGCAACAGAAATTACTCCAATGCTCCTAGGAATGCAAACTTGTACAACTACATTGGAAAAAAATCCAGAAATTATCTAATAAAGCCATCAACGTGCAAAACTTCAAACAGCAAATTTATTCCTTGTGTTTAGCCATGGAAATTGTGGGCGTATAGTGTATATGTGCGCTAGGAAATAAGCTCACAAATCTAATAACAATATTGTGGAAGTAAATTTAAAGTCCATCAAGAATACAATAAGTTAACACATTTTGATTCATTCTAGAATGGTATAAAATAACTTGAGAAAACTAAATGGACCTGGACCATTATTGGAGAAATGGTTAAAGCAATGCTGGGCAAGAGAAATAGAACAGAGAAGAAATACAGACTGCATGATTTAATTTATACACAATTTTTAAATAGCAATAGTTAAATTATATTGCTTAGGTATACATTTTTGGGGTGTAGAAATATAAGGCAAAACAAGGGGAAAATTACATAAAAGTTGAAAAAGGTGGGTGAAGAACGGAAAGCGGCAAATAGGAAACTCCTGTGTAGTCACAATGTTCTCCTGACCTGGGTAGTTTAATTACTGTTCACTTTCTAATAATGTGATATTGTATACATTTATGTTGTATGTACTTTTCTGAATATGCAACTTTATCACATTTAAAGAAGTAAAAATTTTAATGTAAATGGCTAAGCTCTGGAAGTCATATGGTTAAACAAGCAGTTGAAGGCTGGTATAACAATTAAGAAAATAAGAAATCAAGATATTATATGCAAAATATTTCAAACAAGAGATTGATAGATTTGAAAAGATGAATTAATATTTTATCTAAATATAACATTTAAAATATTCTTAATATAACATAAGAAAATTTTAAAAGTCCCAACAAGGCTGGAAAATGGATTCATTGTTTTGTTTTTCAAATCTCAATCTGATTTATGCCAATATTAACCTCCCTGTAATAAGAAGCATGTGAGAAGACCCTGCAACACCTATTTCTGAATGTACCAAAGAAAATTAATTTGTCTTCCATTATGAAAAAGAATTACTGAGAAGCAGAATGAGAGGGGAAAATATAAACAATAACTAGAAAAAAAGTTTATGACACTAATTATTTTTAAAGATGAATGCAATTGAGGAGTAAGAAAGAATCATGATTTGGTGATTAAATAGCATCTGGAAGGGAAATCCTTAGATCATAACTGGAAAAGCTAGCCATCCAAACCGACCAGAGAAGGTAAAACACATTGGCAAAAAGATGGTGCTATAAAAGAACAATGAATATCTGCATGTCATATCTTCAAGAGACGGAAATATGGAATTAATACAGTGTGTGGAATCTTTGTCAGTTTCTTCAAAAATGAGAAATTAACTGTAAATGTACACAATATTAAATCTTATTTTACAATGAAAAATGTGAACACTGCATGAGAATGAAAGAGATGACATAGTGGAATGAACAGTAAAAGACTAAGTTAACATTTTTCTTATCTTCCAAGGCATCAATCTCTATTTCCTCCTACTTTCATGAGAGTTACTTATTTAAGGGGTCTCTGCTCCTCTGCTACCCTTAAATGTTAATCTATTCCATGGTTCCATCCTCGACTCTTCTATTTTCTCTGTTTCCCTTGGTAACTTCATCCTTTCTAGTGATTAAAACCACCTACATATCACAGGTTCCCATAAGCAGTTTTTACTTTCTTCTGTTGTTTCAGTTGCCTGCTGGACATTTCCATCTAATGTCTCAACTTTACGTTTACAAAAAACAAAAAAAAGAAAAAGTGCAACATTTTTATTAAACCAAAATTTCTTGCAAGCCTGATTTTGACAAACAGCATCATTATCCATGAAGTAATCCAAGTAGAAATCTTGAAAATATCCTTACTTCTTTATTTTTTAGCAACACCTTCAACCTCCCTCTTCTATATATGCATACATTATCATCATCATCATTACCATTATGATTATCAAGATACGTTTTCAAATAATTTTTTTCTTTATACAATGCTGCCAAAAATCCTGTTTTAAAAGCAATCCTGGATGTATAATATAGATGGTTATTTAACATTCTCTACTACTCCATAATTTTTCCACTTCTCATTTACAGAATTTTTTTATAATTATAGCATATAACAACCTAGTTTGAATATCTAGTTTATACTTTGTTTACATGTCATATTAGTCAGGGTTCTCTAGAAGGGCAGAACTAATGGAATACATTCATACATATATAGAGAGAGAGTTTATTAAGTGTTAACTCACATGATCACAAGGTCCCACAGTAGGCTGTCTAAAGACTGAGGAGCAAGGAGAGACAGTCCAAGTTCCAAAACGGAAGAACTTGAAGTTCCGTGTTCGAAGGCAGGAAGTATCCAGCATGGGAGAAAGATGTAGGCTGGGCGGCTAGGTCAGTCTCTCTTTTCACATTTTTCTGCCTGCTTATATTCTAGCTGAGCTAGAAGCTGATTAGATTGTGCCCAACCAGACTAAGGGTGGATCTGCCTTTCCCAGCCCATTGACTCAAATGTTAATCTCCTTTGGCAACACCCTCACAGACACACCCAGGATCAAAACTTTGTATCCCTCAATCCAATCAAGTTGAAGCTCAGTATTAACCACCACAAGTCCACGCCTTGTCAACTTGAGCCCATACACATCTGGGGAGATCATATACAATATTCAAATAAAGAAAATAATAAGGTAATAGTTACACCTAACAAAATACAATTATCCTTCATACAACCAGAAATTCACCAATTCCCAACCCAAATACTATTACATAAAGTTAACAATACTTAAATGCTGATGTGAAGTCAATAAATCTTATGTCACATGATAAAGGAGAAAGGAAATAAAATGAAGATATTTTCTTAGTACAAGCGTATACCTACACAAATATGTTTTTAACAAAAGAAGGAGGAAATACTCATAGCAATTATAGTCCTTGTTTCTGCAGCCAGTCACGTGGTCATAGCTGGTACTGATGACTACCTTCTTCTACTACTCATACTGTATTCCCTTTGCCTTCAGCAAGCACCTCAGCAGGTTGTGTTTTTTTTCCTCGTGGAGTGACGCAAACCTTCATTCCTGAATGGTCTGAGTCATTCGTAGTCCTGCCTGGATTGGGCTGCTGTACTTTCCCATTGACCTTAATCACAGGGCATGGTAATAGTAAGAGACACCCTCATGGATCTCCTGTATTCTATGCATACTCTTCCTTATCTCCATTGTGGAGCAGTAGACTGATTTCATCTTGATAGTCCAGGTCAATCACGCCAGCCAACACTGTAATTCCCTTATTAGCAGGTTGACTTAAAGGCAGGAGAAGCCCAAAGTATCCAGGTGGCAATCTTAACTCCAAGTTTAATGGAACCATTGTTGTCTCCCGGTGGCAGTGTTCCTCCCTCTGGAACTAAGACCTCTAGGCCAGCAGAACATAATGTCGCAGTAACAGGAAGTAAAAATTTTGCTAGTGGATCATTAGGGTTGATGGTGAGTGGTGCCACTTCCACTTCCACCCCTTGATTCCTGGACCCGTGAATCCTGGCTATGGAAGAAACAGTACCATATACTGGATGCTGAATCAGAGCACACACGGCCATCTGGAGAACTTTGCCCCAGCCCTAGCCAAGCATTGTCAGCTAGTTGGCATTGTAATTGTGACTTCAAAAGGCCATGCCACCATTCTATCAATCCAGCTGCTTCAGGATGATGGGAACGTGGTAAGACCCATGAATTCCATGAGCATGAGCCCACTGCCGCACTTCTTTAGACATAAAGTGAGTGTCTTGGTCAGAGGCAATGCTGTGTGGAATACCATGACGGTGCATAAGGCATTCCGTGAGCCCACAGATGGTAGTGTTGGCAGAAGCATTGCATGCAGGATAGGCAAACCCATATCCGGAGTAAGTGTTTATTCCAGTGAGGACAAACCTCTGCCCTTCCCATGATGGAAGAGGTTCAATATAATCAACCTGCCACCAGGTAGCTGGCTGATCACCCCGAGGAATGGTGCCATATCAAGGGTTCAGTGTTGGTCTCTGCGAAATTAGGCAGAGCAGCAGCTGTAGCCAGGTCGGCCTTGGTGAGTGGAAGTCCATGTTGCTGAGCCCATGCATAACTTCCACCCCCACCACCATGGCTGCTTTGTTCATGGGCCCACTGGGCAATGACAGGGGTGGCTGGGGAAAGAGGCTGAGTGGTGTCCACAGAACGGGTCATCCTGTCCACTTGATTATTAAACTACTTTTCTGCTGAGGTCACCCATTGGTGAGCACTCACATGGGATACAAATTCTTCAGTTTTTGACCACTCAGAGAGGTTCTTCCACATAGCTCTTCCTCAACTTTCTTTGTCACCAATTTTCCAATCATATTTCTTGCAAGTCCCTGACCATCCAGCCAAACCCTTGGCTACAGTCCATGAATCAGTATATAATCACACATCTGGACATTTCTCCTTCCATGCAAAGTGCACAACCAGGTGCACTGCTTGAAATTCTGCCCACTGGGAAGGATTCCCTTCACCACTGTCCTCCAGGGATGTCCTAGAAAGGGGCTGTAGTGCTGTAGCTGTCCACTTTCAGGTGGTGCCTACATGTCGTGTAGAGCCATCTATAAACCAGACCCTTGTCTTCTGTTCCTCTGGCAACTGGTCATAGGGGACTCCCCATGAGGCCATCAGTGCAGGCTAGGGGAGTGTAGGAAGGGTGGCAGGAGTGGGGAGCATGGGCATTTGAGTCACTTCCTCATGTAACTTATATGTGCCTTCAGGACCTGCTTGAGCCCGATCACGTATACAACACTTCCACTTGATGATGGAATGCTGCTGTGCATGACCCACTTTATGGCTAGATGGGTCAGAAAGCACCCAGTTCATGACAGGCAGTTCAGGTCACATGGTGACTTGATGACCTACAGTCAAACATTCAGTTTCCACCAAAGCCCAGTAACAGGCCAAGAGCTGTCTCTCAAAAGGAGGGTAGTTATCTGCAGAAGATGGCAGGGCCTTGCTCAAAATCCTAGAGGCCCCCACTATGATTCACCTATGGGGGCCTGCCAAAGGCTCCAAACAGCATCCCTATCTGCCACTGACTCCTCAAGCACCATTGGATCTTCTAGGTCACATGGCCCAAGTGGCAGAGCAGCTTGCACAGCAGCCTGGACCTGTTGCAGAGCTTCTCCTGTTCTGGATCCCACTCAAAACTGGCAGCCTTTCAGGTCACTTGATAAATGGGCCTAGACTCATCTGTGGCAATTTCCCGAGTGCCAGAATGCATGATTGGCATAGACATACCTAGCAGCTGGCATAACCCCCGCATTGCCTCCCTGACTGGTAGGGGGAGGGCTACCATATAGCGGAATCTATATTTATATATCTCATATATGTATGAGTATGGGAGTTTATATATATTATATATATATGAGTATATACTCATATATACTCATATATATTCATATATACTCATATATATTCATATATATACTCATATGTATTTGTATATATACTCATATATGTATTCGTATATATACTCATATATATTCGTATATATACTCATATATATTCATATATACTCATATTCATATATATACTCATATATATATTCATATATACTCATATATTCATATATATACTCATATATATATTCATATATATACTCATATATATATTCATATATATACTCATATATATATTCATATATATACTCATATATATATTCATATATATACTCATATATATATTCATATATATACTCATATATATATTCATATATATACTCATATATATTCATATATACTCATATATTCATATATATACTCATATATTCATATATATACTCATATATATATGAGTATGGGAGTTTAAGTATTAACTTTACACGATCACAGTGTCCCACAATAGACTGTCTGTAGGCTGGGGAGAAAGGAGAGCCAGTTTGAATTCCAAATCTGAAGAACTTGGAGTCCGAAGCCGAAGTTTGAGGGCAGGAAGCATCCAGCACGGGAGAAAGATGTAGGCTGGGAGGCTAGGCCAGTCTCTCTTTTCACATTTTTCTGCTTGCTTATATTCTAGCTACACTGGCGGCTGATTAGATTGTGCCCACCCAAATTAGGTTGGATCTGCTTTTCCCAGCCCACTGACTCAAATGTTAATCTCCTTTGGCAACACACTGACAGACACACCCAGGATCAATACTTTGTATCCTTCAATCCAATCAAGTTGACAGTCAGTATTAGCCTTCACACATGTCTATATCCACCAGAATATAAATTCCTCAAGGACAAATTGTAGGCTTCAATCCTTAGAACAGTATGAAGTACACTAAATTTTTATGGAATGAATGCATTCTTTGCATGGCTGTTTGCTGTAGATTGATCATGTTTAAAAGTAGGAACTATTAACCTGGGATCCGTGGATAGAATTCATAGGTCAGTAATAAAAAGAAATTATCTTACTTTTCACTAACCTCTGACTAAAGTTAGCATTGTTTTTAAGCCAATAAATGACAATAGTACCTATAACTTTGTCACTAAGAAAATCACAAATTTGCTCATATTAAGTTTGAGTTATTGTAGATATATGAAATATTTTTAAGCCCATAACTGTTTGGAATATGGTAATTATTAGATACACTGCTAGACCATTCTATGCAACATGTAATTAAAGACACATTTATGGCTGGGTGCAGTGGCTTATGCCTGTAATCCCAGCACTTTGGGAGGCTGAGTTGGGTGGATCGTTTGAGGTCAGGAATTTGAGATCAGCCTATCCAAAATAGTGAAACCTCATCTCTACTACAAATACAAAATTAGCCAGGTGTGGCGGCACATGCCTGTAATCCCAGCTACTTGGGAGGCTGAGGCAGGACAATCGCTTGAACCAGGGAGGCGGAGGTTGCAATGAGTCGAGATCATGCCACTGCACTCCAGCCTGGGAAACAGAGCAAGACTCTGTCTCGAAAAAAAAAAAAGTATATATACACACACACACACACACACACACACACATATATGTATACACATACATATATATATAATTGTTTTCCTTGATAATCCTATGCCTTTCATAGTATTCATTTAAATCTGAGAAGGAAGCTTCAACAGGTGGCTAAATGATCCATGACAAACACATTTTAGAAGCTCCTTTCCTATGAAATGAACACAACACACCATTAAGAGAATTACTGTGATTTTTGTGTTAGATAAGCAGATCTTCCTGCTTTGCAAGAAATCAGTGAAGATGAATCAGCTAAGAGAATATGAAAGCTGTCAGTACAATTAGAAAGGGATTTAGTGTCAGTGATTGAACAAGGAGATAAACAGAGGCATAAGTAGAAATAAAGGTCAAACATAGAAGTAAAGTTAAAATATGAGAATGTACAGCAAGGGCTGAAAACCCTTGTGTAGTAGAAATGAGATAACATTGAGCCATTTGATAAGAATCTCTTAGTCTCCTTGAAAATACACAGTGAAAGACAGAAGTATCACCAAAGATAATGACTTGCTCAGATGGATAAAGAAAATTTCTGGCACTTAAGAGTACAAGCAAAGACCAAAAAACAAACAAAATTAAAAAAATAAACACGTATATAACTTATAATTTAGTAAACTATTATAAATTCCTCATGGAAGATAAATTAGTTGCCAAAAACAAGTCGTAATTATACATAGTTTCCTGAAATAAAACTGTTTTAAAAAGCCCACATTTTGAAGATCTACTTGGCTTTTATTAGCAATTCATGAAATATGAAATCATTCTGTCTAAAAATAGAAGGAGCTCCATTGGGTATCACAAAACAGTTGGTTTTGACCAGGAACAAGGAAATAGAATAACACAAAAAGCAGATTGGTTAACATTAGGTTACCTCAGTTTATTTTTCTTGTAAAGTTTAAAATGAAGGTGACTTCCTTATTATGCCAGCTCAGGTTGACTGAGCCCTTTCTGATTGGTTGCTGTGAATCTCCTCTTTTTAGGAAAAACCTATCTGTTCCGCTTCCTTACAGTTTCAGTTGGATTATATGCTATTTGGGGTGAGTGACTCCATTTTGGTTTGGTGTATTGGGGCCTAGTGCAGGATCTCAGTTTAAAACAATGGACTACAAAACTGTTACTAGTTTTATACATTTAACCAATCTGCTTAGTAAACTCAACATCAATGTTATTGTATACATGCTATAGAGTTATATACAAATTTCCTGTTTTAATCTTTATCAGGTTCTACTTACATTTAAACGTTAGATCAATTTCACTAAGTATTTGGTATCTACCTTGTTAATCAGAGTCCAATGCTGAGATGTTTCTTGAATATTTTTACCTGCACCTGTTACTACAAAGTAGAACAGAGAATGGAGAATGGAGAAGAAAGGGAAACATGAGGCTGGGTGCAGTGGCTCACGTCTGTAATCCCAGCACTTTGGGAAGCCGAGGCGGGCAGATCACAAGGTCAAGAGTTCGAGACCAGCCTGACCAACATGGTGAAACCTCATCTCTACTAAAAATACAAAAAGTAGCCTGGCGTGGTGGCACGTGCCTGTAATCCCAGCTACTCAGGAAGCTGAGGCAGCAGAATCACTTGAACCCAGGAGGCAGAGGTTGCATTGAGCAGAGATTGCACCACTGCATTGCACTCCAGCCTGGGCGACAGATAGAGACTCAATCTCAAAAAAAAAAAAAAAAAAAAAAAAAAGGGAAACATGAACTTACATAATAAAACACAGGCTATTTTCAAAAACATTGAGAAAAATTTAAGAAACTGTGCAAAGTTATTATGCAAATAGAATGATGCCACATCCAATTCTTTAAATATCATTTATTCATGCATGCAAGATGTAAGTATTACTGTGTCAGGCCCTGTGTTAGTTACTGATGATTTTTTTAAAAAGCAGACACCATCAGTGCCTTCATGAATGTACCGTCTAGGTAGAAGGCAGATTTTAATCAAATCAACACAAAATTATAATTAAATATAGCAAGCGTCAAACATTAAAAAAGCAAAGATACTTAGCATATAACAGAGATAACTATCTTAGTCTGGATTCCTAAGGAAATGATAATTAAGCTGAGATCCAAATGATGACTTGTGTAGGGGATGAGGGAAGAAAACTAGAGGAAGGGGAAACACAGGGTCAAGAAGGGAGAGAACTTGATATGGTCTAGGAAATGAAAGGTAATCAATTATGTGTACTGAGCATGAGGGAGGAGGCAAGAGGTAAAGCAGATAGATTGCAAAGGGCTTTATAGGGAGGGTGACCACACATCCCAATTCCTTAGGGCAGTTAGGGTTTAAGATAAGTAATAATCAATAATAATTAATATTGCCATTTGCACTCTCAGAAGCTTCCCAGGTTGGTGACATATTATTATTCTAATTCTATAAATAAATAAGGGGAGATCATAGTATCAATTAGGAATTGCCCTTGGCTATTAATATCATATGTCAGAAGTAAGAAGAGCTTTAAAAAGATAGAAGATTAATTTTCTCTCAGGGAAAAAAAAAGTTACAGAGGTAGAAAGTCCTGGCCTGATCTGACAGCTCCATAGATATAGTCTAACTTGGTTTCTCAACATTCCCAGTGTAGGGGTAAAAAGGTAGTACACTTTCCTCACCCATCACAAGGGTAATGGCTGATGTGCCTATACAAAAAGACAGGTTAGGGAGAAAGCATTAAAAATATGTTTAACCAAAGTTTTACTTGGCACGGAAGCCTTCAGAAGTAATGACCTAAAGACCCAGGGAAAACTGTGTGTTTTTACATAAAGTCTGATAAGACACATGGATAGTTGTGGAGATATAAGATTAGACAAAAAGAGCGTCATCTAATGGTAATAAACTGAGGCGGGAACTCGGCAAAGTCTGTTTGTTCAGACTATTCTAGGCCTCTGTGTGTAGCATTCCTTCCCCCATATGTGGTAGGACACTCTGGAAGGGGGTCTTAATATTTACTTCCAGAGAAGGTAGGTCAGAGAATAAACTTTCTAGGTTTTATAGCTTGTTTTGACGGAGAGGAATTCTGGTTTCTATGACTCACTTTGGAGGAGAAAGAGGTATGAGAAAAAGGAGGGTGGGAGAATATCAGAGAGACCTTGTTTCTGAGGCTCTCCCAGTTGTCTCCGGTTCAAAGTACTCAGCCTGCCAAGGGCATACTTTGGTGTATAATTTTCTGAGGCCCAGCACTAGGTATGGCTTATCCTCATGGTTATCTCATGGCTCCAGATTTCTGAAGCTCCAGTCATCATGTCCACATTCTAGGCAAGAACAAGGAAGAGTGAGGAAAGAACAAAAAAGGCCTATACCTATTAAGTATCCTTCACCTAAGACTCAGTCTAAAAACCTTCCATTTACATTTCACTGGCAGAAATTTAGGCATATGGTATCACTTAGTTGCAAAAAAGTTAGATATTATAGTTTTTAGACAAGTATATTGATATTGCACCAAATAAAATAGGGGTTCTATTAACAAGAAAAACAGAATAGATATTAGGTGGGAAATTAGCAATCTGTGCAAAAGGCATTAATATGTTCTTTATTCTAAGTGAAATGGAAGCCATGAAGAGATTTATGCAGGGTAGTGCCTAATCTGATTACAGTTTGGGTGAGTGTGTTTTTTTAATTTTTTGACTGCCATATAAACAATAGATTACAGAGGGCAAGTGTAAAAGCAGAGAGATCAGTCAGGGGGCTCAAGTTGCAATAGTGCAGGAGAAATATGAAGCAGGGCAAATTCTACTGGACATTAAGAAATCGTGTAGACAAAAGAGATATTTAAGAACAAACATCCACTGGATATGATGATTTAATAAATATGGAGGTTGAAGGAGAGGCAAATGGCAGGGAAGGCTTAAATATTGTGACTTTTAGGACTAGATGAATAAATAGCATTGTTATTTGAAGAACTATGGAATATTGGAAGAAATCTAGATTAGAGGCTCAGAAGCTTAGGATCAGTTCAAGACATATTGAGTTGCAAATGCATTTAAGATATTTAATGGACGTATCAAGTAGGTTGTTAAATAGGTGGTCATAAAATAAATTGGGCAATCATCAGCATATAGAAGATAACTAAAGTTGCAGACATAAGTAAGATTACTGAAGAAAAGCATATAAAATAAGATGAAAAGATAGTCTAGAACCAAGCCACAAAAAACTTCAACATTTAGTTTCCTGTAGAAGAGGATGTGGTTGCAAGAAGATTGAAAATGCCTGAGTAAAAAAGTAGGAGGGAAAACAGAAGAATGCAGCATCATGGGAGCCAAGAAAAGAGAGAGTTTCAAGAAGAGAGAGTCTTTAAGTGTCACATACTTGTGAGATATCAAGTAAAACATAACTGAACAGTATCCATTGGATTTAGAAAATGAAGAGTTGCTTCAGTAAAGGGAAGATTGGATAAGTCGGTATGCAATAAACTGAGAGACAATGGGCAGTAAGGTGATGGAGGTAGTGGAGATGGATTGTACAAATCCTACCACTTCAAAAACTTATGCTGTAAGCTGGTATGGTGGTTCACACCTGTAATCCCAACACTTCAGGAGCCCAAGGCAGGAGGATTGCTTGAGCTCAGGAGTTTGAGACCAGCCTGGGCTATATAGGGAGACCCTACTTGTACAAAAAAATTTAAAAAGTATTCAGGCATGATGGCTTGTGCCTGTAATCCCAGGTGCTCAGGGGACTGAAGCTGGAGGGTGCTTGAGTCTAGGAGGTTGAGGCTGCAGTAAGCAATGATTGTGCTACTGCACTCTAGTCTGGGTGACAGAGGAAGACCTTGTCTCAACAATTTTTTTAAAAAAGGTATATTGCAAAGAGATAATGAAGATAGTGAAGTATGTAGAGAAAAGTGCAGGCTCTAAGGAAAATTTTCTTTTTAATTGGTTCTTTTACTTATGCTTTTTTTAAATGGTAGAGATTTAATGAAGTTTAGATACTGCTAAGAAGGATTCTGTATACAAATAGTTTCTTAAATGAGAAACTGTGATGAGATGAATAAGAAATTGTTATATATGTTTTTTATTTCTGCCTTCAAATATACCATTTCAGATCTACCTTCAAAATTAAGTACCTCTCAGGAAGATCCCACAACCTCAATATCAATCTTATGAATTAAGAAGTCTGGCTCTGTCTTCCATTAAACATCCATCTCATACAAGTTAAAGTTTCTTCTCTTTTTCCAATTTAAGCCTTCTTTTGTTCCTAGAAATCTGCTCTGGCAAATAAGTAATTGGTTTGATCTTCCTTCGCTTATTCCTCTCTCTGCTGTTTGCACTGCAAGAAACAGAGTAGGGACTGGAGGAAAGTAGGCAAGGGTCTTATTTTTAGTGCTATTTAATCCAGTCCTGAATTAACTTTCTTGAATTCCTGATATGAGCAAATGTACAGGCTGACTTCTTGCTACCTTTCTTCAGCTCTTGCCTCCTGGAGGTACATCATAGATTATCCTGAGTGGGTCTCTGCGAGACAGCTCAAGCCTAGGTACATTCCCTGGCATCTGATTGCCTTGTGGGGAAATTATGCAACTTTGCTTTGCCAAGCGGTAGATGTGTGGCTTCTGAAATTAACACTCTCTCTCTTCCCTTCTGTTGTAAGTATCTTAGCCAGCTCCCTCCATCAGACTCCTGAAGACAAGAAGGATGCATGTATTTCTATGTTTCCATGGTAATATATATTCCCAAATATTTGAGAACTCATGTCAAGTCCTCCCAAGGGTACTTTCAAAAATTCTTACAGTGTTTGATTGAAAAGTTAGAAAGGGGCAAACAAAGGTGTCCTTTATTTTTACAAATTCCCTTTAAGGACCTTCCTATATTAACTTTCTAGTCTTCTTTTATCTAGGTTGTGGTCACTCTGTTCTTTTGGCAATTTTGTAGTAGGTGCTGCATGAATGTATCCAGTCTTTTTGCCAGAATTCTGAGACTACTGGAAAGATCCATTACATCATATTATAAAAATAGTCAAGAGAAGAGGTTGATCAGACAACAAAGAGAAAGCACAACGAATAAATTCGGGAAGCCAAGAATGTGCAAAGTGGAAAGATCTGCTTCAGAGAGCCAGTGTCATTCTGTGAGAAATTAGAAACAGGTGTTTTTTTGTTTTTGTTTTGTTTTTTATGTAAAGGATATTCTGGTATTGTGAGGCTTTCAAATATATTATCTGTCAAGTGACAGACTCAAATCTGTCCTTTAAAGTAAAAACAAGAGGGGAAGGCAGAGAGCAAGTATGTTGGAAGGTTATGGGAATAATTTAAAGGGAGTAGAGAGTAGCATTCCTTAATAAGGAAGAAGCAGCTGAAGTGGGAGAAGATAGATTCAAGAAAGATTATGGAGGTACAAATGGCAGACTATAATGACTGGTCAGATATGAAAAAATAAATAGGCTCAATCAAAGATAATGCTAGGTATGGGAAACTTCAGAGTTAGTTATGTTGATCCTATGTTGTATTTTACAACTAATTTTGTTACATATGTGCTATACATTTTGGTGCAATTATTACTTCTCAGAGTCCTAGAATCTTTACTTTACAATTTATATCATAATAACAATTCCATAGTGACTTGGAGGATCTAATATATCCCCAAGAAATGCTAACCCCTCCCTCTTCTAATTTAGTTTTTCTCCATGGAAAAAGCAATTTTTACTCTTGTCTTGTAAGATCCTGTTTTATTTATTTATTTATTTATTTATTTTTATTATACTTTAAGTTCTAGGGTACATGTGCACAATGTGCAGATTTGTTACATATGTATACATGTGCCATGTTGGTGTGCTGCATGCATTAGCTCGTCATTTACTTTTTTTTTAATGGATAGATAGTCAGTAGTATGTGCCAGGCATGAGTCTACCTACTTTTTAAATATTGGATCTTTGAATTTTCACAATAGCCCTATTAAGCAATTACTATTATTATTATCATCATCCACATTTCACAGATAAAGAAATTGAGACTCTAAAAGAGGCCCAAGGTTATGTAGCTATTAAGTAGCAGAACAGGGGTTTAAATTCAAGTAGCCCAAGCTTTTAATCATTGCACTCTGCTAGCTTTCTGTCCTATAAAAAGCCGTTCATGATCCCTTCAACAACAAGAAATTGCTCCATTCACCCTAGCTTGATCTGAATTCATATGTTGGCTATTTCTTTCCATCTTGAGTTATCATTATTTTTATATATGTTTTAACTAGATTATCTGCTAGCTGGTAAAGTTCTTTCAGGCAAGGACCATTTCTCATTCATCTTTGTGCCTATAACTAAAAAGGCATAGCCCTAAAGTGTAGCTAAGATAGTAAAAACCCTGGAATCAGAGAGGCTTGAGTAGACTGGATGTTTCTGACTTGCTGTGTGACATGAGCATAGAGCTTAAGATTTATGTGCTTCAGACTCCTCACCTGCAAAATGTACTAATCTTTCTTGTGCTTGTGATGAAGTTAAAGGACATAATGCACATCAAAATTTGGACATAGATCCTAATACATCGTGAGTACTCACGAAATACCTATTGTTTCCATTTTTGCTGCACGGAATAAAAAGTCCTCAATAAACATTTGCTAATTCATTGATTCCATTTTTGAGATTACATGTAGTTGTGGCTGGTATCAAGCATGAAAGAGGCCATACATAAAGTTACAGGAGAAATGTCTTCTAATGTAATTGCAATCAAATATTTCTACTTCCATGTATATTGACTATCCATTTCAAGTTTTAACTTGTAAGAAACAGCTAATTATTAACTAGTATTTTATTCTTGTGCATATAAAATTAATATTCATTAGATAATTTTCAAATAATATCAGATATGGAAAACATGAGGACAACTTAAGTGGAAAATTCTTCCAGAATATTGCAATGTTTTCAACTGTAAAATGAATAATAAATCAGAAGTCCTGATTAAGGCTGGTTATATTTATAAGGAAATATAAGAAATATTAAGAATAATCATTTTAATTACAACAATTTGGAATGGGAACTAATGGGTTTGTTTGTTGTTCTAAATAGTAATAAAAATGCCCAGATTTTTTTTCTAAGAAACAGGTAGCAGATTCATTCATTCAATCTTGAATTATAGATTTTATATAGATTTACCCTTCTTGGATTCTCATAAGGAAATGTTTAATAAAGGATTTTATGACTCAATAAGGCAAATAGTATTGCAAACTTGAATCTCTTCTCAGACTACAAAAAGGTACAAGAACATAGGGCTCCCCTAATCTCCAAATTGCTTTCTCCTATTACAACATGAAATTCAGGCTTGGTCAAAAAATGTTATATGAATTACACAGTGTTGCTATAGCGGAAAAGCAAATATTATATATCTATATTTCTTTCTCGAAAGTGCTTTCTAGAAGAACAGTCATTGTATTACATTGGATAGGGAACAGAGGCATTATTTTAAATATATCTGCACATCACCTTAAATGTTACATCAGCTTCTCATGTGATTTCTTTTTAGTCTTCACTTTTTAATCTTTCACTTTCATTAGAAGGGTTAGTAGGGAGAAGGATAATACAGATGTCCTTACAAAGGATAAAATGCTGAAGGTGGAATAAAATTAGCGGTAGGGAAATCATTTAGAAGAACATTTTAATAATCTATTTGAACCTTAATGAGGGCTTGAATTAAGATTCGTTTCCATTACCTAAAATAAACTTTTTTATTCTTCATAATATTTTTCCTGCAACTTCTAGTAGTAAAGGTGTTTCTCATTAAATGGGCTTACAACTTAATGAAGCAGTAAGTCATTTAAACCTAAGACTTATAGGGACAAAGTAGGTGACAGAATTACTAGAGTTGAAGCATAAATTCATTTCATTTCATGAGTCTTGGAGGCTGTGTGTGATTACTCAGTTCAAGCAGAGAATCTTTGAGAACCTTAAAGCAATGAACTCTGAGATAGAAGGAGCTAGCTTGACTGATTAGAAAAGGCAGAAGGTAAAGCCCCAGAGCTAGGCAATGTGGAAAGTGGATTAACACATCATGTCATGCAGCAGTGGTAACTCTCCCCAGGTGGATATAAGATGTTCCAGAACATGCAGGAAAAAAAAAAAAGAAATTCCTGAGGGCTGTCCTGATATCACTAAATTGGAGTCATTCTAAAATACCAGGCATGATCGTGAAGGGTGATAAACTGTCAAAAAGAAACAATGTTGCAGAATTTTTTTAAAAAGAGAAAGAAAAGCATTTACAAAGTATTTACAAACCAAAACCAAAAACCTCAATCAGTGGTTTCCATGGGCTGGTGGTAGAGTTAGTGAATTGACCACTTAATTATAGTAGTGGTTACACTGATGTATACTTTTGTCAAAATTCATAAGACTATATACCTACAAAATGTAAATTTTCCTTGGAGTAAATTATACTTCATAAAGCCTGAGTAAAAAGTATTAAAAGTAAATATGATTCACTTAGAAAGGTGAGCTTGCTAATAAAATAAAAAATAAAAATACAGTTATGTGTATGATGTAATCTACATACTCAAAATTAAATTACTGCATGTGATTACCAGAGATAACCAGAGTTTAGAAAGAAGGGGCTTAAAATTGCATATTGAACTCTTTTTAAACTACTGGCTTAATGATGATATGTATTCTTTATGTGTAGAAATTTCACATAGTTCTGTGTCTTGAATGTGAATTTCAAGGGCAAAGATGAGAGAAATTGTGCCTGATCTGCAGTTCCTTACTCACTTCTAAACTGAGGAAATATTTATAACGTCACAGATAGGTTTCTCAAGAAGCATACAATGACACTGAATTTAGTGGGCAAGGTGTTCATTAGAGAAGAGAAGGGGTAGTAAGCAAGGTTGTGCCATCAATTTAATGCATACACTGAACTCTGGAGAATGGTACCCCATTTTTGCAGACTGGTGGCTCTGGGCTGACACTCCAGCTGTGCCCTCAGAGTCCACTGTAATGCTCTATCAGGCCAGATACCTCTGAATCCAGTTGGTGTAATGACCAGTAGATAACATGGATAAGGTCCTCTCCAGCATCTCCTTTGCTGAAAAGTGCATCCCCTGATCTGATCTGATGTTATGTGAGATAACAAGACAGTGGGTCAAATAAGCTCAGATAATAGTGCTGGCTGAGGTTCTATATGCAGAAAAGGCAAACTCATATGTGAAATACATCTATTCCTATGAGAATGAAATGCTGGCTCTTTCACGATTGAAGGACCCCAATGTAGACAACTTGCTACAAGGTGGTCTATTGGCCTCCTGGAGGAATGGTCCCATATCTGGCCTCGACATTGGTCTCCATTGCAGCAGATTGAATACTTGGCAGAAGGAGTGCCTAGATAAGCCTTGGTAAAAGTCAGGGTCCATGCTTTTGGGTCTATGCATAGCCTCCATTTTTTTTTCCCTCATAGCTGCTTTATATGTGTCCATCATAACTGCGCTGGCATGGCCAATGGAGAAGCTGGCTGACATCAACCTAGTGGTCACTTTGAGTGCTTGCTTGTTTAGCAACTATTCTGTGGTGAATGCTCTCTGGTGGGCACCAACATGTGATATAAACATCTTCACACTTTATGACCACTCACCTACGTTCATCCATATACCTATATTCCAGACATCTTTGTCCCCATTCTCCCTATCCTTTACACTCCAGGCCTCTGACCAGCAGCCAGATCATTTGTTACTGCCTATGAGTTTGTTCATATCCTAACCTGAGACCACATCTTTTTTCACGCAATGTGCATTACAAGGTACACCATCTGAAGCTCTTCCCCTTAGCAAGATCTTTCTTCACCTCTGTTTTTTAAGGCTACCCGTGGATAAGGCTGCAGTGCAGCTGTTTATGCTGAACTGATCCATACATAAAACAAATTTTGCCTTTTTATCTCCTCCTTGATGGCTGTATGGGATCCCTCATATAGCTGTATATGTGGCTAGGGGAGGTGTGCTGGTGCAGTAGTTGTGGGTGCCATGGGAGTCTGAGCTAAATGCTCATGTTACTTTCTTGTACCCGCTGGTGCTACTCATGCTTGATCCCACATGCACCATTGCCATTTTATAATGGATCATTGCTGGATCTGCCTGTGATTTGGTGGGGTTGACAGGATCCAGCTGATAACTGGCAATAACCTGGCCATGCTCATTTGATATCAGACACTCATTCTTTCCCAGGGCCCAGTAGCCAGTAGTTTTTCAAAAGGTATGAGACACTATGTTGCAAATGGCATGGTCTTGAAGCCCAGGGAGGTTTTAATGTGATTGTCTCACTAGTAATCACATTAATGCTCCCTCAGGTTCAGGAACATGCCATTTAAATAATTTCCATTATCTAAAAATAAACTTTTTTATTCTTCAGAGTATTTTTAGTTCAAGTTCTAGTAGTAAAGGTGTTTCTCGTTAAATGGGCCTCTGACCAGCAGCCTGGTCATTTACTACTGCCTATAAGTTAGTATATATCACTGAGTATTTCCACAAAGCCCACGTGATACAATTTATATATATATATACACACACACACACAATCCAACAGACCCTATGTTGTTGGTGGTAATCAGTGGTATATAAGTATAATTACCACTGCAAAATGTACTAATTATCTAATAATAAACTCTCTCTCTCTATATATAGTTACCACTGATTACCACCGACAACATAGGGCCTGTTGGATTGTGTTTCTCAGCAGGCAAGGGTGCTTACATTATAAGGACTTTTCTTCCTCTGAACAACACTGAAAGATGGCAGCTTTTCACCTAACTTAGTGTATGAGCTAGGGCAGTATTTGTAGGTTTGAAATATGCTACCAATAAATGCAAAGAGGTTAATAGACAATATACTTCCTTTTACAAGGTAGGAGGTGCAAAGTGTAATAATGTATCTTTACTTTGGAGGGGCTATTCTGACACACCCTGCACTATTGAATCCCTAAAAATTGTACAGAAGTGGAAGATTTCTAAGCTTCACTATTTTACCTCCCACCCACAGGAGTGATGTGTCTTTCTAAGAACTCCAGTGTGTTAGGCACCTCTCTCTCAATGGGTCTAGTAAATATCGTGCTACCAGTGTAATGGGTCACTGTGATGTTCTGTGAGAGGTCCATATAGTCAGATCTCTTCATACTATATCATGTGAGAGAAAAGGAAAATTAGGAAATCCTTGAAGAAAAACTCTAAATGTATTGTTATTATTTTTGGTTGATTCCATATGAAAGCAAACTGGCTCTCATCTTTCCTTTCTCATTGGTATAGAAAGGAATGCATTCACCCAATTAATGACTCCATGATACGTACTTGAGGGTATGTTTATATTTATCTGCTTAAACAAAGATACCATTTCTGGCATGGCAGTGGCAATCAGAGCTACTACTTGGTTGAGTTTGTGGTAGTTTACAATTGTCTTTCAGAAATTATTTATTTTCTATAGAAGCCAGTTTGTGAATTAAAATATCATCAGACTACCACTCCTGCTTCCTTTAAGGGTGGCACTAATCTCCTGAGAGTCCCCCTTTTCCCTAATATGTGACTTTGTTTTTTTGTTTTGTTTTGTTTTGTTTTTGTTCAGTCTCCTTAAAGACTGTCAATAATTACCAATACTTGAAATATATGACTATATTTCAAGTCATCATGGCAGGATATTGTGAAAAGACTTCAATTAGCAATAATTGTGCCTCGGATAAACCTCATTGACTATGATACTACTACTGTGCAGGGTGACTTAAGTTCAGAGGCTTGGCTTTTGTACTATAATATCTTTTACCACAGAGACCAAGAATTCTGTATGGGGGTTGCTCCAACTTTACAGTTGCCAACAACCGAATGTTTGTGTCCCCTCAAAATTCACATGTTGAAACTCTAACTTATGATGTGATGGTATTTTGAGATGGGGCCTTTGGATGGTAATTAGGTTTAGATGAGGTCATGAGGGTGGAATCCTCCTGATGGAATTCCTTTTATAAAAGTAAATAAGAGAGCTAGAAAGCTATCTCCCTGACATGTGAGGACACAGCAAGATGGTCACCTGTAAACCAGGCAGAGGCTGTTGCCAAGAACCTGCTCATGCTGGCTCCTTGATCTTTGACTTCCAGTTTCCAGAACTGTGAAAAATAAATGTTGTTTAAGCCACCCAGTGTATCGTATTCTGTTATGGCAGAAGAAGAGATGCAGCTGAAGAAAAAGTCAGAGAAGTTTGAAATATGAGAAGATGCCAGGCTCTGTTGCTTTTTGAAGATGAAGGGGCAATGTGACAAGGAACTCCGGTGACCTTAAGGAGCTGAAAGTTTCCCAGCTGACATCTGCCAAGGACATGGGGACCTCAGCCCTACAATTGCAAGGGCCTGAGTACTGCCGGCAACCTGAAAGAACTTGGAAGATTTTCCCCCAGATTGTGAGACCCAGAGCAAAGGAACCACCAAGTCATTCAGAATTTTGACTTACAAAACAGTGAATTCATACATTTGTGTTATTTTGAGCCTCAAGTAACTTCTGAGTCTAGGTTAACTTCTACCTCATTCTTACAAGGCTGTCTTTCAGTATGCTACATTTTGGAACACAGCCATCATGCTCTAAGAATCCCAAGCCACATAGAGAAGCCATGTTTAGGTGCCCCAATCAGGAGGCTCAAGTGAACCTGGCCTTACAGTCATTCCTGCCCAAGTATCAGACATATGATTGAAGAAGCCTCTAGGTGACATTAGAGGCTTGTGTTTTTGTGTTCCAGTCTTGCCAGCTGGGGCTTCAGACATTGTGGATCAGAGACAAGCAACACCCGTTCAGGAAACAAAATCTATGAGCATAACATTATTGCTGATTTATACTCCTTTTTAAAACAAACAAATAGTAAGCAGAGCAGAAAGGAAGGAAAAAAAATCTCTTTCAAATAAAAATAGGGATAATCTATTAATTTTTTTAGAGACAGTATTTCACTCTGTCATCCATGCTGGGGTGCAGTGGCATAATCATAGCTCACTGCAGCTTCTAACTCCTGGGTTCCAGTGATCATCCTCCCTCAGCCTTCCAAGTAGCTGGGACTACAGGTGCACACCACCACATGAAACTAATGTTTTTTATTTTTGTAGAGATGGGGTCTTGCTAGGTTGCCCAGGCTGATTCCAAACTGCTGGGTGCAAGGGATCCACCTGCTTTAGCCTCCCAAAATATGGGATTATAGGTGTGAGCCACCACACTCAGCCAAAAGAGGATAATTTTCAAAGATCCCATATCTAGATTGGAAATAAAGATAAAATTCTCTCTAGAATAGTTATGGGGAAGAATTTCAGTCTCAGAGTATAATTGGATTGAATTGCAGAGGAAAATAAATCTTTTTTTAGTGCACTATTTTATAACTGGGTCTGTAGCTGCTATGTGATAAATGCTGCTTCATATAGTTAACCAAAGATAAACATCTAATATTAACGGAATAAGGAATTTATTTAGAGTAATACACCAGTGAAGTGATTAATTTTTCTATAGAAAACTATTTCTGGATTTTGCAATTGTCCAATTTTTCTTTTAAAAAACTATTGAGATGAACTTTTACTATCTTATTTCTGAAGGACTATTTATTTTAGAAATATGTGTATATGTTATATATAATAATATCATCTTTATTTCCTATTAAGCTTTACAATTTACAACTCCATTTACATGGAAAATTTAAATGGAAATGTGCCCACTGTTGGGACCTACTTCTCAGAAAAAAAAGATGCCTTTCAAAATATTACTGCTTATTTACAATGCATCTGGTCACCTGAGAGCTCTGATAGAGATGTAAAGGAGATGAATGTTGTTTTCATAATTGCTAACACACTGTCCATTCTACAGACCATGGATCAAGGAGTCATTTCAACTTTCAAGTCCTATCAATTAAGACATATATTTCATAGGGCTATAGCTGTCACAGATAGTGGCTTCTCTGATGAATATGGGCTAACTAAATTGAAAACCTGGAAAAAATTCACCATTCTAGGTGCCATTAAGAACATAAATGATTCATAGGTAGAGGTCAAAATAGCAACATTAACAGTAGTTTTGAAGAAGTTGATTCTTACCCTCATGGATGACGTTGAGGGGTTCAAGACTTCAGTGGAGGAAGTAACTGCACATGTAGTGGAAACAGCAAGATAACTAGAATTAAAAGTGTAGACTGAAGTTGTGACTGAATTTGCTCATTTTATCATAAGAATCTCATGATAAAACTTGCCAACAGATGAAGAGTTGCTTCTTATGGATAAGTAAAGAAAGTGGTTTCTTGAAATAGAATCTACTCCTGGTGCAGATGCTGTCATCATTGGTGAAATGACAATAAAGGATTTAGAATATTACATAATCTTGGTTGACAAAGCTGCATTAGGGTTTGAGAGGGTTGACTCCAATTTTGAAAGAAGGTCTATTGATCAAATGCCATCAAACAACATCACATGCTATAGAGAAATCTTTCTTGAAAGGAAGACTCAATCAATGCGGCAAAATTCATTTTCAGAAATTGCCACAGCCACCCGAAACTTCAGCAACCACCACCCTGATCAGTCAGCAGCTATCAACCTCAAGCAAGACCTTCCACCAGCAAAAAGATGATGACTCTCTGAAGACTTATATGATGGTTAGCATTTTTTAGAAATACGATAGTTTTTTTTTTATTATACTTTAAGTTTTAGGGTACATGTGCACATTGTGCAGGTTAGTTACATATGTATACATGTGCCATGCTGGTGCGCTGCACCCACTAACTCGTCATCTAGCATTAGGTATATCTCCCAATGCTATCCCTCCCCCCTCCCCCCACCCCACCACAGTCCCCAGAGTGTGATATTCCCCTTCCTGCTGGAGAGGATGTGGAGAAATAGGAACACTTTTACACTGTTGGTGGGACTGTAAACTAGTTCAACCATTGTGGAAGTCAGTGTGGCGATTCCTCAGGGATCTAGAACTAGAAATACCATTTGACCCAGCCATCCCATTACCGGGTATATACCCAAATGACTATAAATCATGCTGCTATAAAGACACATGCACATGTATGTTTATTGCGGCATTATTCACAATAGCAAAGACTTGGAACCAACCCAAATGTCCAACAATGATAGACTGGATTAAGAAAATGTGGCACATATACACCATGGAATACTATGCAGCCATAAAAAATGATGAGTTCATGTCCTTTGTAGGGACATGGATGAAATTGGAAACCATCATTCTCAGTAAACTATTGCAAGAACAAAAAACCAAACACCGCATATTCTCACTCATAGGTGGGAATTGAACAATGAAATATGATAGTTTTAATTAAGGTACATATACTGTTTTCTCAGACATAGGCTATTCCACACTGAATAGACTATGATATAGTGTAAACATAACTATTATATACACTGGAAAACCAAACAATTCATGTGATTCACTTTATGGCTATATTTGCTTTATTCAGGTAGTTTGGAAATGAAAATGCATTATCTCTGAGGTATGCCTGTATAGCAAAACAGCACAAAAATTCCTGCCGGATGGAAAGCAGAAGAAAAGTTCCTGAATGGAAAACAGAATGGCAACATGGCCTTAACTTTGAGCAATGAAACAAAGCAACAGCAGCTGAAAACCCAGTTTACTGAGAAACCTTCCTGCAGTTGAGAATGTTTTGTATGAAACTCTCTTGTGACCTATGAGGTATTATGTTGATGCAAACGATGACTAACCCTTCAAGGACATTCCAGGCACATGGCAAGTAATACAAATATTAAAAATTAAGCGGGTAAATTTATGGTCACATTTTATAAAGCATCCTGATTAACACTGTTCTCCAAAATCTGAGAAGTAAACATTTATTTTTAGTTTAATAGAAAAACACTACATAAATATTTTCTTCATTAGTTATGATTATGCATAAATTCTGTGGATCTTTGCACCCTTGAAGTGCTCGCAAGTATCATTGAATTGTAGAAAGTGAAGCTATTAATAATTATTAAGATCTTAAAGTAAAAACATATGACTCAGAGAGGTTAAGGAACCCAGCAAAGATCAACTGTACAGAAAAAGGCACTAAAGCCTTAGCTTCTTGATAACACATTCAGTCATCATTGATTCATTTCATAAAATATATTAATACTCATTAGCCACCGTTTACAAGATTTCTGCCTGAAAAGTTTACAGTCTATGATGATAACTTTTAATTTAAGTTTCTAATCTTATATGCATTCAAAATAATCAGAATATTTACGTGGTAAAGCATCTATAAAACACCCAGAATCCATTAAGTTTAGTTTACAGATAATAATTGATAAAATGTAAATTTAGAAAAATACCCCAACAAACAAGTTTTTTAATACATAATCCGTTAAGAGATTTTTGGAGCCAAAAAACCCATTTTGTTTTAAACCAAAGATTCTTGTGTGCTATTATTTAAAGGCATACCATACAGCAATGCCAATGCAATTGATTCCCCTTTTATATGCTTTGTTGAATCGGACTAGATTGTCATTCCCCAAAATCCTATGGGAGTTTTTCATAGAAGATATTTCCAAAGTAGCCTATATAGATATACGCAAGATTTAAATCTAGAAGTAGTGGAGATATATTTCTATAGTTTGTATAATCTGTGAAACCAGGTCACAGCAATCATATTCACAGCTGCTAGCCAGCTACAATCTCAACCATAGTATGTTGCCACTTGAAGGCAGGTGTACATTTGTTTTCACCCAAGTTGAGGGGAGCATTGGGACATCTGGTCTTTTGTACTTAGCTATAACAAATCTATTGTGTGTAGTTTATAAACACACACACCCTTAATTTAATCTCACAGTCTTACTCTGAAAAGGCTATTATATGAATTTTGGGGTCATGAGACTATATTTTTAGTTTTGACTTAAGGACACATTAGTGCACTTTCAAAAGTTCAATGTTTCATTGGGGATTTTATGCCTTTATGATTTACAATTTCTTTTTTCGAGACGGAATTTTGCTCTTGCTGCCCAGGCTGGAGTGCAGTGTTGCGATCTTGGCTCACTGCAACCTCTGCCTCCCGGATTCAAGCGATTCTTCTGCCTCAGCCTCCCGAAGTACCTGGGATTACAGGTGCCCACCACCTCACCTGGCTAATTTTTTTTTTTTTTTTTTGTATTTTTAGTTGAGATGGGTTTTCACCATGTTGGCTAGGCTAGTCTTGAACTTCTGACCTCAGGTGATCTACCTGCCTTGGCCTCCCAAAGTGCTGGGATTACAAGCATGAGCCACCACGCCTGGCTGACTTATTGTCTTTTTCAGTAATATCTTATATTGGTCAGAATAGGCTAGGTTTTGTTCCCATGACAAATAGAGCCTGAAATTTCCAAGGCTTAAAACAATGGTCTCTTGCTCACACAAAGTACAGTGCAATTCAAGCAGTCTTTCTTTCTTTTTCAGAGATTCCATTTTGTAGCTAGTTCATCAGAAACATGGTACTATGGCAGGGAAAGGGAGTGATGAAGGAGGTACACTGGGTCTTAACTCCCTTTACCAGAAATTACACATGTCACTTCCATTCATACTGTTTTAGAACTACATAGTTGCATGGTCCCAATATAACTGTAAGGAAAGCCAGGAAGTGTGGAGCCAGGCAGATCATAGATATTGTGAGCACCAATAGCTTCTACCACATATCTGTTGCCTACAGCCACACTGTCATCTCTTTTCTTCATTTGGCAAACGTTACTATTTTCTATCTGCAACGATTTGTGCTGCATGATAGATGATTCTGTTACCCGAAAGGGGTACTGATTCAGACCCCAAGAGAGGGTTCTTGGATTTCATGCAAGAAATAATTTGGGATGAGTCTATAAATGAAAGCAGGAGTACTAGGAAAGTAAAGGAACAAAAAAATGGCTACACCATAGGCAGAGTAGCAGCATGGGCTGCTCCGCTGCTTATACTTATTATTACCTCTTGATTATATGTTAACAAGAGATGGATTATTCATGAGTTTTCTGGGAAAGGGGTGGGAAATTCTGGGAACTGAGGGTTTCTCCCCATTTTAGACCATATGGGGTAACTTCCTGACCTTACCATGGCATTTGTAAACTGTCATGGCACTGGTGGGAATGTCTTTTAGCATGCTAATGCATTGTAATTAGCACATAATGAGGAGTGAGGAGGACCAGAGGTCACTTTCGTCTCCATTTTGGTTTTGGTGGGTTTTAGCTGGCTTCTTTACTGCCGCCTGTTTTATCAGCATGGTCTTTATGACCTGTATCTTGTGCCAACCTCCTATCTTATTCTGTGACTAAGAATGCCTTAATCTCCTGGGAATGCAGCCCAATAAGTCTCAGCCTCATTTTACCCAGGCCTTACTCAAGATGGAGTCACTCTGGTTCAAATGCCTGTGACAATCCCAGAGATGAATAAAATGTCATCTCTACTTTCAAATAGCCTAATATATTGGGGCTACAGAAACAAAAATCATATTATAATATAGTCATATGTGAAGCTGAAACAAAATGCCCCAGATAGAGGCCTAAATCATTTTCTATGGGCAGGATCACAGAGAAAGATGAACTTAACCCTTATTTGTTAACAAAGAATCCTTAAAATGCTATAGAAGTGATGATATATTTGCTGGGCATTAAAGGAGGAAAAAAGGTTTAGACAAGTTTGATATGGAAAAGAGGGCAGTGAATGATAAAAGACAGAAAAATGTGAGAAGATTGTGTATGACTGAGGAATGAAGAAGGGAGAAAGAACCTAAACCACAAGGATGTGGGTATATAGTAAAAGACATGTGGACTTCATGAGTATATATGTGATGTACGTATTCACAGTTTGCTCATCTGTGGAATATGAGTTGCTAGAATGCTAAGTGTATTGCTATTTGTTTTTCCCACTGTTATTTCAGCTTATGAATATAAATCAAGGCAAACATTTTACCAGAGCATTCCAAGTTCTAATCATATGGCTTATTTTTTCCCTAAATTGTATTTTTTTCTCAATTTCTTAACAATATTAAACTGTAAGTCATAGGATAAACTGGCTGAATTTATTCTTAGCTGATTCTCCCTCCTTTCAGATACCTTTCTAGTCCAATCAAATTTTACATAACATACCTAGCTATCACAACAAAGCAATTTAGAAATGAGTTCCCAAATACTAACTCTGTGACAGTAGGTAAATTAGATCCAGAGTTTTAATTGTTGAAAAAACAAGACTTAAAAAGAAGGTTACGATATCATGCTATAAGTAGTGATGTTTGGCATTCAGCAATAGGTTAAACAGGTCAAGAACATGGGACTATAAGAAAAAAACAACAAAAAAGAAAAATCAAAGAGAAGGAAAAGGGAGAATAGGATCAAAATTCAGAAAGCATATGGTCTTTCTTCTTCCTCTTCTTTGACAGGAAATAAAAGTGATGAATGAGCAGGAAAAATATCAATAGCAAACACTCAAGACTATGACCTTGAAATGTGCCTTTATGTTGTTTCTTTTAAATGTTTAACTTTTTTTAATTAAATGAAGTGTTTATAGTCACTGCTAGACATTTCATCATTATCAAAGGCCTATTATGTCTTATACAAATGTCTATTTAAGCATTTTTAGCTTAAAAATATAAAATCCTTTCTGTAATTTTCTGCCTTTTTTTCATTTTCAAATATCATTCTTTCAATAAAATTATCTTCCAGTAATTTTGATGTTATTAATCACGATTATTTTTTCATCTTGTATTATGCCTACCAGCCACTTCATGTATATTATTTCACTTAAATCTTATGAAATCAACACGATTGATATTACTTTTATTTCATAGCTACAGAAATTGAAATTCAAATTTCGTCCATTACAACAGACTAGCTGTGGCAAAGACAATGTGAATTTACCCAAATGACTTAACTCTTTTTATAAATTCGTAAAATGTGAAGAATCATAGAACACACCTTAAAATGATTGTGAAATCAAGGAGGAGAAAGCTAGCTAAACTGGTAGACAAACTGCAATAGGACTTGTCAAGCCAAAACCTACAATTATTCTTTTGGATAGTTTCTTTTTCTCTAAAGTGGCAATTTAACTTAAAGATATTAAAGAAACCCAATCTATGGGGTTACTTAAATGTTCTCTTCCAGCCCTTCCTCTTTCCAGTTTTACCAAGAAGCACATTTTAGACAGGGGAAGAGACCAAACCAATGACAGCAGAATTACCATTATCTCTAGCACTATTCGTTGTCAAATAACTAAATGCTGGTTTGAAGAACTAAGTAATTTGAGAAATTAAAAATGAAAGGAATTATAAATGATTTGAAAAAAAATCCTTCTTATTTTTAATGTTTTTTGGTGCTGTTTTCTATGTCCTTCCTCCTATGGTGTCAATTATATTTTTTTCCGTGAAGTGATTTGGTTGGTGAGTCTAATCTCCAACAGTGCCCTACCTCTTTCTCCCAAAAAGGCCTCAGTTGAAAAATGGCTCAACACTTTCCCTGCAAGCTCACAATGAGGATCTCCTATTCTCCCTGCATTCGGCCAGACTCTTCTTTTTTTGCATGCTTTCCTCTCCCATGCTTGGGTTGCACAGAGCTACCGCACATCTGTCTTCTAGGTCAGGCTACAGAGTACTTCGGATACAGCAAGTTACGACCCATCTGGAAAGACAGATCTACCTGCCTTTTGGCTTTCTTCCTTGGTCAAAACTAAAATCCGAAGTGGAGTGCCCCGAGCGATAGAGAAAGTGCCTATAGCTTTGACAGCCGCTTGGAGCATGCTCAGTCGGTCTCCAGGCACCGGGAGGCGGCTCCCCCCCACCACCCCCCGGGCCGGCCTCCACCGCAGCCTGTCCGGCCCCCACCCCTGGCGCGCGCTCCTCCGCACCCACAAGGGCGTTCAGCAGCCGCGCCTCCCCTTCCCGCCACCGCCTCCTTCTCCGCTGGCTGTGGCGGGCGAGGACACGTCAGGGGCCATAAATAAATAAATAATTCCATTCACCCGTTGACAGCGAGGCGAATCGGCTGCGGTTTGCTGGGAACGGAGGGCTGCAGCGCCCACCCTGCGCCAGAGACCAGATAAAGTAAGTACAGCTGGGGAGGGAGGGGAGAGGAGGAGGAGGAGGAGGAGGTGCCGGCTAAGAGGAGGGCGAGCCTGCGTCTGCGACCCGAGCTGCCCGCGGAGCCGCACGCGTGTGTGCAAATAATGGCCAGCCTGTGACAAACGTGCCAACGCAGAGTTGGCCAGCGAGCCCTTATATAGACAAAAAAATCCCGAAGCGGCCGCGGGAGCAGAGCTCGCGTCAGCCAGTGCGCGCCGACAGCTGCCCGGGAACTGAGGGGGCGCGCGGGGTCCTGGGCAAGGAGCGCCTCGCGTGCTTTCGGCCAGGAGGTGCTCACGCTCTCGGCTTTTACACCGAGACTCAGCGTGGCGCGGTGCACCCCAGTCTCCCTGGCTCACGGGACTCCGAGGGCTGCTTCCAGTGCGGCGTGTCTCTAGTGCGCGCCCCGCCAGCATCCGGCCCCCGAGCCCCCTAGGGTGGCGTGGCTTCATTGCCGCAGAAGGTGGAGGCGGGGGTGGAGTGTGTGGAGAGAACGTCTTCTCTTTGAGCAGATGATCAGGACAGGAAGAGGCTGTGAGGGGAAGACGAAATACCGGGGGATGGGGGGGTTGTCTTTCTTCATTTTTGGTCCCCAGGAAGGATGGCAGGGGTGGAAGCAGATGGAAAACTATATGCGGGCGAGGCCTGAGCCCAGGCAGAAAGGGACCTCTGACTTGGCAAGGGTTCAGGAGGGCCTGAGCCTTCTGGTCTTGCTGGGCCACTGCACCACATTGGGGGCGCCAGGCCCGGTCAGGTGGCGCCACAGGCTGCGAGCCCGCTCACGTGCGAACTGCCTGTTTTCTCAGCGGATGCTGCATCGCGGCGCCCTTCTCCACCCCCTTTTCTCCTCTACTTCCGCGAAAAGGATTGCAGACTGCCTTGGAAAGGGCGGTCGTGCCCAGTGCCACTTTCCCGGTAGGGCTGAGGAGGGACTTCTGTAGTTCCAATTCCAGGGAAATTAAAATTTTACACACACACACACACACACACACACACACACACACACACACACACACGAGACATAGAAGAGGAAACGAGGAGTGGTTTCTCTACAATTGTTTTTTGATTTCCTTTCCTGTATTATTTCGTGTCCTCCTTCCCTCTTGGGTCCCAAAGGAGATGCGGCAGAGGAATAAAATAGCGGACAATGATGAAAGTGATGGGAAAAAGACTGGACCCAGAGGAAAGAGTGACTACTGGATGCCATTTCCTGTCACCCCATGCTTCATGGCTAACCCCAGTCTGAACTCAGAGGGTTGCAAACTTTCCACAGACAGGTTAGCTTGAATGTGTTGTGTTACTGGAACCACAAGCACTAAGTATGCATTTGGTGGAGTGTGGCTGAAAAATGAGAGTTGGGTGGGGACAGCAGAGGGCAAATGAGGGTTGAGCAAAGTGACTAATATTTAGCTCTGGTGAAGCAATCCTAACTCCAGGTTCTACTTCTGACTGAGCAGATTACATTTAAAGCAATCCAAGTGAGGGACTGAATGATCTCAGTGGAAAGGAAAGATTACAACCGTAAGAAACTCAGTGTATTGTGTAACAACTTACAAACTCAGAAACTATTTTTTGCAAATACAACAACAGTTTGCAGTTACATATTACTTTTTTCCCCCCAAGGCATGTTTGAATAATAAGTGATCTGAAATTTTAACATCTGTTTCCCGATGTTCAAATTAGTGTATCCTTCTATAAATGCTCAGTTTATTTCTAGACATTCATTTGCTCTTTGATAATGTCTGGCTTATATTTTTGGCTTTGAGCTCTTTTAAAGGGAAGGAGAGCAACATTACCTAAATAAACCTCCCTTGTCTGGAGTCATATTCCTGGATCACGGATCTGAAATAAAAGGCATCTCCAGAATTTGCTTTTAATTCTGTATTCATCCACCAAACATTTTTGAGACATTCACATGGAAAAAGGGAATTAACTTTAGAACAGATTGGTTCTGCACTTTTGTAAGGTTGAGTAATTGTTTAACAATCTGGGCTTTACCTTTTTCTTGTCTATAAAATGAGATTGGTGGTACCCACTCTGAAGTGATATTGGGAAGAATGAAGTGTGTGGTAAGTACCTAGAATACAGACGGGCTATATTTGAGCCCCTATAATCAGTCTAGACACCCTACCAGGGTTGCCAAGATGAATGAGGCTGTAATTCTGCTTTCAAGAAGTTCTCATATAGTCAGTCATTCAGGTTAATCTTTCTTGTATCCCATTTGCCTTTTAGTCCATTTTTTTTCTCCTCTTGATGGAAGAAACATATATCCAAGTAACTTGAAAGGAACTCCACAGTTGTAAGAAATGTTGGTAAGATCTGCTAAAAGGCAAATTTGAGAAGAATGTCTTTTCTCAGGAACCTGTATTCAGCCCATTTTTTGTCCATTAATAGTGATCCTTAATGAATAAAAACAGGTAATGAAGGATTTTTCTTCATGTTATGAGGGCAGGATGATCCTTCTCTGAAGATTATCTTTGTCAATGAATTGATTTCCATTATTTGAGAGAAGAGTTTGAGTTGCAGTTTCTACTACACCTTGGGCAAACCAATCCACTCACTCCTAAGAGTATAAAGTAACTGTAGTATATAATAACTATAATGACAACTCTGTAATGCTCACCATATTCCAGGCACTGTGCTACTACTGTCTGATAGCATGTAGCAACCATTTGAGGTGGATCTGTCCATATCCATATTTACAGAAAAAAGAATTTATGCCCAGAAAGTTTCATAGCTTATTCAGCTGGTACAGTTAGTAAGTGGTTGAGCTGGGGCAAGCACCGATGCGATCTGTTTGGCTTTAACCACTGTGTCATATAGCTTCTGCCTTGCATGAAGCTAAATAAGAGCAAAGACCTTACCTGTTGTTTTCTCCATAGCCCAGTACAGTGTCTGGCATGTCATGGTTCAGAACAACTGATTATAGAAAGAAGGAAAGAGGGAGGGAAGCAGAACTAGAGGGAAGGAGGAAGAGGAGGAAATAAAAATTAGCAAGTCCAAGTGTCTCCCGCCTTCAACACTGAATCTGGCAGGAAATCCAGCATGAACTCTGCCCTGAGAACACAATAGTTGAGGCTCTTTTGAGGATTCCTTTTCCTTGTCTTGCATCTAATCATCTAGTTTATGATGCTCATTTATGCAGAATAGGAAAATATTCTCTTTGGTTTGACAAATTAGCAAAAGGTGCCCATGAAGTGCAAACATCAAAGAGTGACCTACTCAAGGTGGACCAGGAAAAAAAAAGAAGGAAGAAATTAAAAGGGCAGACCATAATGCAGGGGCACTGGATTTAAATTTTAGTTAAGCCACTGGCTGGCTTTGTCTTATGCAATGTTGTGGTAGTACTTGTATTGTTGTTCTGAACACCAAAGACGATAACAAATATAAGCTGTTTTATACTGTGCCTGATAAATAGAATGGCATGCGGCAAAGAATAATTACATTCTGTTATTGCCCTTTGTTCCCCTCCTCCCTTCAACTCATCCCAAATAAAAAGTACCCTCCTGTTTTCCACATCTTGAAGTAATCTGTGTTCATCTGAACTACTTCGTAACTTGATCTGGGCTTCTCTTAGGCTGATTCTTATATTTTACCTTGAATTACAATTATTTGGGAAGGCATCCTATCTCTCTTCCTGGGCTACATGGTCTTTGAGAGTAGATGGTATATCTGATTCATCTTGGAACCTCTGTGGAGCTGCTGCTTGGGACAGGACAGGGCAGACGAGGGGCTCTGAAGTCCAGCCTGTCTGGGTTTTGATTTTAGCTTTGCCACTTATCAACAAAGACAAGTTGCTAGACCTCTTTAAGTCTCGGTTTCTTCATGTGTAAAAATAGAATAGTAACCAATTTTGTATATTGGTTGTAAACATTAAATGAGATAATATCTGTGAAATAGCACTGTGCTGAGCACATACATAGAAATAACTCAATAACTACTTTTAGGTATTAAATATTTGGCTTTATGTTTTTTAGTTTATCATAAGCATCACTGGCTTATTTTTAACAGATTTTTGGGAACTCTGAAATGCCAAACTTGCCATTAGATGGCACAACAAAGTTGAATTGCATAATAAACCATTAAGTGGACTCCCTTTGAGAAGTCATCCTGGTTTGTCACAGGCTTTCTCAAAACTGTTTGGATCAAAGTGATTAAGAAATATCTTGGGAAACATCTGCACACTAGCTCTCAGTGAATAATGGAACTTTTTTTTTTTTTTAACTTGTGAGAAAGCTTCATTTTCTCAGTTGCTGCTATAAATGGTGAATCCAGGGGCTGAGTCTACCTATGTGAGAGATCCAGCTGTTTAAAATCATAATATGAGAGACTAGCCTAAAATGGACCATTGTCGAGAGGAATAAATAACACTTATCACACGTATTTGGTAATTAGTAAATAAGTGGAGGGTCTTTATATATCAACTGTAATCATTAAAAATGTGGGAGAAAATTAAACAAATTGGAGCTGACTATAATAAAACTAGTCCAGCTGGAGCTGGACTAACTGGGACTTGGGTGCACCATAGACAATTTCAACATATTCACAAATATCAGTGTTGATAAATGAAGCAAGTATTTTTGGAAATAATTTTTCTGACCTAATACTAAAACTCCCGCAAATGTTTTCATTAATACTCATTGAAGTCTCAAAGGACCTCATGAAAATCCTATGGGACAACTGAACGACAGCTACAAGATACTGGCCTAAAGGTACTTTCGTTAAGTTCCACAAAAATGTCTGTATGGTTCAATTATAGAGCCTGGTGATTAGTTTTATGTAATAGTTGGCATTAAAATAGCAACTTTCAATAGAAAATATTTTGTGTAAGTGGTGAACACAAATGAAATATTTGTTTAGATAAATAAAGATCCATATACAGTGTTGGTATTTTGTAGAAAGCATTTTATTATAAGCATTTGCTGTTTCTCCACCTCATAATACAATATGTATCATTATTAATTAGTCAATACCTCTAATCAGATTTCTATTGAAGCTAATATGTAAAAGAATGGTACTTTTTACAAAGCAGCTGCCCTACTAAGTAATTAACTTGAATATCTATATCTTTTTTAACTAGATTAGATAAGAATAAAAAATAAAACTACAAAGCATGCATTTGATAAGTTTCTAAGGGATATTAACATTTATCTTATTTTAAAAATGATTTTCAAAATTTCTAGGATTTGAAGTTCCATCAGTTCTTCTCAAATATGTGAAAGGCAAATTCAGTGATAAATGGCAGTCGGTGACAGTATTTTTCAACAGGTGGGATTATTGGCATTTGGGGTGGGACACTTTTTCATTGTGTAGGACTGTCTCTTTCATTGCAGAGCATTGGGTGTCTGTGACCTTTCTGAGTAAATTTGGGCTGCGATAACAAACTATAGACAGATTAGGTAGCTTATGAACAACAGAAATTTATTTCTCACAGTTCTAGAGGCTGGAAATCTGAGATCAGGGTGCTGGCATGGTCCAGGTGTTGGTGAAGGCCTCTTCTGGGTTGTAGACTGCTGGTTTCTTATATCTTCACATGGTGGGATGAGAGTGAGAGCTCTCTTTTATAAGGGTGCTAATCCCATTCATGAGAGTTCCTTCCTTATGACCTACTTAACTCCCAAAGTCCCCATGTCTTAATACCACTCCTTTGGGGATTAGGACTTCAACATGAATTTTGGAGGCACACATTAAGTCCGTAACAATGATCTATCTCTGTTTTCTATAAGTCAGTGGCTTTCCCTTAGTCATTGTAACAATCAAAAATGCCTCTCTACATTTTAATATACCTGTGGTGGAATGGTGATCCATATGGTTGAAAACTGTCAGCCAATAAGATCAAATTGAGATTGTTTAAACAATTTATTTGGGATCAGAGTACTTTCAGAGTACTTTCAAAATTATTTTGCCTTTCATTAAAGGATGAAAATAATACTCTTGTATAAAAATATTTTGTTTTGAAACAATGAGTTCTTTATTAGTAAGGCATAACAACTGTTAACTTTAATAATCAGAGCATCATTGACCTCCTAGCCTCCAAATTATTTGCTTTGGACTGTTAATAACCTTTGGCAGTATTCATCCCTAATGCTTCTTGAACTCCTGTTTTGGCTTTCATGTGCTCTTTATTTTGTTACTTCTCTCACCGCTCATTTACTGCTTCTTCTCCAGCTCGCCTTTCACCTCGTATTCAATATAAGTATGTCTTCCCCAGTTTGTGTTTTGGGCTTTTTTTTTTTTTTTTTTTTTTGAGACAGGGTTTCACTGCAACACCCAGGCTTGGGTGCAATGACATGAACTTGGCTCACTGCAACCACCACCTCCTGAGTTCAAGTGATTCTCCTGCCCCAGCCTCCTGAGTAGCTGGGACTATAGGCGCCCACCATCACGTCTGGCTAATTTTTTGTATTTTTAGTAGAAATAGGGTTTCACCATATTGGCCAGGCTGGTCTCGAACTCCTGACCTCAAGTGATCTGCCCACCTTGGCCCCCAAAAGTGCTGGAATTACAGACATGAGCCACTGAGCCTGGCCAGACTTTTCTTTAGCCTGCATTCTGTTGATTGACAAAGCTCATCTGCTCTGGACCTCCGCTTTCACCTCAGTAGGAATAACTCCCAAGCCATTTGCTGTAGTCCTGACCTTCCCTCAACTTTTAGGCATTTCCAGACATTTCTAGATGTTTGCAGGACAGCTTCTCTTTACTGTGCTTTTGATACTTCCAGTATCCTGTGGTCTCTTCCTTCCTTTTTGTCTTCTTTCTTTCTGTCACCCCCATTCTTCATATTGATATCAGCAGTATTCTAGCCTAGAAGCTTTTGAGACCACCCTTTCTCTGGACTTGTGTACATCCAAAATAATTTTTTAATTATTTATTTCTATTCTGTTGTTGCCAGAAGTTTCAGGTGCTTTTGACATACTACCTACAGTCATGTAATAGTCTCTTAGTGGGTATTCCCACCTCTGGTCTCTCACCCTACCAGTTAATTCTGTACATGGTATCAGATACTCTCATGGAAGCACACCTTTGTTAAGTAACACTCCCATCACCTAGGTCCAAGGACTGACATTTCAGTCCCTGCATGATGTAAGTCCAAACAGCTGTTCCATGTTCATCTCCCACTACCATCATACTCAACTCAAATGGAACTGTCCTCATGCCTCGTTCATTCTCATTCTACTTCCTACCGCCAAATCTTTGGCCATGCTGTTCTTTTATCTTGAAATGAATCTAACGTCCTACGATTTCTAGCTCTAACCTCACCTTCTAAGAAGTTGAGCTTAAACACCACATACAAATTTTCCTCTGACACCTCTGGATAGGTAGAATAATTTTTCTAAAATTTCAGGAACATTATGTTTATAATGTCTTATTTGACATTGTATAATAGAATGTCTTGACATTCTATTATATTTGATTTTATATAATTATTCAGTTTCTTAATATACTATAAAGTTGTAGATGTCAGGAATAATAATGTATTCATATTTATGTCATCTTTAGCATTTTGGTGGATTATAGAGTTGCAAGAAACTTGGAGGACATCTGTTTCCACTTTTATGTGTTGTTTTCATTATGTTCAATAAACCACCATCTATTATTTAAGTGTACACACTGAGGCAGACTGTTCTTTTAAAGGCAGTTCTACTTGTGACTCAAATTTTCTTGTTTCTACCTAGGGTCTTTGTTCAGCTTCCTGGGGCCACATGAAATGAATCCCTTTCTCATTTGAATGACATACTCTACCAATGTGGTGACAGCTCACATGTCTTTTGTTTTCTCTATCAATTTAACATATTCAGTTTTTCTTCCTGTTTTTTGCATGTGACCTGGTTACATTCTTTATTTAAGGCTGCTGTATTGTGGAGTAATTCAACTTTAGGAAAGTCCACAAATGCATAGAATACTTCAAGGATAACAATGGTTTTGAATGTAAATATTGGAATTGTTTTTCATGATGTAACTTGTCAATATCTCTTCAGGTGTCAGGGTGGGAAATCAAGGTATATATAGCGATCTACCTCTGGGAGAATCCCATAGTTATCTCAGGGCTGAACTTTCCTTTCTGTGCCAACAGTTTAATAAATAAATAAATGAATAAACCACTGGAGGATGATAGGAAAGCTCACTTTAACTTTTGATTGTAATTGGAAATTAGCCACTCAGTAAAATTATACTCTTTTATAGATTAATGCCCTAAGTAGTAAAACAACAAACATGTCTTGTGTGTGTGTGTGTATAATAAGTGAATTTAAGGACATTGGACCAAATAAGTGGCTATTAAGTAAAGTTATAAAGATAAGCTTTAAGTAAGAATAGCTTACATTTGTTGAACACTTCTATATTTAATACCTTACATGTTTTAACTAATTTAATCCTCAAAACCTTATGAGGAAGCATTTTTGTTATCCTCATTTTACAGATGGGCAGAGTAGAGCACAGAGGTGAAGTATTTTGCCCAAGGTTACACATCTTGTCATTGGAAGGGTCTGGATTTTAATCTGTTGAACAAAATGTACCTTTTCAATAGTATTAATTTCAAGTATTTCATGCTGCAGTAAATTTTAAGACATTCTTGGGAAAAGTCCGATAATTTTATTTTTTTTCTTTTTTGAGACGGAGTCTCACTCTGTCACCCAGGCTGGAGTGCAGTGGCACAATCTTGGCTCACTGCCAGCTCTGCGTCCTAGGTTCATGCCATTCTCTCGCCTCAGCCTCCCAAGTAGCTGGGACTACAGGCGCCCGCCACCACGCCCGGCTAATTTTTGTTTTTGTATTCTTAGTAGAGATGGGGTTTCACCATGTTAGCCAGGATGGTATTGATCTCCTGACCTTTTGATCCTCCCACCTCAGCCTCCCAAAGTGCTGGGATTACAGGCAAAGTCTGATAAATATTTTTTCAAACAGAGACTAGTAGTCAGGTATAATGAGTTTGGGTCTGTTACAACATAAAGTCAACAGGAATGATAAGGCTTCCTTACTATTTGAAGGAGTTACCTGGAACCAAGCTAGAAAGCTTAGAGAAAGTAACAACCCCTTGTGGATTCAAGGAGGCTGGAGAACCAGTAGGGACCGAAGGAACAGTAAGTCCAGGATGTCATTCCTATAACTCAGTTTGCAAGGTGGTAGGGATAGAATACGTGGGAGGTGGCAAGACTCCCATGGAAGCCCTGTGCTGTGGGTATCAGTGAGTGCATGAACAGAGTAGGGTCTGGAGAATTCTCATAGATGGGTATATATCAAATTTACAGTGAAGAGGGATTTTGAATAAAGCCTCTGACATATTTTAAGGCATAGAATGCAGTACTTTAACAACTATTTATTCCCCTGCTGTGTTCCAGACACTGTTTTGGATGTTAGAGAGATGGCTGTAAATAGAACAGGTAAGTCCTTTTTAGTCTTGAGTTACACAGATATCAAATATATTCTCAAAGCAAGGTTAAGCAATTTATGTCCTTGAGCCAATTTTTTTTGTAGACCTCTCATGCCATCTTCTCTATGTAGCCAGTCTTATTCTGTAGTTATCTCTTTATTCTCTTTTCCTTTTTTCTCAATCTGTGTCACATGTCAGATCAGAGACTTTGAAGACAGATAGATATAGCCCAATGAAATTTCGACTAAGCTACTTCTAAGCTGTTTGACCACAGTCAAGGTATGTAACTTTTAGAGCCCCAGTTTTCTCATTTTGGAAATAATAAAATTTATTTTATGAGTTGTTGTTGGAGAAATAATGTAGGTAGTCAATAAATGATAATCATCATCATGTCATTTTTATCTCTACCTTTATTTTTGGCATATATTGAGGCAGAACTTCTTTACTCCTGAGGCATTCCATTCTGTACAAAAGTATTTATGAGTTATAATATTGGTACTCCCAGCATGACCCAAGTAGGAAGGTCAGAAAATAAACAAATATTAAAATAATGTGGATCTTTTCAAGATGGATAAAATTCTAGTTTCTGGCACATATATGAGGAGATTCAAGTGCTGATATTGATGCTGCAAAAATGTTTAAGTGGTGAAATTTTCACTTAGTTATAAAGTTAGTAATACCAGTTGGGAATACAACCTAAGGGAATTTTAAGAGGGAAATTCCCTTTAGATGTGATAGCGCACATAAACACACGTAAAAACTACCACAAAGAGCAAGACAATAATCATTCTGTTATAATGACTTAGAGATATTTGTTCCAATTAAAACACATGCCAACATAATTATTGATGTCATTTAAGTGTCTTCTGTGTGTTTGCTGTTTTATACATATTTTGAATCCTCATATTGTCATGTAAGATAGATTATATTCATTTACAGATAGGGAGAATAGGGACTCAGCAAGGTGAGGCTGGCCATTATAGCACCCCAAGAGTCAGTGCCTCAGCCGATGTTTCAGTGCAGGTAAGATGCTAATGACAACTAGATCTTGGCTCCCATACCTTAAATCAATTCAAATCAGTAAATAATTAAGCATTGCTATATGAAGTACTCTGCAAAAATACCTGGACAAATATGTATAAGACATCTTTTCTGTCTGTCATCCTCCAAAGGAGACTGAAATTTTAGAGATATTGTGTGTGTGTGTACGTGTGTGTATGTGTGAATATATATATATGTGTGTGTGTGATTATATATATACACACACCCACTAATTAAAGGCACAACCCAGAGTAGGATTAGTGTCAAAATTAATGATAGAGAACATGATTTTCTAGGATAGAGGTTGACAAAGTATAGCCCCTTGGGCCAAATCCAGACCACTGCCTGATTTTGTAAATAAAGTGTTTTTGGAATATATCCACACCTGTTTGTTTTCCTGTTTTCTGTGGCTGCCTTCCTGCTGCAGGGCAAAGTTGAGTAGTTGTGACTTAGCCTGCAAAACCTGACAGTTTTACTATCGCACTTTAGAGAAAAAAAAAATTATTAAATCCTGCTCTAGAATTTCAGAAGATACTTTGCTTTCTGATGGAGGAATCAAAGAAGACATTAATGAAACAAGTGAAATTTATTTTGGAGCTGAGAGATGGATAGTCTTTAGTTAAGAGAGGAGCTAGTCGTAGTAAGTGCCACAGAACTCAAAATCAAAAGTACACCAATAGATAAATTAAAAGTCTGCTGAAGAATAAGGATCATATTACTCTATATAATTTATATAATGCTATAACCATTTGTCTATGAATATTTTTTGTAAGCATCTGGGACGCTGATTCTTAAACTTGATGAAACATTTGAATCAACTAATTAACTACTTAAAAGTTATATTTTACTCAGTAATCTGTGAGGCTAAAATATAATCCATGTGGAAAATCACTGATCTAGGATATTTATTCACTGGATAAAACTGAGTATTTTGCATTGATGGCAGAGACTGTTTTCTCCCCCATGTCTCTATTTTCATAACATGAGGGAATGCTGGATATAACTCTAATATTTTTTTCTAATCACTGTTTATAATAAATACTAGATACTGAGCATACAACTAAGTACCAAGAGTGTCCCCAGAGCTTTTCATACCTTATCTCATTAAAAACTTGCAGTAGCCAAATGAAGTAGATGTTATTATTTCCATTTTTGTAACAGCATTAGGAAACAGATGTATCAAATAATTGACATAAGTCTACAAAACTAGTAAGTAGATCCTCTTTATCCAATAATATCCAGAAATGGACTCTTAAAATGAAAAACTTTTTGAGCTAGAACATAGATAGGAATATACTTTCAGAAGTTTATAAAAGTGAACATCCCAATTTGTTCTATCATGTGGCTTAATTCTTTTCTATTCAAAGCATTGTGCCATGTTTTTAAAAAGTTGAGTTAGCTCTTAGTACAAATGGTTCTGCAAATTTTTATTGAATATACTGATTTTTTATGGAACTATAACTTTCTGCATCCTCTCTCTGTTTCTTTGTCACTTTCTGCCCACAACTCTTTTTCTCTTTACCTTGCCTCTTAATATTCAGTCATTTGTAATTTTCTCTGTTTCCTGTAGTATCAGTTCTTAATATCCATATAGGTCCTCATTACCCATTACTTGTTGCAGTGTCTTTGATGTAACAATAAAGTGCTTGAAAGCATTTTCATAAAGCAGTGACAGCTTCCAGAAGAAAAAGAAAGAATCAATGCAACTTCATACCAGCTTCTTGTTCTGAAGTGAAAAAGGGGCAGAAACTGCAGAATTGTTTGAGTATCACTAAGGGATATGACAAACTAATAAGTAGATAGGAAAAGGTGAATGATTCAGAGGAAGCCACAGATAATCTAAGAAAATGTAAGTCTGTGTTCCCTGTAGGCCGCATTAGCATCTGTGTGAATGTAACCTGGCCTCTTGTGCCATGGGGAGAGCATTAATTAAACACAGTAATGTCCTGGTACAGGAGGATTTATAGACATCAGATCTAAGGCTTATAAAAAATTGTTTCCCTTTTACCATTAAATTTCTAAGTAATATATGCTGTTAATTTAAGAAAAAAATACTTGTATGAGGAAATGTGTATTTTTATTTGTTTTCATTTTATTTTTGTTAATAACACAAATTTGTTACTCTACCTCATTAAGATACCTGAATCCGTTATCTACATTTATTTTCAAATGTTCCAAATAAAGGTGGGGAAGAAACACTTCTAAAAAAAGTGTCACCAACAAATATTTTAAATGCCTAGAAACCTAATTATGACTGTTCATTGGGATACTTCAGTATTTATGATCAAAATTATTATGCATATTTGGTCAGTTACTTTAAGTGTGAATATTATGTAGGGGCCAAGGGAAGCTTCCCCTTTACCCTCTGAAGGTTTGCTGAAAAATCAATTCACAAAAGACAGATTAGTTGGAGAAAAGGCATACAATTTATTGTCATGCCCAGGGAAGAATCACCGAGTGAGTTCCCGGTATCCCTATGTGGTACAGATGCTTATATAACCTACTTCCTAGGGGAATGGAAGATGGCAAAGGATGGATGCTTTTAGGGAGATACTAAATGATTTTTAGGGAATTCAATAGGCTTGAAGAACATACAGTGTCCTGGGACAAAGTCCGTTTGTACCAAAGAACCGATAATGGTTGTTGACAAAAATCCGTCCTGGTTTGTTGACAGACTTCAGTCTTCCTTTCTGCAATATGAGTTCAGTTAATGAAAACTCAGGGAAGGGACCTGCAGTAGTTGTTTTATTCTTTGGCATATCTGGACTTTAGGCAGATAAGCGACTTAGAGAACAACTTCATTCTGTGCTTTGGGAGACATAGAAGATTGAGAGATGTGGGTCGGGGGGCATAGGTAGATAGGGGGTTGGAGGGTTGAGGATGGTGGAGGGTGGAGAAAGTGAGAGAGACCTTGTGGATCCTTCTGAATGTCAAAGTGCCATATTTAGGGTGTTGGTTTCTGAGCCAATTTTGTAACATTTCCATCCAACTTTTAAAAATCTATGAGCTATTTTAAATTGTTCTACATTTTATTAGGCCTCTTATTCTATTAGCTCTTGTCTTGAAGCAGTAATACTTAATGCTTGCTCAGTTATGCATTCAGATAACCGCTTGTGGTCTATAAAACCTAAATTTAAATATATGATTTTTTGGTACTCTCTTGGTGTCTGAAGGATTTGCAAAATCCAGTTTATACACTCAGATTTTTGGAATGAGAAAGGAGAGAAGGCAGGTAACAAACTTGGTGCTAAGTGTGTGCCAAACATACAGTTACAGAGTTTTTACAGCATCACCTCATGCAATCCTTAATCATTCCCTGACAACCTCAGCATCTCTATTACCTGGGCATTGCTATCTCCAATTTAGAATGGCTCTGGCTGGTTAGGAAACAAAGGTTTATTTCCAAAATCCATATTTTCCCTTATATTACATGTTTTCTTCCGAGGTAGAGTGGAATCCTCCCTCTTTGCACACACAATTTATAGAAGAGAGAAATTACAGGGCAGCAAGAGAAATATTTAGGATTCTGTTCTTTTAAAATGTGGTAGCTAAAAATAAAAATCATCATATTTTTAAATGTCAGAATTACACCTGGAAATCTTTTTCAAAAAACAAAAGGCAAACTTAAAAGAATGAGAAAAATGTTGGCAATACTTTACTTTGTGACTCTTCCACATGTACAATTCCTCTTTCAAAAGTGTTAACCTTATAAATTGTATGTTGGGATTGATGCTAGTATCAAGAAATCAAATAGACACAGATAATTATTGAATTAGGGTTACATTTAAATAATTGGGATTTGAATATTGTTTTCTTCTTTTTTGAGTGCTTGATTATACCTTATTAAAGAGGTGTATTCAGCTCCAATTATACTTTAATGAGAATGACTACTCAAAAAAAACCTTAATAATTTGTTCATTAGAATACCAGAACTTCATTATAACTTGAAATTCAATGTAAGGGTTCATCTTAAACCTATTCCAGAAGAGTTAGGAAGTCCCTCATTATAGACAGTTTAGCTCTTAACTCTAGCCCTCTGATAGGAAACATAAAGATAGTGCTGTAATGATGTTCCAGCATACATGTTTAAAAACGTGTTTCTTTAATAGTAATACACTGTTCTGAAATACATAATTGAGATAATATATGTTTCTAACTGTGAGGCAGTTGAGCTGAATGACAGTATGTCTTGTTTATGTTTTGTCCTAGCTTGGGCTGCTATAACAAAGTACCATAGACTGAGTGCTTATAAACAACACAATTTTTTTTTCACAGTTCTGGAGGCTGGCAAGTCCAAGATCAAGCTGGTGGCAGATTCAGTGTCTGGTGGCCTGCTTTCTGATTCACAGATAGCAGTGTTATACCTGTGTGCTTACATAGCAGAAGTGGTGAGAGAGCTCTCTTAGGTCTCATTTATAAGGTCACTAATTCCATTCATGAGGTATCTACCATTAGGACTCAATCATCTCCTGTATTAATCTGTTCTCATGCTGCTATAAGGACATATCTGAGACTGGGTAATTTATAAAGGAAAGATGTTTAATTGACTCACAGTTCTGCATGGCTGGAGAGGACTCAGCAAACTTAACAGTCATGGTAGAAGGGGGAAGCAAACATGTCCTTCTTCACATGGCAGCAGGAGAGAGAAATGAGTGCTCAGCGAAGGGGGAAGCCACTTATGCAATCATCAGACCTTGTGAGAACTCGATCACTATCATGAGAACAGCATGAGGGTAACTGCTTCATGATTTAATTATTTATCACTAGGTCCCTAACATGACATGTGGGGGATTCTAGGAACTACAGTTCAAGAGAAGATTTGGATGGGGACACAGACAAACCATATCATTCTGCCTCTGGCCCATCTCAAAACTTATATCCTCACATTTTATAACAAAATCATGCCCTTCTAACAGTCCCCCAAAGTGTTAAGTCATTTCAACCTTAACTCAAAAGTCCAAGTCCAAAGTTTCAACTGAGACAAGGCAATCCTTTCTGTCTATGAGCCTGTAAAATCAAAAGCAAGTTAGTTACTTTCTATTAATAGATACAATAGGGTAAACACACCCATTCCAAATGGGAGAAATTGGCTAAAACAGAGGGGCTCTGGGCCCCATGCAAGTCTGGAATCCAATAGTTCATTCATTTAACCTTAAAGTTCCAAAATGATTTCCTTTGACTCCATGTCTCACATAGAGGTCATGCTGATGCAAAACATGGTCACATATGGCCTTGGGCAGCTCCTCACCTGTGGCTTTGCAGGATACAGCTCCTGTCACAGGTGCTTTCACTGGCTGGCATTAAGTGTCTGCAGCTTTTCCAGGCACATGGTGCAAGCTGTCAGTGGATCTACAATTCTAGGGTCTGGAGGATGGTGGCCTTCTCCTCACAGTTCCACCAGGCGGTGCCCCGATGGAGACTCTGTGTGGAGGTTCCATCCCCACATTTCCCTTCCTCACTGTCCTCAGCAGAGTTTCTCCATGAGGGCCTTGCCCCTGCAGCAAACTTCTGCCTCGACATCTCGGCATTTCCATACATCCTTTGAAATCTAGGCAGAGGTTCCCAAACTTCAATTCTTGACTTCTGTGCAGTTACAGGTGCAAAACCACGTGTAAGACGCCAAGGCTTGGGGCTCGCCCTATCTAAAGCAGTGGCTTGAGCTGTAACTTGACCCCTTTTAGCGATGGCTGGAGCTGAAGCAACTGACACACAGGGTACCACATTCTGAGGCTGCATAGAGTGGGGGACCCTGGGCCCAGACCACAGAACCATTTTTCCCTCCTGGACCTGGCCTGTGATAGGAGGGGCAGCGATGAAAGTCTGTGGCATGCTGTGGAGACATTTTCCCCATTGTCTTGGTGATTAACATTTGGCTTCTTGTTACTTATGCAAATTTCTACAGCCTGCCTGAATTTCTCCCCAGAAAATGGAGTTTTCTTTTCTATCACATCATCAGGCTGCATATTTTCCAAACTTTTATGCTGTGCTTCCTCTTGAATGCTTTGCTGCTTAGACATTTCTTCCACCAGATACCCTAAATCATCTCTCTCAAGTTCAAAGTTCCACAGATCTTTAGGGCAGGGGCAAATGCTACCAGTCTGTTTGCATAGCAAGAGTGACCTTTACTCCAGTTCCCAAAAAGTTCCTCATCTCCATCTGAGACTACATCAGCCCAGACTTCATTGTACATATTACTATCAGTATTTTGGTCAAGGCCATTCAACAAGTCTTTATGAAGTTCCAAACTTTCCTACATCTCCCTGTCTTCTTCTGAGCCCTCCAAACTGTTCCAACCTCTGCCTATTACCCAGTTCCAAAGTCGCTTCCACATATTTGGGGATCTTTACAGCAGCACCCCACTCCTGGTACCAATTTACTGTATTAATATGTTCTCGTGCTGCTATAAGGACAGATTCTGGACTGGGTAATTTATAAAGGAAAGAGGTTTAATTGACTAACAGTTCCACATGGCTGCGAGGCCGCAGAAAACTTACAACTATGGTGGAAGGGGAAGCAAACACTTCCTTCTTCACATGATGGCAGGAAAGAGAAGTGCTGAGCAAAAGGGGAAATGCCCCTTATAAAACCATCAGATCTTGTGAGAACTCACTCACTATCATGAGAAAAGCATGAGGGAAACCACCCCATGGTTAAATTCCACCCACCAGGTCCCTTCCATGACATGTGAGGATTATGGTAACTGCAATTCAAGATGAGATTTGGGTGGGGACACAACCAAATTATATCACCTCCCAAGGGCTCCATCTCCAAATACCATCACTTTGGGAGTTAGGTTACAATATATTAGTTTTGGGGACATATATATTCAGTGTACAGCAAAGTTTTATAGTGTCTAATAGTATTACAGTATGAGTGGAACTTTTCTTTGCAGTTGACAAGAGAATCTGATCCATGCATTGGCAACAAAATATCTCTTTCTTGACTCTGAAAAGATACACAATCAAGGAAGTGTGGGAAGACTATCAGGTAGAAGATACATACTACCCACTCAATGGTATTTTATAGGAGAGAGATGATGAAGAAAAAATGAAATACTTCATTGTTAATTGAGAACTTTTATGGTCTGGTCAAGAGCATGGAACATCTGTGTTTTAGACAATCAATATTTAAGTTGTAATTTACCAAAGCTAAGAGTCTATGACCAACAATTCAAACAAAAAGTTATGTAAATGAGGTATTTCTGTATGAATATGGTCTCTTTCATAAAAGCAGAACTAGAGATACAAGATGATGAAGAACATGCTAAGATTATGAACAGTAACACTGTTAAAACCCTTACCGAATGAAACAAATTTGATATACAAATGACAGGTCCATTCTGATCCTGATGCAGCATGTGCTCCCAGATAGTCTATTGGAATGAGAGCCTTTTTTTTTTTTTTTTGACAGAGTCTCACTCTGTCACCCAAGCTGGAGTGCAGTGGTGCGATCTCGACTCACTGCAGCCTTCGCCTCCTGGGTTCAAGCTATTCGTGTGCCTCAGCCTCCTGAGTAACTGTGGCTACATGTGCTATTAATTTTTGTATTTTTAGTAGAGATGGAGTTTCGCCATGTTGGCCAGGCTGGTCTCTAACTCCTGACCTCAGATGATCCACCTGCCTCAGCCACCCAAAGTGCTGGGATTACAGGCATGAGCCACTGTGCCTGGCCAAGAAACATTTTTACATGCACTGTATTGGCTCCAGAAAATGACCATCTCTTGTAATCAAATCATTAATGATTCAAACGAAGTGTTTTGTATGTGTTCTTTATGCTATTAAAGGCATCAGAATAATATAATATGGTTGAAGTGCCATGATTCTTTATTTCATTACATAATCAAACTTTATTTTGAAAAATTATATATTCTTTGCCTGTATAGCTGCCGTAATTTGAATGTGTCTTTTTCAAAATCTACATGTTGATGATTAATGGCCATTGTGATAGCAATATGAGTCGGGACCAGTAAGAGGTGATTAGTTTGTGAGGGTTCCTGCCTTATGAATAGGAGTCAGGCCCTTATATAAATGAGGATCCAGCCGGGCATGGTGGCTCAAGGCTGTAATCCCACCCAGCACTTTGGGAGGCCGAAGCGGGTGGATCACGAGGTCAGGAGATCGAGACCATCCTGGCTAACATGGTCAAACCCCATTCCTACTAAAAAAAAAAAAAAAAAAAAAAAAAAAAATTAGCCAGGCGTGGTGGTGGGCACCTGTAGTCCCAGCTACTTGGGAGGCTGAGGCAGGAGAATCACTTGAGCCCGGGAGGTGGAGTTTGCAGTGAGCCGAGATCGCACCACTGCACTCCAGCCTGGTCGACAGAGCAAGGATCCATCTCAAAAAATAAATAAATAAAAATAAATAAATAAATAAATAAAAGAGGCTCCGTGCAGCATTTGGGCCTCTTGCTCTTCTGTCTTCAGCCATTTCAGGACGCAATGTTTCCTCTCAGTAGGACGCAGCAACAAAGTACTATCCTGGAAGGAGAGACAGGGCCTCTCACCAGATTCTGAACCTGCCTGCACCTTGATCTTGGACTTCCCAGCCTCTATAAATATAAGAAATAAATTTGCATTCTTTATAAATTACTCATTCTGTGGTATTGTTTTTATAGCAGCACAAACAGACTAAGAGAACAGGTCTCTCCTTTTCACATCCGTGAGAAGTCTCTCAAATTCCTAGAAATCTGAAAATGAAAAAAAAACCACACATCGTTCACCAATTTTTCAGTATAATTTTATTTCAGTTATGGCAGTGATTACTATTAAAAACTTGCTCTTCATTTGACATTGACTTTTACCTTTTGTTTTTTTTACAATCTCTTGTAAGAGGAATTTTCTGATAAGATTAAAAAGAGGCACATGGAGAGGCCTATGTGTCAAGACTGGCAAACACTCAGATGCTAAGTGTTTCCTGCATCTGTGAAACTATCACACTGTATAGCAACACACCTGCATCAATAATAATACCAGCAAAGTTACCAGGCATTCTTCCCTTTGGTGACTGTTCATACTCTTGGAGTATTTGGATATTGTTGCCATTGCCTCAGAAATCTGTTATTGGCCTGTTGCTGAAATAGTGTCCTAAACAGCATAAAGATGCTTGTGTAGCTGACAGTGTTTTCTGGACTTCACTTTATTCATGAGAGATGTGAATTTATCCTTACTAACTCCAAAGTGCCAGGAAATTGAAAAGAGAGTCTGCTGGAACCTGTTTGTTACCTATCTTGCACCCTGGCCTGGTTCCTGCTCCATCACTTGACTCTGTTGGATCTTGGCATCAACTCTGGCCAGGACCTGGTGACTGTTCCCTGTAATGCCCTTCAATTTCACTGGAAGGGGAAACTACAGATAATAGTCATGGGAACCTAACAGTTCCCAGAAGCCAGCCTGACAAAGAAAAGCATAAAGGACACACAAACAGCATGATGCCTGAGGTAACTGGCTTGTTGCTTTACCACCTTGGGCCTGTAACCTTTAGTTATAAATACATGGAGTAGGTGTTTTATTGTACAGCATTTTTCTTGGCATATAACAGAAAAATTGAAGGCATTTATTAAAGTATTTACTGAAGGTGGGAAGCACCCTGACAGTACCTAAATAACATCATTTTGTGGAAACATTTTCTTTTACTTCTTACCCAAGCATTTTGTCATTGACTTTGAGCAAAAGTAAAGAGAATTAAAGAATGATAACAATTAAAAAATCATTTGTCATGCAATATTCTGGGTAGGCCATTAAACATACCTAAATTTGCATTTATTTTCTGTAAGTTCTTATGTTTTTCTGCATTTATTTTAAATTTGATAAATATTTTAGCTTTTTTAATAAAAAAAGAATTAGTTTTTAAAATACAAAAAAGAAATATGTGCAGTTGATTTTTAAGTTATCTTATTTGCCTTCAGTTGTGCAAAAATAGGCCCATCGCCTTAGGATTTTGCTTGACTCAATTCCTTAGTTATTCAAGTGTCTCAAGTCAGCTGTTTGTGAGGGTAAAAATAGGGAATGTTCAACAGAATGACACAAGAGAACTGGGTAACTTTTATTCTGGAAAAAAGTATAGGTCATGGAAATTAAAGGAATTTTATTTCCAGAGTGAGCCTATTATATGAGGAGAACTATGATACATGTAATTTATTTTCACATTTTTCCCAACATTCATTATTTAAAAGGTTACTAGAACTTATTTCTATTATGGCAGTTAATAGCATATTTTTTAGCATCATTACCCCATTAAAAATCATATTCTGCCTGAGAATTTACTTAAGATAAGTGAGGTTTTATAGGTTTTGTTATATGTTATAGCGTAAATGCATTATTTGGATAGGTGGCTGGCTAACAGTATAACATAATCTAGATTTTTCCAGTGAATAATATTTTGAGTTAATATTGTGGTGTATGAATAAAATCACTTCTGTATTTTAGTATTATTTTTAGCCTCATTTCTTTGCAAAATAGGGAATAAAAAATTTAATCTGCTTGTATTCCTGCTCTATTCTGTGAGTCTTTAGTCATGGGAATATATCACCTAAATTAGAGTACATTTGTAAAAATTATAAAGGCAAAATGATTCCTTCTTATTAAATATATGCACCCTTCTCATCCGTTTTATTAATATACTCATAAAATCCTACTTGATATTGGACAGGCACTAGGCTCCAATCTATAGTCTATATTCAGACAATTGCTAGGTTTAGAAATTTTCAAGCTTATGTGATTATTGATGCCATTTTTGTAGAAGATTTTAGGACATTGGTATTTTATGGAAGACTATTTAGGAAACATTGCCTTAAGGAAAGATCTTTGTCTTTATAGACAAACTAGAATTTTGAAAATATTATTTATAATGCCCTGTACATACCTGAAGAGTACTTAAACTTGGATTTTATTCTCACAGTTCTAAACATGTGACCTGATCTCAGGTGATTTACAATGCATGTCGAAGTAGGCTCTGCGCTTGTTTTCATAATAAAAATCACAAATATCAGAATTATATGGTTTATTAAAATTTTAATATGGATATAATAATAGCAAAATAATAACTGAAATTATTGAGGTCTGAATTAATTGTTGAGACCTAAGGTCTGGCCTAATCGACTCAAATAATTTAAATTGAACATCATTAGGCAGTAAATGTGAAATCACTATTGTTGTTTTATTATTGATAGAATCACTCTTTCTTCCCAAACTTTGGAGTTTTAATAATTAGAAAAAGCATTTGTTTTACTGACATCTTGATTTTCCTTATTTCTGTGCATTGCCACATCATAGAGGCAATTTAAATTTTTGAACTCATTTCCTGGTAAAAGCTTTTAATTACTGAAATATAGCTATATTTTACTATTGTTAACTGTGACTCAATTTTTTTGTATCCTTGAGTTTTTTTTTCCTCATAAGGGGCAAAGACATTTAGATTATATTGCAGGAATAGTGAATATTGAAATCATTTCCTGATATCTTTATCCCAAATTATCTTTCTTTTTAGAGCCATAGTATTATAGCTTATATTGCTACACTGCTTATCAGTACCATTTATATGCTTATCAGCTACACAACTCAGCATCCCTAAATCATTTTTCTCACCTTGTTCTAAAGCTTTATCCCACATACCACGTACTTAAACATTTGTTAAACCACATGGCTAGCATAAATTGCTATACTATTATAAATGTAATACTTTTTCTATCTATGTTTCCATATAATCTCATTTCATTCTTTCTAGCATGAGAGACCTGTGAAATTACAAATAACGTTCTATTCAATAATGGGGCAAAAAAGATGAGTAAAAGTCACCTGTATTCAAGAAGCATAGGAGTAAGTTTCCTAAATTTTGGCTAATGTTTGCCAATCTGCTGAAATAGCTGGAATTTTCCTTCCACAGTTTTTGCACTCACCACTGTAATTAAAATAAATATTATGGGAAACTAATTCTTGTAAAGTAGAATGCTCCCTTCCAAGTCCAAAATACATCATAGTTTGTAGTCTTAATTGTTTGTTAATCACACTCTTAAGGTGTGTGATCTTCCGTTTCCAATAGTTGTTCTGGTAATAAAGTACACATAGATATTATGATCAAGAACTTTCAAAGAGAAATGGTATCACTAGCACTATCATCCTCTTCTCCCTGCCTGAAAATCACTTTTTTTCTGAATTTTGTGGAAATCACCTATTTTCCGTAAAATATTGGCATAATAAATGATATCTTTGATAATAGAAATTATGTTTTACTTGGCAATTGGCTGCGTTTTCTATATAAAGTTTAATGCTGATATAATTTTGTGATTTTTCTGCTCCTGTATTTTCCCATTTGCAACACCTGATTATAAAGAAAATTTCCATGACTCTATTTTATTTCTCAACTATTTTAATAGCCCTAAATGTTAAATGTATCTAATGTGAGCATTTAACCTTTTAGAGTGACTTCACACTTTAACATGAACATTTTACCAAATAGTTTTTATTCGAATGAACATTTAGCCTTTACCTAATCTGATTTACAAGATTCCTTTTTGGATTTGTAGGAGTCAAACAAAGGGAAATTTACATTCCTGATTTGCAATAAAGACTTCATTTCAATTTAATATCATGCATTGTATTACACAATCTCTGTGTAAAATTGAATCGTGCAATCAAAGAATCTTGGAGGTTATTTAGCCCATTATTTTACCCAGTGAATTAATCTTACTGAATCCATGAAAAGTGATTATCCGGTTTCAATTAAAAGGTTTGCAGGCATACAGTGACCTCATCACCTTAGAAGCAGAACATTTTTCCTCATCTGGCTTCATTTGTTCATAATGTTATTTTAATATTATCTTGAGAGGGAAAATACATGTAATGTGAATTCTTTGTGTCATTTACATGTTTATAAATCTATAAATTAGAAACATTCACACCAGAAAGGCAGGTCTTTGACTTCCTGCTGACAGATTTTAAGATAATCTGTTCCTACCCACAGACCAGGTGAAGGTGGTCATGTGTACCTCACATGACATGGACTGAGTATGCCAGAGGTTATGGGCACTACAGTTGTGAGATACTGTTAACTCTGAACTGGTGGCTCTGTTGGCATGTGCAAGTGGAATAAATTGCTAGGCAAGGAGAAGAATGGGACATATGTTCTAAATAAGCAATTATAATAATGATTTACATTGATTATCTACTGTCCCAGGCACTATCTTAAACACTTTACATGTGTCACCTTTTTTAATCCATACACCTGAGATAGGGACCATTATTACTTCAGTTTTTACAGAAAACAATCCAAGGCACTGAGGCTTTAAGTGACTCACTAAAATTCACAAAGTTAGTAAATAATAGAGATGGTGTTTGAGACTAGACATTCTAACCCCAGATTCCACACGTTAGCACTTAGATGATGCTAATAGCAACTGAATTGTTCCTTATAGAGACAGAGAGGGCAGCTGCCTAACAACACTCTGCAGCTGAGTTCTGTGTTGATACTGTGTGGTTTTTTTTTTCTCCTCTTTTTCTTAAAAACTGCACTGTGTGGATTTTGCTTTTTGCAACCATTGTTCCCTGCCTATGAAAAAGGTTTGGATATTCATGTTATTCTGTTTTGCCATAGTGAAGAACTCTGAGTATTGTAGATTCATTGTTGAGATTCTAGATGCAAAGCAAAACTGATTGACTTGGGAATTACCTACTGCTTCATATAAAAACCCTTTCCTCTGAAAAAAAAATTTACAGTGAGGTATGTTTACAAAAGAGGAAGACAGCAAAAAAATTAGAATTAATTTTAAGGAAGTAGGTATCAACCAATTGACCTTGCTTGTGTGTTCAGGGCATGCAGTGGTATTTGGAAGTCATAGTATTTATTTTTGCATTTCTGTCAGCCTGGAAAGTTGATGACTAAGGCCTTTCTAGTCACTCCTGTTCTTGGTTTCGTGAAAAGAATGGTGCCTGTATTTTCATCCTCGAGACAGCAGGATAGCGTAGACATTGTGTGTCTCCACTGGAAGGAACAGAAAATAGGAAATTGGCAAAAGAAATGATTGAGAGCCTGTGTAGCAGAGGAGGAAGTAGGAGGCAAGCATTTGTGAGGAAGAGAAATCAAATGTACGATAAGAACATGGCTCAAAAGGGAAGCATATGGGAGTATTAATCAGAAACCAATAAAATTAGGCACATGAGTTCACCCACTCCAAACTGGGAGAAATATTTATAGTTTTTATTAATCACAGTAGTACTTAAAAAAATTATCCTTCACACCAATGTCCGAGCTTATGGCCTTCTATTTTCCTTAGCTATGCAAAGTTGGCCCATCAATTGTATTTTCAAGCCCAAATACAATCTTTTTTTGAGGCAGAATATATAATTAAACAGCCCACTGGACAGTTGCATTTTTAGCAGTGTTTTTAAATAACAAGTCTAAGGCAAGACTTGGTGCACTATGGTTTATCCATGGGTCTCCACCACTGTTCTCTAGACTGCTATTTTTTTGGTAAGTTAAATGCCTGCATTCATGAGCTTGAATTTCATGTTCCTCTGTTATTAGGGTTAACTCATGACTGCTCCTCACACTGATTATTGATTGTAGAAATCTGTCTCCCAATCCCTGTGAGTATTGTAGCACTGCCATGTTGTTTATAGTCTTCTTTCCTGGATAGAGCAGTCCTTGAACCCCATCCGAAAGCTGAAGTCTGACTACTGTAAAGTGATCATGGCTGTGATGATTTCTGGATTCCCTGGACTATAGGCTACCACCCATCATTCACTCTCCATCCATTGAGCAAGGATCCTTGTTTATGGTGTGGATTCTTCCTAATTATTAGTAGTCATTGTCATATGTTTCCTAATATTTAATCTGATTTGAATGCCTTACTTCTCTGTGCACCATTTAATGCCCTTCAATTTGTACCAGAATTGCCAGGCTACTAATTGTTTTCCTGTCATTCTTAGATTACAAGGAACTTCAGAGGCAAAACACTTAGATTATGTGGTATGAACATAGTTTTGTTTTGAATTTTAAGGCATACAAACATTATTTTTTAACATTTAACAATTATTAAAATATAAAGTCTTTATAAACACTTCAAGGACTTCAAATTTTATATGCTAAGAAAGTATGATTTTAAAAAATCATGTCTACGGTTTTATTTAGGTAGGGGGGTTGGGGTGGGGATGTGGGATGGTGCTGAGTAATACTTATTCATGAATTCCAGTGATGGAAATCTATCTTTGTTTTGAGGAAATTATGCATTTTAGTTATATTTACAGTATTTCCTCATATGTTTATAATTCTGTCTACTTTTTCCATTCCACCCTCCAATCACGCACACTTTTGTGGTCTCTGATTCTTCTAATTGAAGTAAATATAAAATTAATGCCTTAGTTACTGTCAACTTCTACACTCAGAGTGAAACGTGGTGTGAATGCACTGTGGGCCTCCCAAGTATTCTGCTGTGTGCTCAAAATAAGGTAAAGGTAAATTATTAAGTGAGCTAGAAAAACTATCTTTTAATGAAGGATAAGCTAACATTAGAAGTATCTATTTAATAACATGTTCAAACATTATTCTCAACCTACTTATATGTTGCTGGGCTTCTGTGTAAGCCACTGTAGTCTTTCTTCCAGGCTGAAAAAACGTAGGTTGTTGTTCCCCGAGTACTCTTGGTAATTTAAAATAGAACACAGAACTTGGTCAAACATTTCAGTCCTACATATATTGATAAAATGTTTGACTTCAATTATCTTTTATTTCATCAACGAGAATGAAGCACCTCATGAATCTTTTGTCTATTTTTCTGTGATTGTTTTATCTTCTAATTGTTTTATATGTGTTATATATTCTGTATATTCTGCATGTATTTCAGAAACCTTTCAGATTAAAGCCTTCGTTTTCATTTTCTACACAGTCTTTTTTGATATGTGATTATGAATTAGCTAAACTTATTAGCTATATTTCCATTGTGATTTTTTGTTTGTTTACTTTGTGGTTTTTTGTTTAGTACATGCTTCCCAACATCAAGGTCATAAAGATTCTATCCTAAATATCTCCCAGCACTGTTCGAAACATTTTTCTGCACTGGTAGAAATATTTTATATTTGACAATATCCAAAACAATAACTGCTAGCTATATGTAGCCATTGAACACTGGAATTATGGATAGTGTGACTGAGTAGCCGAATTTTTAAATTTAATTTTAATTAACGTAGGTTTTAATTTGCATCATGTCGCTATGGACTACTGAATTGGATAATTCAGCTCCAGCTTTGTTTTTTCATCTATGGTGATCCATCTGGTGTTCTTTTTTGTTTTTGTTTTTTCTGCATGGTGGGAGGGGAAAAGGTAGTGTCATATTTTCCCCTGTGGATGACCAGTTAGCCTAGAGCAATAAATAGCATTTCCCTACTGAATGCTGTGTGTGTGTGTGTGTGTGTGTGTGTGTGTGTGTGTGTGTGTGTGTCTGTATGTGCATATGTATATATTTTGGGACTTTTTATTCTGTTCCTTGTTAAATTCATCTGTCATGGCATTAGCATCTCTCATGGTCGAAATCACCAAAGCTTTTTAATAAGCTTTCATCATTGTGCAAATCCCCCATATCCTCACCTTTATTCTACTTTAGAAATGACTTTGTCATTCTTGGCCATTTGATCTTTCATATAAATTATAGATTAGGGCTTTCAAATAGAAAATCATAATAATAGGAGTTTTCTCTGCATTTAAATCAATACATCAATTTCAAATTTGGGGAGAATTGGCATTTTTATGGTATTGAAGCTTTCAATTCATGAGAATGGCCTATCTCCCTATTCTGGTCTTTTATGTCTTATGTTTTTAAAAGTTATTTTATCTATATAAATTTGATATATTTTGTTATATTTTTAAGGAAAACCTATATATTGAGATACCATATATGTTGTCTTTTAAAAATTACATGTTCTGTATTTTGTGGCTAAATGCAATTTATTTTCATGTGATGATGTTTTATCTATCAAACTTGCTAGACTATCTAATTAATTCTGTTTTATTTGTAGATTTTCCACCCTATTCTGATAGTTTATCTGTAATGTATGCAAAGAGAATTTTGTTTCTAACCTCTTACATTCCATTTCTATTGTTTTGTCTTACTATTTTGCGAAGGATGTTTAAGAAAATAACAGAGTCTTGTTTTGATCTCTTAAAGGGATAGCACTAAGTATGATGTTACAGATTTTGGTTGTTTTTTGTTTTTATTTGTGATTTATTATAGATTTCATTCATCAGATTAAGGAATTTTTCTTCTATTTTTAGGTTGGTAGGGTTTTGAGATTATTTTATAGTTTTTTTCTGTATTATATAAATGTAGTAAATTACAGTAATAGAGTTTAAAATATTTATTTATTTATTGTTTTTTGACCCTCAAGTATTCAGAACTGGATTAGACTAATCATCATCTTTAGGTTGTGATATATTCCTGTCATAGATATCTCTGTCTTAATTAATTATTAATATAGTGAAAATCATTGAACCTACCAGCCAACTCAATAATTAAAATATTAACAAAACTCTAAACTTACCTACATGAATCTCCATAGTCTCATTTTTTTTACTCATATCTCTTTTTTTGAGATAATCACCATTGTTAATTTTGTATTTGTCATTCATTTGCTCTCGTTTTTTTCTTTTAATAATAACTTACATATGAGCAGTTTTTAAAATAGTTCTCATACAATTCTTCATGTTCTCTAATTTATGTCTTCTTTTTGATAATCTTGCTACTTAATGGTGTTATGAGCCTGATTCTGTATCTGTTTTCTCCTGGTTTTGTTCATAGTGCTATATAAATGAGCATGACTTTGATCTTTATCATGTGGGAATTATTTGAAACTTGGATTAAGCTGAATTCCTAGTTGAGAAAGTTTGCTTTTCTCTTTGCTGGGGTCTGGGGCATCACACAACATTGTAAACTCCCAAACATTGTCAACATGTTTTGAATCACCTTTGTAATATAAAATTGGTAATATGAAATTGGAATAACTATTGGTCATTAATCTGCAGGTGATATTTTTTGTTCCCCACTATTAGCACCAAATTTAGAGGCAGACTTGTTTCTTTGCATTGTTAGTTGTGTGTGTGTGTGTGTGTGTGTGTGTGTGTGTGTCTATCTATATGTGTGTGTACTACTGCAAGCATATTTCTGGTATAGTGACAATGCAGTTTTATTGAGTGACAGCAGGGCATATCACCTTTTACACTTTCTACCTCCGTCTGGCCCTGGGCTTTGTGGCTTGTTACATGTACCCTTTTGGGTTGTAAAACCCCAAGTTCAAGTCCACCAGTGCATCAAATGTCCCAAGAGGATATCTGGAGCAAGTACTAGTCTTAGCCATCTGGTTTCCCCTTTCAGTTAGTTTTATTCTCTGGATATATTGTACTTTCTTGCTATTTGTTTTTCCTACTGTATGTACACTTTTTAGATGCTTTCAATGGAAGGATTTTTATATTACAAAGGACAGAGACTTGCACAAATTAACTCCAATAATGAACTCAGAAATTTGAAATATGGAGGAGTTTTCTGAAGCCTGATTTTATGAGGCCTTACAGGAATGATAATGCAGTGCTGATTTTCTTCATGGACTACCAATTTTCCATTCTGTTGCAATGCAAAATGACCTCACACTTCTAGTGCCCAGCACAATTCAACTGATGCAGTCTCTCTGTGTATTAGTTCACATTCTTAACACAGAAAATAAAATTAAATTGGCTTAGCCTCAATTATAGATGGTAACAAGGGATACTATTTAAGAATAGTATATATTACAATGGTTAAAGCTCAAGCTCTATAGCCAGACTGGCTGGGTTTGAATCTCAGATTCAAATCTTCCTAGCTCTGTAATTTTGGGAAACTTCCTTAATGATTGTGTGACTCAATTTCTTCATCTGTGAATGAGAATGCTGGGTAATACTACCTACCACATAGTTGTAGTGAGGAATAAATGAGTTACTACATGGGAAAAGTTGAAAATAAGAGTAACAATTTGGATATGGTAGCAACTCAAGAAATATTAGTTATTTTTCCCTTTCACTTTATTTGACCTGTGGTCTACTTAGCTGTGGCCTTGGGTAAGGATCGTGTGGTATAAGCATGTCTACCTAGGTATGTGCATTCAGCACCATTGAGAAGCAAATTGAGGGAAAGGAAGACAATAGCAAATATGCCTAATACACATGGAGGAAATAAAAACAGAACAACTTGTCAGTTTGGGGAAAAAATTACCATATAATTCCCTTTATATAAAAATACTTAAATGATAGAATTGTTACTTAAAGGAGCAGATTTTTTCCAAAAAGTTACATTGACTGAGTTATATTGTGTGTAACATCTAAAATTTTTGCTTTTCCAATATGTTCTATAGTTATTGCAAATTCATTGTCTATGAAACGCCATATTATGTGGGCAGAGCATAAAGGCAAAAAAGAATATATCAGTAGGTACAATTACAGATTATAAAAGTAAAATCATCATATTATAGAAAATAATCTTAATTTTTTTATGTAAATAATTCTAAGAAAATGTTAAGCATTTTAAGGGATAATTTTTTATGTCCTCCTTTTAAGTCCCTGAGGTTTTTTTGTTTGCTTTTGTTTTTTAAAGAGAAGAACTTATGACTTAAAAGCAGTTATCTGGACCCACCTTAATTCTCCACAAATGAGTATATCTAGTTATGTTCTGGGTTATTTCTAGGCCTCTGATAACTCAAAAATGTATAAATAAAACGACTAATTATTTACAAATTTGTATGGTCCTTTACAATGAACCAGTGCTTTCATTGATTCATCTCATTAATCCAGTGAGGTGGACTAATGCTATAATTCTCTCCATTTGACAGATGAGTACAACTGAGCCTCAGGCACTTTAAGTGACTCACTTGAAGTCACATAGTAAATACAGTAGATCCTGACTCAAACACAGGAGTGCTGATCTAAGCTCAAAATTCTTCCCACATTTGCCAGCCACCCATCCTGGCACAGAAATGAACATATGACTATCATCATATTAAAATACAGGCCTGAGCTCAGAGTAACTCTAAGATGCAGATTTCTACTCATTTTTCCTTTGATTATTTAGCTTTTGGACTGTCAGGCTCACAGCAGATGACAAATTGGTCAGATTGTGTAAGAGGGAAAGCAAGTCTGGTAAAAACATATAGATTGTGACCAGGACAGTTTTAATTTTTTGCCACTGAGTAAAATAGATGTAAACTTTTCAACAGAATATATTGCATGTGGGAGTTCAAAATTTAGCAACAAGAGACATTTGTAAATATTTGTGAATATTATTTGACATAGTTTTTTTCCTAGTCTCCAGAACATGGAGAGAGGTTGTTAAAAGTACTCGACCTTTAAATGCAGTGTGTTTAAATTAATTCTTGTTATTACTTCAGTTTCACAGTTGAGTTGTCTTGTAAATAAAACTTTTCCCTCATTAGAAATGAAGCCAATCTTGCAGTTCCCCACAGGACTCATATCACTTACAATGTGCTACGCTTTATACATTGACCTGGAACCCAAGAGAGTTTATGCACAATTGGTGAATTAAGCCAGAAATAATTTCCTGTGGCATTATGTCACATCCTCAATGATGAAAAAAATCCATTAATTTTTTTGCACTTATTTAGAAAAAGTAAATGAATTATTTCATAAGTACATAAAGTTTGATAGACCAGTATTTGCATTTCTTGTGCTGTATAAAGTATACATCAATTTCTTATGTAAATAAGGTTATCATACGGTTATCTATATATGTGTGTGTATGTACTTGTCTTTTGATTTTTATTTATTAGTCTTTTCCTGTCTGCTATTTGTTATTAATTTTGCTAAAAACAGGCTTTAGCCTGCTGAGGAAAGATTTTTTACTGTTAAATAATGACATCCTTTTGCCCACAAAGCTTCAGAGGAAGACAAATGAAATGTGGAAATTTTCTCTGGATAAATCCATCATATTTACTCAGTTCCCATTCTTTTTTATACATTTGACTATCTATCTTTCTCCTTTGTCTCCTTCACAGATTCATGTTTTTCTTTCTATTACCCAACACTATTATTGAAACCCCTTCTTTTTCCCTTTCTTACTCATTTTTTTCAGTGACAAGTCTCTTCAGTTTCAGCTCAGGCCTTCTAAGCTGATGATTTCTAGGCCTACAACTTGTTGCCCTAACTCATCTCTTTACCAGCAGTCCTGTGTGACCATTGTCTATACTATACTATATATAGACTATATAAATATATATATATATTTTATTCAGTGTACCAGTTTTACAAACTTATTAATTAATATCCACCCAATCTTCCATGTTGGAAACACTAGGGTCATTCTTGACATTTCTTACTATCACATGTAAATTTTCACTAAACCCTTAAGACTCTGGGTATCTCCTTGAATCCAACATCTTTCCACTGTTGTTGCCACTACTTTAGGTGAGATCTTTAATATTGTCCACCTGAACTATTCCATAGCTCCTCTCTTTACTTTTTTATAATTCTTCACATTGACCTCAAAGCAGTTTTACTAAAAGACAAATTTAATCTTATTCCTCCCATGCTTAAAACCCCATATTGACCTCTATTTGTTGTTTTCATCCTTAGCTCTTTTAAAGTCTTAAATTATCTTGCATCTTACACTATCATATATTTTTAGTGTAAATTTTTGTCCCTTCTGAACACTCACTCAGTTCCTTAGGGCAATCATGTACTAGCCTCCATCAAGAATTATGTCTTTGAATACTCTGTTCTTTATATCTGAAATGATTTATCCAATCTTCTTCTCTAAGTTCTTGACTTTCATGACTCAATTCAATTGTCCCTTTCTGTAGGAAATTACGCCGGAGTCCCATAGGAATAATTCATTGCTTTCATAGAGCCGTAAACAAACCCTCTGGTAGCTTTTAGCACATTTGAATACAATTATATACTTATATGTCTGCCTCCCCTGCTATGTGGTGAGGGAAAAAACACATCATATTCTTTGTGTGTGTGTAAGTGTGCGTGTGTGTGTGCATGTGCGTGTGTGTGTGCGCGTATTTTGTCCAGTACCTAGTTCAGGGCCTGGCATATGAAAGGTTCTTAATTACTGACTAAATAAGTGAATCAATTAATTAATGGCCCATCTAGCCTTTGAATTGAATTTTCCAATCCTTAGGATATAGCTAGAAATAATCCCTTAAGACTACATTAGATTCTCAAAAGACTTTTTAAAATCTTCATTTACATTGCTTGGAGGTCAGTTTGTCTGTCCATTTATCTGGTCGGCGTGGGCTGCTATAATGAAATAATGTAAACTGGGGAGGTTACACAAGAGACAGTTACTGCTAACAATTCTGGGATTGGAAAGTTCAAGATCAAGGTGCTAGCCAATTCAGTTCCTGGTGAGGGCCCTTTTGTTCTGACGTAGAGATGGCCATCTTCTTGCTGTCCTCACATCATAGGCCTGGGAGAAGCCAGCAAGTTCTCTGATCTCTTCTTATAAGGACATTAATCTCATTATGAAGACCCCTCTCATCACAACCTCATCTAAACCTAATCCCCTTCCAAAGGCCCCACCTTCTAATACAATCACATTGGGAATTAGGCCTTAAAAATATGAATTTTGGGGGAACACACACATTCAGTCCATAAAATTATTCATCCAACTGTATCTATCTGTCTCAATTTCTGCCATATACAGTGGTAGAACAGTACTTGGAGAATCCAGGAATCATTCAATGTTTTCTCAAATAATTATAATAAAATCTTCTATTCAGAAGCTATGTGCCTATTAAAATGATACTGTCTTCTCATATTTGTTTAGCTATTATGTTATAACCAGTATCCATATATACATGTTGTACATTAAACTATTAAAATTATCTACTAATAAGTAATAAAATGAACGAAAATAAACTCTTTTACAAGCAGCATTTAAATGGAAGTGGTAGACTCTATTATAAGCCATTGCTATAAAAGCCTTCCACTATAAAGCACTTAAGAGGATGTGCCTAATAGGAATTCTTATCCTTCAGATTTTATTGTCATTGCCACATATGCTGTATGACTTTCTGTGTCTAAACATTTGATTTCCCAATTTAGTATACTTTTTTTTTCACTGTGGGTACCTATTGATATTTAGCCTGTCCTTGAAGAAGGACAACTCAGAGTCCACCCTTTCTAATGATGCTATCATGATGACTCCAGCTGGAAGAATCTGTTTTCTCTTTTGAATTTTTTCTCACTGATAGAAACATGCTTCTGGAACTCATTGTGTATTATCTTGCCCTTTAAATTTTGTATTCATTGCATGTAAACTTTTTGAAGAAAGACACCATTTTTAAATCTTTGTATTCTATGCAGTAGGTACAAATTGTCTTATACATAGTAGTCACAAGTCAACAATTATTGAAACGAAGAACAAAGGAGTGAGAACTGGATTGGCATTGTGGTAATTGCGATACACCCTGACTCTCCTTCTTTCTTTCTGAATACACCACTGAAAATTCGGCAGAATGATGGCTCTCTGTTGTGGTCACTTTCCTTGGTGTGGTATGTTTTCTCTTTGGGAAGTTTATAGTCTCATCTTGAGCATTATTACAGCTTAACATTAAGTTGCATATATTGGTTCACTTGTGGAATACTCTTAAAATATGAACAGATTTCCTGTCTTTCATGGGACAAAATGTAATCCAGTACATTTTGCAAATGGTAGTAGTTAGACACAGTTGGAAGATCATGCTTTAGAAGCACTGGCTATTTACCAGTGGTGTGAAAATTGACAGCTTAATAAACCTCTTTGAGGCTGTTTCCTCATCAGTAAAATGTGTCTGGTGAAATATCTTTCATCAGGGTTGTTACAAGTATTGAATGAAACACATACAGAAATTACTTGGCTCATCCTCAGAGTGCTCAAAACAAGTCAGCTTTCTTCTTCCAACTAATGGCTATGAACTAAACAAGATGATTTGTATTTAGCACAGAGTCAAATTGCACTATGAGAAAACCTATCGTAGTAGCTCTGAGACTTCAAATTTTGAAAATTATTATGTCAATGGAATATATATGCATCAAATTTCTAATAGAGTTTTTTTACACAATAACTATTTCATAATAAGTTTGTAGAGTTTAATCTTTCCAGGTGCTAAGGTGTAAGCTAATTCCTTGATAAGATTAAATGATTAAAATCAGTGGTTTCATGGTATTCACAAGGAGAAGGCCTTCAATTTGCTTTTTGTCAAATTGCATATTTAGAAACATAAAATACATTAGATTTGTTTCAAGGACAAGTAACTGAAAAATTTGCTGCATATGTATTGTATTCTTTTTCAAAGGGGATATTTATAGCTACATATTAACCTCTTAGGTAGTCTTAGCTTATTTTTGGCTAAAATTCAAAATTAGAAATGTTTTAGAATAGTTACGGTGGCAAGGGTGAGGTAGAGATTGATGGAAATGTGCTTTCAAGCTGCATCAATTTGGTATCCTGAAGAGTTTTACATATACTACAAGGTTCTTTCTCCAACTGTTACTAATAAATGGATTTATTTTCTTTCTGAATTGGAGCTCATAGCTCAGGCAAAGACATTGGGTCTTCTGCTGCTAGAATAGGCCTTTGGGAAGAAAATAGTTTCCCTTCTGTACTTTCGCTTGTAGCAGAATTCAAGTCAGTTATCTACAGAAGACAAACCTCAAACATTCTGGGACATCAAACTTGGAACAGATGGAGATATCTGCTAGGAAAAGAGCATTGGTACTGGACTCAACAAGGCCTAGTAATGCACTATTATGTTTATATAGCCTCCAGGAAATATTATGGTTCATGTTGTCTGTTAGCTATTATTATATATACTTGCCTCATCAGTCCATTTATAACGCATTGAGTATACAACTTGGTTTTGTAAATTTTTATTTCATTTTAAGTTCCAGGGTACATGTGCAGGATGTGCAAATTTGTTACATAGGTAAACATGTGCCATGGTGGTTTGCTGCACAGATGAACCCATTACCAATAGTCCAGCATGTATTGGATATTTTTCCTGATGTTCTTTCCCACCCTGGCCCCAGTGTGTATTGTTCCCCTCCTTATGTCCATGTGTTCTCATTGTTCAGCTCCCACTTGTAAGTGAGAACATGCAGTCTTTGGTTTTCTGTTCCTGCGTTAGTTTGAGAGCCCTACTTGTTTAAAGCACCGTTCCATGTAGAGATGGTTGGGAAAGTAAATATAAAAGCATGGTTCATGCCCATAAGTAGCTTAAATTAGTGTGTGTGTATTTGTGTGTATGTTTGTTTGTGTGTGGGAAGTGGGGTGGGAAGAAATAAATAAGCAAATAAATTACTATAAGACAGAGTATAAAAACCCTAAGACAGTAGAATCAAAGATGAGAATTTGTTTGTCCTGAGAAGTGAGAGGTCACATTTTTATGGGAAGATGTCAATTAGAAGACATCTTTACATCTATAGCTTAAAAGTAGACGGAATGAGTAAAAGACATGCTAGCAGAGGGAAGATGGAACAGAAAGGAAAGGGTAGAATTAATTTAACTTCATTGTATACAATGTAAATAGGAATAAAGAAGATTAAACTTAAATGCTAGAATTTCATCTGCTTTGACTTTTATGCACTTTTAACAAAGTATGATTTTAGATTTGTTACTTAAAGTGGTGGAAAAGAAAGGGAATTGAAAGTTTCTAACCTTGATTTTCTTTAGATTTTTAAAACTTGTCTGTGTTTCTCAACCTCAGCACTATTAATATTTCAGATGGGATAATTCCTTTTATGGGGGAGGTTTAGCCCCATCCCTGGCATCTACCCAGTTCTGGGACTAGGGTTGGGTAAGGGAGGCAGCTGGGGCACAATATTTAAGGAGGCATTCATTCTTTGGGGCTCATAAATTTTAATCCTGTACTTGCACAACCCTGAATTCCTCCTTAAATCTTGAGCCCTGGGCACCTTCTGTGCCTTGCCCTAGTCCTGACACTACCTCTGTCCTCTAGAAGCCAGTGGCACACTCCCAGTTGTGAAAGCCACATGTTTCCAAGCATTGCCAAATATCCTCTGAGGAACAGTATCACCCCCGGTTAAGGTGAAATGCAATCCAACTGGAATAACTTAGCATATTTTTTTATTTGTAAAATGCCAAAAGGAGCAGCCAGCAGTGTGGCCTTTTTTGTATTCAAAGTAGCAATTAAATACAGGTGTACTTTGGGCAGTGTATGAGTGGCTGAGACACACTTGGGGAAGAAGGGATTGAAGAGAGCTATGGAAAGAAACTGTTGTGAATTAATGGGCTGATGAGTGTTGCGTTAGGGAGAATTGAGGATTGTGTGAAAGTTACCAAAAGGTGAGGTATCTATTCTGCTCTTAATAATATACCCGACTTCCAGGCCTTGGTTGCATTGAAGAATAATAATTCTGATGTTCATCCGGGGGTGGATATGACAAGATTTTGAGTTACATTTTTCTGATCCTTGTAAAAATTCTTCAAAAATCTGCCATGTGCTTGTACTTTATTTTCTTTACATTATACAAAGTTAGGCAGTCTTTTTGGTTAAGGTTCCTTTGTACTATTTGTATTTGCTAATATCAGTTCTACCCAACCCTACTCTATTCTATTTTCTTGGGTTTTGAGGGAAGCTATGATACTTCAGAAACTGCAATTTGTGCATTATGGCTGCCAAAGTAACAGATACATCAGATACTAATGGACTACTAATCATATCAGTTCATATGAGATCACAAAGCCACATTGTATTGTATGTAGTCTACAGTTTAAATAAGAGAGATATTGTTACTTAACATTTAGCAGTAGAGTTCAATCCCTACAGTTCCAGGTGTTTCACATTCGGTGATGTGACACCTAGTGTGGTGCTTCATTTTTTTGCCACACTTACTACAAAAGTTGATAAATAATAATAATGACAAATTAAATCATTCAGCTTCATAGCTCACTGTATTAGTCCATTTTTACACTGCTATAAGTAACTACCAGAGACTGGGGTAATTTATGAAAAAAAAAAAAGAGATTTAATTGACTCACAGTTTTGCATGGATGGGGAGGCCCCAGGAAACTTACGGTCATGGTGGAAGGTGAAGGGGAAGCAAAGCACATATTCCATGTCAACAGGAGAGAGAGTCAGGGGAGGTGCTACACTTTAAAACCATCAGATCTCCTGAAAAGTCACTTACTATCACGAGAATGGCATGGGGCCAACCACCCCATGATCCATCAAATCACCTCCCACCAGCTCCCTCCTTCAACACAAGGATTACAACTGGAGATGAGATTTGGGTGGGGACACAGAGCCAAACCATATCACTCACTAACTTCTGCCAGGCAGGCATTGTGCTGTATATTGTATTTGCATTTAATGCTTAGTAACCCTTACTGATGATTACTAACATTATCCCTATTTTATGGATATGGAAACTGAAACAGCCGGGTTCATTATCTTGTCCGTAGTCACATGGTTAGGATCACTTGATTCCAAATCTGCCAACTCTGGAATCCGTTCTTACATACTACATCAGGTCTGCCTGTAGATGGCCTTGTAGATTGTGCAGAGTACCTCCAGGTGGTAGCAGCATGCACACTGTGTGCATTATGAGCACACTGAGATTATACTGGGAGGTACATGATAAGTGCCAGATGAATTCCAGTGCTTTTAAATGTTGTTTATTTTGTTAAAGAAAAAAAATTATTCAATATTACTTGTTAAAGCTTGGTAAGAAAGACTTTATTTAATATCATCACCATAGGTATGGGAAACCACTGCAACTGCATGTTATAGTTGGTGAGAGAGATTGAGCAAGTGAGAATTCATAGCCAAGGAGCAGGGTAGGGGTTAGTAGGTGGAAAATTACTAAGAGGAAACTTTGGGGATAAGGGGGATTCCAGCCAAACCAACCTTAACGAGATTCTTACTGAAGATAGGCCAGGGTGGTCAGATATCACCTGAGGGATGGTGGAGGATGAAGAGCCTGAGTAGATATCCAGGGCAATGCTATATCAAAGGTGTAAGGTTTTTGCTAAAGCAACATAGCAGGGCTCTTTGCTAAAACTGGATTTTATAAGAAAGTGCACAGATGGGCCTTGAAGAAGGCTTAAGAGTCTGAATAAAGTTTGACCAAGTAGAGAATTTTTGTAAATTAAAACAATTTTATCTTGAATGCTCTACAGTGGGTGATAGGAAAGAGGGAAATGATTTATTTCTTTTGTTTTCCCTGCAAGGATATTCCTAGATATAAATTATATTGAAAAAAGGATGGAAGGGTAGAATGCAAGGAAATGTTGTTTCTTGCCTGTTATGGTTTCCACATTCTAGTTCAGCTGATGCACTTGAGAATGCAACTACCCCTTTAGAACTATTCTTTCATCTAGTGTTAGTGAAAATTGTATAATGCCACCACAGTTCTTTTTCTGAGGCCTAAGGCTAGAATATTCTCTCCCCATTATTTATTATTGTCATGCAGCCATTAGCTTTTGCCATTAGAAACTATGCTTATACTAAAGGTGTTACAGCTGGATGTATGTGCTCTAAATTCTCATTACATGCTGCTGACCTCTCCCTATAAATCTCAGCTTGGAGTTATCAGCTTTCTACTTGTTGGCCCTAATTGGAAAGTTCTCTGCTATATACAGGTACAAAATGTACTATTGGAGCTTGAATTTCTGCCCCTTATTAACATTGATTGCCTGGTTGACTTATTTCCTCAATTCTCTTTCCATTGGAAATCTGGCTGAAACAAATTCCTCAGTTTTATATACAAAGTGAGCTTATGATAGAACACATTACAAATCATGCAATGCAATAAATGACACAATCCAATGCTTTTGCCATTAAAGAATATTAAAATATCCTTTACTTTACTAATTACTTGAACACCATTTCTTCCACTTAATAATCTAGAAACAAATTCATGAATTTTCCAGCAGTTTGAAACTTATTTTTATCTGTTTGAAAATCCATGTATCAGTTATACAATAGTATTTTCCATGAAGGTTTTGTAAGGAGTTATGTTATAATTTCCTAAAACCTATCTATACTTCAGATGGATTCTATTTTGACAAGACTCCTGTGTAGCCCAGAGGTGGCAGAGGGGATATTTCTGACTTGATTTATCTGTCCATCAGAAAAAAATATTCCTTCTTCTTCAGAGGAAGGTAGACTGTATACTGCACTTAAAACTCTTAAACACTCAAAAATCCCTGTTCTCGGTTCTTTATGTATGTTAATAATGACATGCTAGAAATCAGTAGTATTCAGAAAGATTCATCTTAAGTGCATACTTAGAAGTATCAATGTTTTAGTACATATTTAAATATTTAAACAGTTATTTCACCAATTTCTATTAAATGCACTTCTGTAAAAAAAAAAAAAAAAACTGTGTAGGGTATGCTGAATGTGAATTTTGTTTTCCTTACATTTTTATTTATTTTTTTCTATTAGAAACTGACTAACCAATCTTCAAATAAAGCAAACTTAGGCTTCATGAACTCGTGAGATAAAATGATCAAAACTGTGTAGGTTCTAAATTAATACCTGTTTACACTTACGATATTTGAAGAAATTAAATAAGAACACTTTCTGTTTCCCTCAGATGAACTTATTTTTCCCAGCATTAATGTCAAGAAACAATCAAAGAGGAAAACATTAATGTAGAAAATTTTCATCATTGAAAATTGAAGTTAAATTATTATTCTCTTTTTTTCTAATGTATGGAACAAAAGTATTTTAGGCCTTTTCTGATTAAGTTATTCTACAGAATGTTCAGGCAACATACTTTTTTTTACATCTGGTGACAAAAATAGATGCACAAAATAGGAATTTATTTATTTATTTATTTTGGGACAAATTCTCACTGTGTTGCCCAGGTTGTAGTGCAATGGCACAATCACAGCTCACTGCAACCTTGACTATTCAGGCTCAAGCAGTCCTCTGCCTCTGTCTCCCAAGTAGCTGGGACTACAGGTGTGCACCACCACACCTAGCTAATATGTTTTAAAGTAGGAATTTATTATCAGATATTGCAATTTGCAGAATTATAAGGGTGGTGGACAAATTCAGCTGGAGAGACAATAAGTAGTACATACATTTGGAGATATATGATGAATTTGATTACATGAATTTAAGATTAGAAATTCCAATGTTATACTAGTTTTATGTAGTGCTGGGCACACTGTGATAATCCAGATGCTAATCCTTAAGCACATCTACTTGATATGTTGTTACTTTTCATGTAGTATGTAGATTATGAGAAAATAATTCCTGATTTCCCATAACTTAGAAAATTTTGTTTTTATTTCCATTATGGGCCTGTAGAAGTCAAGTACCTCTGACCTTTCAGCTCATTTCTTTGAACAGAAAATAGTTAAGAATAATCAGCTTCTACCCTTTGAGTATTAAAAAAGAAACTGTCACCATGTCACATGATTCAAATGTAAATCTAGCTTTCTGCTCTGGCTTAGTAGAAAGATTATCTTTGCTTTAGCCTCTGACTGCTTTTAGTAAAAGAAGCAGTCCCTTCACTGCCCCTTTTGTGTGCACATTGAAAGGGAAAGAAACCAACATGTCACACATATTTAAATTTTTAAAAAGTACCTAAATTTAAGATACCACAAAGTGTTATTCTCAAATCTGTCGTGTGCTGCCTACATGCCCAGAGCTCAAAAGAAACTGGTAAAATGCATTTTGGGACAAAAGGATTTTTTCTGCTAAATATTTTAAATCTAATAATCTGATATTTTAGAGTGACTAGTTATTTTCACCTCGGTCTCGTTGAGGCTTTCCTGCTCATTTATCATTCTCTTTCTGTTTTTTTTTTTCTCTTCTTTCTGTTTTAGCATTCACCTTTGTAGGGTTAGAAAGGTGTGAGACCTTTTCTCATACATCAGTCAGAGGCATTAGACTTACATAATAGGTTGACACTCCTATAGCAAAAGACAGGTTAATGAAAAAAGCATGGCAAATTTATTTAATCAAAGTTTTATGTGATATGGGAGCCTTCAGAAATGAAGACCAAAGACCCAGGGAAAACCGTCTGTTTTATGTTTACGTTCTCTTGTGATTTGACTGTGTTCTCCAAAGTTCATGTGTTGGAAAGTTAGTTCCCAATGCAACACTGTTAAGAGGTGGGGCCTAATGAGGTGATTAGGTCATAAGGGCTCTGCCTTCATAAGTGGATTAATGCCTTTATCATGTGAGTTGATAAGTTCCTGTGAAAGTTGGCTTGCTATAAAAGCAAGTTTGGTTCCCTCTTGCTCTTTCATGCTCTTTTGCTTTTCTGCCTTCTGCCATGAAATGATGCAGCAGGAAGGCCTTGTCCAGATGCCAGCACCATGCTCTTGGGCTCCCCATTTCCAGAACTGTGAGCCAGATAAACTTCTATTGCTTAGAAATTACCCACCCTGTGGTTTTCTGTTATAGCAGTACAAAATGAGCTAAGATTCATTTTGTAAGCTGTCTATTCGATAAAGAATAGACAGCTGTGTTGAAATGTAACTGGATAAAAGTATGGGTAAAATGAAATGGTAATAGGCTGAAGGAGGAAAACCCAGCAAAACCTGTCTGTTCAGATGCTTTTTGGACTCTTTGTGTAGCATTCTTTTCTCCCAGGAAGGGGCAAGATCTTTCTGGAATGAGAATCTTCAAGAAAGAAGGGACAGGGGAGGGAGTGACTTTCTAGATTTTATGGCTTGCTTTAGAGAAGAGGGGTTCTAGATTCTGTGATTCACTTTGGGAAAGTAGTATATCATTTTCATTCTTTCACTGACCTAGGAGATAATCCTATTTTAGAAATGAAGAAAATTTGATTTTTAGAGCTTAACTAAATTTTCCCAATTCACTCAGTTCATTAGTGGTTGACCCAAGAAGACAGACCTGACTTTTAACATCTTAAATATTCTACAAGTAATTCTTATATCTCTGAAAATTTAAACATTTTCAAAATACTTTCTCCAGTCTATTTGGTGTAATTTTTAAAATGTCTTTCATGATAATTTTCTAGGAAAAGGTTTGTGTAAGTTTCTATCAGAGGAGACTAGAATCTCTGTTAGCTGTTTTGGCCTACAATTAACACAGGAAACATGATACTAAGTACTTATATGAATATCAAATTACGAGAAGAGTTTATGTATTTTTATGTATCCTGATGGGTTATTACATCTTTACTATTAACATGTGAGTTGCATTGTATGTTGGTAGTTGAAACTGATTTGAGCCAGAATAGTTAATTCTTAAACATTAAGTTTTAATTTAATAGCTTACAATCCTATTCAGTTTTAATCTTTCATTGGGAAATATAAACTGAGTAATACATACATGAGCAAACTGTATAATACTTTTGGGTGATGGGCTTTAGACTTGAATAATTCTTTAAAAGTGCATTGGTTATATTTTTTCAAAGTTTTTTCAGCAATTTTCAACACCTGTTTCAGGAGTTGAGAGCTAATTTTTCATAACACTCTTGTAATTGTTACCATCATTCTTTGGCTTTATCCTTCTGTATTCTGAAAATCATTTTTTAGTTTACTCCATCAATTTTGTTTGAGACAAAACAGCGCATTGTTTGGCTCCTTTCTTATTTCTCTCCTTACAATGTTTTTACAGATATTACTGTTTATAAGCAATAAAACAAACACAAAAGCAACCTAAAACTACGATATCAAACTCTTTGTAACAATGAGGGGGTTGAAGTCATGCTGTATAACCAAAGTGATTAAAAGGAAAAAAGAAAACTACTGCTTCTTTTTTGTCATTCTGGTTTTTGAGACCAGATCTCACTCGGTTGCCCAGGTTAGAGTAGAGTGGTACAATCAAAGCTCACTGCAGCCCCTGACTCCGGGCTCAAGCTATCCTCCTGCCTCAGCTTCCCAAGTAGCTGGGACGAGAGATGCAAGCCACCATGCCTGGCTAATTTTTTTGTATCTTTTGTAGGGACAGGGGTCTCCCGATATTGCCCAAGTTAGTCTCAACTCCTGGGCTCAAGAGATTCTCCCATCTTGGCCTCCCAAAGTGCCAGGATTATAGGCATGAGCCAGCATACCTGGCCAACTACTGTTTATCTACACATGCACACAACCCTTCCGACACCAAATATATGATAATTTTTCCCTTGCCAACCATTCTCCAATTTTGTCTCATACTAAATGAGTGTCTTACAATTTAACTCAATTCTTATGCTAATGGCCCAGAGTTAGTGCAGACTCCACAGGTTAAGGGCTCAATCTCACAATACGTTTCCATACTTCAGATGCCAATCACATGTAGTATGTCCCCAGATCTCCCACAACTTCTGTCCAACATGGCCACAAATTGGGGATTCCAGCTCCTTACTCAGGTTCAATAATTTGTTAGAACAGCTCGCAGAACTCAAGGGAACATTTTCTTATAGTTACCAGTTTATTATAAAGGATATAACTCAGAAATAGTCACACGGAATTGGTGCACAGGACATGGTGTGGGTGGGGGTACACAGCTTTCATGTTCCCTCTAGGCATGCCACCTTCCCAGTACTTGGAGCAGCATTAACAGTTGTAACTATTTCTCAGCCACATGCCAAATTTAAATGGTTGTAAGGAAACTCAGGAATGTTGCTAGAAACAAAGAAGACATTAGGCTCAACACAATTAGTAAGCAGAACGAAAGGGAATTTGCAATTTACTCTAATGTTTTTAATATTTGACTTTTGGGGGACATTTCATGATTAGAACTTTTGTGTCCTATTTAAATTTTGGTGAATGTCCCTGTTTTATAATTTGAAATTAAATCTTGGGTTAACTTGAACTTTATGCCCCCCCAGAGAAAAAATAATTTAGAATTTCACTTTTCCAAGCATTAGGATTGTTATTTTTGCTTGTTATGAGAAATTAAATACGTGACATTCTGAAAAAGAAAGTAGTGCTTTTCCTAAAATAGTCTCGAATTCTGTCTATCCAGATAACAAGAGGATCCATGCCACCGTTTACTACTAAAACTGTTTATCATCCCATGTGTTTGCAATTGTGTAGGATTTTTTTTCAATGATTTTTTCCTTTTTTACCATTTGATTGACAGATACAATGAAAGTTTTTCACAGCCCCTATCCAAAACAAGTTCTGCCATGTATTAAAAACTGAAAATACCCATCCTTCATCTTGGAAGCCTCATAAAGAGTCTGATATTCTAAATGTATTTTCTAAAACATTAAAAAAAGAAAATATTTTGGTGTTTTGCCAAAGTTCCCTTAAGAATTTTAAAACTAATATTGTGTAGGTTTTTTAAAGAGGAACTGCATGTATGAAAAAATGACTTATGTGGTCAAATTGCATGCTTAGAAAGGTTTCTAGTTGAACAAAACACTGAAGGCAACATTTGTATAGAAAATTAAAAATATATATATTTATATGTCTATACATACATATTGTTTGAAAAATCTTATTTAACTGTTTAAGCTTTATCTATAAATTGGAGATGTGATAGCTGCCAGGAAATGATGTAGGGAGAAATGGATGAAATAGCACATACAAAGTAGTTACCTGGGTAAATCTCTATCTTATCACTAACTCTTCCATCCCAGAGGCCTCCTTTATCACACAAGCTAAAGAACCAATTTCCACCATGTCTTATTCTTATAATCCTTTTTAAATTTAATTGATACAAAGCAGTCTTTTTAATGTATTTGTATTCCCTACTAGGGCAGAGACATTGTGTGTTCATTTGCTGCCAAATTCTCCAGAGTCTATTCTTATACATGGTATGCATTCATTTATTCATTCATTCAAAAACAATTCTTACAGCCTACTTTGCTTTTGATGGGGTTACCATGCTGAATGAAAAATGAAGTTTCTGCTTTGATAGGATATAAAAATAGTTTATTTATAAGCCAATACTTTTTTGATGAGTCCAAATATATATGATAATTGTGCAATAGTTTCTAGGGCTATTTTTTTTTAGCAGGTATCAGCATAGGAAACAAAATTAGTCCGTTGTACAAAATATTGCCTTTGTAACTTTTCTAATATTTACATTGAAGGGAGCCATTTTACATGGATATTTCTAATTTGAGGAGAGTTGCTTAACATTATTGGATGTCACTGTTTCTTACATTTTCCGTTAGTGAAAGAAGGGAGCCAATTCTGATGCTCTTCTACAATCCAGGGCTTAAAGAACCATTATTCATTGTACTTTTCAATGTATGTCACTTTCTTTTTATAGAATGTCTTTGTGGCCCTTTCCTAGATGTCATTAATAAGGCAGTGTAGAGTTTGTCCTTGGTGGGAAGATGTATAATAGTGGTAATACTTCACCATTTTGGATTATCAAAACTGTATCTATGTGCCCTAAAACACTGAGTAGCATCTAGCAAACCATATGTTTTCTAATATTGCTTTATATAGTGTTACAAAAAAAGTATCAATTTAAAAAATTATAATGCTAATTCATTTCAATTTAAACACAATCTAAATTAAGTCCTTTCTTATACATTTACATTCTGGAGACAAAGTTTTTGAACTGCATAGATGATCTAACAAGTATTTCAAAATGAATTTGCTCTGTTAGCATTTCCTGTACAGATTCATTATCCTTTGTTTCCGTGCTTCATTTTGACCCTCAGGCTTGGAATTCCTTACCTATAGTCCTGTTAGCCCATTGATTCCTCCTTATCCTTTAAGAATTATTCTAACCATTCTTTTTTTCTGGAACCTATTTCTGCCCTTCATTCACCCCAGGGTGGTTAGATATCCGTTCTTAGTGTTCCCATAAAATCATGCACATATTTATTTCGCTTACCATATTTTTCATAATTATGTTTCTTCATTTGCATCTCCTACTAGATTGTGACCTTTTTGATACTCAGGATTTTATGTGTTAATCTTTGTAACTCTAAAGCTTAATGCAGTACCTGTCTTATAGATGGTGCACAGTAAATGTACATTGCATTAGTGGATGAATAAAAGTTAAGAATGAAGATGGATCTGATTCTTCATGCAGAAGATAGAGCCTCAAGGAAGGTATAGTCCAGAAGACAAAGCACAATTCAGTGATGATGACTTTTCCCACTGTGATAGTAGTCAAAGTTATAGAATGAATGGGCAATAATGAAATAAAAATTGATTGAGGAAGAACATGCAATCTAGACTAGAGAATTGACTAACCATCAATTAAGATTGTCTTTATAGAGTTCAGTTGAGATAGATTCCATAATTGTTGTGAAGAATTTGGAAATTGTACACAGAGTAAAGAATTCTGAAACTTAGTTGAAAGTAACTTGTTGAAAAACCTTATAATAATTGGGAATACAGGCACAAAGGATGTTGGAAAGTTTATTGTAGAGCCATAGATTATTGATGAGTTATCACTGCCAGCATATCCTCAGAATACATTTATGTTGTCAATTTTTAAAAGCACTTGGATAATTAATTTAGATTAATATAATTCACTTAGATTCTGTATAAAATATTGGTAAATGATATTACTTCCTTGATTTAGACTTTACTTTCTGCCACAGACTATGCTGCATACTTTCATATGCATTAACTTTAATATTTACTCCAATGTAATTATTCACATTTTACAGATGAGGAAACAGAGGGTAAGAAAGCTCAATCCAATTGTCTTGGATCATAGAACTAATAACATTTCTGACATTAAATCCATTCCATTTGAATTGAAAGTCTGTACTTACACTACTCTGCACTATGACCCCAAGAGTCTCTAATATACATATAAGTTTTCGGCACAAGTTGAAAGTGGTAAGCATATATGTCTATAAATCTAGTTGTCTCTTACATAGTTATTCATTTGTTCATTTAGTCATCAAACATTTATTGGCCCTCTAGGCACTGCTAGGTACTGCATATGTAACATATCCATATATCATCATGGAAGTTACAGTGGAAGAGACTGGCATTAGAAATATAAACAACTGTATAATGACAATTTTTGATAAATGCTATGAAGAAAACTGGAGTGCCTTTTATTAAGCAGATTACAGAGCAGGCTTCTTATGTACTTACTTCCCTGTGGGCAAATATAATTAGATTTACAATATAGCTTACTGTAATTCAAGAAGATGCTTAAAATAGCTGTAGATAAATGGGACCACACCAGTGTAATCAAGCTGAACAGTCTGAAAACGTTGGTCTTCTAGCAGTCTTTTCACAGCACAGAGGGAATTTTGGCAAACTATGTGGTATTCTTGAAGAAAATCGTGGTGTTACACTTCAATAGGTTCTGAAAATTTACCAAATGTCACATCGGTATTTCAGTTTTGGAGAGTGACTTTGAAACTATTTCATCAATGACCTACATCAGTTCACAAAAGAACATAATTATCCATGGAGATAACTCTTAGGTTACCCTTTAAAAAAGCATTATCTGTCCTGCTGCAACTCTGAGCATATGGCAGATTTTGAATCGGAAATATGGATACAGCATTTGATAAGTTTGAATATTTGGCTTAAAATATTGATAACATTTGGCATAAAATCAAAATAGTAATATAACAGGAGAATTTATTTCATTTAGAACTTAGTAAAGGTGGGTGGTCAAAATAAATAAAAAAACAAAAAAATACAAACAAAGCAAAGCAAAACTATGTGAAACTTTGCCGGATGTTAACGACAACCTAGACCCTGGCTTTAGTGCGCATCAAAAGTTATAAAGTCTTGTCCGGGCACGGTAGCTCATGACTGTAATCCCAGCAGTTTGGGAGGCTGAGGTGGGTGGATTACTTGATGTCAGGAGTTCGAGACCAGCCTTGTCAACATGATGAAATCCCATCTCTACTAAAAATACAAAAATGAGCCGAACATGTTGGCGCATGCCTGTAATCCCAGCTACTTGGGAGGCTGAGGCACGAGAATTGCTTGAGCCTTGGAGGTGGAAACTGCAGTAAGCCAAGAAAATGCACTCCAGCCTGGGCAACAGAGTGAGACTCTTTCTCAAAAACAAAAAACAAAAATGAAAACAGTTATAAAGTCTTACGTTTTAGTTTTAGAAGTTACCTTGGACCTGTAATATAATATCATAAATAACTGGTACTTAACTAATTTCTGATTGCAAAAAAATTTCTAAGTTAATGATCTGTTTATTTGATTTTTATTTTCTCACCAACAAATGTGTGTTGTAACTTTACTTCTCGTTCCTCCCTCCCCTTTCAAAATTTCTTTATAACGGATAGAAAACATAATTTCCTGACAGTTGGAGACATTTTTGTAATTATCTGCAAACCTGCGAGGTTTAAGACTCTTATTTGTTAATGCCATTAGAAAGTGGTTGAAATGATTTTCATGAAGTAAGTAAAAATGTATGTGAAAGATAGAAGTTAAGCATGAAATCCAATATCATAATTGAAACCCATTATCATTTATCAACTTTAAACATTATGAGCCTTCCCTATTATTGTTTTTCCTGGAGTTTCCTTATCCTGTTAGTACTCTTCATTATCTCTTATGTCTTTCTTGTGTACCACTCTCACAGGGGAGAAACCTTTAAATTGGGTCTTGAGGAATAAATAGGAGCTTGCTCAACAGAAAGGTGACTAAGAGGATTTCTTAATAGGCACTGACATCTATTCAGGCTAGAAAGTTAAATTAGTTCAGTTTTATTATTGGATGTAGTGCAAGAGAAGACATGATGCTAAAAGAGAATAAAGCAGTGGTATAGGGTCAGATCAGATAGCAAAACCATTTGATATGGTTGGGCTGTGTCCCCACCCAAATCTCATCTTGAATTGTAGTTCCCATAGTCACCACATGCTGTGGGAGAGACCCACATGCTGCTCTTATGATAGTAAATGAGTTCTCACAAGATTTGATGGTTTTATAAGGGGCTTTCCCCTTTGCTTGTGTCACATTCTTCTTCTTCCTGCTGCCAAGTGAAGAAGGATGTGTTTGCTTCCCCTTCTACCATGATTGTAAGCTTCTTGAGGCCCTCCCAGCCCTGTGCAATGGTGAGTCAATTAAGCCTCTTTCCTTTATATATTACCGAGTCTTGGGTGTGTTCTCATACCAGCATGAGAACAGATTAATACAGTAAATTAGAACCACAGAGAGTGGGGTGCTGCTATAAGGATACCCAAAAATGTGGAAGCAACTTTGGAACTGGGTAACAGGCTGAGGTTGGAACAGTTTGGTGGGCTCAGAAAAAGACAGGAAAATGTGGGGAAGTTTGGAACTTCATAGAGACTTGTTGAATGGCTTTGACCAAAATGCTGATAGTAATAGGGACAATGAAGTCCAGGCTTAGGTGGTCTCAGATGGAGATGAGGAACTTGTTGGGAACTGCAGTAAAAGTCACTCTTGCTATGCAAAGAGACCAGCAGCATTTTGCCCCTGCTGTAGAGATTTGTGGAATTTGACCTTGAGGGAGAGGATTTAGGGTATCTGGTGGTAGTAATTTCTAAGCAGCAAAATGTTCAAAAGTAAGTAGAGCATAAAAGTTTGGAAAATTTTCAGCCTAACAATACGATAGAAAAGAAAAACCCATTTTCTGGGGAGAAATTCAAGCTTGCTACAGAAATTTGCATAGGTAATGAGGAACCAAATGTTAATCACCAAGACTGTGGGGAAAATGTCTCCAGGGCATGTCAGAGACCGTCACAGCAGCCCCTTCCGTCACAGGCTTGGAGGCCTAGGAGGGAAAAATCATTTCCTGGGCTGGGCCCAGGGCCCCCCTGCTGTGTGCAGCCTCAAGACTGGATGCTTTGTGTCTCAGCCACTCTAGCCATGGCTAAAACGGGCCAAGGTACAGCTCAAGCCATTGCTTCAGAGGGTGCAAGCCCTTAGGCTTGGAAGCTTCCACATGGTGTTGGTCCTGCAGGTGCATAGAAGGTAAGATTTCAGGTTTGGAGACCTCCACCTAGATTTCAGAGGATGTATGGAAATGCCTTGATGTCCAGGCACAAGTCTGCTGCAGGGTGGAGCTCTTATGGAGAATCTCTGCTAGGGCTAGGGCAGTGCAGAAGGTGAATGTGTGGTTGGAAGCTCCCCACAGAGACCCCACAGGGGCATTGCCTAGTGAAGTTGTAAGAAGAGGGCCACCATCCCCTGGAACCCAGAATGGTAGATCCACCAACAGCTTGCATTGTGCACCTGGAAAAGCTGCAGGCACTCAATTCCAGCCCATGAAAGCAGCCAGGAGGGGGGCTGTACCATGCAAAGTCACAGGGGCAGAGCTGTTTAAGGCCATGGGAGCTCACTTCTTGCATCATTGTGACCCAAATGTGAGACATGGAGTGAGTCAGCTTTTGGAACTTTAAAGTTTAATGACTGTCCTACTGGATTTCAGACTTGCATGGGCCTGTAGCCCCTTTGTTTTGGCCAATTTCTTCCATTTGGAATGGGTGTATATACCCAATTCCTGTACCCCCATTGTATCTAGGAAGTAATTAACATGCTTTTGATTTTACAGGTTCACAGACAGAAGGGACTTCCCTTGTCTCAGATAAGACTATGGACTTGGACTTTTAGGTTAATGCTGAAATGAGTTAAGACTTTGGAGAATCGTTGGGAAGGGCATGATTGTATTTTGAAATGTGAGGACATAAGATTTGGGAGGGGCTGGGGGTGGAATGATATGGTTGGCTGTGTCCCTACCCAAATCTCACCTTGAATTGTAGTTCCCATAATCCCCATGTATCATGGGAGGGGACCTGATGGGAGGTAATGTAATCATGGAGGCTCTTACCCCTGTGCTGTTCCTGTGATAGTAAGTTCTTATGAGATCTGATGGTTTTATAAGGGGCTTCCCTCTTCGTTCAGCTCTCATTCTTCTCCTTTCTGCTGCCATGTGAAGAAGGATGTGTTTGCTTCCCCTTCCACCATGATTGTAAGTTTCCCAAGGCCTCCCTAGCCCTGTGGAACTGTGAGTCAATTAAACCTCTTTCCTTTATAAATTATCCTGTCTCAGGTATGTCCTTATAGCAACTTGAGAATGTACTAATACACTGTAAGTTTCATGAAGAAATGATCACATCAGGTAAAGTTGTGTTTGGTGACCAGAAGGGGCCCACCTTCACTGCAGAAGCAGAAGAAAATGAATGAAGGACTAATAGAGATACATAAATGTGCACAGGTAATCAAGATGTTGTGGGAGTTCATGCCTGATCTGATGGCATTAATTTTTAATTTAAATAAGCCAGGTTAGTTGGGAGTGTGGCTCATTCCTGTAAGCCCAGCACTTTGGGAGGTCTAGTTGGGAGGATCGCTTGATGCCGGGAGTTTGAGATCAGCCTGGGCAACATGGTGACCACAAAACATGGTCACTACAAAAAAAAAATACAAAAATTAGCCAGATGTGGTGGAACATGCCTGTAGTCCCTGCTATTTGGGAGGCTGAGGTGGGAGGATCACCTGAACTTGGCGAGGTAAAAGCTGCAGTGAGCCATTATTGTGCCACTGCACTCCAACCTGGGTGACAGAGTGAGACCTTGTCTCAACAACAACAAGAACAACAACAATAAGAAGCCAGGTCAACTGCAGGGGGTGATTGAGGATATTTAGGGAACTTAAGGTTAAGGGATGATGTTAGAACTGTAATGGAGGAGAGGAAGATACCAAGATATGTGTGAAGAGCTTACTGGACAGGCCTTGGGGTCCTGCTGAAATTGAAACATATAAATATGTAGTGGTATCAATCTGTACAATTAATCCATGTCCCTTAGCTCTATTTAATGCAATAATTGCATAGTCCATTCCAAGTTTGGAATTTTCAGACTTCTTGTTGCAAGAAGACATAGGCATGAGGGACTTGAGATTGTTAGTGATTGATTATAGATGATATTAATATTTATTGAGTACATATGATATGTTAGTAATTGTACTTAGTACGTTATATACGTTGCCACATTTAAACCTTTTTTTTCTATGAGGAATAAATATTGTTGCCACTTTCTAAAAACCAACTGAAGATTCAGGTATGTAATTTTCTCAAAATAGATTTACCATGATGTAGTGTAACTGGGATTTGAGTGAAGAAACATTGCAGCTGAACAGAGAAAAAAAGTGAGGCTAAAAAGGGCTCATAGTTTAGGAGAAGATGTATCAAGAGACTAACCAGTCTCAAGAGGATTCCAGGACAGGATTGATTGAAATAAAATATTTTAGATTGCGTGAAATACAGGGAACTAATTGGTAAGTAGAACATCAATGTTTAAGCCTCTAGTGATAGAGGCATTCAGAGTGGCCATGAGATCCAAGTTGGAAATGGTTTTCTGAAATGAGAGTTGAAGTAGAGATCATGAATTCTATGGATAGATTATTGATTGTGGTGCATAGGTATTGATTATCAATATTGATTTTGGTGGGATTTTGGAATCAGGAGAAATGGATTTTGAAGGAATAACCTAAAAGTTGATGAGTCCTAGTATTCAGAGTGATACAGATTAGTGAAGTGAATGTAAGTGAAAAAGAAGAATTTTTTGCATGAAAGTGGAAAAGTAATGACACAAAAGCCACAAAATGGAAGTAGGATTATTCTGAGCCTCTATCTTGATCTGAATGCATGAAGACGATGACTTATATAAATCAGGCTTTTAAGGAGAAAACAATTTGGAGACAAACTAATGTCTCAGGAATAAGGAAGTTTGCTTATTAAAAAATGGGAGTCATAGAGTGTACAATGGACAAGGTTGAGAAGGACATCAAAAGGAGTGTGGTAGGGTGGAGAGCATGAACCAAAAGGGAAAAAGTGCATAGCTGTGTAAGCGAGGGATTGCGAAAGAGGATTAGTGATTAGAGGAAACAGTTTATTTGGGGCTTGAGAGTGAGAGACAAGAGGCATCAGTGGAATTTAGTGGCTTTAAATTTGTAAACAGAGCTTTGGTTTAAAGGTGTTTTGCTATTTCATTTCCAAATACTGCCATGACCTGACTTTCAACCACATTATTATTTGAGCTAAGTGAGGATGACAATGTTCAAAGTTCAGTGGTGCTTGGGGCTGATACAGGAGTCTTGTTGGTCAGATCAGTGGAAGATTTGGATGATATTAACTGGATCTATACCTCTGGTTTTGTGGCCTTACTTAATAGTATTTTACTTTAAAAGTTCTAGGCCAGACAAGGTGGCTCACACCTGTAATACCAGCACTTGGGGATGCTGAGACAGGTGGATCACCTGAGGTGAGGAGTTCAAGACCAGCCTGGCCAACATGGCGAAACCCCGTCTCTACTAAAAATACAAAAATTAGCCAGGTGTGGTGGCGGGCACCTGTAATCCCAGCAACTTGGGAAGCTGAGACTGGAGAATCACTTGAACCTTGGAGGTGGAGGTTGCAGTGAGCTGAGATCATGCCATTGCACTCCAGTCTGGCCTATAAGAGTGGAACTCCATCCCCCCTCCCCACCAAAAAAAAAGTTCTAAAAATATTAGTAAAAATTTTATAGATATTTGTCTAATATTTCACTTTTTCAAGGCATTGCATTGTATTAATTTAATATTTAGTGTTTAGGATTTATATATATCATCTTTTTTTTTGCTTATTAGAACAGATACCCCCTTGATGATATTAATTTCCATTGTTAAATTTTAAAAGGGTATAGTCTTACCTGAGCACTTAAATAACTGTAACGAAAATTTAAATTGGGTCTGTAGATTTACTTGTTTCACAAGACATGAAAAAGAGTGTGTGTCTTATTCAAAATAAAGGAGATATGGTATTATGAAGTGAATTCTAAGCATACAATTCATCAAAGTTTAGCACTAGAAGTGTTTTTATACACCACATAGTCCAGACACCTATTTATGGCTGATGCATATCCATTTGGTGTCTTTTCATGAAAGATATTTCTTCTAACTGGTATTGTGGAAACAGTGAGCAAGATCAAAGTTGGAATATTGTCTCTACCCTTAAAGCTGTATACCCCTGAGAACTTGACTTCTCCAAGCAGAGTATTTCCTCTTTTGTAAAATGGAGATGTTACCATTATCAAAGAGTGATTGAGAGGACTAGAGTGCCCATTTTACTTTTAGATATCTTTGACTATGAGGTCATACTTATACTGAACAAAAATCTATCTCTCTGTAGTTCAGTGAATATATCTATTCACATATAGTTATGTCCCAGGAATGGATCTGCTTTGGTATCCCTGCTGTGCTCAGGCGTGGGTTGGGAGGTGCCTGTGGGAAGGGTGGACTCCATGCAAATTCAGCAATGGATTTCAGAGCTCAGAAGCTTGAGCCCTTGGTCAGTTATACTCCCTCTAGTTGTAGGTCTTTGAGGCACATGCTTAAAAGCACCACATCATATTTGTCTATCTTAATTGTATGTAAAAATAAAATTGCTAAAAGCTCTAGTGTACTATTTGCTTTATAGAGTGAAAGATAAATGTAAATTTTGCTATGGGGAGATGGTAGCTAAAAGAAGCTACTATTTTTGCTTCTCTCTTACTCCCATGCAGAGCCCTTCTCAAAACCACCCATGCTTCCCTCAGAGTAAGGTGATAAACTGAGCATGGCAACATTCCAAGACAAGCTCGGTACAATTTGCCTTTGCAGTGTGTCTTGGCTTTGCTCCTCTTCGTGGTTAATTTTCAATACACCACTAAACAAATTATATTTTTTCAATGTTTATTGATTTTTCTTTCATCTTTGACTTCCTCAATTAGGAAAAGGGTAGGCTATGAATGTCTCTATAACAAAGAAGTGAGAACAAGATTAGTGAACTCAATAATTTTGTTAAAGTTTTGAGATCAAAGCTTATTGTCCTAGTGTTTTTCTTACTCATTTTCAGTATATGATGATGTAGGCCATTTCCTTAGATTCCATTCATGTAACTGTATTACCCTTGCTTAGAGATTTTAAGTTATGCTACTTATTAAGGAGTACCATAGAATTTCTTATGTCAGCCATGAAAACAGCTGTATACTGTAGCTGTAAATAGTGTTTACAGTTATATACATGTAGCTGTTTGTAACATGGCTTTTTAGAATCTGTCTCCAGTGACTTTCAAACATCACCTTTGCTGGTTATGTAAACTTAAAACAATGGATTTGCTTTTGGACATCTAAGAGTATGATGTGGTGTCTCATGCCTGTCATTTACCAGCAAAAGAAATGTTACTCTTCAGCTTTGCCACAATGCCCTCACATTCTTCAACCTTGAGTTAGTCAGCCACTTATCAGCTGATGTGATTTTACATTTTTGCCTTGATCATTAATCATTCACTCTAAGTTCTCCATTTATAGCGTTTGCTAGTTGTTTCCAAACAAACATGCTTTCTGGGCTTGAGGAAGGGAAAAGCAAAAAAGATTTAAAAGAAGATAGTAGATGGTTTCACAGTTATTTTGGCTTTATTACTAATGCTAACTACTGTCATAAGGTATAGAACTAAGCTTGAGGTATTAATAAATATTTTATTCAAGGAACTTTTTTTTCAGCCCTAATGAGAATTTATAAACATGATTGGATGGTGCTGTTGAGTTAAAGGGAGAAACTCTCCTTATAGAGTAGATTGTTTGCTGATTTTCTGAAAATTTGACCTTGGATTTACATAGTTTTAAATATTCCTTTTAGATTTACTGTGGTTTCTAAAACAGTCTCTTATTTTTGGAGGACATTTATTTATTTTGTGAAATAAGTTAATAAAATTACATATGTCAGCTGACATAATTTTTCACTTTTATTATTCTGTAGATAATAATCAACCAGGTGTAAACATGAGTAACATATTTCCCCTATTATATCATACATTCCTAGCCCTTTGAATGAGCACCTTTGCAAAAATATATTTCATTTCTGTTTTGATTAAAATTTGTTTCATGAGTTGGAAGAGATCATGAACCCTGGGTAATGCATTTCGTTGTAACTAAAATTCTTAAGTCAATTAATTATGAGTTACACCAGACATGGAACTTTATGACACCCAGAGTATTCTATTAAAATAGCAGTATTGAAATAGCTGCTGGCCCTTTCTAAAAAGTATGACCATTTAAATCACCTAAATAATGATCTCTGAAATTATAGAATTAAAAATACCATACTATTTCCTACCTGATAATTGGATGAGAAATTAGACATTAACCTAGCCTTCCAAAGGCCTAGAGATTCCTTTTTTTTTCTTTCCTGTTCCTTCTTATATGTGTTAATTTTATATTCAGTAAAACAGATCAAGGAATTTCTCTTAGTTTATGAACCTTTCTAGAAAAGTAAGTATAGCATATACTTTTGCTGTTGGTTTTATATTAAAGAAATTATGAAAAAGTTGCCTTTTAATATAAATAAAAGTCTTTGTAGAACTTATCTGTGATTTACACATGCATGCTTCAGAAGGTCAGGTATTCTAACTTTTGTACAAGGTGAAGGTTACTTGGAAGATGAAAAGGCATGCCGAAACAAATAGAAAACATTTTACTTCATTTTAGCTACCTTTCTTTTTAAAAAATCTTTATTTGGTAGACATGATTATGGAACTGTCAAATTACTGTTTATTGTTTTACATATTAGCCCACAAACATATAACTTTTAAGGTTTGCTCCTGTTTAAAAGAAATAAAATCACTCTTTAAGACAAATGAAACTTTTACTGCACTATTTTTGCAGAACAAAATACTGTAAACTAAAATTAACTGTAATATTCTAATGTTGTAGAGAAAAACCAGGGAATTTCTAAAGTCACGTTGTTAAAAGAAATTTTTAGTTGATGAATAAAAAAGAAAAGAGAAAGAAAACTTCCTTAACTAATGATTCTCAAATATTAGTAATATTATTTTATTTCACATGAGAATCAAAATGTGGGAGATCTTGCTTTTTAGGTATGAGGTAAGAAATATAATTATGCAGACAAAAATGGATTACAGCAAAAATACCAATTTGTCACCATACCTATACATGAAATAAATTCAAAGTTATATAATTTTAGTGGTAGCTACTGAATCAGAAAGTTAGAGTAAGATGTTATATTTTAAAAATATTTAGTATATAAATTTTAGTTATTGTGGTATAATAATACCAGTAATTTTGTGAAGTATATCTTAATGCTAATTCTAAATTCAAGTGAATTTAATTATTGTTTTAAGGAGGTATTTGCATGTAAAATTCACAAGTTTTTGTGCAATTTTTACTAAATTACCATGTATATACATGGTCTACTTATTATAGTTTTGGAATTTACAAAGTAAACAATTGATTATCAGCCTAAAATTCCTTCCATTTTAGATTACAATGTCAAGGTTCTCTGGTTAAATCGCGTAACATTACAAGTGCTATCGAAATGACCTCAGACTATTTCTGTTCTGTTTTCTTTGGCCTTACTCATGTGATTTTTTTATATTTTAAAAACCTTTGCACTGCACTGTACTACTGTAGAACAATCTAATTTTTCTTGATTACATCTCAAAGTTGATTATATTGGTTTAATAATAAGATAAATATCAGAATTTGTATACTTAAACTTATTTTTTAAATAAAGAATCAGCAGGGATCTGTTCATCTATATATTCCAATTTTTTTAACTGTCTTAAGTAGCAATATTAATGTTAATTAATGTTATTATTAATAATTATATTTTAATCAACTATTATGTGGTGCCATAGTTATAACATAGGGTTAGTGGTGATGTGAACAAATTTAACTAAATAATCTGTATCTAAAGGAGTCTTTAAATAGAACCTTGGAGCTTTAAGAGAAGAGTTAATAGTTAATAGTTATTAATACTTAATAATATTAACTATTAATAACAATTATTATAATCAATAACAATTATTCAGTCAACAATTTATTATTCATGTTGTTGTCATTTCATTGCCAAACACTATATGTATTGATATTTTACAAATGTTAACTAGCTTAATTCAATAGTCACAATTTTGGGGTAAATACTAGTATACCTTTGTTTTCAAGTAAAGAAGTTGGACAGAGAAATGAAAAACTTGTTTCAAGGTTCATATCATCAAAGAACATACAAGAACTGATGATTAAACATTGGTTATATTTTTGTAATATTTCTGATGTATTGTTAAACCTTATTTGTCTCACTGAAATGTTGCTTCAATTTTTAATTAAGACATTAATGTAAATAGTTTTAATGTATTTATGTAAAAAATTTCAAGATATTACTTTATAAACACACACATAGGCATGCACACACACACACACACACTCACACTCACATATATTTTTGTACCAAAAATGGAGAGAAACATCACTCAAAAGTTAAAAACAAGCTATTGGTTTGAAATCCCAAAGATGGTGGACTGAAATGAGTCTCTCTGATGTTTTGGCACGAAATCCTCTGCACCTTGAGAAATTGTACTTGGGACAGAAAATATAAAGGCAGGCACAAATAAAGGCAGGCAGGTGCCATAATTATAACATGGGGCTAGTGGTGATGTGAACACATTTAACTAAATAATCTGTTTATATCTAAATGGTCCTTTAAATAAAAGCTTGGAGCTTTAAGAGACAGTAAATAGCATTTTCAGCCAGCAATAGAAAGCTACATGTTATTAAGTCTTTCAGATATGGAGTTGGATATATTTTTCATTTTTCTAAACATGCATTGAAATATTTAGATGGTTACTATATTCTTTGATTCTTCTAGGAGTCAATCTTAAGATGTGATACTTTCCTGTGAAACCTGAAACAAGGTGATCTGGGGAACCAAAGACTCTGGGACTCTTGGTGCCAACAGAGTTACTCTGTGAGTATCCTTGGTGTGTAATGATGTTTTCTTCCATCTAGCTCTTGTAAGTCATGCTGTTTATGCAATTGGTAAATCTTAATGTGAATGGTAGTATTGGCATGACTACTGTTTTAATCCATTTTCTAAAATAGGACATATCTTAAAGTTGGTACTTTTAGCTTCTAGTGTTTCCATGATCCAATATACTGTGTGATCTTGGTCAAGAGACTAAGTCTCAGTTTCTCTGTATATAAAAAGAAGCTAAATATAAACTTCCTTCATTTAAATGATTATAAAGTAGTAAATGATAAAGTTTCAATAATAATAATAGAATTATATTCTATTTTTATTACTAGCATGAATTCTGGTTTTAAAATAAACGAGAAAGCTAGAGGTATATACTTTTAGTTATTTACCTTTATCATTGGCACTTTTTAAAAAAACTACATTTTGAACAAAAATGATCATATTGGGGTTTTTTTACGTTCATATTTTGTTTGCAAAGGGCTTTATCACTGTGTTTCCACACTCATGATTCAATCTGATTTAATCCTTCATACAATCTTGGTCTAAAGCAGGTCAGGGATTTCAATCCTCGCTGTGCAGATGAGAAAACTGATGCTCAGCATTGTGTCTTGCTGAAGACTGCATAACTTATAAGGGAGATAATTTAAAATCCAATGTTCTTATAAACAGTCTATACTCTTTTCTGTAGACTGTTCTTATAACTAGTCTATACTCTTTCAAATGAATGTAACCAACTGTATTCAATTTGTCAAATTTGTATTTTTGCATTAGATTGCTACGTATTTTAACTAGCTTATAAGAGTAGTATGGTAAATTTACAAAGTTATATTACCTGTTTGTTGTGAACAATTCCTAGACCAACTGTATGGTTGTATTCTGTCTTCTACCTCTGTTGTATCATGTACTCTGTCTTCTACCTCAAGTTCATGAACAAATCTTGGTATATCTATGTAGTAAACAGAATAATGGACCCCCACATTTTAATCTCTGCCACTTCTGAATATGTTATGTTACATGGTAAAGGGAGAATTAAGGTTGCAGATGGAATTAAGGTTGCTAATCAGGTGACTTTGAAATTATCCTTGATTATGTGCATGGGCCCAGCGTCATCACTAGGATCCTTATAAATGAAAGAGAGAAGGCAGCAGGAAAGATGCTCAGTCCAACCTTGACAGTTTGTTGATGTAGGAATGCAGCCAGAAGCCAAAGAATGCCAGTGGTGGCTTTCAGAGTATGGAAAAGCAAGGAAACAGATTCTCTCCTAAACCTTCCACTCACACCTTGATTTTAGTTCAGTGAGACCCATTTCAGACTTCTGACCTTTGAAATTGTAAGATAACAAATTTGTGCTGCTTTAAGCCATTGTATTTGTGGTTGTTTGTTACAGCAGCAACAGAAAACAAATACAGCTCAACACTGTGAAATTACAGACAGCCTCAGAGTAGAAACAGCGGTTTATGCCAAGAGGTTATTAGGTCAGTCATAGGGGTATTTGCTGCTTTGATTGAATTTTTTGTTCCATGTTAAGTATGCTCATAGGGCTAGGTTGTAATATGTCATATGGTTCCTTTTAGATACATAGTTTACTAAGGGAACCAGCTTAACCCTGCCTGTTCTTATTAAGAGTACAGAATATGGATCTTGGAGTGTTAGGTTCAAATGCTGCCTCTGATGCTTACTAATTATAATCTGAGCATCAGTTTTTTCATCTGTAAAATGAGGACAATACAAGTTCTTTATAGGGCTGTTGTGAGAATTAACTATTAATTTGTGTTAAGTACTTAGAATATTATTAATACTTGGCATATTGTAGGGACTAATTAAGTGGTAGCTATTATTATTACTAAATTATTCCTCAAATACTGTATTTTCTAGATTCATTTTCTTTATTCAGATATAGATAGGAAAGTATCCAAAACTTTGGGATGAGCGCCTTTGTGGTAGAGGCATTTTAATATAATTATGTGAATTTTGTAATTTGTAATTTTACTTAATTTTTAAAAACCTTTCATGCTTTGAAATACCTCTTCTTTGTCCGTTTTCATCATCATATGTAGATGAAGCAATTTTGTATATTCTATAATAATTCATTTCATTGACTTTACTTATTGTTCTGTCTTAGCTGTTTTATATTGTGAGTCTTCAGGTTTGTTGTGATGTCACTACTTAAGCATGTGAATATCTTGGTAGTAGGGAAAGTATGCAGCACCCTGTAATAAGAGATCCTAGATTAAAAATACTTCACAAGTGAGAAAAACCTAGTCTGAATGGCGTTTTCAAAGACATTGTTGAGAGAGGAGTCTCTTAAATGGATACATAGAAATGACTACTTTGGTCAGTGCCCCATTCTCTGTGTTTGACAGTGGTGGTGGGTCTGCTTTAGACCTGGTGGTAGCATATATTTGATCAGTCTTTTAGGCCTTCACCACAGTGGCTATATCCCAAGGGACAATATATTAATTAATTCGACCAACATGTGTTACATACCTCCTAATGCCAATAAACAAATGATGTCTGTTCAAAATGTTCACAGCATAGAGGGGAAGAACCAATGATCCCTGAAGTAGCATAGATTCTAGCATTATAGTTAGGCAGGGAGGTAAGACATATTTACTCTTTCTAGCTACCCACACACAAAGGCCAGTTGCAGCATGCCATGATTTCTTATGCAGTTTTAAAATGTGCATAAGAGCAAACTGTTTTGCTCTTACAAAACAGTTTGTCTGTGCCTGTCTTTTGACACCCTAGGTTTTCTCTAGTATGAGGAAAAACAAAACAAAATACATTCCTTACACAGACACCTGAAATACAAGGGATACCATCCCTTTAAATTGGATACTTAAAAACTATAATCACAGGCCTATTGAGTCTGTGGTTAAGAAACAGATATCAATAATCACATGGTGTGTTTTAGTAAAATGAGATTTCTCTTTTTCCTCAAATACGTGTGGTATCTTTGTGGTGCTTTTCAGTCAATTCCTTTGATTTTCATTTTACAGTCTTACTTCTCCCACACTTCACTAATTGGCATCTCATTTACCTGGACAAAGCTAAAAATCACAGAAAATGAGAAGGGGCTTCCCCAAGGCACTTAACTATGTGGAAATAGATGGATCTTTGGGTAGCCTTGGAGAACTGTTTGAACATGGAACCTACAAAGGATATCACTGTTTCTTGCCTATGTTTTCACTTGAATCCAGCAGTTAACAGAAGAGTAGCAGAGAAAAATAGGAACTATTTGACCAAAAAAATCACTGCTGTGAGTTAGTGGAAGGTTTCAAGTGAATTATGTACCAAATACCTTGCTGTGCCTTCTTTGCCTTTCCATGCCTTTCTACCTTGAAACTGCATCAAGAAATCAGTATAGAGGGAAGCTGAGCATGCCCAGCTGTTAATATATTCTCCCTAATATTCCACTAAGCCACTCACTGTGTCCTCATTTCTTTTACATAGACTATGGATTGTGTGGGTTGATATAAATGCTAACAATCAAATAATTAGGCTTTTTCTTTCATGTTGATAACTCCAGATTTACGTATTTTGGCAGTATATTAAAGCTAGGAAAGTTTTTAAATGTTAAGTCTTGTCCATTTATAACATGGTTCAGAAATAATGAATTGAGAGTTTCTGATATGAAATAATCAGTCAAATTTGCTAATGTGTCTATAAAAATATGGTTAAAATGAGTATAATGATTTTAGATACAGGGGAACATTTCTGTGATACTGTCCTGATAATTAAAATCCTAACATTACTTAACAGCTTTATGATGTGACAGCAGATGCCTAGAGTAGGTAGTTTTATTATTTTGCCTCGTACCTTTAGCCTATGTGAATGTATGTGGTGATCAATTAAATTATGCAAGGTTCTATAATATATGACATTGCTAATACTACTTTATAACACTATTTTAGCTTTGACAATTCTGGTTTTAAAATGCATGTGCACGCACACACACACACACACATATAGCCTCCCACCATGGGAAAGTGAATATTTAAAAATTTTTCTTAATCTATTTAGCAGGTATGAGTACATATTTCTTACATGCATATATTGTGCAGTGGTAAAATCTGGGCTTTTAGTGTGCCCATAACCGAAGTGGTGAACATTGTATCCAAAAGGTAATTTCTCAACCCTCATCCTCCTCCTAGCTTCCCACCTTTGGTACCCTCCAATGTCTATTATTCCAGCGAGTGACTATTTGAGGAAAGAGAAGCTGCCTTATTTATCCTGGCATCCCTCCTGTACATAATATAATGGGTTTTGTAGCTAGCTACTCACTATATGTTGCTTAAATTAGTTAATTAATTAAAAACAAGGAAAAATATATTCAGCTAGCCCCTTTGATTCATCTATTTAATTCTTAAAATTGATGCTGAACTGGAGAATATTGCTTGGGTATATGGTCAAATGGGGTTTCTCATTTGAACTTATCATCAAAACTTAGGCTTTCCCTTGTATGGGAAGAACCTGCTCTAGTAAAATTATCATACTGTGTAGACCAGATCAGAATCTGTCTCCTCTGTAGGAAGGCATATCTGGAAAAGGGAGAGCCCAGAATATTTCTGCATCAAGCTTGCTTAATTTTTTCTTGAAAATTCAGCAATCAGATGTGGAATGGATCGAAGTGTTATTTTAACAGCAGTGTCTGCATTAGGAAATACTAGGCCAGCATATAGTTGAGAAGCCTGGGGGTAAGAGAGGTTAGATAATTTGTTCAAGATGAAAAGTAAAATATAGGTCTTACCCAACTCTTCTAATACTAAATCAAGGTGTTTTGTTGTCATTGTTGTTTTATTTTGTGGTTTTTGTTTTTGCTTTTGCTTCTTCTTCTTCTTTTAAAGAGCCCTTTAAATAATCCTTTTTTAAAAAGAATCCTTTAGATTTTTTTTTAAAAAACTCTTTTTTTAAAAGAATTTTATGCTACATCATAATAGTAATAACTGGTGCTCCCAGGGGAATGAAGCCTAGTGAACAGGCTGAGGCCTTTCACAATGCCAGTCCAGGGCAAAAGAGGTCCACGTCTTCCATCTGCTGCTGAGGAGAACACCAAGAAAGTCTAGTCCCCATGGGGAACCCAGAGGGTAATAAAAGCATTGAAGCCATGGGACTTTAACTTCTAGGGCGTGGTTATGGCTTCTATAAACTGTCTTTGCCATATAATTTTACATTGCTTTTTAAATTGTTATATTCTGACATCATCATATGGAGGTTTTATACTTTTATTTAAAATAACTTAAAATCCCAGCCTGGACAACATAGGCAGACCTTGTCTCTACAAAAAAAAAAAAAAAATTAAAAATTATCCAGGGATAGTGGCATGTATCTGTATTCCCACCTACTGAGGAGGCTGAAGCAGGATAGTTTGAGCCCAGGAGTTCAAGGCTGCAGTGAGCTTTGATTGCCACTGCACTCCACCCTGGGTGAAAGAGTGAGACCCTGTCACAAAATTGAAAAATACAATAAAATAAACTATGATAAAAATCCTAAAATAACAACAAAAGTTTACCTTAAGTTTTATTTAAGATGTAAATTTGTTTTGAGGTGTGGAAGGATCTCATACCCTGTGAGATGTGACTGAGACAGTAGATTTAATGTTGCCTCAAACTTCATTTATTTATATCTGGTTAATGACTAATGCCTTTGTAGTGTTTTTAAAACCAGGAGAAATAATGACTTCTTATTTTACAAATGGCAGTAAAAAGCCAAAACACATTAAAATACCTATTCTACTATAATTGGCAATAGCAATAGATGGAAACTACATACCCGATCATATTACATTTTATAACATATTCTCTGTTATTCCTATGTGGAGGAGAAGTGGTTGTGTGGTTGGGTGGGTGGAAGATGCTTGTGGTATGTGAATGTTGGGAAGGGGAGGGGATAATGACCAGTTTTGAGTAGGAGCATGCCATTGTCTGCATTTGTATTAGATGTACAATTTAGGCTAAGATTTGGGATTTTGAGTAGAGAGATTGGAGGCTGGGATAACAATTGGAGGCTACTAAATTTATTGGTGCCTGTGGGAATTAGGGAAAGAAGATAGATTTAACTTCTTCTGCAAGTGGAATTTACAAGGATTGGCAACTTGGGTTTCATTTTAGAGAAGAGGAGACATTTTTGCTGACTCTGAGACTTTGAGCTGACTGGCAGAATGTTAGTGCATTTAATAGAAAGCTGTGGGACCACAGTGCAAGCTGAGAGTGATGGCGGGGAGCTAAGTGGAACCCAAGGTCCTGAGCTAGAAGGATATTTTTAAAGCACTCTCTCTCTGAACATGTTTCCTCTATTGGCTAAATACAGTAGTATCTTCTATTGAATGGATAATAGCTAAGAAAGTAAGGGTCTTAAATGTACCATGTACTCAAATCACCTTTCCAATAATTCTTTTCCATTAGTGAGCCACTGTTGTCAGCAAGAAGGGGGAATCCATTAAGATGGTAGAATACTTGCATATTTGTGGTTAGGACCACCCTCCCCCAATTAGGTTTTTCTAGGATGTATTAAAACTTTAAAGGAATTATTCTATGAAAGCAAATTTGACTGATGCCATCTTTCTCTTATGCTTATCAAGGTTAAAAGTGTTGCCTTTTTACATTATAACTCTAAGAGATAATTAATGTGGATTGTTTCCTTCTGCTATAAGCTAAATTTTAGCTCCATTGTAATTCTAGATTTAGAAAATAGAATCACTGTTAGTACTACTCAGTGAATGTTAGGATTATGGTACTCTTTCCAGGAAAAGAATAGAAAAAAAATTGTACCCAGATGAGAAAAGAAATGTGTTATATTATTTCCATTATGTTGTGAGACCTTTGTTTTTTTGTGTTTTCTGATTAATTTACTGCCGTTTTCCATTCAAAATATATATCTGAGCCTTCTGTTCTTTAGAATTTCTTGCACTTTTTATTCAGATGAAAAGCTTGGATTTTGCACATTAATTCAGTTTTACTCCTCAGTTACAATGCGAAAAACATCATAATCTCACAAGGGAAATGTGTAAAATGCTTAGTGAAACTTGAAAATAATATTATAAATAAATCTGTTGCCAAGAACTTATTGTCATGTTTTAAACACAGAATTAATAACCTATTCCAAGGGCACACAGGCTATTTATCAAGGTTTTCTCCTAAGACTATCTGCATTTCCTCTCTCCTGTCCTCATATTATTGAAGAATTTTGGAAACCAGAAATTTAAAAAAAATCTCGCATGATCCTATTTTTGGAGTTACTTTTGAGAATTTATAACCTTGGCAAAACTTAGTCACCTTTAGCCATTCTCTCCCCAGGGCTCCTGGTGAACAGGTCTGTTTTGCATTTGGCTTTTCTTTTTCTCAAAAGTGCATGTAGAAACCTCACTGTCTGTGTTTATCTCACATCTCACAGAACTTAGTTGCTCAACTTTAGTAACGTGATTTCTCTGTGCTTTAAGTTATATTCTTATAAAAAAAGATGAGTCAAATTGTTAAAGGTGTTACTGTGATTACAAAGGTGACTAAAGTTAATGTTAAAGTCAGTTCATTCTATTTGCTATGTGTTTTACACCAGCAAACATTAATCCATAATTTGCTGCTTTAGGTGAATTTTAATTTTTTGTATATTTGCTTAAAATGTTTAAGATGTTAAGGTAATGTAGTAGAAGAAATATCTTATGTGAAGAAAGATGAATTCTACATTTAGAAAGAAAATATGTGATTTATAATTTGAACTCTTTAAACTTTTCGAACATGCACACTAGACGTAACAGACCATGGTTTCTGTCAGTGGATAGTATTTTTTGAGGATTTTATATGGTAATGACAGTAAGCAAAATAATACAAAATAAGTACAAAATACATTATTCAAATTCCTGTCAATTTTGTTCTTTATAGATCTTATCAAGCTATTTTCTTGATAATATAATTTTTACATATCAAATGTATGTCTTTGTATTTCTCTTCTTATTTAACTTTAGAATATTTTGTAATAATACTAACTAAATTAACTATACATATGGGAGCCTTTTAAAATTATTATTCTTGATGTAATAAATAACATTAACTGAATAAAGTTAATAATTTCTTTACATAAAATTGAGTCTTATTTTCATATTATCAATATAAAAAAAGTAGTTGATAAAGCAAACAATATTGAAATTTTATTCTTTTACCCTTTTTAAAAAAGAAACTACTTTGAGGTATATGTACAGGGTACAAAATGAAGTTATTCATTGGTTAATCACTTATATCACATTTTAGTAATTTTACCCCAAATAAATGTATTGAACACTTACTAGCCACGAAGCACCTTGTTTCGTTGGGACAAAGAAGCATTTGAAGAGTTCTCAGTAAATATATAGACTGCTTTTGGTTGTCAGATGTACTATATAATTGTGAAATCCATAGTATAATTTTTTCACTGTATTAAAACCTCAGTTTATGTCTGATTTTGTACTAGGTAAAATTTCTTTATGCTTTTATTTCATTTTAGTTTTTAAGCTTAAGTTTTCAGTAGAAATGAAAGAAACATACCACATATTTTGTAAAAGCATTTGGTTTATTTGGTTAAGTAAATTAGATAAAATTTCTAGAGGTTATTTATGTTATTACCTGGTTATTATTATTTCATTATTATACACATTTAGAAATGCAGCCTTCCCAAATCTTTGGGAAGCATATTTTACAAGTGGCTACTGCTTAGTGCTTAGATCTAAATAATTGTATCTTTCACATAGGAAATCAGATATTTCTCATCCACTGATAGAGGAGTCTGGCATGCTGTTTGATAGAGAGGAACATGAGCCTCGAATCTAGACAATCTAGAGTTGGAATCCAGGACCCCATATTTTACAGCTATATGGCCTTACATAAGTAATCAAAACGCTGAGCTTCAGTGTCCCCATAGGAAAATATTTATCATAATGTCTATCATGTATCATTTAGAGAATGGGGTAGTGGGTATAAATTGTTTGGCAAAATGCTTACCTAGAATATGAGAAGCATTTAATAAATTACACCACTGCATTTTTCCAAAGGTTATAGTAATTTCTTCTAAAACGAAGATGGTACTAATGATCTATCACCAGATTCACCCTCACACAGGGTTGGGGACTCTTTGGGACAGAGAGCATGCATTTACAGAGTGGCTGACCATGTAGGGAGTGTTATGTGTGATCAAGAAATAGATTAAACTGGCCCACAAGAGATTCAACACTTTGACCCTGGCCTCTTTGTTATTGTTCATAACTTACAAATTACCTAGTCTCAGACTCAGTGAAGAGTCACTAAACTATTAATGTATATAGTACAGTATTTTTGCAATATGTTTTATGCATATTAAATCACGCAATGGAAAATGTGCTTGAAAATGTGGCTACATCAACACAACACATGAGAAGGTTAAATTTAGCAGTTCAAATTGCCAGACTTGGCCACCTTCTTTGACCCATGATATAATTTAAGCCAAGCTTACTTTAGACTCTGAAAAGTATGAACTAATAGTGCACGTCAAAGCAGGTTCTTGAAAAAGAGAAATAACTAACTTTGCCCTATTTGAGAGAAGAGAGAGGGGAGGGCAAAGCAGAGTCTCTGGAGATATGTATGTAAGTTTGCTTGTGGCTAAAAGTTAATGATCAGTTGCCTCTCTTCTTAGCCCTGAGCCTGGAGAAAAGTGTCAAACGCAGGTTCTCTCTCTATTCAGGTAACTTTAAAAATTATACAAATCGTATTCGTGTTCATTGTAGTTTAGATTATAGAGATGTGATTTTTTTTCCTTTAGTGTCATGTGATTTCATACTCTAAGCATATTGGAATAACAATGAGAAACTTTATATATGCTGGCTAATGTAAAAATATTTTACTTTTGAAGTACACCAAGTTAAGGCTAAGGAGAGATTCTGTATTGTATTAGATGGGAAGAGAATTTTTACAAGTTTTTATGAAACTATCAATTGTGGTTCTTAATCTACCAGCTGAAAGATGTATTAATCATAATTATTTAAAATAATGTACATTATATAGTGTGCCAAGTCTTGGCTAGTAAGGAAAATTAAAAACTTTTTTAACATTGACATTCTGAAAATAAGACTAAATGTTTAATCACTAAAATTATTTGTATTTCATATTATAATGCCAAAAGTAACCTATTTTTCCTATTCTAAATCATTATATTTGTAACTATGTATGTGTACTTTGTTGAAAAAAAATAGTAAAAATTAATAGATTTTTATTATAGGACTTAGGTAATTTCATCCAAAACATTTAGGATAGTATAATATTATGGTATGATATGAAGTTATTGTACAGTTATATTTCAGGGATGCTATATGTATAATTATCTGTAATTAAAGACATTGCTCACTAAGTTTTAAAGTCTTCACAGCTGGTGTCTAAAAATAAAAATATTGTATACATTTACAGAGTAATCATTTTTCATTGAGCTCTCAACATAGAGAGATGCATTGCTTAAGTTACTGGCATCATGAATTACAGGAATTTATATATATATACACACACACACACATATATGTAACTTTTATATACATATAACTTTTATATATATAACACGTGTGTGTGTGTGTGTGTGTGTGTGTGTGTGTGTCTATGTGTGTGTGTCTTGGTTCTTTCTAAAGTGTCTGACCTTTGTTATCTTTATTCGGCAAGTATCCAAAGCCAAAAAGCTTGCTTTGGCTGGATTTAGATTCAAGTAAACATCAAAAGCTAAATGTTCTTATGGTACTACATATGCAGTTTTCCATTTGTATTCTTTTCAAACTGAAATTAAATGTCAGGCAATGATTGATGATTTTACAATTGGAGTTTGGAGTTGATAGGAATTTGGAAGAACATAACATTTCATATATGAGGAACTAGGTCTAGAGAGGGAAACAACAACAGTTATTGGGAGTGCTAAAACTAAAATCAAACTCTCTGTTTACTTGCTGAAAAGTCGAGTTGATGGTTATTAGTCAATATTCATGTTGTTTTTTAGAGAAATCATATTTTATTCCTTAATTCATTTCGATTTTGAAGTATATCTAGATAAGGGCTGGCAGTTAAGGTATAGTTGTTTAGTGATATTTTCCCAATTTATGCTCGGCATTGCTAAATTTATATATCAGTTCAGTTTACATAATCCCATTAGGATTTCCTTAGGTATTTAAGTTCTGTTTACAAAAGGAGATTCTCAAGGTTAGAGAAGAGAGTAATATGGTTTAGTTGTGTTCCCACTCAAATCTCACTTGAATTGTCGTTTCCATAATCCCCACCTGTTGTGGGAGGGACCTGGTGGGAGGTAATTGAATCATGAGGGTGAGTTTTTCCCATGCCATTCTTGTGATAGTGAGTAAGTCCTGAGATCTGATGGTCTTATGAAGGGCAGTTCCCCTGCACATACTCTCTTGCCTGCCACCATGTATGACGTGCCTTTACTTCTCCTTTGCCTTCCACCATGATTGTGAGGTCTCTCCAGCCATGTGGAACAGTGAGTCCATTAAACCTTTTTCCTTTATAAGTTACCCAGTCTTGGATATGTCTTCATTAGCAGCATAAGAACAGACTAATATAGCAAATTGGTGCTGAAAGAGTGGGGTGCTGCTGTAAAGATAACTGAAAATATGGAAGTGACATTAGAACTGGGTAACAGGCAGAGGTTGAAAGAGTTTGGAGGTGTATTAGTCTGTTTCCCACTGCTGATAAAGACATTCCAGAGACTGGGAAGAAAAAGAGGTTTAATTGGACTTATAGTTCCACGTGGCTGGGGAGGCCTTAGAATCATGGTGGAAGGTGAAAGGCACTTCTTACATGGTGGAGGCAAGAGAAGATGAGAAAGAAGCAAAAGTGGAATCCCCTGATAAACCCATCACATCTTGTGGAAGTTATTAACTATCATGAGAATATCATGGGAAAGAACAGCCTCCATGATTCCATTACCTTCCCCTTAGTCCCTCCCACAACACGTGGGAATTCTGGGAGATGAAATTCAAGTTGAGATTTGGGTGGGGACACAGCCAAACCATATCAGGAGGGCTTGGAGGAAGATAGGAAAATGCAGGAAAATTTGGAACTTCCTAGAGACTTGGAGGGCTCAGAAGACAGTAAGATGTGGAAAAGTTTGGAACTTCCTAGAGACTTGTTGAATGGCTTTGTCCAAAATGCTGACAGTGATATAGATGATAAAGTCCAGGCTGAAGTGGTCTCAGATGGAGATGAGGAACTTGTTGGGAATTGGAGTAAAGATTACTCTTGTTATGCAAAAAGTTTGGCAGCATTTTTCCTCTGCCTTAGAGACCTGTGGAACTTTGATCTTGAGAGAGATTAGGATATCTGGTGGGAGAAAGTTCTAAGTGCCAAAGTGTTCAAGAGGAAGCAGAGCATAAAAGTTTGAAAAATCTGCAGCCTGATGATGCAGTAGAGAAGAAAAACCCATTTTCTGGGGAGAAGTTCAAGCTAGCAGCAGACATTTGCCTAAGTAACAAGGAGCCAAATGCTAATCACCAAGACAATGAAGAAAACGTCTCCAGGGTATATCAGAGGCCTTCGTGGCAGCCCCTCCCATCACAGGCCTGGAGGCCTAGGAGGGAAAAATGGTTTCCCGGACGGGGTCCGTGCCCCCTCCTGCTGTGTACAGCCTAGGGACTTGGTACCCTGCATCCCAGCCATGGCTAAAACGGGCCAAGGTATAGCTATATAGCTAGGGTCATGGCTTCAGAGAGGACAAGCCCCAAGCCTTGGCAGCTTCCACGTGGTGTTGAGCCTGTGGATACACAGAAGTCAAGAATTGAGGTTTGAAAACCTCCACCTAGATTTCAGAGGATGTATGGAAATGCCTAGATGCACAGGCACAAGTTTGCTGCAGGGGAGGGGCCCTCATGGAGAATCTCTGCTAGGGCAGTGCAGCAGGGAAATGTGGGGTCAGAGCTCCACACAGAGTCCCCACTGGGGCACCATCTAGTGGAGCTATGAGAAGAGGGCCACCATCCTTCAGACTGCAGAATGGTAGATCCACCAACAGCTTGCACTGTGAACCTGGAAAAGCCACAGGCACTCAACTCCAGCCTGTGAAAGCAGCTGGGAGGAGGTTTGTACCCTGTAAAGCCACAGGGATAGAGCTGCCCAAGGCCACGGGAACCCCCCTCTTGCATCAGCATGTCCTGGATTTGGGACATGTAATCAAAGGAGATCATTTTGGAACTTTAAGATTTAATGACTGCCGTATTGGATTTAGGATGTGTGTGGAGCCTGTAGTCCCTTTATTTTTTGCCAATTTCTACATTTAGAATGGGCATATTTACCCAATTTCTGCACCCCAGTTGTATCTAGGAAGGAACTAACTTGCTTTTGATTTTACAGGCTTATAGCTGGAAGAGATTTGCCTTGTCTCAGATGAGACTTTGGATGTAGACTTTTGGGTTAATGCTGGAATGAATTAAGACTTTGAGGGATTTTTGGGAAGGCATGATGGGTTTTAAAATGTGAAAACGACATGAAATTTGGAAGGGGCTAGGAGTGAAATGATATAGTTAGCCTTTGGTCCCCATTCAAATCTCAAATTTTAGTTCCCATAATATGTGTTGTGGGAGGGAACTGGTGGGAGGTAATTGAATCATAGCGGGTATTCTTGTGATAGTGAATAAGTCTCACAAGGTCTGATGGTTTTATAAAGGGGAGTTCCCCTTCATATGCTCTCTTGCCTGTTGCCATGTTAGACATGGCTTTGGTCCTCCTTTGCCTTCTGCCATGATTTTGAGGCCTCTCCAGCCATGTGGAACTGTGATTCCATTAAATCTCTTTCTTTTATAAATGACCCAGTCTTGAATGTGTCTTTATGTGAAGTGTGAGAACGGACTAATACAGAGAGTATTACCAGTTCTCATTTAGATACACACCAAAGCCATGCTGACAGGTTCATAATTTATAAGTTAAACATTAAGATGGCTGAAGTTTTACTATTCAAGAAAATTTAAAGTATGAATAATATCAAAATATATAAATACATGTGAATCATATTCATTTCAAGGTTGAAACAATCCACATACAATTTGAAGATAAAACAATTATTTTCCATGATGTTAAAAAGTACAAGTTTGTTATTGGGTCTCTAACAATTAAGATTGTGGTTTTTTAAAGTGGGGTATATATAGATTTCTTTTGTTTTTAGTAGACTCTTCAATTTATCTTTTAGTATTAGATATTTATATTCAGAGCCTGGCTTTCGCATATTAATAACTAAGTGCTGGTCTAATTCACTGTGGCCATTGAATATTCACATGCTTCTCAGTTTCCATTTCAGATTACACAAATACATTTAACCATCAGAAAGTTTGTCTCTGTTCCTTTAGCCCAGTATTAGGTATGCCTCATGAATTCCTGAAGTTTACTGAGGCTCTTTAGCAGTTACCCATAGATAGTCACACACACACACACACACACACACACACACACGATTTATCTAAACGGGAGAGAAACAAAGGCTATCAATACTTTCAATGCTGTAAAGGGTGAAGGCGTCAGAAAACCAAGCTTAAAGTCTCAGCAGCACAGTTAACTTGCTTTGCAAATCATGGATAAGTCACATAACCTGTAAGAACTTCTGTTAAGTGAACTATAATTGGGGGTTATAAGAATAATAATAATGCTTACCTTCCTTGTCTAGTGTGAGAATAATGTGAATTTATATAAAACTGTACCTGGTAGATTACAAGTTCTTATTAAGCACTTTCTAGGGCTGCCATAACAAAGTACCATAAACTGGGTAATTGAAAACAACAGAAATTTATTCTCTCTCCTTTGGAAACAAAATATCTGAAATCAAGGTGTCAGCTGGGCTGTGCTTTCTTGAAAGCTTCTAGGGGAATATCCTCCCTTGCCTCTTCCAGCTTCTGGTAAACCCAGGCTTTTCTTGATTGTGGCAGTAAAATTTCAATTTATGCCTGTATCTTCAAATGACATTTTCCCTGTGTTTGTGTCTTCACATGGCTGTCTTCTTATAAGATCATCTGTCATACAGGATAAAAGCTCACCCTACTCCATTGTGACCTCATCTTAACTAACTGCATCTGCGTTGGCCTTATTTACAAATAAGGTCACATTCTGAGATACTGGAGGTTACAGCTTCAAGGGATCTTTTTTGAGGGACACAATTGAAGTAATCACAGCCTGCCTTCCAATCCACCCCCCCCACCAAATTTAAGTCCTTCCCACGTGTAAAATACATACATATGATTCCAACATTCCCAAATGTCTTAACCATTCCAACATCAATTCTTAAGTGCAAATTCTCTCTAAATCAATTATGGGTGAGATTTGGGGTACAGCCCATCCCAGAGCAAAATTCCTCTCCATCTGTGAATCTGTGAAACATAGAAAATAGGTCATCTATTCCCAAGATACAATGGTGGGATGGATAGGGAATAGACATACTCATTCCAAAAAGGAGAAATTGGAAGGAAAAACAAATGGTGTCACTGGTCTAAATTCACTGGTCTAAAACAAGTTCAACCTAGTGGGACAAATTCCATTAGGTTGCAAGGCTTGGCAATCATGATCTGTGGCTCAGTACCTTGTCTTCTGGGCTCATCGTGGTGGTCCAGACAGTAACTCTGCCCCCTCCACCCTGGTTGGTAGCCCTGACTGCTGGAGCCCAGGAGGTGGGCCTGCCCTCTAGACATAAGAAATTCCCTTAACCAAGACCTCTGCATCCATGAGTCTCCTCTCTCTTCATGTCATCCTGTCTCTGTTTCTTTCTATGCATTTCTGCTGATAAAATAATTTCAAAAACACTTGTCAGCCTCTTGTGCAATTCATGAAGGTCCAAGCCATCAGACAAGAGGGTCCTCTACGGTCATTTCTGTAAATCTGCATCTCTATTCCTGAATTCGAGGTTCTTTATTCTTCTCTTATGGTTTATTACATATGTATGCTTCCCTATACAATATTTTATTGATATCATTTTACAAGTTACCAAATCTCACATATGGCATCTGAATTAGTCCTTTTAGAAAACCACATGCTTTATTTGTTTAATAATATGTTTGAAATGATATGGTTCAAACATAGAGCTTTAGCTCATTTATTTTAATTTCTGTGAATTCCATTCTATGAATATGTATACTTTAGTTACCAATTCCCCTATTGATATACATTCCTCTATTGATCTAATTTTTGACTCTTATGTATCATGCTGCTATAAACATTCCTTTGTATTTCTTCTCATGCACAACTGTGCACACCTAGGATTAAAATAGATGATTATAAGATATGCACAATTTTCCCAAGCAGTTTTTGAAGCATAAATGCATTCTCACTTCCTGTACTTGTTTGGAAGCTATTAGAATTTAGGCTTTAAGCCCATGGAGTAGCTTCAATCAGTTTTTGTTGTAAAGTTCTGCCTGTGTCCCTTTGACTACAGTGCTCTTTCTCTCTCTCTCTCTCTCTCTATATATATATATGTGTGTGTGTGTATATATATATGTGTATATATATGTGTATATATGTATATATGTATATATAATGTGTATATGTATATATGTGTATATATATGTGTATATGTATATATGTATATATGTGTATATATATGTGTATATGTATATATGTATATATGTGTATATATATGTGTATATGTATATATGTGTATATATGTATATATGTACATATGTATATATACATATATGTATATATGTATATATCCATATATGTATATATGTGTATATATGTATATATGTGTATATATCCATATATCCGTATATATATGTGTATATATCCATATATCCGTATATATGTGTATATATCGCATATATCCGTATATATGTGTATATATCGCATATATCCGTATATATATGTGTATATATCGCATATATCCGTATATATATGTGTATATATGCATATATACGTATATATATGTGTATATATGCATATATACGTATATATATGTGTATATATGCATATATACGTATATATACATATATACGTATATATATGTGTATATATGCATATATACGTATATATATGTGTATATATGCATATATACGTATATATATGTGTATATATATGTGTATATATATATTCTCAGGTGTTGATGAGCAACAGTTTTATTTTTGAGTAAGTTTTATATTTTGAATACAGTTTGAAGGTATGGAAAGCAGGCCGGACCAGCGCTAGGCCTGTATCAGTGAGACAGACTTTCTTATCTCCCATCTTGTGTGGAGTACTTAGAGCCCCCTCTACCATGTAGAGCATGAACTTCTGCTTCATTGACTACTTCCAGTCCCACATTCCAGCAGGCTCATTGTTTCACCATGCTGTGTTTTCCTTCTGTTTCTGGGCAATGGAGATGCTTCTTCTTCTTGTTGATATTATTATTATTATCATCATTTAGGTTAGATATTTAATTTGTTTTTTGCTTTTCAGATGTTTCTATCACCATGTGCTTGCAGAAGAGAGTTTACATTCACATGTAAATTTACAGCAACATGTTGATTCTTTGGCTGACTTTGGACTAAGGGTGGATAGCAAATAATCAAATCTAAAGTGCATCACAGTTCTGTATTACCTATTGCAGTTAGATATGCATTGGATTCTAATTGTGTGGGTTGCAAGAATGACATTCTTATATAATAATCAAAGAGCTTTATTTGTATTCTTACCTGGATGGAAGGCTGTGCCATCTCTCTTTCAAGATAGTTCTGCAAGTGTACTTTATAGTAGTCCAAGGACTTTAATTCAAATGCAGTTTTGGATCTAGTCAGCTATTTGACCTGAGCTTTAACAAAGCCATAGAATTCTGCACTCTAAAGCATAAAAGAGTTGACTTTGACTCAGGATATTTTATAGGTTAATGTCTCATTTCCATCGCCTCTATAATAAAGTAACTTACAAGGTTCTTATGAAATTTATAATTTTGAGCAGTATATTAAGCATGTCAGAACGATTTTGCTACATAATATTTCCACGTATAATGAAGCTAACCTCTTGAACAAAACTTTTAGCATTTTATATCTGAGTGTAGAACATTTGCTGAAATTGATGAATTGGTTTTGGCATAATAAATATTGAGCTGTTATTTTTGACAATAATTGGCAAATAGATTCAGTTATTTCTTGAAGTTGATTCTAAAATATACTAGTCAGAATGTGCCATAACATAGAATAAGTGACTCCCATGATGTTGAACAAAATTAAGCCCTAACTCAGTAGGTAGGACCCTGTGTTACTTATAGACTAGGCAAGTTGTCAGCAAACATGTTTTTTTTTTTTTTGGCCACAAGTAATCTCTAGTAATTTTTGTTAGCAATAAAATATTTCACATGAGCACTTAATTAGTATATTTTCTTCTCTTTTGTGCAGCCTAACATCATAGGAGTGAAAAAACTGTCTCATATAACCCAAAAGGACGTTAACAAAGATGAATAAAATATTGCAATATTCATTTCTTACCCATACACTGAACTTAATATTGGAACAGGTTTATAAAGATGACACTGCATGTTCAATTCTGTGTATCAGTTCTTCAAATGACTTAAGTCTCTATTGGTCTTTGCTGTGATACTTGTTGGGACATCATTGGTTATCTAACTGGAAGAGGGCATTTATTTATCTGTTAGTTCTCCAAGGATATCATCATCTCTCTTGAGAGGAATTTTTGCAAATATTCTTGTTGGATTTTTTTACTCTTTCCTTGTCACTTGATGAAATCATGCTCATCATTCAAGCCTCAACCAAAATATTTTTATGATCTCAGTCTGATTTAGTTATACTGCCTTATACAATAGTTATTACTATAGAGCAGCTTTTCCCAACTAGATTTTGATGAGAAAATTATTCCCTAATAACCTAAACCTTACATCTGATTTATCCATTTTATGTTGAATTAACATTTCTCTTTTGCATTATGTTGCATAATATTTATGTAATATTAGAAGAACTAAGAAAATAGCTACTAAAACAATTTTCCATTTTTAAGGATTCAGATAATTCTAGCAGGGAAAAGCTGCCATAGAGTGTTACGTTCTTTTTTCCTTGTTATTATCTCTAAAAGGATTATATACTCCATGAAGGCATAGACTATATCTTGTTTCATCTTTGTACCCCTAGTGCTAGCACACTGGACTTCTGCCACATAGGAGCTGTTTGATAAATATTTGTGAATTAAATGATAGAAAGAGGCTTTCTTCTTCTCACAAAACTTTGTTGATAGAACTATTTAAGGTGACAGGTAATCCATATCACTAGGTTCAAGGAGCTTAGATTACACATGAACTAGTGTTGATATTTGAAAGGGCCAGTCAGGTGGGGAAAGCAGAGGAAATCTGAACTGCGCTAATATTTTTTGTCAGCGCACCAATGTTATATGTATAGGTAGTAGGTCTGTTTAGGTTAAGTCAAAATTCTCTACAGCGTTATCAGCTCTCTAAAGTAAGAGGTGCTGGGATGAAGGTGCAAAAAAGAGGAGCAGCATGGCAGAAATAAGGCAGGAGATCTATGTTCCAATAAAAAGGGCTAAAATTTAGGCAAGGATTTCAGTCCTTTGGGAACTGGAGTGAAAACCAACAGTCAAGATAGAAGTCATGCTACAAAGATAGGAGTACATTTGGGAAGGCTGTTACTCACATGATATTCTCGTATCCCAGATTACAGTGGATACAATGGGACAGAAGATAGATCAAATTCAAACATGCTAGAGGGTTTAGGACTTCTAAAATACTAAGACTCAGTTACAGGTGTCTCATAAAGTGGTAGGTCTGATCCTCAGCTCTCAGGTCATCTTACCCATAACTAAGCGAGTCTGGGTCAACAAGGGCAATGATAGAACAAGGCCGTATGCCTGTCATTATCCAGCAGGCTAGTTTGTTTCTTCATAGCATGGTGATGACAAGGGTCCCAAGACATCCTTAAGACCTGATGAGAGAGGACAGGCTCAAATGCACAAATGGTTTCAAATATCTACTTATTTCATATTTTCATATTTCTTATTGTCTTATTCACTGATCGTAGTGTTATGGGCTGAATCTTTGTGTACCCCCAAAATACCCAGTGTGATGGAATTTGGAGATGGTGCCTTTGGGAGGTAATTAAGTCGTGATGGTAGCATCTTGTTCTGATGAAATCAGTGCCCTTATGAGACAACAGAGAACTTGATCTCTCTCACTCTTTTCTTGGACAGAGGAAGGCTAAGTGAGCACACAGCAAAAGAGTCCTCAACCTCACCTGACCATGTGGCACTCAGATATCAGACTTGCAGCCTCCGGAACTGTGAAAAAAACAAATTTCCATTGTTGAAGCCACCACTGTATTTTGTTATGGCAGCCAGTGCAGACTAGCATACACAGCAGATCACATGTTCAAGCCTCAAAGTAAAGGTAAAAGGAAAATGTTAAAAGAGGAAGATACAGAGAGGGGAACCATTTGTGGCCTATTTTGTAATCAACCATAATTGTGCCACAGTCTGAATAAATATAATTCATGATGTAATAAAATCTGTGTAGGGATTATACATTAATGAACTATGCTTCTGATATAAAAAAATTTTTAAATGAACACTTTTAGAAAAAAAATGACCTGGATCAGATGTCCTGATGTTATTTAGCACTTCCACTTTCCACATCATGCACTTACATATTAAGTATACTTCAGGACTATTATGTGTTTACTAGTTTTGCAGCTATTGCAAATTCCCCAGATATATATATATATATAGCCAAATGACTAAATATTTCTTTAAATCTTCCTTCACATAATCTGTTCAAAAATTAAATTTTTTATTATTTCATTGCCAATTGACCTTCAGGCAAATTGTCAAGAAATTTATGAGGGTAACAGCTTGAATATGTGTTCCCAAGTGTCTCTTGGGTAAAATATGACTTATGGCTTTCTTGCTCCTGAAATGATTAAGTCTCAAAACCTAAAGTTGACAGCAGAGTCATTGTACAGATTGATGTTCTCAATGACTAACATTTGACAGAATTTGCTTCTGATTTATTATGGTTCTAGGTAAAAACAATTTACTTCAATTTTTAGTATTTTTACTATGTTCTTTCACTAATTGGATAAAAAATAAAATTTTGTATTGAATATATGTGCATTTTGAGTAAACTAATATTTTAAATTGAACTTTTATTTTTTAAAGTACAATTATTTTTAGGATGCTGACATGGTTTCTGCTCTTTTCTCTTTTGATGTTAAGTAGCTCCTGATTTTTTTTTAATTGTAGCTAACAGCAAACTATTACTCACATAAAATCTATTCAGTAATAATGGATTTTTTTAACCATTTTTTCATTCAAGCATACCAAATGGATGTGAAGAACAATTATAAACAATTAGGTACAGCCCCCACTAACAAAGTTTAATTTCTGGAAAATAGAGAACAATAAATCGCTTTTCTTTACTCCTCAATTACTCTAAGTTATTATAATGTTTAATTTTTTAAGAATTAAAGTATGTGACATTAAAGAAGGAAACAAAATGCAAAAAATGGAGGGAGTACAGATAATACATAATTCCTTCCTAGAGTATTTGTATCTACTAAGTAGGTAAAGGGACATATTTTTATTTTAAGTTTCCTATATAATTTATACTTTCTACTTATGCAAACGTTACTTAAAAATCTTTCATTAAATGCAAAAGATTTTAAGTAACATTTGCATAAGGTAGAAAGCATATTAACATAATTAATATCCAGAGGACTACCATTCAACTGAAGAACTTACTAGAATGTCACTTGAAATGAGTTTATTCCTTTCCTGTTTCATCTGCACCCTGTTCCATACAGAGACAGCTTATTTTAAACTTTATTATATGTTTTAGCCCATTGCTCGTGTGTGTGTATGTGTTTTTTCTTATAATAGAAATATTTAATGAATCATGAATTTTTGATACTTTGAATTTATAATGGAATCTAGGATGAGATCTTGGGAGTGCAGTCTTTTTGTGAACTGCATTTTCCTTTCTAGTAAAAAGACAAAATCAGGGTTTGTGTGTGAAGAGGTTGGTCCAATGCATCATTATTGGGTAGGCCAGAGGCATATTGGAAGGGGTAACACTTAAACTGGAAAAATTTGAAAATTGAACATTAAAATATTAAAGAGATTTTTTTAAGGAGCTCTGAAACCTTGCATGCAAATGTTTATTAACAAAGCTAGTGGTATTTATAGCTTACTCCAAATTGGAACTTATTCCAAACTAAACATGTTATCTTCTTTTACCTAAAACTTGTCTCAAGAAATAAATGGTTTCAGTGAGTCTTTCAGGTCAAATATCTGTCTCATTCTCAATCCCTCTCTTTTCTTCCACTAGTTTTAGCATCCACCTTCAAAGTACAGCAAGGTTCTAGTTCCTTAATTGCTCTCAAATCTTCCCTCTTGTCTTTCCACAAGGCTACTGTTTTGTCATGGCTTTTCTAGATTACTTGCAGTAGAATCTAATAGTTTGTTGCTATAACTTCTGTCTTCAACTGTCTTCTTTACCCTATCTCTTAAATGCAAACTAGCCAAATCATTCCCTTACTCAAAAACCAGTAAGTAATTTTGAAAGGTTTAAGAAAAATGTGCTGTGTGCTTTTCTACCCTCATTTATGTCCAACTACATAGGTCATGGTGCCATGGTGTCTCTTACTTCCAGGACATACAAATATTACAGGATCCTTGGGTGTCACTTCACAAGCCAGAAACCTCTGTGGCTGGTGGCACCTTTGCCCAAGTTTTTACTTGAGCCTGGTGGACTCGTTCCACCCGCTTGCCCTGGCAGGCTGCACTTGGCTTGCTCTGCTGGCCTGAATATCACACCTGCCAAGGGTGAGCCAGGTGTGGAGCAGTGAGGGACATGTGAGTGAGCAAGTGTGGGGCTCAGCCACTGTGCAGAGCCAGGCATGCTGGCTGAGGTCACAGCCCTGGCTCAGGGAACTCCTAGGTCTGGGCTCCCTGAAGGGCCACAGCTCTTCTCTGCCTCTCTCTTCTCTCCTTCTTATTGCCTGCAACATGGCGAGGAAGGGGTGTGTTTTAGCCCTGTTTGTGTTACAGTTCTTTTAGCCCCACCATTCAGTGGGTCTGAGTTTTTGTCCTGTGTCCAGGAAGAATGAGGTATGTGGACAAATGGAGGGTGAGCAAGGTGAAGAGGAGTTTTATTGAGTGATAGAACAGCTCAGAGGAGACCTGCAGTAGGTAGCTCCTCTCTGCAGCCAGCTTGTCCCGATGAGTGTTCAGCTCTTAGCAGAGAGGATACCCTGAAATGGGTAACTCTTCTCTGCGGCTGGTAGTTCCGATGTCTGCTCAGCTCTTTTCAGAGAGGAGACTCTGGAGTGAGTAACTCTTCTACGCAGGCAGGTTGTCCCATCGTCTCTTTGAGTCTAGCTGAGTCCAGGGTTTTTATGGGCTTCAGATGGGAGGAAGTGCCTCCTGATTGGCTCATGGGCAGCCACGGGTAGGCATGGGAAAAGCACCATAATTTCCCATTCTGGTCCTTGGGGCTGGCAGCCTGGCCCCCAAGCTTTAGGCCTTCCCCAGCTTGAAGGTGGGGTTTCACCTGGAACCCATCCCTTTCTGCCCAGGAGTCTGTCTTCTGAAGCTGTTCATGATGCACAGGCTGCTTGTGCCAAGGGGTGACTGCAAGCCAGTGCTGAGCTGCCCTCAGCCCCCACTTTGCCTCCCTCCTGTGCTTGTTGATGCCCAAAGCCCAGAGGGGCTGAGGTGACAGGTGGCTGGCATGTCAGTGCTGCCCTGAGCGAACACACACCCAGCTGGGTTGCAACAGTGCCCAGGCTTGGCCTCAACTTTGCTCCAAGATCAGAACAGGCAGCAGGAGCAGAGAGAAGCCAGGCTGTGGGAGCAGGCATTTCTGAGCCTGAAGGGGCAGAGGGGCCTTCCTAGGCCCCCAAGAGTGCAGAGATGCCAGCATCCACAGTGTGGCTTGGGTGGTTGCAGCTGCACCCAGGAAGGCAGGGCTCCTGCCTGCCTCCAGCACCCAAGAGCACAGGGATGGCCGGGTCCCCAGCCATGGCTCAGTGGCCACAGCTGCTCCCAGGGAGTGCAAGACTTCTGCCTTGCCAAGTCAGAAGGGAGTGGGACTTCCGCCTATTCCCGGCTATTTGGAGCCCCAGCCGTACCCCTCCCACTGCAGCTGGCATCATGTCAGTGGCCACTATAGAAGGGCCACCACTGCCATCATCAACTGGCATTTTTTGTTACCTATTACTACTCCCAATTTCACCCTACCTGAACTTATCCCAAGAGTTAATCTCATTCTTCAAGGCAGTTCAAACAGTTGAGTGCAACCTTAACTCTTCTTGTTATAATTTCTTGACTGTCATTATCTAGGTTAGGTTATTCTCCTCTTAGCCCCTTAGAAATCTGAACTTACCTGTCTCATGATGTTTATCATATGATGTAATTATCTACTTTATAATTACCTCCTACATTTTGTCCTTTTATAGATCAGAAACTATATCTTATGTCTTAGTCATCTTTGTATTTCCAAAGTCTGGCACAGTCTTTGGCATAAAATGAAATACCAAATAAATATTTGATGAATGAATTAATGAATGCTGGAGACAACAAGACATTAAATGCAATGTTTTACCTTGATTTAATCATAAGGGCAAAATTAGAATTAAGAAAGAAGCATAGTAAGAGTTACTTCTAAGTGTAAAAACCCAAGGTAGAAAGTTATTGCCACTGAAACGATCATTTCAGAGACAGGCAGGATCTGTAATTGAAGACCAGCACAGTTAATATTCCATAACTCCAAGCTGTGGAACTTATTCATGTTAATCATTTTTGCAATGCTCATGTGTTTTTCCACAGTAATGATTAGTAATAACCTGAAAAATAAAGGCGTTTTCTGCCTAACTTTACTGGCATCAAGGAAAAGCAAGTTAGGGAGGCTATCCCACTTTGCAATCAAAATGTCCAAGAATAGAACTTTTACAGAGAATAGAGAGGCAAAGGACAGGAAAAGTGGAAACCAGTCCAAGTCTGTGGGATTCATAGCCAAGAAAGAATGAAACAGGGCATCAGTGAGGTGGTCCTGAGAGCTTCCAAGAGTCCTGGGGCCGAACATCACAGAAGATAGAGGACTTTTTCCAATGTAGTGTTTTCAAGATATTATTTAACCAGATTTGAAAAATAACCTTGGAATTTATAGGAATTATGTCTAGTCTTATTTCTTTTAGACTGAAAATGTGTTATCTTGATTGCTATTGTGTTCTGGATTGAGAAGGAGGCAGATAGGAGAGAAGGAGGTTCTTTAGCCTCTACTCTTCAGAATAACTAAAATGAAAATTTCTCCACCTCTTACATTCTTGGCCACTCTCTACTTGCAAACTTTTTTCTTTTTACCTCTATCCCTGAATGATTAATGTCTATTATAATACCGTATTTATTTTCTTTATATAGAATGCAATCTATAATTATCTTATTTACACTTTTAACTTTCTCATTGCCTCTCTCCTCTACTAAAATATGTATTCATGTTTTTTTTTTAGCCCTGTAGCCACTGTGCTTGACAAATAGTAGGATTTCAATTGATATTTGTTGAACAAATGAATAGATGAACTGATGACTAAAAATGGAGTTAGGTTGATAGTAATAATTGTAGTTCTTCTGGCTGTTCACCCTTCATTTGCCTTTTCTATGACCCTGAATTCTCTGTAAATTCCTCCACCAAATATTTCTGGGAAGCACATGAGCTGAAAGAGAGGTCAAATGAGTTTTTGCACTACTGCTTTCTCACCATTGATAATGCCCTCAATGGAAAAAACTACAGCAGCAACAAAAAACACTGCCTATGTAAAGTTCTTGTCCTCTAGTGCTTCCAAAGTAACTGATTCCCAAAGACCCAAAGCTGAGGTGCAGGCACCAATGGAAAAAATGACCCCTGTTCAAATCCATGCCACACCTGACCATCCGAATCTTAAAACATCATTGTGTTTAGAGTCTCAAAGTATTTTGTGAAAACAGCTTCTGTAGCATCAGTTCTTAATCACCTATCCCCTGGAACCTCAAATTTTCCTGCAGGCGAGACAAGTGTATGTACCATGTCATCCATCTTGTTTATTGTTTTACTCCCTCCTGGGCATCCATGCACTGTCCTGTCTGTCTTTAGCCACATTGCAAAGCAAACAAAATTGTCATTTCATGCAAATAAACTCCTAGGATGTTTGTCAGTACACTAGCTCTGTAAGCATACAGTTGGGAGTCCCAGCTTTACCTGTGCCAGCAATTTTTTTTTTTATCTAGATACTTCTGTGGCTCATTGCAAATATGTTTTTATAGAACTGCTTCAAAAAATTGTGGAACAATTGTTAGTATTTTTTCCTAACCAAATTATTTCCTGTAATAATATTCCTGTTCATCAGGAGATCCCTACAAGTTAGAGAGATTTAAGCATGGGGAAGAGGATGGAAGGAAACGGAATGAAGAGTAGTTCTCACCTTGCAGCTCCTTTCAAGTTTAAATGTTACTGAACATAGTATTTCAAACAGTGATTCAATGTATACTCTTTATTAATTTCTTATATTTGGATAGGGATCTCTCTGTCACTGGTTTCTTTGAGAGGGTCAGCTGTGGGCATATAGGGAATCAACAGCATTCAGGTCATTTTTTCTTAGGCCCCTGAGGAACATGGCTCAGTTCAGTCTGAACTCCTCTCAGAATAGGTCTATTTCTATCACCTGTAGGGACCAGCTTAGAGCCAATTAGAGTCCTGAGACCCCGAGAATCTCATAACACAGCTTCATTCCCCAAGGTCTTTGAAAATGAATTTTACATGCTGATCCCAAAGGAACTGGGTTAAACTCACCCTAGAAATTCCAAGTAGAATTCTACTGGTCATTAGAAAAACTTTTGATAAGACTAAAATTTCTTTACCTAGCTGTACTTAGTACTTTGTGAATCCTGTACCTCATTTATGGAAACACATTCAGCTTTTAAACTAAATCCATTGAGTAGATCTAAACTTAATCATTATCTGCAGATAATGATTCTAGCAGCAATGTCTGTTTTAGGATTGCATGAATAACAAACTACATGTTAGGGTTGTCATTTTATTTTTAAGTGCTAGTTTATATAATTAAACATACATAAATTTTAACATCTTAGGGGACAGAAGACTATTATAAAAAATAATTTTATGAATAGTTATAAAAAAGTAAAGTTCAGCATATCCTGACATGAGGTTATTTCCTTGGGCTGAGGTCACTGTATTAGACGCTATAGTGAATATAAATGATTTATTCACTGTTCATGGTCTCAAGATGCTTATAGTTTAGATTTGGAAAGAGACATGAATAATTTCAAAAATGAAATGTAGTATGGTATAATCAAATATTAATTGAGAATTTAGAGAAGGGAGATTTTCCTTTCTTAGAAATGATTATAAATAATTCAGTTTTATTTTAAATGGTGCCACCTATTTGTGTGGAAGGATAGGTGTGATTTCATCATGTGACAATGCAAGTAGGTCAGGTAAATGGAGGGAAAATGGATTTTCTTGAGAAAAAAAAACTTTGTACATGAAAGCAAGTCTAGGAGTTCTATATTGTCTAAGTAAAACAAATTGCGGCCAGTCACAGTAGCTCACGCCTGTAATCCCACACTTTGGGAGGCCAAGGTGGGATCACCTGAGGTCGAGAGTTCGAGACCAGCCTAACCAACATGGGGAAACCCTGTCTCTACTAAAAATACAAAATTAGCCAGGCGTGGTGGTGGGTGCCTGTAATCCCAGCTACTCAGGAGGCTGAGGCAGGAGAATCACTTGAACCTGGGAGGCGGAGGATGCGGTGAGCTGAGATCATGACATTGCACTCTAGCCTGGGCAACAAGAGTGAAACTCTGTCTTGAAAAAAAAAATTGCATATTGACATAATGAAGATGTTGAGAAATTGTGAAATAAATATAACATTTAACAGAAAATTTCTCAAATCTACCAATCATTTCCATGTAATACCTGTCAACATCCTGTGAGACTGGTGTCTTCTGATAGAGTGTTATGCAATTTGAATAAAATGTATGAAATTATGAAAAATAGGCAAGAAAGATTTAAGGTAGTCAAATTTTGGTATGCCTTCTATTGAAGATGGAGGAGTGACCCAATCTGAGAAGTACTGTTGCGAGATTAATCCTGCTAGGATGTGTTGGAGAGAGGCCAGAAGATGGGAGGCAAGGTTGGGAAACTGAAAGTGAGACAGTCCTTTAAGGGACTATTAAAGTTGTCCATGTGTGAGGTGAAAAGCACATGAACCATGATGATCAAGAGAGAAATGAAAAAAAGAAGATGCATTCAAGAGCTATTAAAGGGAATTACTTATTAAAGAAAGGACTTGGGGTTTTTCAGATTAGGAACTGTTCCTACAATGTACAAACTCAAAAATGTAACATTTCAGTGGGGTGCCCATTTGAAAATATCTAGGAAGTAGCAATAAATGAAGAATTTAAATTTAGGAAAAAGATTACTGCAAGAGGTAGAGAATTGGAACACACCTTGAATAAAAGTGGTAACTGAATCTATAGAGATAGATAATATAATGGGGGGTATGTAAAGAGAAAAGAGCCAACAATTTAACCTTTATGAGAACCCACATATGTTGGACCTAATGAGGAAAAGTAGCCATTGAAGAAAGAATAGTGATATAGTAAGTGAGAAACCAAGGACTGCAAAATCTCAAGTACAAGGTACAACTGAATATTATTACATACCATTAAAAATTGTAATTAGATGAGGTTCAGTGGCTTTGGAGATTAGAAAGCTATAGCTCATCTTTAGGAAAGAATTTATTCAGTCAGAATTTATTAAGAGAAAGGCCCAGTGCAAGAAATTCACAATGCCAATGTGGTGAGATAGTAGAGTTTACAAGGAAACGTGACTCTTGCATGAAACTTTGAAGTAAAGAAAATGAAGGAAATTTAGTGGTGGCTCAAGATAAAGGCAACTCTAAAAGAGGACATTTTTCCTACTTTTTCTAGGCTCAGAGAAATATACACATTTTGTAGGCTAAGAAAATAACTAGAAAAGACTGATAAAAATAAAGTGTGAAAATTACTGACACCAAATCCTTTAGAAAGACAAAAGACTTCATTAAAAATCATAAGTAAATGGATTAGCATGAGAGGGACTCCTTTTCCTCTAGGACAGAAAAGAAAGGAAAGGTTTTCTGATAGAAGGTAGAAATCTCCTTCCTGCTGTTCCCAGGTTTGAAATGTTGTCCTTCTAGTGAGCAGGGTAGGAAGGACAGCAACCTGGTGCTCCCCACTCAGCTGCTGGTGGGCTGTCTCTCAGGCTGGAGTGAATGGGGTTGGTAAACCAAAGGTCAGAAAAACATAGTGTCTCTGGTGGAGAGTGAAGATGTATCGAAGAAGTGTTAGGACAAGGAACACAGAGCTACTTTTCCACGCTGCAGCAAAATCAGAGCAAACATGAGTGTGTAGACTGGGGCAGAGTGGAACCCAGTCAGGCAGGGAAATCTCTAGTCTAGGATGATGGGCAGATACCCAGATATAGGAGGAAAGGTCAAGGTGGAAACAAAATTAAACAATAAAATAATTTAAAATTTGAGAAATTAAATTAGTATCAAGTTGATGCCTGGCATTATTGATATATTTTATTCCCTATTGTCACCAAACCTGGAAGAGGCCAGCCTACAGGTCTTTAGGGGGAGGCAAAGGGGGAAGAAAAATGGACACAATGAGTAAAGACAAAATGTTCCTAATAATTTTGTTACTTCTAATTTGGTGTGGTACAGGTATGCCATCAATCCCCAGAGGACTGTGTGTGCTTGTTGATGTGTTTTAGGGGAGACTCACAATCTTGACTAGTACAGGAAGGTATGGGGAAAAGAAAAAGAGAAGTTTTTCTTTTCTCTGTGTTTAGGATGATGGTTCTTTCCGGTCATCTTCCATAAGTGACAAGCAGGATCCAACAAACTGATTTTAGCAGCTCCTATAGCTTTCATTTAGGTTATATTTAACTATGGGATCATTTTTATTCCATTCAGCACCAACTTCATTATCAGTGTTTAGTGTTTATTATGTAACAATAACAAATTCTAAATATAAGGACTTGAAGTTGTAAATTCTGTGATTTAATGTGACATTTCCTTGGAGAGGATTTTCATAGTGAATCTTGATGTTTAAAGAATGCGATGGAAATGATCTATTTCAGCTTTGCCTCTTACATTAATGGGTTTTTTTGATCCTTTATAGGAAATGCTGGTGGTGAATAGACCTCACTGTTATAAAATGTGTATAGAAGCTTGAAAAAGGAAATACATTTTGGACTGTCTGTAAATAGTCAACTATTATGCATTATTTATGACATATTTTGTGGCTATATAAATGCTATTGATCATGATATTTTTATCCAACAACATGTGGTTGATATGATTCCCACCTGCTAGTCGTATAGTATAAATGTTTGCTTTAAGAGTATATGAACTGGGCAAATACAGGGAACTAAATAACATACATAGTTTATGAATTGAAATATTAGTTCTTTTATATTTGAATATACAATATACAAGGTTCTGTTTTCATTCTGTCTTTGAAAAAAATCTTCATGTGATTTATTTGCAATATTGAGCTAAATTGTACCAGTTTTATAGGAACATATTTTGTTAAATAGCATAAAAAATTTTAATAATTTAATCTTCATGAATGAAAAATTATCTAAACATATACCAGATTCTCTGAGGATCTCATATCATAACTTTTATGGAAACTAAATTGTGATTTGAGAATATAATAAAATTCTAAGCAGTCTTAAGGAACTAAGAATTGGCCTTTGGGAGCCTCTAGTATTTAATTGTTAAGCACAGGCCCTGTCTGCTTATATAATGTAATTTCTTCAAGTGATTCTTTCAAAAAGAACTTTTCTTTTTTTTTTTTTTTTTTTTTGCAGGGGAGGGTCCCTGTTCTGTCGCCATAGTTTTTAGGAGCTTGGAAAAGTTGTTGAAACACTGTCCATATGTTTATTACTTATTTTGAATGGCAGTAGCATTTTCTTAGAGCAGGGAAGAAATTTGTGTTTTACATGCTAAGACAGCCGATAAGAGAACTATTTTAGTGTCATAGAATCAAAGTATGGGAGCTCAGAGGGACTCAGAATACTAAGTTCTGCACTGTGTTTTTTACAAATAAAGAAACTAAGATCCAGTATTATTATCGCTTGGCCAAAACGTTACAACACTTTAGTGACATTTACTGTGATATATGTTTTTAAATACCACATAGGGTTATATTTTTGCACATCACATAAAGCAAGTTACTGGATATTGAGTCATCTTAATCACTTGGTCATTTTACATTTCCAACAGTCGCTTTTCCTTTCCATATCCAGGTTAGTAGCATGTTTTGCAGTATAATACTCTTAAAAACATTAAAAAGATCATTTAGTTCCAGTTAATACAAATAATAGTACCATCGGTTCTTTATAAAAGACATGCCTCTCGCTATATACTTCATTATAGAAAATTCAAGTTTATCAGACCTGCATGAGACCACACCATTGATCTCTTTTCCCTGCTACATTCCCGACTATTTTTTTAAACTGAAAAGACTTACTGGTGTCTGACTTAATCCTTCAAAAAGATTTTAAGAGATGCTAAGCAAAATTTCTGTTAGGAGGAATAAGTTCAAGAAATTTATTATACATCATGGTGACTGCAGTTAATAACAATATATTATATATTTGAAAATTGCTGAGAGTAGATTTTAAGTGTTCTCATCACAGAAAATAAGCATGTGAGGTGCTATGTACGTTAAATACCTTGATGTAGTCATTTCAGAATGTATACATATAGCAAAACATTTTACATCATAAATATATATAATTTTTACTTGTTAATTTAAGAAATATATTAATAAAATCATATAAACTAAAAAAAAATGCTAAAGTCATACTCTTGGTTTGATCTTTTCCTTGGCTTAGTGACCTTGTTTTTACTTGTCCTGAGTGTCTTAACTTGAGAATCTTTTACCAGGCTAAAGCTAAGTGGGGGGTGGGGGCAGAAAATATCTTTCAATCCTGCAAGTCCTGTAACACCTACCCCTTTTCCTATTTTTGTCCCTGCTATCCTGCTATTATGGCCTTATTGCTTCCATAGTAACCTTCTAAATGTAGCTAATTACCACCAACTCATGCAAGCAGCAACATCTCCAAACCTCTTTTCCCAGAGCCCCAAATACATTGTGTACATTTTCTGCATTTGAAGATATCAGGGAAAAGTTTTACCAAATATTTTGTTACTGTTTAACATAACTTGCCATTTTTCTAACTTCTTCTAACAGATTCCTCACTATTGCCTGCCCATCCTTGAAGCCAATGTGTTTCTCAGGATTTTGTTTTATGCACCCTAGCTCAGATTTTGCTATTCTGTCAAACAACTGCAATCTCTTAGGGCTTACAATAACAGATATTTATTTCTTGCCCATGCTGCTTAGGCACTATGGGTCAGCTGTGGCTCTGGTTGGTTCTGAGGGGCTCAGCTAACCGTCAAACATTTTCTTATTTTCTGGGATCCAGGCTAAAGGGACATGTTCTTATTTTGGAAAGCAAGGACTGCTATAAAGGCAAAACATGCAAACACATTTTAAACATACTCTTGGACATGGCCTACACTGCATTGACTTACATTCCATTGGCAAAAGGCAGTCACATGTCCAAACCTAAAGTCAATGGATGGGGGCTATACTTTGCCTACAGAGAAATATGACAAGTATGAGTAGGGGACAAATAAGTATTAACAAAAATAAAATCTACCAATTCAATTCACTCGTAAGTGTATGGTAGAAGAAAGACCTGGTAACTTTATTAAGTTCCTATGAATTCTACATTCCTTCCCTTCAACATGGCTCTTTCATAATCCTGATTATTGGTATTATTTTCTGACTCCAGTGGATAGTTAACATTCTGTGGGTTCCAGCTTTCATTTCCTCCTCTTCTTTTGATAATTACCAACTAATTGAGTGTCTCCTGAAGTCATTGGGGAAGCACATAGCTGGAATGGTGGAGGCAGAAAACCCAGGCAAGTGACCACGAGGAAAGCCATTATTAGAACAAGCAAAATACAAGAGGGTGGAGAAGGAGTGGCAATATGACCACTTTAAGGAGTTCATGAATGAAAGATAGTAAGTTGGTAGGAAGTGTATGGCTTTTAATTCATTAAAAACATAGTTCTAGAGTGAGACGAATACTGCGGTAGACTTTAAGACTTTGAACAAGATATTTGACATCTTTGAACTTTATTTTCATTGCCTGCCAAATGAAGACAATAGCTAAAAGATAGTATTATGTGAAAATGCATATTAAATTGTTAAGTGTCTTGCTTATTGATACTTACCTGTACCATAACAGGTGGCAGCAATGTTTTATATATATGCAATTGGTAATCAGCAAATGTTATTTATATCTAAATTTTTATGTGGTGACTGTCTGTGAGTATCCTCTTTACAATTATGCAGGAGTCTCATAATTTCATTTAGGTATGACTAAAGACAAATCAATATAAAACAAAAAAGGAGAAACTTAAAACAACGTAGGTAAGATCTGTAAATAAAATACAGCTTCCAGTTTCATTGTGTTTCCTTACAAAAACTATATTTGAATCAGTTGTGGACTAGTTAAAAGCAACCTATTTTTCAAAGCAGACATAAAAATCAAAATTAGGGCAAATAAGTAAATGTGTAATATTAATTTAAGTACTGTATATATTATGCCATTATAGTGGTATTATATCAACTTAATATAATTAAGGAATTATAATTTTTTCTGCAATCCTTATCCTAATTCTATAGCCTATGTTTATGTTTTTTTGACATGTGTCTTTTATCACATATTTGGAATTATGCTATCATACAGGTTTATATCACTATTTTTAAACTAAAAATTATATAATAAATACTTCCCTTTGTATTATGGAGCTTTCCTAATCATTATTTAATGTATATATAATAGTTTATCAAGTGAATGACAGTAATATATGCAACCGCTTCTCAGAGTTGGCATTTAGATTAGTTTTCCCATATTATGATTACTCAAGTGAGCTAGGGGAAGGGGTCATAGAATCCTGAGACTAGCTGACAAAGTGTTGAGTGACAAAGAGATAGATGGAACTAAGTATGTTCAGGATTCTAAAAAGAGCAATGGTTCACAAGGAAACTTCTGCCTCAGGTGGGGAGAGGAGTCCATAGATCAGGGAAACTTATGTCTTGGTGAAATGGAAGACCATGTTTCTAAACACCTGTCGCCAGGTTGGTTCACCTTGCTGTGGTACTGTTCTTAATCCTGCCTCAGTGATACTGTATTTTTTAGAAACTTAAGGGATTCTAACATCTTTCTGAATCTCATCATTGATATCAGGAGATCCTGTGGGGTTTTTTTTATTTGATTTTTTAAAATGGGCATTTTAATATAAAAGTCAGAAAGGTATTCTTTGGCCATGTAATCTTCCTAGAAGTATCCAGGAATTTTTCTTTAACTCCTCTTCCGTAGTGCCAGTTAATGATCTAATGCTTTCAAATTGAGAAAAGAACCAAAACACCAGAGAATCTTTGGAAACTAATGCAAAATGGAGGATCCAAAATCTCTTAAATATAATTCTGTTTTTTTCCTAAGTTGAAAGGTGAGAAAAGTATTATTAAGTGGCTTCCCAGCTATGCTCTAAGGAATTCTAAACTTTCTAGGAAGAACCAGGGACAATTTCAGGAGTCAGGGGATGCTGATAAGTGGAATTCCAGGCTCTCTATGATGCTTCCAACCCCATAAACCAGAGTAGCTGGTTTGCATAGCAGGATTCTGAGTAAGATTTCATTCCTAGAAAGGATTCTGTGGCTTTAAAAGCTTTAGAAGGAGAAAAACAAAAACAAAACGGGATATACACACAATGATTGTTATCATCCTCTTTTACTGTAGAGCCATATACGTAATTTCCCTAAGCCATGACTCTGGGAGAGAAGAAAAGACTGCACACATGGTAACATGTAAAACTCTCAGATAAATTTTTCCCTAAAGGACATGAAAATCATATTTAAAAGTTTGGGCTGACTCTCCTTTTCAGGAGGGGAGCACTGTTCAGCACTGTTCAGGCTTCCTATGTAAGGGAAGAAAAAAATAATTTTCTTTCTATATTTTCTGAGTTCTTAGCTGTGACCCCAGTAACTAAGTGCAGATTAACAAGAGAAAAACAAAAAGAAGTTTATTAAAGTATGTACATCATTATACTTGTGAGATACCCAGAAAAATGAGTAAATCTCAAGGAGGTGGATTTGAATTCAGGCTTTAATACCATTGTCCACTGATAAAAAGAAAGAAGAGTGTAGGAAGGGCCAGTTATGTGGAGATGCCTAGAAAAAGCATATAAACAATGATAAGGTTTGTTACACAGATTAAGTCCATGCCTTCTCTTTTGGTAAGTCTCTAGTTATTTAGTTGTTCTTCTCTTCCTGGTGCAGAGAGGGAGACACCACTAAAAATAGAAATTTCCTTTATAGATATAAATTTCCCTTACAAAAAGGGTGACTTAACTTTCAGAGCTTCTCCTGTGTCTGCTGGTTCTCAAAATAATCAGCTCAAAGTAATCCTTATGCTAAAGAGGCATATTTTGGGGTGGCATATTCCGGTCTTCTGTAAACACTAGATAATATCTATAAGCACGGATCGATTTCTCTTTCCTCAAGTATGATAGAAATTTAGCTACAAGGAGAAAATCATTAGAAAAAAAGATAAGAAAATTTTATATTTAATATGAACAGAAGTACAACTCACAACCAAGTAAACATGTAAGGAAATATATTTATATTTGCATACTAAAGTTTTGTATTTCAACATTTTTGTATTTGCAAGTTTTTAATAGAAACATAAGATTTACTCATTATATAATATTTAAAGATTTCAAAATATATAAATCATACATGGTCACTTTCCAAAGGCATAATTTGTATAGATATGTAAATATATGTACATTATCTCACTAAAGGAAGAAGCTGAGGAAAAATTAATATACATAGAAAGTTTATTTGGACCAAGCTTGCGGATTGCAGCTCTGGAGCATCGATTCAGTTGCCCCGAATATACACTCCAATTAGTGGCAGTCTACAAGTGGATTTTTAAAAGAAGAGGGGGTTCTTGAGTTGTTTACAAAAAAAATTACATTAAAATAACATCAGCTATTGATTGGCTATATGTTGTTTTTGTTTGTTTGTTTTGTGTGACAAACTCCAGAACATGAAGATAATGGATGAAGCAGCTAGTCAAGAACAAAATTACTTTGAACAATTGCCTCCACCATGGGTGGGGAAGAGGGGCTGGGCTGACTGAAGTCTCATACTCATGTCTCTCTGGGCCTGATAAATTTTGGATACCTCATGTTGCTCAGATTGCTCTGAGCTAGTTTTCTTTTCTCAACCTAAGTAGTCTTTCTGTGTATACAATTTAAAATAATTATATTCTGTTCTACATCTTACTTTTTTCATTTATTACACTTTTAACAACATTTTAGCTGTATAAGTGCATGTAAATCTGCCTATTCATTTTATAGTTATATGATATTAACACTTTTTATGAATGTACAATTTATACATTTTCTAATGACTTTCAGTTTGCCACAGTGATAAATGATGTTGCCCTGGACATCATGTGTCTTTGCATACCTGTGCAATTGTGCCTACAAGAAAAACATCTTTGTAGTGCAGTTGCTTGGTTAATGGCTTTTATAAATGAGTCACCACTACTACTATACTAGTTTCCTGGGGCAGTCGTAGCAAACTACTACAAACTTGGTGGCTTAAAACAATAGAACTATATTCTTACATTTCTAGACATCAAGGTGAAGAACCACATTCCTTAAAAAGGTTCTATGGGAGACTCTGTTCCATGCCTCTTCTAGCTTCTGGTGGCAGTTGGCATTCCTTGGCTTGTGGTCACATCACTTTCTGCTGGGCCTCCATCCTCACATCACATCTCTCTCTGCGTCTTCCTTTCTGTGTGTGTGTCTCTGAACTCCCTCTGGCTCTTTTTGTTATAAGGATACATGTGATTGCATTTAGGGCCCACCTGGGTAATCCAGGGTAAGATTCTCTCTCAACAGCCTTAATTTATACACTCTTTTGCCATATAAGGTAATATTACAAGTTCTGGGGATCCAGACATGGACATAGCTGGCATTCACCCTATTATAACTTTTTACACACAATTCTGCCGTTTGAGTATATCTTGTCCGAAATGCTTGAAACCAGGTCAGCTGTGGAATTTGTCACTTGTGATGTCAAATAGGCACTCAAAAAGTTTTGGATTTTGAAGCATAATTTTTCTGATTTTTGGATTTGGGGATGTTCAACCTGTATTAGAAATCAGGGGAATTGTTTTGTATGGGAGGTGTACTTCCAATTCTTCATAGATAATTATATACTGGTTTATATTATTTTTTTCTAACTTGCCCATTATAAAGCATTTTTAGTTAGTTTGACCCTTATTGCCAGTTAGCATTCTCAAAGTCATTTAACCACCGCAATAGTGTAGTCTAAAAACAGGTTTTGTGTTACTGACATTTTGTGGTCTATGAGCTATTGATATCTCTCTTGTCTAGATGTCAAAGTAAATTAGTCAATAGGATTTAAGAGATGGTTCACTCTGAAGAATAAAATAGCCTCTCGGGATTAGAGTCCAATTTTAATTTAATTACATGTTGGGAAAGAAAAGATTTGGTTCAATTTAATTTCTGTTGTAAAATTGGGTGAGTTGTCACCTAAACTTAAACACTGTACATTAATTTGATGTTGCTATATCCTTTTGTATAAAAAAAGAAAATAGCCAAAAAACCAGACAATTATTCTTTGAGAACAAATTAATTCATTTAGGTGAAAACATAATATAATATAACTTATAAACACTTTATAAGTAGGATGTAGAGAAAAACTCATGCTTTAACTGTAGGGCTTCTAGAGGAATTTATAGTGAAACCAATAGTCTAAGAACTATTGATTATTTTGGGACTTAGTTTGCTGAGTACATTATTTCTAAACTGTATTTTGAAATATAAACTTCTGGATAGCATGGAATATTGGTAAGACTTCATAGAATGGAGGCATGCTGGTTTAGGTTTCAAAAGTTGAAGAAAGATTATTCACAAAATAAATAAAGGAACATTCTAATATTTTATGTGACTGAAAGAGTCTTGAATAAAATATTATAGTCTAGCCATGGATCATCACTAATAGTTTCATTACTCCTATGTGTTACATATTTTTCTCCATAGTTTAATCAACCCGTATTGATTCTAAAAGAAAAGGCAAAGTTATTGGGCTTCAGTCCATCCCACCACATAAATTGTTGAAAAACACCTGAAGGTCACTCTTGTAAACAGTGATATTATATTGGAGCCTATACACTCAAAAACATTATGGACAGCACAGGTGTAAATAAGCTGGAAAGATGATGAATTTCAAAAGACTTTGAAGGATAGTTGTAGTTTTTGAATTCCAAAGATAAGAATATAAATTCTGATGAACAAGACCATCAGAATGGACATGCGCAAGAACTGAAATCTGGAAATTCCCAGAGGAATAAAATCGAAGAAGTATAATTTTATGCAGAAAAAGTTAGCTTTCATGTTGTGTTATAGTGGAATCAGCAACAAAAGCCCTAATGAAAAAAAATACTAGTTGTGGTAGCAATTTGGTCACCTACTAGACATTATACTTAAAAAAGTCACTTTGCAATTCTGATCCTTTATGCCCTCATCTATGAAACGTGATTCAAAATACCAGTTCCTTGGAGTTCATGGGATTATGAAAATAAATTATTTGTATTTTTAGAAAAATAAAAAGCTCTAAAACATTGTTTATTTTTATGCACCCTATTACAAGTAAAGCCAATCATAAATCATATGGCATGTGTGTGATTACTAAGGATCAAAATTAGCAGATGACAAAGCCCAACTTCTGGCTATAATAATTAAAGCTACTTTTGTAGGGGGAATAAGCTTTATGCCTACTTGGACTTCAGGAAGCAGTCCTCTAAATAATGGTTTTTCCAAATTGAAGGAAAGCCTTCTCACTGGCTTAAGGATTGTTGGTTTTCTACAGGCTTTGTAGTCAGACACACAAACTCTAAAACACTACCTTTTTAAAAAAACTTTTAAACCACTTTAATGGGGTATGATTTACATACAAAAAGCTGTCTATAATGTATACAACCTGGTTAGTTTGGAGATAAGTGTACACCCATGAAACCGTCACTGCAATATATGCCTTAAATATATCCACATCCAAAAGTTTGCTCCTGCCTTCTTTATTATTGTTACATTTTGAAAAGAACACAACATAAGATCTACCCTCATTCCACATGGTTTAAGTGTACAATACAGTATTGTTAACTACAGATAATATGCTGTACAGTAGATCTCTAAGATCTATTCATCTTGCATAATTTTATCTTTGTTTCTTTGACTAATTCCTCTCCATTTTCCTCTTCTAGTCACCTGGAAACAACTATACTATTCTCTGCTTCTATGTTTCCTCATCTTTAATGTTTCCACTAAAACACTACCTTTCATTTTTAAAACTAAAGATTAGTAAATGCATTGTATAAATATATCTGCATAAGTGTATATGAAATATATGATAGTTAATATATGTAAAGAAAAGGATGTAACATAGATTAATATAGATATAACTGTCAAGCAGAGTCTTCCTGGATTATTTACCCATTTGTTGAAAGGAACTCTGGATGTGAGTTAGTCTTTCTGGAAGAAAATGGGTCAATTATGTTAAGGTGCTGTGAAATTTCACAGAAATGTTGGTGAGCATATATAATTTGGACTTGTCAAGATCTCTTTTATCTGGTCCCTAAGCTGGCCTGTATAAATTATATTAATTTTTTTTTCTATTTTCTTGGAGGGCTGCCACATGGAGCCTGTATAAATTATGAGTGTAATTAAGCACATAGACTGAAAGATCAAAACCTAATTTTTAGATATGCCTTAGGCTGTCTTCTGAGGCTTTGCCTTGAAGCCAGGGAAGTTCTCCCTGCCAGAGGAAATAGATAGAAAATACATTTCCTCAAAATATAAAGGTTTTCTACCTTTGGATGAGCTGGTTACTTGTGGTGGGATGGAGCTGCTGTTCTCGAATTACCCAGCTTTAAAAAGCCACCGATGGGTCCGAAGCCTCCTGGTAGGACCAGAGCTGATGTATGAGCCTCTTCTCACTGCTCTAATCCCAGGCCCAGGAGACCCATTTAGTGTGAACTCTTCATTCCTACCACAAGTTAGACCTTTAGTTCCATCCTTATGAATTTCTCATATCCCTGACTTTTAAGCCTCTTTACTCATAGTCTTCCTAGTCCCCACCCTCCATTTCTCATGGACTTGGCATGCAGATCACACTTGCTTCATCCTCTCATAGAAACGTCATTTGACCTGGTGGCTGTGTTGCCTTTGTTCAGCACTTTAGAATAGGTGGCCCTGGATATAAGGCAGACACTGGTTATTTAATTCAAAGTATTGACATTTTCTTAGTTTTGATCTAGGCAAAGAAAGCCTTGGTCCAAACAAAACAAACTCTTAGGTACTAAATTTTATATATTCAGCACCATATTTAAATTGAAACAAAGATATTGGATGGATTAGAGATTTAGCATATTTTTCTGTCGCCCCGATTTGATTAGGAAGTGTGAATTCTAAATCAGAAGATCTCTAAAATAATTTTTGTTTCCTTCCTAAAACCCAGTCTGTCTTATTATAAGCCATGTATATTACTGACAGTATTTCTAATACTTATATTTTAATTTTTTATTTTCATTGTCAGTGGATATTTAATTTATTTAATTGAATTTTAGAGAAAATTATTTAAATGAGTATAGGTAATTATTTAAGTGACAGATAGTGAATGCCAATAAGAATTTTCTTTCTTATAATAATAGGCTTGTAATCTACTGTTTTTTTCAACAAAACCTAATTTTTTTAATCTTATACTTTTTATTTTAATTTTTTCTCATGCGCATGTTTGGTCATTTTAGTCATATCTTAGTTCTATTATTATATTGACGAAGATATATTCAATTTTGCTAATTATTAAAAGATGTTCAAAATTTATTGAGGTGATTTAAAGGCAGTGGCTCTAATTAGGCTTATTGAATTCAAATATGCATGTAACAATTTGTTTTCTATTTCTTTAGATAATCCAAAATCTACTCTACATCTTTTCCTTTGTATTGCCTTCAAATATCACTCTTCAAAGTTTAGTGACTAGGCTTAAAGATTCCACATATAATCCAAAGAAATCTGTTCAAGTGGACATCTATCAACACGTAAAACTATACTTTTAACTCTGTTTTTCTTGGCTGTGCTTACAAGCTGTGCTTGTTAAAAGAAATAAGACACAACAGATATAAATTGTATGAAAATGTTACAGAATTGGGCATAGGAAAAAAAGGCATGAAGCCAGAGTGTGTATGACTTGAATCTTGACAATTGGTCAACTCAAGAGTCACTAATGAGGAAGAGGTGACAGTGTTGGAATTGGAATTTTTGGAATTGATTGGTTCTGGGTCTCTTTTCTAATGGATCAGTTAAGAGATCATAAGATGTCATTTTATATGAAGAAAAACAAAATAAGTAGTAGATAAGAAAATGAAGAAGTATGTGAGTGGCGCCTTGCACCCTGGAACCCATAGTTATCATTCAAATCAAGGAAATATGCTGAAAACAGAAAGTAAAATTTCATATAAATGAGAAATAAATTGATGAACTATGGAAAAACAAGTAATACAAAACAGAAAAGATTAAGGAGAAAAAACGCTTAATCATATGTTTTTTATTTAAAGGCAAGGAAACTTTTGAAAGGAATGATTTGTGTAGCATCTGAGAAAATAGCTTCACTTTTATAACAAAGCAGGAACAATTTAAGTAGTTGACAATTCAGAGAACTAACATACAGTACATTAGAAAAACATGAATTTAATAGGGAATATAAATCAGAATTCCTAGGTGATATTCCTTCAGGCCAGAATGTAGAGAAATGTGAAACAGTTGATTATCTATGGAAGGCTGATGTGCAGGTCACTTATTGTCATTCAGAACCATTAACGAAAGAACACTTGTGCATTAAAATATGTCTGGGGATATGATTGATACTTAGAGGAGGATATGTAGTTGTGTGTATGCATGTGCACACGCACGTGGGTGCACATGTGTATGTGAGTTTGAGATAGAAAAATGGGAAGAGTTGAAGGAAAAGGCTGGTAGTATATGCTATTACTATCCATTTTTACTTCTTTCCGTTTTTCTGATGCTTCCATTTTTAGTCCTTTTCTGAATTTGGATGGTGGCCTCATCATTTACTTGTATATACTGTAGTCAAGATATATTTAGCAAATATTCCTTTCCTTTACTTTTCATTTAGGATGTTATCTAAAGCCAACCTCGTCTCAGGCACTTATACTATAATTGCTACCAGCATTTGCCTTGATATTGCTGCCCCTGTCTAGAAAAGACTGTTAAAAAAAAAAAAAGTCTGCCTCAAACAAACATATATGGGCCTAACATTTTATTTTGGTTTATTTCTGTTTATCTTTGTTACAAAACAAAACCTGAAACTTCATACTTACAGAGATAAAATGACAGCAGATGGCATAATGGGTGAAATGTTTTCTTTTTCCAATTTCAAATATTTATAGCTATTTATTGATCAATTTATCTTTTATTTACCCTATTATATGCTAATAACTATACTGAGAACTTGGGGTACAATAATTGACTTGTTATCTTAGACTCTGATGGGAAAGATGGGTAGTAAATAAATCAGTAGAAATGTTATTTGAAGGCAACAATATTGTAGATGTTTCCAAATTATTCATTGGGAGAATCAGGAATTTGGAGCAAAAATCTATGTTTTCCTACGATTCAAATTGAAATCAGAACTATAAGAAAAGTACTTATTACAATAGCTTATAATATTGAGATAAGAATCTAAACAGTCCTGAATTTTTATGAAATAATTTATAGAATATTAACTAGGGAAATATTGTTAAAACTGATTATGCAACTATTTATGATTTTAAAGAAATCCAAATAAATGAGATATTCAAATCTTAGAACTGTACTTCTATATAGCACATTTTTATTAAATTTATATACATAAATATATACACACATTGAATATACATATATACAGGTAAATATTTACTGCATTTGTTGTTTCTTCAATTCTAAGAAGCACATATTTCACATTTTAACATCTTTGAAATGAAGATGTCTTACACTGGATGGCATCTTATGATCATTGTTGCTAAGGTGGCAGGAATGGCAGAGTCATGGCCTATGCCTATTAATTGTTTCTGATCATGATTGTACAGTTTCAGTCTTTTGATATTTCAGTCAATAAACCGTTTGTGGACCATTAGAGGAAGGAATATAAGTTCCGTTGTTCACTGAATATCTTCTGTTGATATTTTCTGGTAAGATGAAGAACATCAGTGTCAAAATTTAAAATGGCATAAGCAGCTTGAAAGAAATTCCTAGAGACAGTAATGGAGTACTCTGTAGAAATGCCAAACCATGGATGCTCTTTATAGGCCAGAGGAGGATATTGTGTAAGAAAACACAGCTATTGCAAACTGTGATTCAAAAAGTGATTCAGAAGAATCATAATCCGATTGTGAAAATATTTAGCAATACCTAATGAGTTAGAAGTTGTTTTCTTTTAGTACATATTTATACACGTAATTTTGATATAACTTAAAATTGTTGTCATTTTCAATTGGATAAAATGTATTATGTAAACATGTATAACTGAAGCTATAGCAGAGTATTCACCAGTATGTTTACATAGTTTACTCTAGTGTTAGGATTGTGGGTGATTTGCATGTTTTTCTTTACGTATTTTTTTATTTTTAAAATTTTAAATTACTAATTAGTATTTATATCTTTGGCAAATGATAAATAGTTATTGATTTTAATCTTTAAGTGAAAATTTATTTTAAATGTGTAGGGTAATTACTGAAGTATAAATATGATGCCTAAACTTCCAAATTTTAGAAGGACAAGTTGGAAGCTTTTTTCCTTTGGTGTAAGCATAACTAGTAAAATAAAAGAACTGATATTTAAAGAACAGAATGGCTCTAACTACATGAAAAGATACTCAAAATTATTAGTAATCACAGAATGCAAATTAAAACTACAATGAATTTTTTCATGTCTACTGCATTAGAAAAAATTTTAAAATTATGCATTGGTCAGGATATGTGACAAGGAGAACTCTTATGCACTGCTGGTTTCAGTGTAAATTTCTACAATAAATCTTCTATAATTCCTGTCCAGTATCTCTGAAGAATTATTTGCACAAATGCCCCAAGAGAGGAAAGTACAGGAATGTTCATAGGAGTATAATGACATCTAACTGGAGACAGTCCAAATCTCTATACATAGTTATGGGTTACATATAGATATAGATACATACACATGTATATTCAGAAATGACATATGGTCAATCCTTATTATGAGTGGTTCCATATTTGTAAATTTGCATATCCACAGAAATTTGTGATTCACAGCACTTTTGCAATCATTTGCTGACATGCACAGAACAGCAAAAAAATTTGTTATGCAACACTTACATTCCCAGCTGAAGTCAAACAAGGCAAGACCCTGCCTTCTGGTTTTAGTTTTCTCTCATACTGTAAACCAGTATTCTTTTTATAGTCTAATACCATGTTTTTCACATTTTGTGCTTTTTGCTGGTGATCTTGCTGTTTAAAATGGTCCCTAAGAGTAATGCTGAAGTGCTTTCTAGCATTCCTCAGTACAAGAAAACTGTGAAGTGTTTTATAGAAAAAATACTTGTGTTAGATAAGCTTCATCCAGACATGAGTTACAGCGCTATTCGCTGTAAGTTCAATGTCAGTGAATCAGCAATATGTATTAAGTAAGGTGTCTTTAAACAGAAACACACATAAAACAAGGTTTTGTATTGATTGGTTGATGAAAATGTGATCAGAGTCTCACAGAAACCTATCCTTGTTTTTCTACTATGTGCAGCGGTTCAGCATTTGGTAATTCAGTGTTCATGGTGACTTTACAGAACACAGCTTCCATGAATAATGAGAATCAACTGTACTCTGTGACATCAGATTTATAAGTCTATGTGCATCATGTCTGAATCTAAAATTATAATATTAAATTTAAAAACTGTTTCCAAGATTATATATGTCATATGCATATTATTACATGCATATAATATAGAAAATTTAATATATATTTGAAATATTAATAATTGTATTAAATAATTATTTAATTATTAATTATTAAGAATTTAATTTTGACTCTTTGATCTATATATATTTTAGGTAATGCAAATTTTATATAAAATGTAATATATTTAGTTTATGTATTACATATAAATTTAGGAACACATACACATATACATATACACACGTACATATATGGTAAAAGTATAAATAAAATTAAGTTAAAAGCCATCATACAATTCGGGATAGTTGTTGCCTTTTGGTAGAGAAAGAGTGATGTGGTCAGAGAGGAACACACAGAGGTGTTTAGATTAAAAATGGCTATTGCTATTTTCTGAAGATCCTAAAATTATTTCATATTTTTAGAGAAACTCTGGAGGATTTCACATTCAGCCCCAACTATGACTTATTGAACACTTAACTATGTACAGATGACTAATCTGAGGCAAGCATACATTATTTCATTTAATTCTTATATTACTCTTGTGAGGTAGGTACTCCATGCAATTTTTTTCGACGCTCAAGATGAGATCGTCATGCAAAGTTCACTTTAAGATTTGGCTTTTAAAAGTTATAGCTTCTACATTAAATGTAATAAAAGACATGTAATTTGGAAAGCCACATATATATTTTTTCTCTTCAAAAATGTAATTTTAAGATCTTCACTCATCTTCATTTTATGTATAATTTTAAGAAAAATTAGGATGATAGGTAAATTTGTCTAGTACGTATTAGTCATGCCATTTACATGTAGTCTTCTGTCAATGCTCTTAATTACCTTGTAAACTAAATATAGTTATTAACCTGTTTTTACAGATGAAACCACAGACTCAGTTTTATTACTTTACTAAGTGTTACAGAGTAAATGATGGAGCCAGTATTCGTAGCATTTGAAGCTCTTATGCTTAATTTTCATGCCACAAGATGAAACCATGTAAAGGAAAATAGGCTTAAATTTACAATTTCATAATAAACTAGAATTTTAGAAAATAGAATTGTGTATATGTGTGTGTGTGTGTACATTCTGTCTTCTATTTTATTCTTTGTATAGGAGCAAACCAAGTAGAATGCTTTTAAAGGGTCTATAAGTTCAAATTATTTTAATATAAGAGTGATACATTTCTTAAGGGGGGCATATTTAAATGCTGGGAAAATTCTAATTCATAGAATTTATACTAGTGTTGACACCTATTTATTGTGTGAGTCTGCACACACCTCTTTACTTTCCTATGGGCATAGTTTCCTGTCTGTAAAATGGAAATCCCATATTTATAACATGATTTGAATATTAACAAATTATAATATTTGTATTGATGTTATTATTTTAAAATATGGGTTTAAGATTACTTAGAAATGTTATTTATGATCTTTGAAGTGAGTGAAAAATAAATAATCCAGTTGTATTTCTGAATGTTTACTATAGCAGATATGATAAAAACTACAATAGTTTAAACTCAAGAATTAGTAATAAAAGATGGTTTAGTTTTCTTTATGCAAGCAGGAAAACTGCAGAGTGAGGACTTTAAGCCCCATAACTGTTTTTACACGCTGATTATACAACAAAGAGTAGTTTACCACATAAATGTCCTTCGGTATTTCCTCAGTATTCTTCTAGGGTTTCTTTTTTTAATTTTCAAGCAATAAAATAGGTACTTTAAAATATAGTAATAAAATTTAGTAATATATAGATTCAGATTCTTTAGACAACTTTCAAAGATCATTTGCTATTTTCAACTGGTTTCACTAATACCTACAATATTTATTTCCTTTTCTTTTTTCCTTAAATATTATACATCTTCAAAGATACTATTTCCAATGCACATGTGCTGTAAACTCATCATGTTAGGTTAACTGATGACCAAGGAGAAATAAACCTATCTTCCAATTAATAGATGAATAGATAGATAGAAGACAGAAAACGTTTATGTTTCTAAGAAAGCAAAAATGATTACAAAAGCAAGCTGTACACATGCTGAAAACATACAAACCATCTCAAAATAATTGTTGAGAGGTGTGGTATTTGGGGTTGATTTTAGCAATTTTAGCATCTGCACGACATTAACTTATAGAAGTGGCTTTGCCCCAATTACTGTGATTGACTAGGATCTACATTATGTGCATTAATTGTTTGTGGTTAAAGCCTTTCATTTGACCTTGTCACTATAGTTTCCATGACATTTTTTGGTAGGCTTCTAACATACAAATGTGTACCTATAAAAAATCTTTCAAGTTATTTTATTCATTTTTTGAAAAGCAGATGCCTATGACCATTTTGATCAATAAAAAGAATACTATGGATATGCAGAGAGGATGTAATAAAAATGCCGAGGATTTTTTTGCTTGCTTTTTTTTCTCCCTAAATTACATCACTCGGCAGTCTTATTTCTAATTCTATTTATATTATCTGTAGAGTCAGCAGTGATTAGTGAAATCCAGTCACTGCTATTACTATTTTACTTAGGTCAGGCTTCTTAATATCTCTGAAATTTGTCACATTTAAAAAATAGAAAAAATACCTTAAAAGGCTTTTATTGAAACTAAACTGAATAAATACTTACTGAAAATAAAAAGCATTTATTTAGCATAATAAGTACACAGTATTTATTGAGTGAGATCCCCTTATCCATTTTTGTATACCTATAAGATTACATTATAGGTTACTTTGAGTATCATGCATTAATTCAATAAGATAAGTAATTTGAACTCTTGAAACTATTCCATCAAATTAATGCCACTGTATCCAAAGCCATATTTTATATGTGTGTATTTAGTCAGGAATAACTTTAAATTTTACTTTATTGTAATTTCTTGGAAAAATCAAAAGGGTTTGCCTTTTTCATACCATTTAACAATTTTTAAAATTTGTTTTACCTACGTTGTCTAATAGAATGGTAGGTGCATTTATCATTTATACCTCTACTTCCTATAAAAGAGTAATTTGAGACTGCTTTTTAAAAAATAAACATAAAACATCACATTGTACCCCATAAATATATAATAGATACAAGCAAATATATAAAAAAGCTAATTTTTTGATGTATGAGTATGTGAAGAAGACATGTAAAATATATTTATAAAAAATGTTTAAAAAGGAGATATTTTCTGTACAAATCATTGTGGCAATTAAAAGTCTTATTTAGCTATTTTACTTTAATTAAAAAACATTTTAGGGATAGGGCCTGTCTCTGTCACCCAGGATGGAGTGCAGTGGCTCCATCAGAGCTCACTGCAGCCTTGAACTACTGGGTGAGTATAGTTAGTAATACTGTATAGTATACTGGTAATTTGCCAACAGAATAGATTTCAGGTGTTCTGAGCACAAAAAAGAAAAGTGGTAACTCTATGAGGCAAGGGTTATGTTAATTAGGTTGACCGTAGTAATCATTTTGCTATGAATATGTATAACAAAACATGTTTTACACCTTAAATATATAATTTTTATTTTTTAAAAATAGTGGGGGCTGGATGCGGTGGCTCACACCCGTAATCCCAACACATTGGGAGGCTGAGGTGGGTGGATCATCTGAGGTCAGGAGTTCGAGACCAGCTTGGCCAACATGACGAAACCCCATCTCTACTAAAAACACAAAAATTAGCCGGGCATGGTGGCGCCTGCCTGTAATCCCAGTTACTAGGGTCTGAGGCAGGAGGATCGCTTGAACCTGGGAGGCACAGGTTCCAGTGAGCCAATATCATGCCACTGCACTCCAACCTGGGCCACAGAGTGAGACTCTGTCTCAAAAAAAAAAAAAAAAAAAGAAAAAGAAAAAAAAAAGAAAAAGAAAAAAGTGAGTTAGAATTATCTCTACAATCATCAAAAAGCGTAGACAACAGAAAGCAATAAAAAAAGCCAATAGATCATGTCAAAAGGCTTTGCATCCATCATTTCGTTCCTTGGCTTAGCCTTAAACAGGAAGGAAAAATGAGACCAAAAGTATCAATTAATGAGGTTAAAACAACTGGTGATTGAAGTAGAATATGTATCAGATCTATCTTAGAGCTATGACTGATGTATAATGTAAAATGGTACTTCAGTTCAGATCTAAATTCTTAACTTCACTTTGAGTAATTTTTGTTTCAATAATCAAATTAAATTATTTAAATATTTAGCCCACAATAATCAAAGGTATATAACTTGCATCAATTGTTTTTGTACATTTTCTGGTAATTTTCTGAGTATAAGAGTGTGAAAAATATTCATGAAAAATCATATTGTAGTTTTAACTGGAAAGTACTATTTTAGTGACTATGAAGAGTGGTAAACAAAAGGGGAAATAAAATTTAAACTGTTATTTCATTATTTTAATATAGGTTACTTGAATTTCCACTAGAGGAGCAGAAATGCCACCAATGCCAAGTGCCCCACCTGTGCATCCACCTCCAGATGGAGGATGGGGTTGGATTGTGGTTGGAGCAGCTTTTATCTCCATTGGATTTTCCTATGCATTCCCCAAAGCTGTCACCGTATTCTTCAAAGAAATTCAGCAAATATTCCACACTACCTACAGTGAAATAGCATGGATTTCATCCATTATGCTGGCTGTTATGTACGCAGGAGGTAAGCTTCTTGCAATAAATAGAATCCTGAATTAAGAAAATAATTCCTCCATGTCACAATGTTTTACATGGAGTGTCTTGGTATATTAAAACCCTGTTTTTATGTTATAGTCACTTAAAACCAATCAAAAGTATAATTAGAACTGAAATTTCAATGATTTTAGTGATTCAGCATCTTAAGCTATTTGCTTCGAATTGAGTCTTAATGGAGGATTTGTTTGAATAAGAATTTGTAAGCACAAAGCAAGATTTACTAAATTATGGAATTTCTAAGTGAGGCTACTTCATTTAGTTTGAAATAAAGTCCACAACATATTGCTGATGTCATTTTTCACAATCGCTACCTCTGGTAGAAATGCTTTCTTCTGAATGAGAAGAAAATTTAAGTTGCTGACAGTTTATAAGCCCAGAAAGTACATCACTTTAAGCTGCAAAAATGAAGGGTTAACATGTACATTCTAGACCCATTCAAATTTGTGTGACTGAAATAATTATTTATCTCTATAAGGCTCATTAAATAGGACATCTTTTTAACTTAAATTGTTGCTTGGAAATTATCTTATTACATTCTATGTTCAAATGAGGGTATTAGTCATGAAGGATAATGAAGAAATCAAAGTACCATCCCACTTCTAAATGTTGCAAATTTGGAATTATTGGTGCCTTATTATGTCATCTATTTTCTGTAAATCAATCTCAATAGCAGACCAGACTCTCTTGTAGAATTTTTTGAAAGTCATTACTTAAAATATGTCTTTTAGCGTTTTTATTTTTCAAGTGGATATTTGACTTTAAGGGATAGATATAGACTCAGACTATAGTCATTTAAAGAAATTATATCAATTATCTTCTGTGATTTCTTATTTTTCAAGTAAGGATAATATGGCTCTTAGTCATGAAAATATAACATTAGTATAATATCCAGTATTTAGTAATATTTACTTTCACCCAAGGCCTAAGTACTTAATATGTGTGATATGACTTAATCCTCTTAATGATCCGTGAAATAAGTATTATCTTCTCTTTATTCCATAGCTAAGGAAATATATACAATAGCTCTCCCAAGTCAAACAACTTGTTAGTAGTAAACAGAGACTGTAACTCCTAGCATTTAACACCTGTGGTCTCTGACTTTCTCATAACTTTCTCTTTACATCTAGAGAGTGACAAAGCCAGATCTGGCCCAGGCCTTCTATAAACCTGATTCAATTCTTTCTACTTCAGCTCAGTGGCTTGTGTACCACCTCCACCAATGTCATTTGTTCAGTGACATAATAATTATTCTTTAGGACATTATCTTTTTGTTGTACTACGAAGGTAAACAGTTGATCCTGAAATAATTCCCTGTGTGTGTGTGTGTGTGTGTGTTTATGTGTGTTGGTGTTGGAATGTGTTTTATACTTTTTATATATAGTGACTTTATATTAATACAGCATATGTTTCCCTTATTCATTTGGTTAGGTTAAACATGCATTTTTCTTCCAGTATCAAAAGGTATCCTTTAAATACTATTTGGGCGTGTCAATGGAAAATTCTACTTCTAACACACATTCTATGAATCTCCTTTGGACAGTTGCTTTATAGATTGTAAGAATGTTATTTCTTGTGACCATAGAAACAGTAGGTATTGTAGAGTAGATATTCCTGTATCCTGTGGGACAGGTGTTGTTTAATAATGTTTTGCTAGAGCAGCACACAGTCATCTTGATTTCAGCTCCAAAACGTGCTAATATTAAGATATGTAGAGGGTTTTCTTGCCTCTTAAATACAATTGAAACAGTCTCTTCTAGTGAATTAATATAAGTCCATTGAATTTGAACTTCAGGTCTTACATAGTCATAATTCCTTATTGAGCAGATAGTTGACTAACTCATCAGTAGGACAAAATTTTATATACTGTTTTAATTAAGCCAAATCTTAATTTACATTCTCTGTTAGTTTTCAGACCTCAGAGTCTTGATGACTTAAAACAATACAGGTTATTTCTTTCTGAAGCAATGTTTCAAAAAGTGGCTATTCCATCACCCAAGGCTTTGTATGTTGTTCCCTAAATCTGCTCCATCTGTTGGACAAATAGTAAAGGCAGACAGCATGGAAGATCATATGGACTATTTTAGGGGGTATGCCTGGGAGGAATAAACATTATTTCTGTACATATTCTATTGATCAGAACTCTTATACTGCCCTACCCAGAGTTAGGGGCCATGGATGCTGGGAAATACAGCCTTCCCAAAGGAAGAAACAGAACTACATAACATCTAGCCAGTCCTAGTCAGAGCCTGGTATCTCAATATTCTCCATTGAACAAAAGAAGCATGTGTTTATAGACTTGCCTATGACAGCCCTCCACCCTCTGGCTGGATCTAAAAGGAACATTAGAATGAACAATGGCATAATTAACTTTCTCAAACCACTAAATCTCAATATGAAATTATAAAAAGTAAATATACTATATTTACTACAAATAAATGTTTTTATTTTATTCATACTTATTTTTCTATTTTAATATATATGGTATAATTTTTTAAAAGCACAAAAGAACTCTTCTGAAATTCATGAAGAAAATGGTAGTTTGTTAAAATAGTTATAAATTTGGAAAAAGCTGCCTTAAAATTTTTAGGGTGATAGATGAATAAAATATGTCTAAGTTAAATATTAACAGGGATTTTATATATGCTTGTTTTGTGAAAGCAGTGCTAGATACATACAAATTCTTGGTATTTAGTAATTGATGAAGGCAATATCTAGGTGAGATCCAAGTAAGTACCTGGAATATTGCCTAAAGTCCTCCATTATCGGGGCTAAAACATGCAAATGTTTCATCTCTGGCCATAGAGAAAAGTCAGGAATTGCAGAAATTCTGCTCACCTTTGGTCCTTCTTTTAAAACTGGAAACACAATTCTAGGCCCATTGTCTAGTGGATGAAAATGCTTTTACCTGCCATGTCCACTGTTGAATATAGATCTTACACGTTTACATAGTTTGTTGGAAATAACATCTATGTCTTATCCTGATAATTAGTTTCTAATCTTTTAACCAAAAATAATTGGCACATTTAAAATTATAATCTAATGTGGAAATAATTTTCTTAATGTGGATGCAGATAATTTTTTTTCAGAAACATAGTAACTATTTAGAACAAAAAGTCTGATATAGTCAGTTAATCTAAGACACAGGTATTAGTCCTGTTACTCACATTGCAGTCTTTCTTCAACTGTGGTCTACAGAATGCTTAGCTTCTGAGTCATGAGTCTTGTTAAAAATGAAGTCCTAGGCCTTATCCCAAATCCCCTTTTATCAGGATTTCTGTTGTTAGAGTTCAGAAACTTGCATTTTAACAAGCATCTCTGAAAACAACTTCACTTTATATACAACACAGGGGTTCACTGTTGTAGAAGAAAATCACTATTTGATTTTAAAATACTTAAATTTTCTTACACTATGTGAAATATATTTATAGGAGCCTTTTAGGTTGATGATTATAAAAAAAATTTGGAGAGCAAAGGTGAAAAGACATAGTTTACTGTGAAGTATAATGAGTCTCTCTAGCAAGTAGCTGAAATATTCTGTTCAACACAATGCTAATTGCATTAGCCTAGAGAACACCTAAGATCTGACACATTCATTAGGGCTTAGCAGTCAACCTATTAATCACTACTGTGGGGTCACTGAGTAAGATGGAGCATGTTCAGAGGCCTGGCCTGTGATGTCAGGACTGGAGTCTCTTGTAGTAATTAGTTGGTATCTGGGCTTTGGTAGCAAGGTATTATCTTCCCTTCTGATGTCTGAATTAAAAATGAAACTAATGAAAGGTTCGCAGGAAGGATGGAAAAGAATGCAAATTATGTTTATACCTTACTTCATCCTTAGAATAATGGCATCACATTACAGCAATCCATCTGGATGTCCATATGTTCTCCTGGAGATCTAGCAAATTTTAGCAAATAGGTCAAACAGTGTGGTCACCCCATTAATAAAGCACTAAGTAGAGGTAGAAAACATAATTTAAACTTTCTACACTGTTTAGAAGGACATAGGGTTTTATTTTGTAAATAGTGATTACATAGGATTATCTTTTAGTGCAATATTTGTTTTTGTATTCTATTGAATGATAATCTATATATGGTTACCTCTACAGTTACTGGCGACAGATTTGGACTGCCAGTTTCTGTGAGTACTTTATATGACTTTTCTGGTAAAAATCTATTCTGACTTGGAAGAATCAGCCATTCTGGAGAGAAGAATTGGCTTTGTCTCCATGGTAACTTATTTTTCTGTTTTATGTGAATAGTGACGGCCAATTGTGCTAAAGTAAGGGTGATAGTTTTGTGATGAACTACTTTACATGGGGATTGAACATTAGAACACTGAGCTTATTTTACTGGAGGCCGAGAAGCAAAAGGCTTTAACATAGCAGGTTGGTGGTCATAATGTACAATATGTATTTTTCTATTCTCTTAAAATTTTAAATAAGCTCAATATATTATTCTACATTGTGCCCTAATATTTTGCAGAATGAGGGAGGCTATTAAAATAATTCATGCTGTGCAATATCTTAGCAGCAATAAAAAAAGAAAGTCATTCCATTCCTGTGTTTGAGATAGGTAGAGCTTTCATCTTAGATTTATAAAAAGCAAAAAGTACCAGGTACACTTTGACAGCCCTGTGCAAGTAGGCTGTGGACTTTTTATATCTATGCCATGTTAGACTCTTTTTTTCATCTGTAGGCATAAATATTACTAAAGCTTTCTATGAAATATGGTACAGTGTGGCAGAAACTATTATGCTCACCGTGCATCCATGCACTCCTCTATATTTCCCAGCTTTCCTCCCCTTAGGCTGAGGCCAAGTGACTAGTTCTGACCAATTAAATATAAGCGGAAGGACATCTGTCCCTCTGGACACCTCCTGGACAAGGTGGTTTGATCTGGCATGCATCTTCCCTTTCTCTACAGTTATATAGACTATACTGATCATTACAAACATGAGGGCTTGGTTTATTGTGTAACAACAATATAAGTTATATAAATTATTACATGGGATGAGAACACACTATGAGATAGCCTTAGTCAATTTAGCTTATATTATATCATGAAATGTACAAGTGCTACTCTATCAGATCTCTGTTAGAGAAGAGGTATCCTTTGGTAGCCTAGAGAACACCTAAGATCTGACACATTCATTAGGGCTTAGCAGTCAACCTATTAATCACTACTGTGGGGTCACTGAGTAAGACAGAGCGTGTTCAGAGCATGTTCATTTTTCTCAAATGAAAAAGAAGTTGTGAGTGGATATTATCATTGCCAGTCTTCATGGAATAAAAGTGAGAGGCAAGGACTTCAAAACACAAAGTAGGAATGGAATCATGGCCCTGGAGCTTTCTATGATGAAATCTGTGTGTCTCTTCCAAAACAGGGATGAAAGGGGACAGAGGTCAACAACAGATTGGAAGTGTGCTTAGAGCCTTTGAAATTATTCCAGGACACACTTTCCCTACAGAGGGCTGATAATCTAGTACAAATAATATCAGATAGTTACTAAATGTTATTTTCAACAGAAATTCTAAGAACCTTTATTGAAATCTTTTCTGACTGATATATGTGCCTCAGACAGTGAACCTTTCACTTACTGATGTATAAAAAGAACCTATTTATTAATTTATGACCTGACAAGAATAAGACTATCTTTCCTGATTTTTGGCTTAAAAATTTTCAAAAATATGTTATTATATCATTACTCACTTTATGCAGATGTGTTTTTGTTGTAAATGACAGAAACCTGATACAGATACCCTAAAGCCTAAAGAGAAATGTTCATGTATACAAATCAGAGGAGAAGCAGAGACACCAATGTCTTCCAGCTCAACTAGCACCAGTAATTCTGTTTGTCCAGCATGTTACACTCTCTCTTCTCTCTTCTGTTTCTTCCAGAGGGCAGCTTTGTTTATTTATGTTGATATTCTTCCCCTGGCACAAGGAAGATGTCTACCAACACTTCAGCCTCATATTTCAGCTCAAATTTGACACTAGGAAGACTGCCACTATTCCCTAAGTTATACTTTGACAAATTCTAAGGAAGATTGCTAGGACATGGCCTACTTTGCATTTGCCCTGCAGGCAGTGGGTGAATGAGGGACTAACATTGGCAGCCTGAGTGGAACTATGTATCTGAGATAGGAAACGAGCAGTTCCGTAATGGAAGGGCACTACTGTTCCCAGAAGAAGGAAGGATTCTGAAGAGACAAAGTATTAACAATAAGCACTTACTACTTTAGTCTTTTTAAAGAGATTAATATGTTATGTTTCAAGAATAAAAATGTGTTGGGTTTTACTAGTCACTCATGGGGAATTTTGCATGTAGATACTTTATAGCTAGCTAGCAAGCTGCATAGATAGGTTACATGTCAAAATGCATATATCATATTTGGAAACTATTGCCTAATGAAATATAATGCTTAGTAGCCATGAAATATAATGCTTAGTAGCCACCCAGAGGACTCAATTGCATTTTGTTAAAATTTGAAACAGGGTCACTCTGTTGCCCAAGCTGAGTGTAGTGGTGTGATCATGGCTCACTACAGCCTTGACTTCCTGGGCTCAAGCAATTCTCCTGCCTCAGCCTCCTGAATATTCTGGGACTACAGAGGTGCACCACCATGCCCAGCTAATTTCTGGTTTTTTGTACAGACGAGGTTTTACTAGTCTCAAACATCTGGACTCAAGCCATACTCCCACCTTGGCTTCCAAAAGGGCTGGACTTACAGATGTGAGCCACCACACCCACCCAGCCCTAATTGCATCTTATGTGAGTTGGTGCCTAGAGTGGAACATAGATATGGAAGGTACTGGGATCTCAAAATGGATTATTAATTATGTAATTGTGCAATGAGAAGCAGAAGAGCATTATAGTTGGAGAGTGAGCTCCAAAATATTAATAGCAGATATGAAATTGAGACTTTGCTACTTGGTCATTCAGCCTATTTGCCATTTTACCTTGGACACAGTTTCCTTATCTGTAAAAATCACACAAGAATATATACATTTATGAGTGCATATGTGAGTGTGTGTGTATGTATAATGTACACTCTCCTGCTCAGAGTCATTATTAGTAATAAACACCAAATACGATACTTAGGAAATTGTAGTTTTTGATTCACTGCAGTTGTTGCTGCTGTTGTTCTTGATATTCTCCATTATGCAGTGAAACTGCAGATAAGGAACAAAGAAGATAGTAAGTCTGACTCAAGCAATCTGTGCCAATAACATTTAAAAACGACTGGAAATGCAAGAAATAAATAGGGTCAATAATCATTTCTAAAAGAAATCTATGCCCTTTACCCATATTTTCCGTGGCATTTCTCTTGTGCCTCCTATGATTTGAATAGTGGACAAGACATTGGTCATTCTTTTTGGGCCATCCTATATTGAAAAATCCTTCTATGTTTAGGGAATTCCCAACATCACCATTTTCTGACTCCCCAAGGGAAAAGACAGAAATATACTTTCTCAGAGTTTATTACACTTAAGGGCACAGGCATGTGACCCAGTCTCCGTCAACCCGGTGTAGAAAGGCCCGTTTTCATTCAGAAACTACTGATGTGTAGAAGCAGATTCCTCAAGAAAAACATTCAGATGAGGTGGTTATAGGTAATTAATAATCCATTCACGCAAAACTAGTGTCAGTGTTTAGGGTCAATGGGACTTGCAGTGTAAACTATGTGGTCATTGGTGGCAGCTGTGATGTCCCCACTGGAGCAATCAGTTTTGTCATGTGATTTGGTCAGCATCATAGCTTGGTTTTTTTAATCCCCCCTCATATTCTCTGACATTCTTTCATGTCCTTATTGAATGCCTTCTTCTTTAACTAGGATATATGATAGATACATGTGGTTAAGTTCCCCAAAGGTCCTAGTGAGGTCTAGCATGAAATGCTCTCGTGAACTAACTGGTTATTCTGAAAACTTTCTATGGATGTTTTCTTTTCTTTTCTTTTCTTTTTTTTTCTTTTCTTTTCTTTTTTGAGATGTAGTCTCGCTCTGTTGCCCAGGTTGGAGTGCACTGGCACAGTATCGGCTCACTTCAACCTCTGCCTCCAGAGTTCAAGTAATTCTCCCTCCTCAGCCTCTTGAGTAGCTGGGATTACAGGCACCCACGACCACACCCAGCTAATTTTTGTATTTTTGATAGAGACAGGGTTTCACCATGTTGGCCAGTCTGGTCTCAAGCTCCCAACCTCAGGTGTTCCACCCATCTAGGCCTCCCAAAGTGCTGAGATTACAGGCATGAGCCACCGCACCCAGCTGAATGTTTCCTTTAAAAGAAGGACCTTTCCTACTCTTTCCCAGCTCTTCCTCAACAACATATTAGGATTGAAGAATTTACCGCAGTTCTTTTTAATTAACTATTTTAAAGGGCTCTGTAAAAATTGAAATTAATTTTTATATTTTCATATGCTGTGGGTGACTTAAGTTTGATGGATTATGTCACAAAATGCAAAGTAAATACACATTGAATATTTTTTCATTATAATAGTAGTGACTTTGGCAGAGTAAATGCATTGTTCCAAAGGGATTTTTAAATGGTTAATCTAGATGGCTCTCCTTGAGTTAGAATTTGCTCAGCTGGCTGGAAGTATATGCTTCAGGAGTGTGGTTCATAGATTTGACCCTAAGGGGACGCCCTGGCAATGGCAGACACTAGCCTTGCACAATCATTGCCTGAGGATTCATTTGTAGTCACCAGAGGTAGGGATGTCCAGGTAATCCAGCATCACAATTAAGAAGAAAACTATACATAATTTCACTCATTCATTTATTCCATAGATACACACTGAGCATCTTAAATGTGCAAAACACTGGTGTGGCATTGGAAAAACCACAGCGAGCCAACAGACACAGGCTATGCTTTCAGAATATTAAATAGCCATTTACACTTTTCCTTATTTCATTACAGTTATGATAAATGTTAGTAAAGAGGCACAGTGGGTGCCATGCAACAGCAGAAAATGGAAATCGATCTCATAATTGAGTGATCAGGCAATATTTCTTGGAGCTGAATTTGAAGGATAAGGAGGCAGCGTTAGTCAAGGGAGAGGAAGTGTTTGAGGCAGAGGAAACAGTATTTGTGAAAGCCGTGGAAGAGTCATGGAGAGTTCTAGTAGCCCAGAGGAGGTGAATGTGATTGATCTATGGTGAAAAGATGGAGAAAGTTGTGTTTGACAGTCTAAAACCTACTGGAAATGATCCTGGGCCACATATTGTATCCATATAAACAAAAGAGAAGAGGATCAGAGGATAGGCATCTATGCTACCATGTTAGTCTGCTCTAGCTGCCATAAAATAATATCACAGACTGAGTGGATTAAACAATGGAAATTTATTTCTCACAGCTGTGGAGGCAGGAAGTTCAAAATCAAGGTGCCAGTAGGGCTGGTTTCTGGTGGGGCCTCTCTCTTCGGCTTGTTAGATGGCTGCCTCCTAGTTGTGTCCTCACATGGTCTTTTCTTTGCATGTGCACCCACCCCTGGTGTCTTTCTCTCTCTCTCTCTCTTTTTTTTTTTCCTTTTGAGATGGAGTCTTGCTCTGCCGCCCAGGCTGGAGTGCAGTGGCACGATCTAGGCTCACTGCAACCTCCGCCTCCCAGGTCCAAGTGATTCTCCTGTCTCAGCCTCTCGAGTAGCTAGGATTACAGGTGCCCACCACCATGCCCAGCAAATTTTTGTATTTTTAGTAGATATGGGGTTTCGCCACATTGGCAAGACTGGTCTTGAACTCCTGACCTCAGGTGATCCACCCGCCTCGGCCTCCCAAAGTGCTGGGATTACAGGCATGAGCCAACATGCCCGGCCTCTCTCTCTTCTTATAAGGAAACTAGTCATAGTGGATTATGGCCCAACTTAATATTTCTTATGACCTTATTTAACCTTAATTACCTCCTCAATGGTCTTAACTCCACAGACAGATACATTAAGTGTTAGGGCTTCAACATGAATTTTGGAGGGATATAATTTAGTTCGTAACAGGTACTAGGATCATAACTCTGAGTACTCTCCTCCCTTTTAATCAATTTTAAGAGCAAATGCATAATCCAGAATGTGTTAAAATACAGGTGGTTGTCATTATTTGTGGTAGTTATGCTCTATAAAGTTGCCACAAACACTGAATGAAAAAATACCAAATTGCTGCTTCTAGGGGAGATTTAGGGTTACAGGCCCCTGAACCTCTGATCATAAAATTTTAATTCACCAAGCAATCCATGACTTTGTTTTCTATGTGTTTCCATTTAAAGACATTGTATTCAATATATTTCACTGACTGACATTGAATTTTGGCCAAAGGTGCTATAATTTATTCCTGAATTAAGCTTATTAAACACATACCTTTCCTCCATAAGTCATATCACAGCCGTCTTGTGCCTAGGAACACCAAACAGCACTTCAGCATTATGCTTTGAGGCCATTTTAAACAGAAGAATTACCAACTAAAAGCACAAAAATGCAGAAAATGTGGTATTATATAGACCCTGAAAAGGACAGTTGTTTACACTCTGGGAGCTGGACCAAGAAAGCAGTTCATCATCTTGTTTGACCTCCGCTGGGAAGGTGAGGGCACACAATGCATGTCAGGTGATCCAAATTTTTCACCACTCTGCACATAGCCACCAGTGACTGCAAAAGAACTGAGAGTATTGATTTTAAGGTTACAAATCAATTTTAGTAAGTAGATAAATATGTAAATATAGAATCTGCAAATAATGAAGGTTGAATATACCTATTCCCTTTCTCTGGTGAAATTACCGCATTTCTTATACTTTATAAAGGTGTTTGTAATTACCCAATGTTTTTATTACAGTTTGTTTATCTGTTGTTTATAAGAATTGGATAAGCCTGCACAACCACAAAGCTAATTTACATTAGCGTTTTTGTAGGTAGGCATTGGTTATCATCCTGGAGTTTACTGAAGTTCTTTTTAAAGGAACACAACTTTCTTAAGCTATAAAAGCAATAATAATTACACTTAGAATAGTACTAATCACTAGAAGGGTGTTAAGTGTAAAGCTTTGGAAAGCTTCTGTGGAAGCTTTGATGGATTTTTGAAAACTGATGAACAACTGAAGATCCACAGCCTTGAATTATTCTGATTAGAATGTGCTGTGCATGACTGTAGCATTCTGTTGGGTGGTGGTTTCCTGCTTTGGCCTTGCATCTCATGCAGTCAATGATTGGATTAGCGGCAGCCTGTGGAAGCAACCTGTATATATTCTCAGCACCCCAGGAAATGAGTGTGCATTCTTGGAAGGCTGAAATGGAATAAAACCGTTAAATAGAACTCCGATCTACGTCAGATTCATCTCTTCTTCTTATATGATGAGTAAAGAGCATCTGTAAATAGGACTATGAGAGAAATCTGGGTAGTGAACAAAGGGGAGCAAAAGGAGAAATATGATGTGTGTGCAGGCGATTTGGAATTTCTTTTAAATTTTCCAATCTTCTCCCAGATAATCCTGAGTTCATGTATATGACTTACACTGATACAGAAATACAAGAATCAGCTGGGTGCAGTGGCTCATGCCTGTAATCCCAGAACTTTGAGAGGCCAAGGCAGGGGGATCACTTGAGTACAGAAGTTCAAGACCAGCCTGGACAACATGGTGAAACCCTGCCTCTACCCAAAATACAAACAATTACTGGGGTATGGTGGTGTGTGCTGTGTCCCAGCTACTCAGGAGGCTGAAGTGGGAGGATAACTTGAGCCCAGGAGGGGAAGTTGCTGTGAGCTGAGATGGCACCACTTCACTCCAGCCTGGACAACAGAGCAAGACTCTGTCTCACAATAAATAAAAATAAATAAATAAAAGAATTATCTATAAATCAAAAGCATTTAAAGTATCTTTTTGGTTCTATTAGGAAAAAATCGTATAGTAAGTTCAAAACATTTAGGCTTTTATCTCAGCTGGTGTAAGCGGCTGTGATATTGGTGCAAAGATGAAATGATAGGTGTTTTGGCAACGGCAGCTGTAAAATCTACGTAGCAAACAACAGATGGTTGCTTATTTGACTTTTGGGCAAGAACTGGGATATAGAAATTGCTGTTGAAATAGGTCTTTCTCAATGTTTCAGATTTCTATCATCTTCCAAAGAGTGAGCATGGATCTAGAGACTGAGAAAATTTTTAAAGCTTCCCTTTGTATTCTTAGTCTCTTGTTATGTGGGACAAATTTTCCCCACTTCCATCAGAAATATGCAAAGGGTTGAATTTTAATAACCTTAGTTACAGTGTTCTTGAATACACAGAGGTTGTCATTAACTTTCCAAATGCCTCTTGGGCGCCAGGAGTATTTCATGATTAGTTTAAAATGTATGTAAAATATCTACACAGAGTTAGTTTGGCACTTGCAGATAAAGAAAAACAAGTTTAATCAGATGACCCTGATAAAATGAACTGTAAGTCCTTCTCATGAACACTGCTTCTCACGAGAAATATTAAGTACCTCTGTTGTGGCAAAAATATTACTTAATGGTATTCCTTAAATCGAACATGATATGTTTTAGAAGCTAGATACAACTTTTCAAAGGCAACATAACCTCTGCCCCTTAGAGTTGGCTCCCAAATTAGATCAAACACAACTGAACTAGAAACCTGAGGCAATTCATGCATGCTTCTGAAACTGTTTCCCTAACAAAATAGTCTCACCTCTGTGCCCTATAAACACTCCAAAATACAAATGTGGGAGAAAAAAAGGAAAGGTTTTTATTCACTTCATATTTTAAGTTTATATTTGTAATCTCTTGTTTATTTGAGTGATTTTATTCTCTTTGGCTTATTAAATGAAACAGCAGTGAATGTTGAACAATTATATTTAGATTTTTTTTCTACCTATTTGTGAAGAAACAAAATTGGACACAGAAATGCCTTTTGAAAGATATATTTTCTGCAGACATTCATGCTCCCTTAGGAGGGGCAGTAATAGTGTCAGAAAAATACATCTCACAAAGTATCTAAATTTCTGTTTGGTTCCAGACAGTTCTCTTTTTATTGCTTTAGCTAAGTCATAAATATTTATTAACCATAGAATAAATTTAATAAGGTCAAAATTAAATTAGCTATATATACAAGTACTAGTTATAGCTTCAATGGTACTTATGTAATATTCCAAATATAACTCTTTATTTGTTGTGGTGATTTTTTTCTAAGAGGTCTTCCTTTTTCCACTGGCAATCTTGTTTATTTATTCCTTTGGAGTGCTTAATCATTGATTTTAAGTAAAGAGCCTGCATACAATCTTGTTTCAAAGCATACCAAAAGCTTTCAGAGATGAATAACTCATCGTTTTTACTAAATATCTAAACAATTTTTTGCCTTTTTTGTTTCTAAGAGGCATTGACATAGTGGAATAGTGGTAGGGCATGGAGGATTTGGCTGTGTTCAGATTCCAGTGCTGCTTCCTACTAATTGGAATTTTGGGAAGATACTCGATACCTCTCTGCTTCAATTCCTTATGTATAAAATGCCCATGGTTTATTTGTATGAACTAATATTTCTGAACTCTACTGATTAGCTCATATCTCATAATTAAATACAATAAGAAAGAATAACGTGGCTATCTGGGTGAAGATGTCTTACCTTCTCAACATGTTTATGTTAAGGTTATGTTATAACATTGAGCTTATTTAAGCTGTTTTGAAAATTCAAAATTATCCAAAGATGTGGACAGCTTCTGCAGCATGGGAACTAGGGAAAATGGATAAGAAGGAAATAAGTATCACATGATAATGCCTGCTTTGCCTTATATTTCAACCTAAAAGAATTGTAGACATAAGGAGAAAAAGTGATTCATCTTTCTGTTACTCTGGCCATCTTTAGCCTATGGTACTTCTAGACACTATCTAGATTAGATGTTTTAACATTTAGTCCAGGCTTTATGTTCTATCATCTAGGACCCGATTCCCCCACTTCTTTTGTCTTTTTCAATGCACTAGAGTAAGAAAACTTGTCACATGTGAGAATGTATAAATTGTAAAATCCATTTTAATTACAGAGGTCATTGTGCTTTCCCTTTGCTGTGAATAGCTGTGTATTGTGTTCAAACAGACTATAACACAATAGGTGCACAAAATGAGCACCATTCTTCATAACATGGCATCCAGAGAAAATTAAAAACAGAGAAGCTAAAATCATCAAAAGCACATATTTGTGAATTCATGTTTGTTTTTGAAACAGACAATACCTGTTCTAGTAAGAAAGACAAATCAGATTTTATCTTTACAAGGTAAAAATATCAAGTCTAAGAAGAGATATAATAAAACAATATGAAATCCTGAAGAGTATGCATTATATGAAGAGATGTGTTAATTAAATTCCACAATATTGGAATTGCAGTGGGAAATAAGACAGAAAAATGGGGCCCAAGAGAAGCTTGAAAAAGATCTATTTTATAACATAAGGGAAAAATATACAAAATGTGTGATCCCAAAAAAATGAGTTAAACCAAATTTTATAACAGTTTGTAATAAATAAACTTTAGATAAATTCATTAGTGATAGCTGTAGGTTTAAAGGGAAACAAAAGTATTAAATATATATTTTATATCAATCTGCACTTATTGAGGATTGCTGTATTTTGAATTTACTAAGAATAAACATGTTAATCTTCTTTTTTTCTTGGCAGCATCATAAGCCTTTTATTTTTGTGATCTGATTTCAAATATTCATTGAGAGATTTTTTACCCCATCCCCACCTCCACCCTCCAAAAACAGAGAACTGGTTGCAAATTGGAGCAAATGCTGCCCTAGATTTGCACTTTCCAGGATTCTTCACAGCATGAATAAAAGCTCCATGGCCTCCCACGGAGTGGCCCAAAATAGACAATTTTCCGTGGTCCACTGGAAAGTTGGCATTTATCAGTGGTGGAACCTTAGCTATTATAAACATGCTAATCTTCTAAGTAAATATTGGAAACAGGATGCATACCTGGGTCTACCTGACTTTGAATCTCATGTTTTTGTAAACTTTTCTGGAATAGGAATGCCTCATGACTATACCTTTCTTTTCTAATTCTTCAGGTTGGTATCATATGCAATAGCTGTATATTCCATCAGTTGATTGACGTGTTATTATGGGATCGCTGTCTAAAGAACACAATTGGAAAGATAATAAATTTGTTCCAGTTTGGAATCTTCCTAAGTTATTGTTAATTGTTACTTATGTATTTATAGTTGACTAAAATTTATTAGGTCTTTTTCTTTTTTTAAGCACCCTTTCATAAATTTGGTCTATGTTTTCTTGAAATAGGTTTTTAGTCTTGTGAGACCATAATTAGTACCCATAACAACAGAAATGTATATCTTTTTGTCATTGAAAAGGACCAGTCATAGTAGGGTAAACTTCTTGTATCACTAAAATGAAATAGTGAACAAAAGCATATATTTGATGTCAGACCAAGGAATGTCCTGTTTCCGGTATCTCCTTAAGTGTGTTATCCATCCCTTCTAAATTTTAGTGATTTTTCTACAATATAGGGGAAAATTATATATCCAATCCAGACACTTTGTCATAATTGAGAAAAGGGAATGAATTAAGCAATAGCTATCATCACCATTATCATCATCCAATCTCCTCCCCACTCCTTGTCTTCCAGAAGCTCCCCAACTCCCATGTTCACACCCTTAAACTTGTCATTATCAATAGCTTTCAAATAATCTCAATTTTTAAATAACTTACTCCTCAATCACCATGTCGTATCTTCCACCGCATTGTTTTCTAGTACTGCAACTATAATAATCCTTTAACTCCATCAGTACTGTTAAGCTATTGATATACTACCTCATCCATCACTGCTTTCCATACCATTTTCACCTTCCTTACCATCTAAACTTCAGATTCAATTAATTTAAGTTTCTTGCATACATTCTTAACTTATCTACCTACCATTAATTTTTTTGTATCTCTTGATGAAACCAGAACTCTGGCTAAAGCCATCAGCTTAGTTCCTTTGAGTCTCCATGGCAGAATGTAAACCACACTCTAGGATTTACTAATCTCTTTAATTGATGATCGATAATCTTAGGTGGGCCCGAAATGCTGCTTGGTAACCATATTTTATATTATATTACTCTAGTCCAGTCTCTCTCTCTCGCTATATGAGATGATTATTTGTCATTTAATCCATATTCCCCAAAGCCACTGTCTTCCCTCCTTTCTTCATCCCAGAAGGTAACTTCAATTCCTACTTCATTCAGAAAGTTTACGTTATCAGTAGAACTTCCACATACTTCTACTACCACATTCTCCTGCCTGTTTACATCCAGATCTGACATACTTTACCTTCTTTCCTGTATCAGTATCTATCCTAACTAAGGCCAACTATACACTTCCTTTCTCACCCCCTCAACTATTAATGGGTATTACTGTGGACAAAATTGTATCTTCTCTCTCCATTAGCAATATTCCCTCTCACAACTGGGTCATTCCTGTAGCTTATAACCATGATATTCTAACCTCCAACTTGGGAAAAAAACAAAACAAATGGAAAATGTTATTTAGACCAATGTTACCTGTCAGCCACAACCATAGTTATGTCCTTCCCTTTAAGCAAAACTTCTTGAAAGTGTTGCTCCAGTTTCTCTCTTCCCCTTCTTTTTGCCCCCACTCCAATCAGAATTTTTCTTGTACCCCTCATCTGAAATTGCTCTTTCCAAGTTTCTCAGGACTTCAATGCTACCAATGTAGTGGTCATTTCTTAGTCCCCATTGTAATTGACCTTTCTGGAGCATTTGATACAGTACTTAATCACCCTCGGTCTTCCATACAACACATTCTTGATTTTACTTATAAAATATTACACTTAAATATTTTCTTTTGATGCCATTAGCCACATCTTTTCAGTATCTATTTTTGGTTCTTCCTTTCCCCTTAAATTCTCAATGTTCAAAAGTTTGGCTCTTGGATCTCCTTTCCATATATACTTGCTCCATAAATGACCTTGCACCTTCTCATGACTGTAGCTCATATTTATAGGCTGATGCCTCCTAAATTTATATCTTCAGTTTCAACTTCTCCTGAACTCTAGACCTATATATAAACCCTCTTTTCAGTATTTCCACTCAAATGCTTAACAGGCATCTCTGACTTCGCATACCTAAAATTCATCTTCTGAAATTCTCCTCCAAACCTGTTGATCAGGTCAAAAACATTGGAGCCATGCTTTGACTTTTCCTCTCTCTTCTTTCAGCTGCATAACTTTCTATTAGCAAATTTATTGGTTCTGCCTTCTAAATAAATCCAACACTTAATCACTTCTCATCACCTCTGCTGCTGTTACCTGGCCCAAGGTATTATTATTTATAGTCTAGATTATCTTTGTAGTCTATGATTTGGTGTTCCTGTTTCTGAATATACCTACCAATGAAATCCTGTCATAACCTAAGTTCAATCATGTCCGAGCCTACCTAAGACTTCCCAACTCACTCTAATTATCTACTCTCCCTGCTATCTCCCTGAACCTGTCTTCTGTTATCCTCCCTTTTGCTCACTCTGCTTTAGCTATACTATCTACCTACTCTTCCTAGAATATACCAGCCATGCTCTCACCTCAGGGAATTGCACCCATTCTTTCCTTTACCTGGAATGATTTTCCCTTGGATTTAAAAATGCCCTCATTTCTTTCAGGCCTTTACTCAAAAATCACCTCTCATAGAGGTCTTCTAGGTGTACTCTGTCTAAAATTTCAACAACACGTCACACGGTTCTATCCATCTTCATTGGTTATGTTTTTTTCTCCATAACACTTATCAGTATTATTTGCTTTTCATTTGAATAGTAGTGTCCTATAGAACTTTCTGTGGTGATAGAAATGTTCTATAAATCTGATTGTCTAATATATGTTATCCACTAGTCACATGTAGCTATTAAACACTTGAAGCTAGTCTGAGAAAGGAACTGAATTTTTATTGTATTTTACTTTAATTTAAATTTTAAAAACCTCCCTTGGCAAATGGTTACCATACTGGACAATGTGTGTTTAGAATGTAAACTTTCAGTCCCCCACTGGAATATAAATATCATGAGAGCAGAGATTTTTTTTCCTTCTGCTTTGTTCATTGCTGTATTCCTAGACATACCCTGGCATATAGTAGACAATATTTTTGAAGGAATGAACAAACTGATCATTATAAAAATTATTATAATAATGATCAAATAAGACATTGAAAGACAATCCTAGTTCTTGCCCTGCCACTCAATAATGTGGTGATTTTTCAGAAGTTACTTACTTTCTTGGAACCCAAGTTCCTTCATTCATATTTTTCTCTTTCATTTAATAAACATGTATTGAGATCCTCCTGTGTGCCAGGAATTATGGTAGATATTGATGTACAAAGGTGACAAAGATGTAGTGCTAACAAAGATTTAATTAGGAATAAAGAGAAGTAAAATTTATTAAAGCTTCATGATACTTTTAAAGACGGAGATGTGAATTGCTATGGGAGAAGACAGAAGAAATAAAAGACAGCCTTAATGGTCAAGGGAATAATTGATGAAAGGGAAAATGCAAGACTTTCTTGAAGATAAAAAAGGTTTGAAATGTTTAGAAAGAAACAGCATTTTAGTATAAAGGCAACATACAGTATATTCAAAATTCACTCCTTCCTATAACATGAAATGTGGAAATGTGGGATATTTAGGCATAAGGCATTGCACAATGACTCTGTGTGCTATTATTAGGTCACAGTGTAAATATGCACAAATACTCTTATAAGATCTGAAAATCCTTCAGCTATTTTCTATTACAAAATTCTAAAACAATACGTATTTGTTTTCTACTGTTGTTCCCGTTTATATTGCTTTTTTTGTTTCCATTGCCTTTTTTTCTTCCATGTGAGAAGTATATTCCCACTTATAGTTAGTGAATATTTTACCAATTTTCATCTTTTCATTCTTAAACAGGCATGCAAGTTATAAAAACTCAAAATGAAAAATGTAATTGTGGCTTAAAAAATATGTATAATGTCGTTGGCCTACCGATTGATATATGTATAGTATATGATTTTAATATTTTAGATACCTCACCAGCTCCATAATCAGTCAGATACACTTTCCAAGAAACTTTAAAGCAGAGAAGCCTGAAGGCTGTGCAAGTGCAGAGCAGCTTCTGTTAGATCTTCAGCAGAATACAGGTTTTGTGTGTGTGTCTCATTCTACTGCTGAGGATTAAGTGACAGTGGAATAAAAATTACTGGTAATGTGATAAAGCAGGGCAACTTTTCACCTTTCACACCAGCCAAAGGACATATTGGGTATCTCCCCTGAAAGCTAAGCTTGTTGTCATAGTTTAATACAACTTTTCAGGTGTATACTAAAGAAAGAAGAAAATAAATTAGTCTGTAGGTTTTTATGTCAATATAGATAATAAAAAAGAATGATAATTGAACTTGCTAATCTGCTGTATTACTTCAAAGTAAAAACATGTTGCAACATATATTTCTAAGTAAATACATGTTGCAAAGTGCAAAGTGCAACATGTATTTACTTGGAAGTAATACCACAGATTAGCAAATTCAATTATAATTCTAAGTAACTATTACTACAGGACTTGCTGGAACCAGTTGGGTGCTTATGTATGAGATATTTGCCAAGCTGCATAAAAGAAAAGGGCTAGAGTTTAAAACATAAATGTGACTTTGTATTTAATTTTACAGAGCATGATTAACTAGTTTATGATGTCACTCGGAATATTATCATTAAAATTAGATTTAAAGAAATGGAGGGTTTTTATGTATTTTAAGAATAACTTTTTAAAAATTAGGATGTATATGGAATTTCTGCATTTAAGAGGATGACATTAAAAGCAAGTCTCTATAAATTCTTTATCCTTGAAATGAAGGTAATAATAGAAAATTTTTGGTTTGTGAAAATACCAATAAATTAGATGAATTATGCAAAGTGTAGTGTATTTCCTGCCACGTAATGCATGCTCAAAAATGATACCTATTGATATTCTTTACCAAGGAATAATAGTATAATTCCAAAAATATTGTTGCATGAATGCTTTCCCTCAAGAACACATCCAAATTTAATCACAGAGATACTGGAAATCATTCATTGCTATGTTCATAACTAAAAGTATAGAATACTATTTTTGATGCGTTCTTAATGCCATTCTACAGGTATGGTTTGTCGTTAAACAGCTAGATTCCACTTTCAACTCCATAGAACTTAATATTATCTAAAGAAATATTTACCACTTTGAATCACTATTGTATGAATTCATAGATCTTTACAAAGTGAGGGAAACTTTTCTCTACTGCTTTACTTTACAGATTAAGAAAGTTAGGAGTTTTCTGAATGCCATTCAGGGAGTGTCAGTGCGAGGTAGGATGAGGGTGTCTGCTTCCAACTTCCAGGATTTTGTGGCACCTTCTATCATTCTTTTAGAATTATTTATCCTTGTTAGGTCAGTCTCCATTTCCCTATTAAAAATGGTTCATCAGTTTCTTTCATTAGAAATAACTTTTCTCTGCCAAATTATTTCATCACAAAAATAGTATTTTATAGATTTTAAATGACTTCTTTACTGCTTAATAACACTCTAAGATAGATGAGATGTATTTTGAAAACTATGCTAAAGAAAATGTTGTATAGTGTTATCATTATTATCCTACCTGGTGAATAATAAATGCTTTTACTTTTCAATATGTTTGAGCCTTTCAAAAAATATGAAGTTATTCCATCACTGTCCTTAGTATTCTTTGGCCATGCTACTCATTTTTGTTCTCTTAATCACCGCTCATAAATTAGTTCCTTAGGCTTCAGACATTTCACTTGTCTTTTCTTGAACAGCCTCCTACATGTTCTTATTATTGTAATTTAGTTTTTGAGTGTTGACAGTTTACTTGGCACTGTTTACAGCATAACATCTTTTTTTCAGAGGTGACTAAAATTGCCACATTGTGTTTAGTGTGTTCTCAGGAAGTCACAGACTGAACTTTAAGTGGACTAAGCCATTCTAATCTTGTATGGAATATGAAGAAGCAATCAAAATTCAGTCAGTGGTTAGATTTCAGAAGCATTTTTTAGTCTCAATCTCGTTTCTCCTCCAACCACGTTTAAAGCTATTTTAGTTAAAGTGATCAGTGAGTACACATCTAATTTAATTTGTCTTAGACCTGTAAATTATCAGAATGCTACTCTGAATTCCAGTGGCGTTCACACTGAAATTAAAAGTGACGTGAGACTCTTTTGAGAAGGGTCTTGGGAATATAAAGAATGGCTATTTTTAGGTAGCCAAAATGTATGTTTTTAAAGAATCAATATTTTTAAATCTATTGAAAGCACAGAATAAAGTTTTTAGTTGTAGATTAGTGGAAATATTAAGTGTATGGCTTTCAAGTAGATCTTCCACTTTAAAAATAGAAAAAAAATGAAGGATAGGGTAAAAGAGAAAGAAGGGGAAGATTGGATTGATTTCAGGTACTATGACAGACAGCTTTGTTTGTTTCATACAATCTTCGTTTTCTTACTGCTCTTGGATATTGAATTATGTGGTCTAAAATCTTATTAACCAGTTTCTGATCCACTAGATTATAATGATTGTGTTAGTTGTGAGCAAGTTAGTAAATAACATTAAAAATTAAAAGGGTACAGAACCAAGGACCAGGAGATCTGATTTCTAGTCTTGGATTCTCCGTCTTGGGCTGTCAGAGATGCTGGCTGTGGTGTTTCAGGTCACGTTTTTCCTTACCTTCCTGTCCTGAGACGTTGCAACCTCAACTAAGCCCCTCCAGAAACTCACCACCCAGTAATCATTATATACATAATCTGAAAAAAATTAGGAATTGTATGGGAAACAATACTTGAAAATCAGATTGTCTAGAGATTTATGCTTTATGATCAATACATAATAGATCAGAATAGAGATATGCAAAGTCACCTCAGAAAATTTTAAAAGCATCTAGATTACAATAGTAATTATACTAAATTCATTTACTTATCTAAAGAAGGATGACAATCAAAAGGAGTGATCATGAGGCAAAACTTGTCAGTATCTATCCAAACACTGACTGGTGTTGGAGGAACTTTAGCCAACTGATATTGAGTATTACAATTCTGTCAGCAAGATCATTAAAAATATGAGATGGACATATATATATATATATATAATATATATATGTTGTATTTAGAAGGAGTAAAACTACATATTCAGATAGAGTGAGGTATTTAGTCATGAAAAGATGAGTTAGTCCCTGGTGATGACGTTAACAGTTTCATCATAGGCTGACAATGGAGCAGTGGCTACTTATGAACAGAGGATAGAGGAAAAGGTGTACAAAATCTCAGATACTGTGGAAAGCCAAATTACTAGAAAATTATTTTGCAGCATTGGGACACTGTTGAGATTACATTTGAAGTTTGATATCATGAAATTTAAAGGCACCAGTTAGTATGGTTTTGTGATCTAATCCAGCAATTTTCAGGTCTTTAGTAGAGATGCACTTGAGATCATCCTGGGTTAGGTATTTTCCAGATAAACATCATGAAGAGAGGAGTAAATAATTCAGAAATGCTTTCAAAGGAGTTGTTGTAAGAATTAGCCATCTAATTTAAGTTCTATAACAAAGGAACAAAAAGTAGGGTAACTTGATAAATACCGGAGGTTTCAGTGAAGTAATAGCATTTGCATATTGGGAATCTTGGAGAGGCTAAAAAACTGTTAATAGTGAGAGTATTTGAGCAAGTGAAATGAACTGACAGTAGTTTAAGTTGGTGAGGGCGATGTTTACATTTTAATTGTGTTGGGGGGGAGGTAGTGTCATATTGGTTAATGACAAATTTTAGTTTATGACCATGCAGTATATAATAAGGTGGAATATGACAAAAAAGAGAGAGACAAAAGGTCAGGGGAAATTTAAAAATGTTGAGAAACTTAAGAAGCCACATGTATACTGATGTCACTATGAAAGATGATTGGAAATGGAACAGAGATAGAGTCTTAGCCATAAGCCAGTATGAAGAGGTGAGTAGAGACCCAGGTTCCAATAGATAATAACAACAAGGAGGTTGGAGAGGGTGCTATGAGTTGATGGAAATAGCTTCAAAACATACAGTAAAAAGGCAGAAATTATAAAGCAGAGTATTACATGGTGGGTTTAATACAGCAACCTGAATGTTTAAAAAAATCACTTCTGGGGGTGATTAGGATGACCATGGATTTGGGACATAATGGGTCTGGGCCAGGTGGAAGAGCATGGGCACTCACTCACTGCTAATTCTCTGAGTTCAAACACTTCCTTTAGTGACATCCTGGCATCCAGTGCATATTCTCTTAGCTACACACTGGAGTGAGGCCCTATTGGCTGTGAGCAGCTCTTTAAGCAAGTAACAATTTGCAGATAAATGATAATGTCTTGAACTAAGATGGCAAATGATCAATATGAGTTTGCCCCTGGGAGATGGATATGCTTTCAGATTACTAACAAAAATAGTATTGGAGCTTTCAAGTACAAGAACCTATCGTCATCCAGGTGTGGTGGCTCATGCTTGTAATCCCAGCACTTTGGAAGCCAATTAGCTGAGCGTGGTGGAGCATGGCTATAGTCCTAGCTACTCAGGAGGCTGAAGTGGGAGGATCACTTGAGCCCAGGAGTTTGAGTCTGCAGTAAGCTAAGATTGTGCCACTGCACTCCAGCCTGGATGACAGAACAAGATCTTTTCTCTTAAAAAATAAATAAGAAACTATCATCAAGCAATGTTTAGATAATGAATGCCATTATGTGACACCTATGGGATGACAATCAGCTGTTATTTCCCCATGAAAAGACATACACTTTTATACTTTGTAGCGTACTTTTTTTCCTAGTAGAGGAAAATAGGAACCTAGAAATTCTGAAAGTTTATTAACTTCTTAAGTGGGAAATATCAAATAATTAGGTGTCCTACCTAGATACTTGTCTGAGATGATTTTTCCAATTTGTCTCAACTTTCATGTTGTAATTCATTTTTGTCAATGAAAAATTGCAAAATACCTTTTCACTTCAGGTTATTAGTGGTGCCATTAAGTTGGGTGAAAGTTGTGTCATCTATATGATGTCACTGGATACTCAACACATTCTTATTAATCATATTTATGTGTGGTTTGCATAATTGAGTTAATAAGTATGCACTTTTCCTTTTAGTCATTTATTCTTCGTATTAAGGTTACTGTTAAGGCCTATACAATTTACACAATTTCACAGAATCCATAAACATCGAAGGAATCTATTGGTATTATAACTCATCATGCGGATTACCATGCTGCCCAGGTGGGCATTGTCTTTGCCTTTCCTATCATCTCCTTTTGACTTCATGCTTCATGTAAATCTTCCGGGACAAAAGTAGAAAGTAGCATGTCTCTCTGTTTCGGTTTCCCTGCCTCTCTCTCTTTATTCTGTCTTTATTAAATGCCTCATTCTAATTCCCAAATCATTATTTTTTGACATTTTCATTCCTATCATTTGGTTATAATTTTATAGCTTTTAATCCTTTCATTGCACCTGTGTAAACTAAAGCCTTTTATGGTTCATCTTTCTCTACAAGAAGCCCAACCCTTTCCCTCCCCACCCCTTAATTCTAGTATAAGTTGCATAGATAGGTGATTTTGTGGTTCTTAAAAAGATTACATAGCAAAGGGATGGATCCTCATCATGTAAACATAATAGTTTCATTAATTTTTGGCTTAAAATAGGTCTTCATTTGTCACTTAAAATTGACCTATCAAAAGTAAGCATCTGAATGTGGAATGACGAGTTCAGGAAAAGCTAAACACACTGTTCAATAGCACAATGTGGCTTGCTGACAATTTAGCTGACCCTACACCTGGAAAGTGCTATCCAGTCATGTGCCTTTGTGGAAAAGCTAAAAGTAAGTTTAGGAAGGGATTCATTCTTTCAAATAATTAAAACTTAATGAGCATCTCTTATTCTTCTACTGAGTAGTCTGCAAGCTTTCACATTTGCAAGATAGTTCTGTGTCTACAAAGAGGTCAGTTATGGCCATACCACTTGTGGAAATCTAGATTTGAAATTTCAGGACTCAGGTTCTTCCCAAAAATTAGTTCAGGATCTACCAGGAATTATTGGAGCCTTAGCTTGCAGGTGTCCACATCAGTTATTGCTAACATATTTCCTCACTGTTTGCAGGGTTCTTTAGGATTCCCAATACAAAAGAAAAAAAAAAAACACTTCTGACTCATATTTAGGCACCTCTCCGTTAGCACTGTCTACCAAAAATAACTTAATTTTCTACTCCCGTCCACATGGATAGTCTTATGTCCACTCTAAAAGGGTATGCTTCCTAAAATTAAAAAAAAAAAAAAACAGACAACACACCTCCTAAAATGATGACCTACTGGAATTTCCAAAATGGCACCTATTTCCTATGTTAGTATATTAATATAACTGTGGGATATATGTTAGCATATGAGTATTAAGTTATTGTTACATAGTATAGTTGCAGCTGAGTACAAATATTGGTAAAGCAAATAATAATAATAATAATAACGCTATGTAATGAACAAAGGAAATCACCGAAAGACATTGGGATTGACTTAGCTAAGGAGGACAAGGTAGGTGACCATATGACAGAGGACATTTTATCTGAGTATCTATGCAAAGTTCATATATTTTTCTTTTTATTTTCCTAGTTTATTTTGAGAGTCATTCAGATGCCAAATGGCATTTGTATGCTCAAAAACTCTTTCTTGAAATACTTGCATTTCAGAATGGAATGGCCCAGTACTATTTTCCTCCACTAAAGTATTACTTTGTTATTAGATTTAAGAAAGTTTCATGGTCTCTGAGAGACTTGCTCTCAAGTCTCTTCACCACTTGTGATTATGTATAGCAGTGTTTATCCCGAGACCCATCAAGATCTTTGCACTACCGAGTCAATTGGAAACAAAATGGGGGAGGTTGTCACTCTATAAAATAAATTATCATGAAAATCTAAAGCATACATGTTTGTTTATTAAATTTCTGCCAAGACAGGTCCTCAATGTGTTTATGCCAAGTATCTTTTTTTTGGTCTGGTATAATTCCTTTTACCTAATAAATGGTAAATATTGTATACTGCTAATAAAATTAAATGTAAAATATTCAAGCTTAAATATGTATATACTTTTTAACTTTATTCAAATGTTTGTTCAAAATTTATGAATCAAATAAGAAACTGCTCTTAAGACCTTTTAAGAAAATCATGAGTTAAGTGGTAGAAAACAGTGACATTTTACATTTGTATGGCATTGTAAAGTTTATAGCATCCTTTTACATGTGTTACCTCATTTGAATTTCAAACAATTTATCAGTTAGAGAAGGATATGATCATCATTTTCCAAATTATAGAAATGAAGTACAAAAAGGTTAAATGGTGAAAGATCACAGGACTAGTTCCTAGGAAAGCAAGCCTGGTAGCCCCAAGCTCAGTGCTTTGAAGTGCTTGATAGTAGGATAAGAATCCCAGATAGCCCTCCCATTAACTTTTCTCTGTATAGCTTCAATTAATTGAGTTTGCTGGCTAAGAACTTTGAATTTAAAATAAAAAGACCAAATTCCAGTCTTCGTTATTTTCTAGCCATGTGATTCTTATTCAAATGATGTAAACTCTCTGAGCCTGACTTCTGTATCTGCAACATGGTTATAGTGCAGCTCCTGGATCTTCCACATAGAGCTCATTTGGCCCACACCAACAAGGAAAAATGCTCTGAAAATGACTGAATGCCTTTTAAAAACATAAACAAATATTGTTTCATACCATCATGGCATTTTGTAATGAGGATTTAACCCAGAGGCAAAAGATATAGGGTCAAACCTCAACTCTACCACTAGAAGCTGTGTGACTCCAGACAAGTCCTTGAACCTGTGTGAGAATTTGTTTTGTTCACTGTAAAATAAGGATTTTTGAGTGATATTTAAGTCATTTAAATAGTGATATTTATCAATGACAAATTGCTGTGAGTGGTTGAATGGGATAAACAAAAGTGTGAAGGTCTTTATACAATGAAAAGGAGCTATGCATATATATTATATATATATTTCCATATATATAGAGAAAAGCATTATTTGCATATAGTATACTTAAAAATGCTAATTTTTGGCTGGGCACAGTGGCGCATGCCTGTAATCCCAGCACTTTGGGAGGCCGAGGTGGGCAGATCACCTGAGGTCAGAGTTCGAGACCAGCCTGACCAATATGAAGAAACCCTATCTCTACTAAAAAAAAACACAAAATTAGCCTGGCATGGTGGCACATGCCTGAAATCCCAGCTACTTGGGAGGCTGAGGCAGAAGAATTGCTTGAACCTGGGAGGTGGAGGTTGAAGTGAGCCGAGATCGCGCCACTGCACTCCAGCCTGGGCGACAAGAGCAAAACTCCGTCTCAAGGGGAAAAAAATGCTATAGTTTTAGTACTATGTCAGAAAACATAATGGCTCCTGAATCTTTTTGGCTTCTAAAGGAAATATGCCAAAGTAGGTATATGAGAGGGTGCTGTGCACAGAAGATCATATGTGACTGAAGCCTAATTTGTGACTTGTAACTCACTCATCTTCACACTTTTGCCTTTCTCAGGGAGTTTCAAACTCCTTTCTTCCTGTATTACTTAAATTTCTCAAATACCCAATGTTCTTAATTTTTGTACCACATTCTGAGGGACTTCATAAGAGTTGAACTGACATTCCATATAGACTCTTCCTTTCATGCGTAGTTATTCACCCCACTCATTTATTAAATTGACAGCTTTCTTGAGCTAGGTATAGCTAGAGGCCTCCTTATCCTCTCACTGCCAACACTAATTTTGCAAAAGAGAAGGTGTTATATGAAGCGCTGACTGCTATGAATTGACAGACAAGATCACTTTTAAATGTCTTTATGGGAAGAGTATGTAATTCATTCTCATTGATATGTGGGGGTAAAAAAAATCCCTGAAGTTGCAAACACACCCAAAAGGGCTCTTGGGAGGTGAGCAAACACATTTAAGTGGTAACTTTACACTCTCAATGTGCAACTCAACAAATATGAGTTGTCTTAATACACACTGGATCTTCTGCCCTATAGAGGAAATCAACAGGAAGATTTGGGTTAGGGTCATGGCATCCTTAGGGGTATCGCTTCACCAGCCCAAAACCTCTGTGACCAGCGGCGCCTTTGTCCAAGTTTTGTTCAAGCCTGCTGGGCTCATTCAGCCTACTTGGCCCAGTAGGTTGTGCTCGGCTTGTGGGATCTGCCCAGATCCCATACCTGCCAAGGGTGAGCAAGGTGCAAAGCGGCGAGGGGTGTGTGAGTGAGCACTGGGGTCTGGCCACTGCACACAGCCAGGCATGCCGGCTGCAGCAGGGTGGGCAGCTCCAGGCGCTGGCAAAGGCACTGGCTTTTTGTGGGGTGGGCAGCTCCAGGCGCTGGCAAAGGCACAGGCTTTGTGTGAGGCTGCTGGCTGGACCGGGCATACCACAAACGGCTTCTACTGTGGGCACTGGGGAATGCAGTGGTGCCTGGAAGCTTGGCAATGCCAGGAGACACAGAGCCCCAAAGGGTGTCACAGCCCTGGCTCAGGGATCCTAGACCTAAGGGCTTCCCAAAGGGCCACAGCTCCTCTCTCCTTCTCATCACCTGAACATGGCAATCCCGGAGTGTTTCAGCCCTGGTTATGTTACAACTGTTTCAGTCCCGCCATTCAGCAGGTCCCAAGCTCCCATCTCACCTCCAGGAAGAATGAAGCACATGGACAACCGGAGAGCGAGCAAGGCAGAGAGGAGCTTCACTGAGCAACAAAACAACTCTTAGGAGAGCCACGGTGGGCACCTTCTTTCTGCAGGCAGGTCGTCCTGACTAGCTGAGGAGACCCAAAGTGGGTATCTCCTTCCCACAGCTGGTAATCCTGACGTCTGTGTGAGTCTGGCAGAGTCTGGGGTTTTTAAGGGGTCAGAAGGGAGGAAGTGCATGCTGATTGGTCTGTGGGCAGCCATGGGTGGGCCTGGAAAAAGCTCCATAAGTTCTCACTTTGGTCTACAGACTACCCAGAACTGACAGTCTGACCCCCAGGCCTCAGGCTGTCTCTGGATTAAAGGTGGGGTTTCACCAAGGATCCACCCCTTTCTGCCCAGGAATCTGTCTGCCTCCCACCATCAACATGCCCTCCATGGCACCCAGGTAGGGGCACCTGCAGACTCACACTGAGCTGCCCTCAGCTCCCCTGCCCCAGCCTCCCTCCCAGAGCTCATTGATGCACAGAGTTTCAGAGGGGTTCCAGGCAGGATTGGCATGTCAACACTGCCCCAAGCAGGTGCATATGGCCAGATCACAACAGCACCCAGGCTCGGCTTCAACTTTAACCTTAAATCTGGGCAGGCACCAGGAGTGGGGAAAGGCCAGGGAGCAGGAGCAGGCACTTCTGAGCCTGCAGGGGCAGGGGGGCTTCCTGGGCCCCAGAGAGTGCAGGGATGTCCAGGTCTGGAGCCATGGCTAGGCAGCAGCAGCAGCAGCTGCACCTGCACTGGGAAGTGTGGGTCTCCAACCCCTTTAACTTGGTAGGGGGCAGGGCTGCCACCTGTTCCTGGCCCCTGCCGGCTTTGCACAGTGTGGGGCCCTGGCCACACCTGCCCCACTGCAGCATCTGCCTTTGCAGAGGCCACTTCAGGCAGCCTCTGCTGCCATTAGGACCAAAAATAGTAAAATTCCTCTGAGATTATAGTTGAGTGGATTTGGGGACTTTGATGATATACATCATTGTCATTCTCTATTTCATTTGTAACTAGATATTATTCAGATGTTAAATTCAAAAAAATATAAATAACACATTAAAAGAGTAGTTTCATTAGGTATATAGCTATATTCTTTAAAATCTCATCCATTGCTATAAATTCATGCATTTATGCATTACTCTCTAGTTTCTTAACATTCAGCTTGACATTTCCTTTTCTATTGACACCAATAAAGCCCAATGCATTTTCTGTATAACTAAATCATCTTGAAAAGAGTTTAAAACATGATACAAAAATGAAATTGAAATTGTCTTTTATAGCTTATGAATAAATTTTGAATATTCCCTTTGTGCTTTGTGATTTAGGTGCTGAACGGCTAAGGTATAAATAGTACACCACTACTAGGTTCCTAAAAAGCCGCTTTGATTTGAGATATATTTAACTTCTACCTCGAAGACATAGTTTTTATATTGGAAGAAAATGTTTTTTGCTCCTAGGAAACTTCAGTATTATTCTCATCACAAGCTTAACATGCTATATCTTTCCCAAAGTTGGTGTATTTCATTGAATCATTTTCATGTGCTCTGACTGAAGAATATCAATATCACTCTTCAGATGAAAGGTGGTTCCAGTAATGCCTGATGTCTCAGCATCATTTGTAATACAAATGATGGGGAGCCTGTGGCTTAATGGCCACTAATTTATTTTGAATTTATGATGCATTGCAGCCATTAGTAGTAAGCTGCTTTACATCAGTTCATGGCGAATAAGAGTTCTGTTTGTGGTAGGTTTTATTTCTTGATGTCAGATGAGAAAATATGACTATTTCAAAAGGAAAATAAACCCAGTCCTAAAGTGGAATCAGGTCAGAAGTCTACCAGTTCTGTGTAACAATATATCATGCACTTCACTGTGCCTTATCATAGGTAACTGTGGGGTATTTTTAAATGAAAAACTGTAGCCCTGCTGCTTTTGCATTATATTAAAACATAAATTTAATATGCAATTTCCACTGGGGTTTTTTGAACACTTTATTAATATATATTTATCATGAAATTTTGCAGAATAAGTAATATATTATAAATTTTATGTTATGAAGATTGCCATATATTTAAAAACATACCAACATTAGAATAAAACTAACCTTTCAAATGGCCCCTAACAGATATAAATTCTCTATGACTTTGATAGGAAAAAAGGAGAAGCGGAATGCATCATTCACCCTTTAAAGAGATCACCATCTACTTGAGGTAACAAGATTTTGGTAGAAACATTATTTTAATGTATGGTTTTAATAAGAACTCAGGGATATAGTTGGTGAGACACCATACAACTGTGAGAGATTTATTCCCATATCTGAGAATAAAAGGTATCAGAGGTTGGAAATATGAGAGCAAGGCTCCAGGGACAGAAGCATCATGGACATGGCTGAGTTTGAGCTGGATCTTAAAGAAAGAGCAAAATATTAGCAGAAACAACATGCACACAAAGCACAATGGAGGCAAAATAATAAAAATTGCTAGAGAGTGGGTGTTAAATCAAATGGTTTATCTGAGAGAAGAGATTTCATAAATATGAAATAATAGAAAATAGGGAGGGCTTGAGTGAAATGCTTTAAATGAACACAAAAAACAAACAAAAACAAAGTTTTTCTAAAACTAATTTTAAGCACCATATCCAAATTACTAACTCCAGCAGCCACTAAGGTCCATTGTAGGGTGAGTTCTTGTCTTGAGCTAATTTTCACTTTGGTCAGGCATCACTCCAAGGCTGGATTGGTTCAGGAGGCTACACTTGGTGACTTTCCCCACTATCAGCTGCTGCAGATGCTGTATTTCCCACCACTGCAGTTAAATCATTCCTTCTAAACAACAGACTGGGCAGATGCCACTTTAGGACCCTATCAAAATAACTTGACCACAGATGACCAGCCTCGTTGGAACTCACTGCCTAATTCTGCCTAGAAATTAAGACCTCATCTTAATTATTTAGTTCTTCATCTCTTTCTAGCCTTTGTTACTAAACAAGTCCTGATCATCTGTCCTCCTTATGCATAACTTCCTCCACATGCTGACCAATGATTCTCCAATGATTTCTAGTCTTGCATTAGCATGCCTTCCAATCCCTCCCACTGAGCCCTCTGAAACTGCTTTTCCAAGATATTTCCTGTCATCTGTTCTCTACACCCTCAGCCTCCATTTCACTGAACAATTCCTCTGTTTGCTTATCCTAAGCAAGCCCTGAGGTCTTCTCTGACTGACTTCCAATATGCATATTGGAGATTGCATGTTGTTCCACAGCTTTTCAATGGTGAGTCACAGACACCGGCTCTCAAGACTCAGATAACATCTGTGCTTGTGCTGTGAGGCACAGTTGCAGATGGGGAAGGGATCTGCAAATGAGGTACAAAGGACATTTAGGGTCAGCATCAAACAGGACATACAACTCACCTAATCCTCTCCATGAGGTTATCTTCTTTGAGAGAATTTTGGCACACACCTAAAAGCCTAGATAATAATAATAAAGAGGCTACTCATTATCTTATGAAATCATTGATGAATTAAAATTGAAGATTTATAATAAGTTAAAAATGCCAGTGTTTGGGTTGATTGCATTGTTGAGAAAGAGGAATTTCAGACCAGTTTATTAGAATTCTAAGGAGTGATTTTTGCTTAGTAATGGACCTTTTAAAATAGTCAGTCCAATCTCTAAAACCTCTTTCCTCTTGAAACATCATTAAATAATTTTACTTTAAACTATGTCCTCTTAGGCATTTGATTACTAACAAAATGTTTATGCTCCTTAACTGCTTTGACTGCAATAAAAAGGGAGCTGACTTCCTGAGTAACTGGGTAAATTGATAGGACTTTTTCTAGATTTTCTAATGTTTAATACCATTGCTTTTATTTGAAAAGACTGGACTTTTGGGGGGATGACTTGGACTCCCTGTCTTTAGATTGTCCTGACTCTAGCCTGTCCCTGTTACACAATTTTCCCTAGCTCTGAACCAGTGTTCCTGGCCCTAGAAGCACAGTTAAATTAACTGATACTTGGGGTATGGTCCTGTTTTTATCCTGTCAACTCTTATACCAACCCAACAAATGGAATAGTTCCTTTCTTCTCCAATGGTTTAGCATATCAGCTTGCGCCTGTAGGTCACTGGTCTAAACTAGAGTACACCACACAAAGAGCTTGTGGATTGCAGAGACTGATACTGCTTTGCCTATACAGTATGAGATAATGATCCATTCTCCTGTTTTATTTCATTATTTGGTTGTTTATAAGATTTATATTAAATTATATCCTTAAAGATCTCTAGGCTATGCATTCTCATGGTGCTTTATCACAGAGATATTGTACTTATAAAAAATGTATTCACATCAACTCCACAGCAGATGTCTGGTCTAAACTATTTTGCCCAGCACGTATACCACATTGGATTTGGGTGGTTTCAGTTTTGATTTGGAGAATTGCTTTAGCAGTCTATGTCACACCATCACAAGAATGAAATCTTTCTGCCAAGGAATTATTTTATCCATAAAATATGCAACTATACTATAAGATTTCCAAGATAGAATACCTCCTAACAAAAACATAATTCTTCAAAGCGTATGTGTGAATGATTGTGAAATACAAGTACAAATCTAAACTTGTTTCCATATCAAACTGAGGGCTGGGCTGCTATTTCTCATGGACCAATAACAAGATGCAGATGAACTGGGGAGGAAGAGAGTTTTTATTTTCTGCAACTGGTTATGGGAGAAGGCCTGTCTATTCTGACATAGACCAAGTCTCTGTCCTTGTTTCCAAAATATAAAGTATTTTTCATTCATCCTACCCTTTGCTGGCATTTCAACATTTTGCTTGTCACTAATTTTGACTCTTTATCTTAACAAGGGTTTATGGCAGGGAATAGTATTGACCCACAGATGAGCTTTGCCTCAGAGAAAGAAAATGCTAATGACTGCTCATAGGTGAAAGACTATGAGCACACAGATTAGCTCTCAGGAAATTTAACACTTAGGTACAAAAGAATCTCTTGAGGATACTGATCCTTATTAAGAGCAGATTTTTGTTTTCTATCCTCAAAGATTTTTTTTTTTTTAGTTTACATTTTTATTAAGGTCTTCATGTTTATAAACTATTGCTATTTTTAAATTTATATCACTTACCCATTTATCTATGGAGAACTTACAGTTCTCCAAATCAATTTGTGCATGGAATATTATATATTAGGATGCAAACTATTTCACTATGGAGCTGGGTGTAAATTTTTTTTTCATTTATTTATTTATTTATTTATTTATTTTATTATTATTATACTTTAAGTTTTAGGGTACATGTGCACAATGTGCAGGTTTAGTTACATGTGTATACCTGTGCCATGCTGGTGTGCTACACCCATTAACTCGTCATTTAGCATTAGGTATATCTCCTAAAGCTATCCCTCCCCCCTCCCCCCACCCCACAACAGTCCCCAGAGTGTGATGTTCCCCTTCCTGTGTCCATATGTTCTCATTGTTCAATTCCCACCTATGAGTGAGAATATGCGGTGTTTGGTTTTTTGTTCTTGAGATAGTTTACTGAGAATGATGATTTCCAATTTCATCCATGTCCCTACAAAGGACATGAACTCATCATTTTTTATGGCTGCATAGTATTCTATGGTGTATATGTGCCACATTTTCTGAATCCAGTCTATCATTGTTGGACATTTCGGTTGGTTCCAAGTCTTTGCTATTGTGAATAGTGCCGCAATAAATATACGTGTGCATGTGTCTTTATAGCAGCATGATTTATAGTCCTTTGGGTATATACCCAGTAATGGGATGGCTGGGTCAAATGGTATTTCTAGTTCTAGATCCCTGAGGAATCGCCACACTGTCTTCCACAATGGTTGAACTAGTTTACAGTCCCACCAACAGTGTAGAAGTGTTTCTATTTCTCCACATCCTCTCCAGCACCTGTTGTTTCCTGACTTTTTAATGATTGCCATTCTAACTGGTGTGAGATGGTATCTCATTGTGGTTTAGATTTGCATTTCTCTGATGACCAGTGATGGTGAGCATTTTTTCATGTGTTTTTTGGCTGCATAAATGTCTTCTTTTGAGAATTGTCTGTTCATGTCCTTCACCCACTTTTTGATGGGGTTGTTTGTTTTTCTCTTGTATATTTGTTTGAGTTCATTGTAGATTCTGGATATTAGCCCTTTGTCAGATGAGTAGGTTGGGAAAATTTTCTCCCATTTTGTAGGTTGCCTGTTCACTCTGATGGTAGTTTCTTTTGCTGTGCAGAAGCTCTTTAGTTTAATTAGATCCCATTTGTCAATTTTGGCTTTTGTTGCCATTGCTTTTGGTGTTTTAGACATGAAGTCCTTGCCCATGCCTATGTCCTGAATGGTAATGCCTAGGTTTTCTTCTAGGCTTTTTATGGTTTTAGGTCTAACGTTTAAGTCTTTAATCCATCTTGAATTAATTTTTGTATAAGGTGTAAGGAAGGGATCCAGTTTCAGCTTTCTACATATGGCTAGCCAGTTTTCCCAGCACCATTTATTAAATAGGGAATCCTTTCCCCATTGCTTGTTTTTGTCAGGTTTGTCCAAGATCAGATAGTTGTAGATATGCGGCGTTATTTCTGAGGGCTCTGTTCTGTTCCATTGATCTATATCTCTGTTTTGGTACCAGTACCATGCTGTTTTGGTGACTGTAGCCTTGTAGTATAGTTTGAAGTCAGGTAGCAGATGCAGAAAAGGCCTTTGACAAAATTCAACAATGCTTCATGCTAAAAACTCTCAATAAATTAGGTATTGATGGGACGTATCTCAAAATAATAAGAGCTATCTATGACAAACCCACAGCCAATATCATACTGAATGGGCAAAAACTGGAAGCATTCTCTTTGAAAACTGGCACAAGACAGGGATGCCCTCTCTCACCACTCCTATTCAACATAGTGTTGGAAGTTCTGGCCAGGGCAATCAGGCAGGAGAAGGAAATAAAGGGTATTCAGTTAGGAAAAGAGGAAATCAAATTGTCCCTGTTTGCAGATGACATGACTGTATATCTAGAAAACCCCAATGTCTCAGCCCAAAATCTCCTTAAGCTGATAAGCAACTTCAGCAAAGTCTCAGGATACAAAATCAATGTACAAAAATCACAAGCATTCTTATACACCAATAACAGACAAACAGAGAGCCAAATCATGTGTGAACTCCCTTTCACAATTGCTTCAAAGAAAATAAAATACCTAGGAATCCAATTTACAAGGGACGTGAAGGACCTCTTCAAGGAGAACTACAAACCACTGCTCAATGAAATAAAAGAGGATACAAAGAAATGGAAGAACATTCCATGCTCATGGTTAGGAAGAATCAATATCATGAAAATGGCCATACTGCCCAAGGTAATTTATAGATTCAATGCCATCCCCATCAAGCTACCGATGACTTTCTTCACAGAATTGGAAAAAACTACTTTAAAGTTCATATGGAACCCAAAAAGAGCCCGCATCGCCAAGTCAATCCTAAGCCTATCCTCAAAGATTCTTATGCAGTTGGTATCAAAGTGCCCTTTATACCTTGGAGCACTTTGAGAAACCTTACCCAGTGTGTTTGTAAATGTGGTGTCAGGAGGAACAAACTTTTCACAGCTGTCCTGGACAGATGCCAGAAATTTCCCCTTCTTTGCTCTTAGTGCTGGTTAGTCTTAGGAATAACAGGCTTCCTAGGGTTTCTTGTAGATGCTCATTAAAAATAGGGCAAAAAATCCAGAGATACAGTGACGGGTTCTGCTCCTTTCTTTCAGAAGGAAATGAAAAGCAAGTTATCGTAGGGATAGCATGCTAATACAGTCACCGTTTTCAGTTACCACCATTCTTTTCACTGAATTTTAGAGTTCTTTCAAGAAGCAAGGAAACATCAATTTGAATCTGAAGAAAATTCACGGGAATCTCTGAAGCCAGCCAGTAGTTAAAAGCAAGAACTTTGTGCTATTGGTTAGTTGATTTACAGCTTATTTTAGGACAGAGAGGAAAGGAGTGTGTGTTCAATGTTCACTTTGTTGCCTGCCAGTCCTCCTGTTATGGTAGAAGTTATCTGAGTTACTGGTGGTGAATCCATCTGGGTCTGCAGCAACCTCAATTCCTGCCTCCCTAGAAGAAATAATTTGACTGAGGGGCATAAGGCAGAAAGAGACTGAGGCAAGTTTCAGAGCAGGAGTGGACGTTTATTAAAAAGTTTTACAGCAGGAAAGAACACTTAAAAGAGATCCTAGCGGGTGATTTGGGGTGTTTAACTGTGATCCTAGGACTTTATAGGCTGGCATCTTGCAGCCCTTTCCCATGATTCTTCCCTTAGGGTGGGCTGCTCACATGCACAGTGCCCTCCTTGCTCTTGGGAAGTGAGCATGAGCAGTCTGTTTAGGAAGTTGCACACATGTGCATCTGAGGCTTTCTTCCCTTTTCTGGTAGAGTGCCCCTGGAAAGTCATATTCCAACATTTTGTCTCTTAATGCTCATGTCCAGGAACTTGCTTCTCCCTGGCACTTGCATTCTATTAACACTTTAATGTTAACAGCTCTGGATCATCAGGAAATTGTCTCTCCCTGGTGGCCTAGGTGGGGCTGCTGAATTATCATTTTTAAAGAGGCAGTGTGATAATTGTCAAACCACCACCTAATATTCCTAGTGGATGTGGGAGAAAAGCCCACTCTTGCCCTGTTCATGCCTAACAACCTGTAACACTCCACAGTGTCCCTAAATGTCAACCTAGGAGGAAAGTGAGAAATCACAGTGGAGATGGGAAAATCAAGTGTTCTGCAGTTTAAAGAGAAATTAAAGGCAAGGAAAAATATCCTAATGAAAGCTGTTGAAAATGTATAGAGAGGTTTGAAACAATCAGGCATCTGTAGATAATGGTCCTGATCTAAAAGATAAACCCAAAGAAGAGAAACACTTATCAAAATGAATTTCTCTAGAGATATTTTAGGCTCTGCTGAAAGTAAGGATGGGGAATTAATGATATTCTTGGGCTACATCTTTATCAATATCTTTATCAGTCAATATATTTTGAAGATTCTCTTTCCTTCAGCATGTTTTTCCTCTCTGTATAAATCCATGCACAGTTAATTTTCTTCATAATTTCATGTTTTAGTTTGGTTTTATTACTAGAGCTACATTATTGGAAGTTTAAGAAAGGATCTTCCCACCCACAAGAAATTGCATGCATCTGTAAATTGTCAAAAAAAGTAGATGACTCAGTGCACAGAAATTATTCTGACAAAGAAGAAACCACTCTTTCAGAACTTAATTATGTATAATGCTAGGCTGCAGAAGAAGCAATGCTTGAGGTACCAGAGGGAAAATGCATATGAATATCAGTTACTCAAGGGACTCATCATGCTGTTTCACTGATAATTAGTCATACTGTTTAAAAAGAGAAATTTAGGATGCCGGCACTAAAGAAAGAGGCTAGAGTAATTACTGAGGAGTCAGAACAAAAGGCAAACTTTGTAAATTATTTACCTATAAATCAAAACATCGTTTTTCTACATTAATATTTTTGGACTTAAGAAAATACTTGTAAAAGTTATATTGACAAAAGATCATTTAAATGCCTTTGCATTTAAAATTCATTCTGATAATTTGCCATCTCTAAATTAGAGAAAAGGATACAACATCATAATCTTACATGACATGCTTTGCATTTTTAGCATTTATATAAATCCTTTAAAATATAAACTCCTTAAAGGCAGGCATCATAACTATCTTGTTCATCATAATCCCTGCACATAGCCTGAAAGATGCTCAGTAAATATGTGGTGAGTAAAGGAATGAACAAATTTTTTCACTTGTATTGTTGTAAAAATTGTCTAAATCAATTTTCAAGTAAATTAAGACTTTAACAAATTTTTATTAAACAAATTAAATATATTTAGAAGCTACTACATCCAAATATTACATTTAAATGTGTACAATTGATACATAAATTTTCCAATTACATATCAATTTCTAATTTTGAAAATGAGGAATTTTTATACTGAACTTACAATAATCTTAAGCACATAGGATTTGCAATGAAAAAGACTTAGATTCAAAGCCTGGCTCTGTAATTTGTTCAGTCACAAGAACTTAACTTTTCCAAGCTTCCATTTCCAAATCTGTAGAATATGAGTTCAACTATTTAACTTACAGTCTTACTGAGAGAAAATGAAATACTGAATGAAAGTCACTTAGTGGAGTACTTGTAATTCACTAAAACTCACTGTTGAAAGTTATTATTAGGATGTTTTCTATATGAGAAACAAAAAAAGATTCAGTTTAAACAAAATGCACATATATTATCTTGCGTAAGATTATTGATAGGGACTGGAGGCAGGGAAATTCTGAGCAGAAGAGGGCGAGTCCCCTGGCAAGTGCCCCACCCTCAAGCCTGGAACAGCAGCCCAAAATGAGAACATACATTTCTTTTTTCCCACTGGAATGTTGCCTTTTCCAAAACCACCCATAACCCCCCACCCAGCACCCCCATCCCATACCCATAAAAACCCTAGGCTCTGCTGGCAGAGAAGAGGAGAAGCAGCTGGACATTAGAGATTATGGTTGGACGTCAGAGAGAAGCAGCTTGACTTCAGAGTGACGGCTTGACAATGTTGCTTCAAAGAGGAGTCCAGCGGGGAAGGCTGGACTCTGGGGGAAGCTTATCTTCCAGTTCCATTCCCTTTGCAGCTCCCCTTCCTGCTGAAAGCCACTTTCATTGGCAACAAAATCCTCCATATTCACCAACCCTCAATTCATTCGTGCAACCTGATTTTTCCTGGATGCTAAACAAGAGCTCGGGTGCCACAGGTGCAGATGCTAAAGGCTATCACACTGACCCTCTGCCCTCACTGGCAGAGAGCACCCACCTCATGCAAAAAGGCAGAGGGCCCACTGAGCTATAAATACTTAAGCCGTCTGTGGACGGCAAAAGCTAAAAGAGTGCTGACTGTAACACATGCCCTCTGAGGCTTCGGCGATAGCAGGCACCTCCTAGACACTGCTGCAGGGCCCTGGATGGAGATTGGTCTGGCCAGCACCCAAAAGCGCTTGCCCCAACTCCTGTACCCACTCATCTGTGCACTCCCTCTTGCGAGGGGTGAAATGTAATGGGTCCCAGTGAGTGGAGTTTGCCCCTGCCAGTGCTGAAGTGGCCGGCTACATCCAGTGCCCATGTACTCTAGATCCCCCCATCAAAGGTGTCAGGGAAACTTTTCTGCTTCATTATGAGAGCCTCATCTCATTGAATTGAGAGGTAGGGTAGACCCTAAGGTTAGTTGATTCTGGAGTTCAAGGATGTCATCAGAAACCAGGTATTTACACCCCTCCCCTCATCTCCCTCATCACCTTCATCCTTAGACTGCTTCTCTTTATGATTATAAAATGGGTGCCAGGAGCAATCAGACAATATGCTGTCTTTTTCATATCTGAAGAAAACAGAAACAAAATTTGTCTTCCTTACCCTCAAAGCCCTAACCAAGTCTATTCTCGCATTTTATTCACTCAAATGAGTTTAGGTCTAACCATTCCCATAAAGTATTAGCAAAAGAATGAGGTCATTGTCACTGGCATAGAGTCCTATTGGGTTGGGAATGGATGTTGGAGAATCAAGCATAGTATCCACTACAATGATGATAATGACAATGGGGATGATGGATAATTGCCCTATGAATTGATACAAAAGTAGTAAAATTTCAAGTTAAGATTTAAATCAACAAATAATAGAAGAAACTCTGTACATAGGCACTGAAGTAGAAATTCAATGGGTTGGTCACCAAACACACAATGAATGACAAAAAATAATTCACATTCTACCTCAGGAGACAGAAGTATCAGAATCAAAGTAACATGCCATAATATAGAACTGTGGCAATTATGATACACGCACACATAAAAAAGCAGATATTCTTCCTGGAAGGTTTAGAAGGTGTACATAGAGGTTATATTTAAGATTAATTTTGAAATTCTTATAGACATTTCTTATGTCTGCAAAAAAGGCATATTCGTCAGAATTACACTGAAAGCACTGGAAGACTAGGAAGTTTAATTATCTTTTGTTCATTCTGTATCATCAGTGCCTAGAGCTATGTTTAAAACATAGTGGGTACTCAATATTTATAAGAATATGAACAACATTCACAAAGGTAATCATGAAAGAATGGAAAACATAAAGTGAAAAATTGTGAAGTTGAAGACAGGTCACATGATGAATGGGACATGTCTTATTTTAAAGTATTTAGCCTTTATTCTGGAGCTAATAGTCAATTACGGGTTTTAAAAAGGAGAACCATAATCAATAATATGCTTTTTGAAAGATCACTCTTGGTTACTTCTTTGTGTCCAGTAAAAGGTCGGATGAACTTCAAGTAAGGAAACAGCAACAAGGAGAAAAGAAATAACTGTCTTCGAAGTATATTTAGAAAACAGACTTGTCAGTACTTTGTAATTAATTTGATGTCAAATGTGAAGCACAAGGAGTAATCTAAGATGATGTCTGGCTTTCAGGCTTGATTGAATGGATAGTGATGTCTACCAATGAAATCAGCAATACAAGAGCCAAAGCAGATTTTATTTCAGGGCATGAATTAAACAATATATATGACTCAGTTTATTTTGAGGCATCAGTGACATGAGCACCTGAAAATGCTAGAAAGGTCTTGTTTGTCTTGTCCTACAATCAGAAAAGAGTTTTAATCTACAATTTTTAATTTGGTACCCACCAGGTAGTCAAAGTCTAAAGAAAACTTAGAAAGTGAGATGAGAAGATGGCTTCACATTTAACGTTGAGCTGAGCAAAAGTAGACTCTGAGTTAATGTTAACTCCCTCAAGAACATCTTTAATAGTACCCCAGTTTGGTTCAAGCTATGTTAGCATTCCAAATAGGCTGTCCTCTCATGCATCTGAACCCAGCAGAAAATTATTTTATCTTTTCCTTCAAAGAATATTGACAAAGTAACAGCAACATAATTAAGAAATTTATGGATGAGGATGTCCTTGCAATATGATCCCTACCCCCTCAAAGTCAGAAAGGCAATAGTGTGTTTTTTTACTGTTGTTTGTATGTATGTGTTTTTGCTTTTGTGACAGGATCTCACTCTGTCATGCAGGCTGGAGTGTAGTGACGATCATAGCTTGCTGCAGTCTCAAACTCTTGAGCTCAGGCAATCCTCCTGCCTCAGCCTAACGGGTAGCTGGGACTACAGGTGTGCACCCCCATGCCTGTCTAATTATTTTATTTTAGTAGTGACAGTGTCTCACCGTATTGCCTAGGCTAGTCTCTAAATCCTGTGCTCAAGAGATCCTCCTGCCTCAGACTCCCAAAGAGCTGGAATTACAAGTGTGAGCCAGTGCACCTGGCCTATTGTGTTCTAAAACAAATGACATTTTACTACCAAGAACTGGACATGCATACATATATGTGTATACATCTAATGATATAGTTATATGAAAGAAAGGCATTAAAAATTAAGTTACTATTTAAGCAGAAAGTTTTACAATTATTAGACTATTATAATAAAGTTATTATGTTGTACATTTCAATAAAATCAATAAATAACTCTAAACAACAACGAAATTGTTATTTAATGCAAAATTCAAAATATATTGTACAGAAAATAGTATAATGTATTAAGGGTTTCAAATTAAAAAATTATAAAATATTTTTCTAATTAATTGTTTTTAACTCTTTTCTAATAAATAAACATTTGATTGTATCATTCTTTTCCTGATCCCCACCACATATCTAGAACTTGTGATCTTAACTTCTTCTTTCAGGCCAAATGGAGGGAAACAATCCAGGAAGAGGAGCACATAGGAGGCACCATAAGTGAAAGGGTGCAATTGTCTAGCTCACACTTTTTAAAGCAAACAATACTGTCAAACAGGTTGAATCCATTTGCAGACTCTAACCAATTATTTGAGCAGTTCTTTCTCTCTAGCCCTAGACTAGGTAATGGGTAGGGTATGGTTGTATAACCGGAAGCTGTGTAAGCAGAGGCAACCTTAGTGTAAGAAGAAAAAGTGGATCTTATTTGTTTAATAATTGCAAAACTCTTTCCCATATATTACTTCACTTGATCCTCCAACACGGATCCTACAACAATCTGTGAAGTAGTCTAGATACCATTAATCATAAAAACAGAATCATAGGCCACGCGCTGTGGCACACACCTGTAATTCCAATACTTTGGGAGGCCGAGGAGGGCAGATCACCTGAGGTCAGGAGTTTGAGACCAGCCTGGCCAATATGGTGAAACCCCATCTCTACTAAAAATACAAAAATTAGCTGGGCATGGTGGTGGGTGCCTGTAATCCCAGCTACTCGGAAGGCTGAGGCAGGAGAATCGCAAGGGTTAATCGAGGGATTGGTAGAAGTGGAGAGGCGTGGGTCAAAGGATACAAAATTTTAGCTAGATAGGATAGGATTTTAGCTACAAATCTATTATAAAAAGTTAAATTTTATCAGAACTTATGCACAGGAACCCTTACAGACGCTACAGGCCACCATCCACAGTGCAGAAAAATGTAAACAAACATAAGGACACGGTATAAAATCAAGCTGCCTGAAATTAACTGTAATACATACTGTACTACTGTAATAATTTTGTAGCCATCTCCTGTTGCTACTGTGCTGGGCTAAAGTGTTGTGTCATGCCTAAAACATGTGTGACACTTATCTCTATGTGAGCGGTTCTTTCCTCTAGTAAATTATCACAATAAAAAATGGGCTCTCAGAGTTCTTGCATATTTTGTATCATGTTTCGTGCAATACCATAAACCTTGAATAACACCACGGGACCCATACAAAGTTGAATTGCTTGATATGTACCATAGACTGAAGTCGGCTACTGTAGCTGCCTACCATTTCAAGATAATTGAATACAGCAAAAATACTACTGTAAGAAAATAAAAGGAAATTTATGAAATTTTTGTTGCAGACTCTGCCAACAGGTGTGAAAACCTTACACTTTTTGCAAACTACCTTTTTATCTTGTATTGAAAATGCAGCTTTTATGTAGGTTCGGGATTGCTATAAGACTTACCTATAGATATGCACTTTAATATGATTTGAGAACAAGCAAATGACAACTTAAAGTAAAAGCTAAATGAAATATCTAAATCCAGAGTATTTAATACCAGCAAACTGTGGTTTGATAATTTTAAGTAGAGATTTGGCTTTAAAAAATGTCACGATAACAGGAGAAGCAGCTTCTACTGACCAAAAAGCAGCAGATGACTTCCAAGACATCACTGAAAAAATCATTGAGAAGAAATGACATCTGCCTGAACAGGTTTTTAATGCAGACAAAAGTACACTAGTTTGGGGAAAAAAATGCCACAAAGGAAATTTATTAGTAAGGAAGAGAAATTAGCATTGAGAATTTAAGGTAGGAAGGGACAGGCTAACTGTACTGTTTTGAGCAAATGCAATTTATGATTAGGACTGCCCTTATCTACAAAGGCGATAACTCCTGAGTTTTGAAGGGACAAGATCAACACCAGCTGCCAGTCTTTTTGCTGTACAACAAGAAGGCCTGGACAATGAGAACCCTTTTTCTGTATTGGTTTCATTGATGCTTTGTGCCTCAATTCAGGAAGTACCTTGCCAGTAAGGGCTGCCATACTGGCAGTTTTTTTGATATTGGATAATGACCTTGACCACCCAAAACCCCACGAATTCAGTGCCAAAGGTGTCGAAGTGGTCTACTTGCCCCCATACACAAAATATCTCATTCAGCCTCTAGATCAGGAGGTGAGGTCATAGCACCTTTAAGGCTCATTACACATGGTACTCTATGGAAAAAATGGTCAACGCTGTGGAAGAGAACCTCTATATAGAGAGTATCATGGATGTTTGGAAGAATTACACCCTTGAAGATGTCGTTATTGTTATAGAAAAAGCCATGAAAGTCGCCAAGCTTGAAGCAATAAATTTCTGCTAGAGAGAAGATGTTTTGCAAGACTTCACAAGATTTATGATAGAGCCAATCAAAGAAATCATGAAAGAGATTGTGGATGTGGCAGAAAAGGTTGGAATGTAAAGGACTTCAAGATATGGATCTTGGAGAAATTCAAGAGATAATAAAAATCACACCAGAGTAATTAGTAGAAGCTGACTTGATGGAGATGAAAGTTTCCAAACCAGCGCCAGACATTGAGGAAGAACACATAGAAGAAGCAGGGCAATGGGGAAAGCATTCCCTATTTAACAAATGGTGTGGGGAAAACTGGCAAGCCATATACAGAAAACTGAAACTGGACCTCTTCTTTACACCTTATACAAAAATTAACTCAAGGTGCATTAAAGACTTAAATATAAGACTTTAAACCATAAAAACCCTAGGAGAAAACCTGGACAGTACCATTCAAGACATAGGCATAGGCAAAGACTTCATGACTAAAACACCAAAAGCAATGGAAACAAAAGTCAAAATTGACAAATGAGATCTAATTAAACTAAAGAGCTTCTGCACAGCAAAAGAAACTATCATCAGAGTGAACAGGCCACCTACAGAATGGGAGAAAGATTTTGCAATCTATCCATCCGACAAAGGGCTAGTATCCAGAATCTACAAAGAATGTAAACAAATTTACAAGAAAAAAACAACCCCATCAAAAAGTGAGCAAAGGATATGAACAGACACTTCTCAAAAGAAGACATTTATGCAGCCAAGAAACATGAAAAAAAGCTCATTATCACTGGTCATTAGAGAAATGCAAATCAAAACCACAATGAGATACCATCTCATGCCAGTTAGAATGACGATCATTAAAAAGTCAGGAAACAACAGATGCTGGAGAGGATGTGGAGAAATAGGAACACTTTTACACTGTTGGTGGAAGTGTAAATTAGTTCAACTGTTGTGGAAGATGGTATGGCGATTCCTCAAGGATCTAGAACTAGAAATACAATTTGACCCAGCAATCCCATTACTGGGTATATACCCAAAGGATTATAAATCATTCTACTCTAAAGACACATGCACTTGTATGTTTACTGTAGCACTGTTCACAATAGCAAAGACTTGCAACCAACCCAAATGCCCATCAATGATAGACTGGATAAAGAAAATGTGGCGCATATACACCATGGAATACTATGTAGCCATAAAAAAAGGATGAGTTCATGTCCTTTGCAGGGACATGGATGAAGCTGGAAACCATCAATCTCAGCAAACTAACACAGGAACAGAAAACCAAACACCACATGTTCTCACTCACAAGTGGGAGTTGAACAATAAGAAAACATGGACACAGGGAGGGGAACATCACACACTGAGGCCTGTCGGGGGGCGGGGGGCTAGGGGAGGGACAGCATTAGAAGAAATACCTGGATCGCTGGAGCCAAGATTTGCTGGAGCCAAATAGGAACAGCTCCGGTCTACAGCTCCCATCGTGAGCGACGCAGAAGACGGGTGATTTCTGCATTTCCATCTGAGGTACTGGGTTCATCTCACTAGGGAGTGCCAGACAGTGGGCTCAGGACAGTGGGTGCAGCGCACCGTGTGCGAGCCGAAGCAGGGCGAGGCATTGCCTCACTCGGGAAGCGCAAGGGGTCAGGGAGTTCCCTTTCCTAGTCAAAGAAAGGTGTGACAGAGGCACCTGGAAAATCGGGTCACTCCCACCCCAATACTGCGCTTTTCCGATGAGCTTAAAAAACGGTGCACCAGGAGATTATATCCTGCACCTGGCTCGTAGGGTCTTACGACCATGGAGCCTTGCTGATTGCTAGCACGGCAGTCTGAGATCAAACTGCAAGGCGGCAGCGAGGCTGGGGGAGGTGCGCCCGCCATTGCCCAGGCTTGCTTAGGTAAACAAAGCAGCCAGGAAGCTCCAACTGGGTGGAGCCCACCACAGCTCAAGGAAGCCTGCCTGCCTCTGTAGGCTCCACCTCTGGGAGCAGGGCACAGACAAACAAAAAAGACAGCAGTAACCTCTGCAGACTTAAATGTCCCTGTCTGACAGCTTTGAAGAGAGCAGTGGTTCTCCCAGCATGCAGCTGGAGATCTGAGATTGGGCAGACTGCCTCCTCAAGTGGGTCCCTGACCCCTGACCCCCGAGCAGCCTAACTGGGAGGCACCCCGCAGTTGGGGCAGACTGACACCTCACACGGCCGGGTACTCCTCTTAGACAAAACTTCCAGAGGAACGATCAGACAGCAGCATTAGCGGTTCACGAAAATCCGCTGATCTGCAGCCACCAGTGCTGGTACCCAGGCAAACAGGGTCTGGAGTGGACCTCTAGCAAACTCCAACAGACCTGCAGCTGAGGGTCCTGTCTGTTAGAAGGAAAACTAACAAACAGAAAGGACATCCACACCAAAAACCCATCTGTACATCACCATCATCAAAGACCAAAAGTAGATAAAACCATAAAGATGGGGAAAAAACAGCAGAAAAACTGGAAACTCTAAAAAGCAGAGCACCTCTCCTCCTCCAAAGGAACGCAGCTCCTCACCAGCAATGGAACAAAGCTGGACGGAGAATGACTTTGACGAGTTGAGAGAAGAAGGATTCAGACGATCAAACCACTCTGAGCTACAGGAGGAAATTCAAACCAAAGGCAAAGAAGTTGAAAACTTTGAAAAAAATTTAGACGAATGTATAACTAGAATAACCAATACAGAGAAGTGCTTAAAGGAGCTGATGGAGCTGAAAGCCAAGGCTCGAGAACTACGTGAAAAATGCAGAAACCTCAGGAGCGGATGTGATCAACTGGAAGAAAGGGTATCCGTGATGGAAGATGAAATGAATGAAATGAAGCAAGAAGGGAAGTTTAGAGAAAAAAGAATAAAAAGAAAGGAGCAAAGCCTCCAAGAAATATGGGACTATGTGAAAAGACCAAATCTATGTCTCATTGGTGTACCTGAAAGTGACAGAGAGAATGGAACCAAGTTGGAAAACACTCTGCAGGATATTATCCAGGAGAACTTCCCCAATCTAGCAAGGCAGGCCAACATTCAGGTTCAGGAAATACAGAGAACGCCACAAAGATATTCCTCGAGAAGAGCAACTCCAAGACACATAATTGTCAGATTCACCAAAGTTGAAATGAAGGAAAAAATGTTAAGGGCAGCCAGAGAGAAAGATCGGGTTACCCACAAAGGGAAGCCCATCAGACTAACAGCGGATCTCTCGGCAGAAACTCTACAAGCCAGAAGAGAGTGGAGGCCAATATTCAACATTCTTAAAGAAAAGAATTTTCAACCCAGAATTTCATATCCAGCCAAACTGAGCTTCATAAGTGAAAGAGAAATAAAATACTCTACAGACAAGCAAATGCTGAGAGATTTTGTCACCACAAGGCCTGCCCTAAAAGACCTCCTGAAGGAAGCACTAAACCTGGAAAGGAACAACCAGTACCAGCCACTGCAAAATCATGCCAAATTGTAAAGTCCATCGAGGCTAGGAAGAAACTGCATCAACTAACGAGCAAAATAACCAGCTAACATCATAATGACAGGATCAAATTCACACATAACAGTATTAACTTTAAATGTAAATGGACTAAATGCTCCAATTAAAAGACACAGACTGGCAAATTGGATAAAGAGTCAAGACCCATCAGTGTGCTGTATTCAGGAAACCCATTTCATGTGCAGAGACACACATAGGCTCAAAATAAAAGGATGGAAGAAGATCTACCAAGCCAATGGAAAACAAAAAAAGGCAGGGGTTGCATTCCTAGACTCTGATAAAACAGACTTTAAACCAACAAAGATCAAAAGAGACAAAGAAGACCATTACATAATGGTAAAGGGATCAATTCAACAAGAAGAGCTAACTATCCTAAATATATATGCACCCAATACAGGAGCACCCAGATTCATAAAGCAAGTCCTGAGTGACATACAAAGAGACTTAGACTCCCACACATTAATAATGGGAGACTTTAACACCCCACTGTCAACATTAGACAGATCAACGAGACAGAAAGTTAACAAGGATACCCAGGAATTGAACTCAGCTCTGCAACAAGCAGACCTGATAGACATCTGCAGAACTCTCCACCCCAAATCAACAGAATATACATTTTTTTCAGCACCACACCACACCTATTCCAAAATTGACCACATACTTGGAAGTAAAGCTCTCCTCAGCAAATGTAAAAGATCAGAAATTATAACAACCTGTCTCTCAGAACACAGTGCAATCAAACTAGAACTCAGGATTAAGAAACTCACTCAAAACCACTCAACTACATGGAAACTGAACAACCTGCTCCTGAATGACTACTGGGCACATAACGAAATGAAGGCAGAAATAAAGATGTCCTTTGAAACCAATGAGAACAAAGACGCAACATACCAGAATCTCTGGGACACATTCAAAGCAGTGTGTAGAGGGAAATTTATAGCACTAAATGCCCACAAGAGAAAGCAGGAAAGATCAAAAATTGACACCCTAACATATCAATTAAAAGAACTAGAAAAGCAAGAGCAAATACATTCAAAAGCTAGGAGAAGGCAAGAAATAACTAAAATCAGAGCAGAACTGAAGGAAATAGAGACCAAAAAAACCCTTCAAAAAATTAATGAATCCAGGAGCCGGTTTTTTGAAAGGATCAACAAAATTGATAGACTGCTAGCAAGACTAATAAAGAAGAAAAGAGAGAAGAATCAAATAGACGCAATAAAAAATGATAAAGGGGATATCACCACCAATCCCACAGAAATACAAACTACCATCAGAGAATACTACAAACACCTCTACGCAAATAAACTAGAAAATCTAGAAGAAATGGATAAATTCCTCGACACGTACACCCTCCCAAGACTAAACCAGGAAGAAGTTGAGTCTCTGAATAGACCAATAACAGGCTCTGAAATTGTGGCAATAATCAATAGCTTACCAACCAAAAAGAGTCCAGGACCAGATGGATTCACAGCCGAATTCTACCAGAGGTACAAGGAGGAACTGGTACCATTCCTTCTGAAAGTATTCCAATCAATACAAAAAGAGGGAATCCTCCCTAACTCATTTTATGAGGCCAGCATCATCCTGATACCAAAGCTGGGCAGAGACACAACCAAAAAAGAGAATTTTAGACCAATATCCTTGATGAACATTGATGCAAAAATCCTCAATAAAATACTGGCAAAACGAATCCACCAGCACATCAAAAAGTTTATCCACCATGATCAAGTGGGCTTCATCCCTGGGATGCAAGGCTGGTTCAATATACGCAAACCAATAAATGTAATCCAGCATATAAACAGAACCAAAGACAAAAAACACATGATTATCTCAATAGATGTAGAAAAGGCCTTTGACAAAATTCAACAACACTTCATGCTAAAAACTCTCAATAAATTAGGTATTGATGGGACATATCTCAAAATAAGAGCTATCTATGACAAACCCACAGCCAATATCATACTGAATGGGCAAAAACTGGAAGCATTCCCTTTGAAAACTGGCACAAGACAGGGATGCCCTCTCTCACCACTCCTATTCAACATAGTGTTGGAAGTTCTGGCCAGGGCAATTAGGCAGGGGAAGGAAATAAAGGGTATTCAATTAGGAAAAGAGGAAGTTAAATTGTCCCTGTTTGCAAATGACATGATTGTATACCTAGAAAACCCCATTGTCTCAGCCCAAAATCTCCTTAAGCTGATAAGCAACTTCAGCAAAGTCTCAGGATAGAAAATTAATGTACAAAAATCACAAGCATTCTTATATACCAATAACAGACAAACAGAGAGCCAAATCATGAGTGAACTCCCTTTCACAATTGCTTCAAAGAGGAATAAAATACCTAGGAATCCACCTTACAAGGGATGAGAAGGACCTCTTCAAGGAGAACTACAAACCACTGCTCAATGAAATAAAAGAGGATACAAAGAAATGGAAGAACATTCCATGCTCATGGGTAGGAAGAATCAGTATCATGAAAATGGCCATACTGCCCAAGGTAATTTCTAGTTTCAATGCCATCCCCATCAAGCTACCAATTACTTTCTTCACAGAATTGGAAAAAGCTACTTTCAAGTTCATATGGAACCAAAAAGGAGCCCTCATCGCCAAGTCAATCCTAAGCCAAAAGAACAAAGCTGGAGGCATCACGCTACCTGACTTCAAACTATACTACAAGGCTACAGTCACCAAAACAGCATGGTACTGGTACCAAAACAGAGATATAGATCAATGGAGCAGAACAGAGCCCTCAGAAATAACGCTGCATATCTACAACTATCTGATCTTGGACAAACCTGACAAAAACAAGCAATGGGGAAAGGATTCCCTATTTAATAAACGGTGCTGGGAAAACTGGCTAGCCATATGGAGAAAGCTGAAACTGGATCCCTTCCTTACACCTTATACAAAAATTAATTCAAGATGGATTAAAGTCTTAAACGTTAGACCTAAAACCATAAAAAGCCTAGAAGAAAATCTAGGCATTACCATTCAGGACATAGTCATGGGCAAGGACTTCATGTCTAAAACACCAAAGCAATGGCAACAAAAGCCAAAATTGACAAATGAGATCTAATTAAACTAAAGAGCTTCTGCAGAGCAAAACAAACTACCATCAGAGTGAACAGGCAACCTACAAAATGGGAGAAAATTTTCCCAACCTACTCATCTGACAAAGGGCTAATATCCAGAATCTACAATGAACTCAAACAAATATACAAGAGAAAAACAAACAACCCCATCAAAAAGTGGACGAAGGACATGAACAGACACTTCTCAAAAGAAGACATTTATGCAGCCAAAAAACACATGTAAAAATGCTCACCATCACTGGTCATCAGAGAAATGCAAATCAAAACCACAATGAGATACCATCTCACACCAGTTAGAATGGCTATCATTAAAAGTCAGGAAACAACAGGTGCTGGAGAGGATGTGGAGAAATAGAAACACTTCTACACTGTTGGTGGGACTGTAAACTAGTTCAACCATTGTGGAAGACAGTGTGGCGATTCCTCAGGGATCTAGAACTAGAAATACCATTTGACCCAGCCATCCCATTACTGGGTATATACCCAAAGGACTATAAATCATGCTGCTATAAAGACACATGCACACGTATATTTATTGCGGCACTATTCACAATAGCAAAGACTTGGAACCAACCGAAATGTCCAACAATGATAGACTGGATTCAGAAAATGTGGCACATATACACCATAGAATACTATGCAGCCATAAAAAATGATGAGTTCATGTCCTTTGTAGGGACATGGATGAAATTGGAAATCATCATTCTCAGTAAACTATCTCAAGAACAAAAAACCAAACACCGCATATTCTCACTCATAGGTGGGAATTGAACAATGAGAACACATGGACACAGGAAGGGGAACATCACACTCTGGGGACTGTTGTGGGGTGGGGGGAGGGGGGAGGGATAGCTTTAGGAGATATACCTAATTCTAAATGACGAGTTAATGGGTGCAGCACACCAGCATGGCACATGTATACATATGTAACTAACCTGCACATTGTGCACATGTACCCCAAAACTTAAAGTATAATAATAATAAAATAAAATAAAATAAAAAAAGAAGAAATACCTAATGTAGGTGACGGGTTGATGGGTGCAGCAAACCACCATGGCACGTGTATACCTATGTAACAAACCTGCACATTCTGCACATGTATCCCAGAACTTTAATAATAATAAAAAAAGAAGACAAAGTAGTTCCAGAAAACAAATTGACATTAGATAATCTGACAGAGGGTTCTAATTATTCAAGACTGCTTTTGATTTTTTTCATGACTTGCACTCTTCTATGATACAGGCACTGGAACTAAAGCAAAATGGTGGAAGAAGATTAGTCCTCTATAGAAACATTTTTAGAGAAATGAAAGTGCAAAAATGTCAGACAGAAATTTCTGTGTATTTTCACAAAGTTACACCGTGTGCCTGCCTCTCCTGCCTCTCCTGCCTCCCCTTCCACCTCCTCCACCTCTTCCATCTCTGGCACCCCTGAGTCAGCCAGACCAACTTCTCCTCTTCCTCCTCCTCCTCAGCCTACTTAACGTGAAGATAATGAGGATTAAGACCTTTTTGATAGCCCACTTCCACTCCATTAATAGTAAATATACTTTCTCTTCCTTATGATTTTCTTAATTGCATTTTCTTTTTGCTAGCTTCAGTTATAAGAAGACAGTATATAATACATATACAAAATGTGCGTTAATCTATTATTTATGTTATCAGTAAAGCTTCCAGAGTCAGCAGAAGGCTATTAGTTTTTTAGCCATTTTAGCTATTAGTTATTTTTTGTTAATTGACAAATAAGTATTACATACAATTCACCCTTGAACAACACAGGGTCCAACACAAGGGTTAGGGGGACCAATCCTCCATGCATTCAAAACTGCATACACAGAGTGTGTTGTTCAAGGGTCAATTGTATGTAATTTTTATTTGTCAATTAACAAAAAAAAATTAGAAAAAAACTATACCATGCTTTACTGTACACTTAAAAATTTGTTGAGACTAGATCTCATGTTAAGTGTTCTTACCACAGTAAAATAAATTTTTCAGAAAGATTTTAGAAAACTTAGGAATAATTATTAGATTTTAATTTATTAAAGGATATTCTATATTTTCCAGCAGATACTGTATTTTCTCATATGCTACTTCCTCTACAAAGGAAGATGGGAACAATTTACATTTAAATGTTAAAACTTTGTTTTTAATGAAACTAGCATGAGGTATCCTCAAAAAGGGGAGTAGAATCTCTACAACAGATAGCATAATTATTATAGGGTATTTATTCAATCATAATAATTCATAACACAAATAGAATAAAATGATAATATTGATGTAAAAAAATAAAGCAGGGAGAAACAAAAAAAGAGATAGACCCAGCAGAATGTGAATGGAATCATAATGATTACCAGTTTATATGTACATAATATGTATTTGAGAAGAATGTGTAAACCACTGTCTCATATGATTGGCATTTCTATAAATTTAACAAATTTCTTAACTATGATAATTATTTATTGTTGCTACAGTACCACATGCACATCTCTGTGCCACTTTGTTTTAAGATAAGTCTGTAATTCACAGTGAACTGGTTCTTGGGCATCAATTTATGACAAATTCATTTTCATTTGTCAGATAGCTTTAGGATAACATTATTTTAATGCGTGTATGTATTGTTTCATCTCCAAGTCTTGTTGCCATTTTTAAGGGCTGTCAGCTGTATTACATAATTTGATATGGAAAATATTTTGGGTCAATCATTAGTCTTTTTTATGAGTCTTCTGTATGGACTTTTTTTTCTATTTAAGGAAAGACATGTACATTCTGAAACTGGACATATATTATTAATCTACTACTACATATACTAATCTAATCTGATGACTACTGAGTATTTTAATAATAACCATGTAACTTGGAACTTTTATCCTTCAGAATTATGAAAGTAAGCATATATTTTATAGTATTTAGGGTAGAGTGTGAAGAAGTATCTAGCATAGTAGTTGAGTTAAAATCAATCCATCTTTCTATGTGCCTATCTACATAGCTGCACTTTTATCTGTCTGTTAAAGTCTGTTCTTTATATACCATTGGAAACATTCGAGGGTCATTAAAATAGGACCCCATTTTCTTGTTCACTGAATAAGATTTACTTCATATTTATGGGCATTTTTCTTAAAACCTCTTGACAATAGTTAGGGATGCAAAGAAACATGGTAAATTATATCCTTGAAGTTCTTATTTTGTCGGTTATTTGCCAGATACTTTTAATTTTATCATTTGCCTTTAGAATACAGTTTTTTATTTACGTCCCAATGTTTCTTTACAGATTACTGAACTATGAAAAACAATATTTATATTTCAAGAAAAGTAACAGTCTTATTAATGAATGTAAATAGACATCTTTCTTGTGATTTATGTTATTAAGGCACAATAGTAAATATTTTATAAAATATTTGTAGGCTGTATTTGAGATAAATTCAGGGGAAAATATTTTATTTCAGAATGCTCTGATGCTCTGCCTCTGAGATATAGAACAATGCAGTGGTGTGTTTAGGATAACTTATGCAATATTAAAGGCTATCTTTTCTGTGGAATTATTTTTGGTCAGTTCCTATAAACAATCTTTTTTCTTCCTTAAATTGCACAATTAACTAATATTAGCATGACATTTTAAACCTAGCAATTATGTTTTTCTAATGAGATTTATGTGTAGATCAAAAATAGATGGCCTCTGATCTTCATGGCCATAGAGAAAATAAATATGTTTCTTGTGAACACCCTGGAATTTTCCCAGTTTTATGGATCACATTAATTTAAAAATCTATCATAGATCTTAGTGTCTGAGAAATACACAGAAACTATACCCGTTATTACAAGAACAAAACAATTCAAACTCGGCCTTGTGAAACTAAAATAAATCTAAACTTGAGACTTTTATGTAGAGTGCAGACAAAAAGCATTGGCATTTCCAGGAATAAATCTAGATTTTATTCCCTCTAAAAATTATACCATTTGGGAAAAACTGTTTGAGAAAGAAAAATATGAATGTTGTCTTACCTTTCAAATTTTATTAAGCTTATGACCATGTGAACACATCTCTAGGTCCTCCCAGGTCCTTGGAAGTGACCTATAAAAGTGCAGGGCTCTGGAGATTAAGCTGCATTTCATAGTAAACTCACAATCGCATATTCAGTAATCTCTCCTTATCTGTGGGAGATATGTTCTAAGACCCTCAGTGATGACCTGAAATCACAGATAATACTCAACACTATATGCCCTTAAAATAGGCACAAGAAGAGATTAACAACAATTCATAAAAAAGAACAATAATATACTTTAGTAAAAGTTACGTGAATGTGGTTTCTTATTCTCAAAAGATCTTACTGTACTATACTTGCCTTTTTTCTTCTTGCAATCTGTTAACCTGATAACTAAGAGGGCTGCTAAGTAACTAATGGGCAGGTAATCTATACAGCGTGAATACACAGGGCAAAGGAAGGATTCACATCCCAAGCAGGTTGAAGCAGGACAACACGAGATTTTATCATGCTACTCAGAACAGTGCACAATTTAAAACTTATGAATTATTTATTTCTGGAATTTTCCATTTAATATTTTTGGACCTTTGTTGACCACAGGTAACTGAAACGCTGAAAGTGAAACCTTGGGTAAGGGGGACTACTGAAATAAAAAGACATGAAGCAAGGAGCAGATTGGTTAATCGTTTCATTGTTGTTAGTGAAATATATCGTAACATTGTGCATGGATTCTTCTGTTAAATATTAAACCACGTGTATTTTTTAAACAACTAGTCTTCAAATACTTTAAATATTTAAAAAATCACGTCTTGACAATATGATATTTAATTGAAGAAGTTACTGCAAAATGTACTTGTGTTTACAGGTAGAATATTTGAAAGCTTTTTGATCTTCACATCCTTGAGGATTCAGTGCAGCTTTACTCAATCAGGATCATGCCTAGGTACATGAAACTGTATTGTTAAATACTTGGTTGATAAGATTTAGATTTCTTTTTTCATCTTCTGTTTTAGAAGCATTTATATTCTCTTAAAGTCTGATGGTTAGGTTTCTAACTTTTCCAGTATTTGGATTGGTAAATGTACTACTTAAGTTACATAAATGCTTTATTATTGGTAATGGCACATATAAAATCTCAATGCATTTATATGACTCTCTAGTAATTTGTTATACAAAGAGTACAGAAAACAGTGATTTACCATAGACTATTGTTTACATCTGAATCTATTTGTTCAACTCTTTTATTACCATTGCCTTGTTTGGCTCATATAAATTTTATTTAATTTTTCTTTCTAACTAATCACAATGATACCAAATTGTAGTATATAGTTTTATTTGTAGCATAGATTGCTCTCTAAAAATATGTACCATGAGTACATGTGTAAATCAATGAACATCAACTTAAACAGTAGCTATTTCATGTGAACTACACACATTCTTGTCAAGAAACAGGAGTAAATGGCTGAGGCCCAGGCATAATTCCTTGGAAGTGACAATGCCAAAATGCCCAAGGAAGCTCTTGGCAGGGCTACTCATTTGTTTTCACATATTTATCTATTTGTTCCCTTGGTTTCAAGGCTTTAAACAGAAATTCAGAGCATTTTCATGGTATCTGGGCATCATTACAATATTTACTAAAAGAGAAGTCCTAAACATGGTCATTTTATGGGAGAAATCAGTAGCACATGGTGTTTATGCAATGTTATATATGATTTTACTCATTATGCCAACTGTATTAAGGGGATTCCATCTTTCTTTGGGCCCTCATCAGGCTACCACGATATACAATGAGTGGTATACTTAAGCTCTGGCTGAATTGTTCTGTAATGTAATCTGACTCAAGGAGAACAAATGGAGAGGGTCTTTGTCATTCTACTGTGTCATGTGAATTTTCTCTGTTTCTGGAGTCTAAGTTGTTCTGTTTTTCACCTGCTATTTGAGAAATTTTTTACAATTTTCGTGTCATAAGCCAGAATGCAATGGGATGAATATGGAGCCTTTCTTTTTATACACTCTCTTGAAACTCTTCATGAAAAGCTTTCTTATTGAATTGTTTCATTCTAGCTTGAATATCGAAATGGAATGTGTTACGATAAATTCATAAGTACGTTTCTATTATTATACTATTTATATAGTTATGACACATTGTGAATTGAATGAAAGGTCTTATAAAATTCTGAAAAGCTGTGCTGTTGCTTGTGTATTATTTATTTATATCTCTAAAATTATCCACTGACTGCAAATTGTCCGTAAGGGACATATTCAATGTAAAACAATCATTCCCAGAACTAAAAAAGGTCTAAAAATTTCTTTTGAATTTTCTTTCTACTACAAATTTTTGCATAAGAACAGAAACAGTAACTTCTTTCTAAAACAACAATGGAATCTCAATATCAAAATTAGTCTGGTTAAGTACAGCATGACTGTAGGCCTAGCTGCTTGGGAGGCTGAGGTGGGAGGATCACTTGAGGCTCAGAGTTTGAGGCTGCAGTGTACTATAATAGTGCCTAGGAACAGCCACTGTACTTGAAGCTGGTCAGCATAATGAGACCACATCTTTCTCAAAAAAAAAAAAATCTGATGCTCAGTATCAATCATTTAAAAATAAATGAATGAATGATCATGGGACAGAAAAATGATAAATTCTGTATTCAATCTACATTTGAACTTATATTTTTGTTACATCTCTGCAAATTATTTTCATGGGTTTAAGTATTTTTAATTCATTTTATTTTTATTTGCAAAAACATTGCACATACATCTAATTTTTAAAAATTTTCTGGGATCATAAGACTACATGGTTAAAATATTCTATTATACTTTTATAGCAGATTCAATCAAAATAAGATAATTACTGAATAAAATGTAAACATTGACTAGAAATGTCCCTTTTAATGAAATCAATAGGCATCCTGTATATCTATAGATGAATAATTTTTAGTGCTAGTTAAGCAGATACAGGTTTTTGTCTCAATTATATTTCTTTCTTGGTTTTTCTTGGTTTTTAATTGAGGTACGTGCTGAGTAACTTGTTCACATAATAAAGTAGATGACAGTGGAAAGTATTTTATTTTCAGTATTAGTCAATTATTTGAACTTGCCAAAAATCACATAATGATTTATTATCAAAAATTATTTGTAATGATCTGTGGACTGACAATTCACTTGAATCTTCCCTCAATATTGTGAAGAGCAGAAAATTGGAAACCATCTGATTAACAAAAAGATTATTTCTAGTCAATAAACTTAGCATTTCTGAGAAGTGTCTCAAAAACATTTACCAAAACTTAAAAAATGAAAATAACTATACTGCCTTTTTATCATTTAGAGGCAAAAAATCAAAAAATTAAAATACAGGTATACTTCTACTTATTGCATTTCACTTTATTGCACTTTGCAAATACTGCATTAATTACAAATTGAAGGTTTGTGGCAACCCTGCCTTCAGAAACTCTGTTGGCACCATTTTTCATGACAGCATGTGCTGACTTTGTGTCTTGTGTCACATTTTGGTAATTCTCACAGTATTTCAAACTCTTATTGTTATTATATCTGTTATGGTTATCTTTGATGTTGCTATTATAATTGTTTTTGGGTGCCATGAACTGTGCCCATATAAGAGGGTAAGTTTAATGTTGTGTGCATTATCACTACTCCATAGACCAGCTGTTCTGCTATCTCTCCCCCTCTCCTAGGGCCTCTCTACTGTCTGAGATACAACAGTATTGAAATTAGGCCACTTAATAAACCTACAGTGGCTTCTAAGTGTTCAAGTGAAAGGAAGAGTTGCAAGTCTCTCATTTGAAATCAAAAGCTAGAAATGATTCACCTTAATGAGAAAGGTGCTGAAAGCACAGGCTGAAAGCTAGGTGTCTAGCACTAAGGTTAGCCAAGTTGTGAATGCAAAGGAAAAGTGAAGAAAGTTTTAGAAGTTTGGATACAAGATCAAACCACCCACAACATTCCCTAAGCCAGAGCCTAATCCAGAGCAGGGCCCTAACTGTCTTCAATTCTACTGAAGGTAAGGAATCTGCAGAAGAGAAGTTTGAAGCTAGTACATTTTTTTGTTTTTGTTTTTTATTATTATTATACTTTAAGTTTTAGAGTACATGTGCACAACGTGCAGGTTTGTTACATATGTATACATGTGCCATGTTGGTGTGCTGCGCCCATTAACTCGTCATTTAGCATTAGGTATATCTCCTAATGCTATCCCTCCCCCCTCCCCCTCCACCACAACAGTCCCCGGTGTGTGATGTTCCCCTTCCTGTGTCCATGTGTTCTCATTGTTCAATTCCCACCTGTGAGTGAGAACACGTGGTGTTTGGTTTTTTGTCCTTGCGATAGTTTGCTGAGAACGATGGTTTCCAGCTTCATCCATGTCCCTACAAAAGACATGAACTCATCATTTTCTGTGGCTGTATAATATTCCATGGTGTATATGTGCCATATTTTCTTAATCCAGTCTATCATTGTTGGACATTTGGGTTGGTTCCAAGTCTTTGCTATTGTGAATAGTGCCGCAATAAACATACGTGTGCATGTGTCTTTATAGCAGCATGATTTATAATCCTTTGGGTATATACCCAGTAATGGGATTGCTGGGTCAAATGGTATTTCTAGTTCTAGATCCCTGAGGAATCGCCACACTGTCTTCCACAATGGTTGAACTAGTTTACAGTCCCACCAACAGTGTGAAAGTGTTTCTGTTTCTCCACATCCTCTCCAGCACCTGTTGTTTCCTGACTTTTAATGATAGCCATTCTAACTGGTGTGAGATGGTATCTCATTGTGGTTTTGATTTGCATTTCTCTGATGGCCAGTGATGAAGAGCATTTTTTCATGTGTTTTTTGGCTGCATAAATGTCTTCTTTTGAGAAGTGTCTATTCATATCCTTCGCCCACTTTTTGATGGGGTTGTTTGTTTTTTTCTTGTAAATTTGTTTGAGTTCATTGTAGATTCTGGATATTAGCCCTTTGTCAGATGAGTAGGTTGCAAAAATTTTCTCCCATTCTGTAGGTTGCCTGTTCACTCTGATGGTAGTTTGTTTTGCTGTGCAGAAGCTCTTTAGTTTAATTAGATCTCATTTGTCAATTTTGGCTTTTGTTGCCGTTGCTTTTGGTGTTTTACACATGAAGTCCTTGCCCATGCCTATGTCCTGAATGGTAATGCCTAGGTTTTCTTCTAGGGTTTTTATGGTTTTAGGTCTAACATGTAAGTCTTTAATATATCTTGAATTAATTTTTGTATAAGATGTAAGGAAGGGATCCAGTTTCAGCTTTCTACATATGGCTAGCCAGTTTTCCCAGCACCATTTATTAAATAGGGAATCCTTTCCCCATTTCTTGATTTTGTCAGTTTTGTCAAAGATCAGATAGTTGTAGATATGTGGCATTATTTCTGAGGGCTCTGTTCTGTTCCGTTGGTCTATATCTCTGTTTTGGTACCAGTATCATGCCGTTTTGGTGACTGTAGCCTTGTAGTATAGTTTGAAGTCAGGTAGCGTGATGCCTCCAGCTGTGTTCTTTTGACTTAAGATTGACTTGGCAATGCGGGCTCTTTTTTCGTTCCATATGAACTTTAAAGTAGTTTTTTCCAATTCTGTGAAGAAAGTAATTGGTAGCTTGATGGGGATGGCATTGAATCTATAAATTACCTTGGGCAGTATGGCCATTTTCATGATATTGATTCTTCCTACCCGTGAGCATGGAATGTTCTTCCATTTGTTTGTATCCTCTTTTATTTCCTTGAGCAGTGGTTTGTAGTTCTCCTTGAAGAGGTCCTTCTCATCCCTTGTAAGTTGGATTCCTAGGTATTTTAATTCTCTTTGAAGCAATTGTGAATGGAAGTTCACTCATGATTTAGCTCTCTGTTTGTTATTGGTGTATAGGAATGCTTGTGATTTTTGCACATTGATTTTGTATCCTGAGACTTTGCTGAAGTTGCTTATCAGCTTAAGGAGATTTTGGGCTGAGACATTGGGGTTTTCTAGATATACAATCATGTCATCTGCAAACAGGGACAATTTGACTTCCTCTTTTCCTAATTGAATGCCGTTTATTTCCTTCTCCTGCCTGATTGCCCTGGCCAGAACTTCCAACACTATGTTGAATAGGAGTGGTGAGAGAGGGCATCCCTGTCTTGTGCCAGTTTTTAAAGGGAATGCTTCCAGTTTTTGCCCATTCAGTATGATATTGGCTGTGGGTTTGTCATAGATAGCTCTTATTATTTTGAGATATGTCCCATCAATACCTAATTTATTGAGAGATTTTAGCATGAAGGATTGTTGAATTTTGTCAAAGGCCTTTTCTGCATCTATTGAGATAATCATGTGGTTTTTGTCTTTGGTTCTGTTTATATGCTGGATTACGTTTATTGGTTTTTGTATGTTGAACCAGCCTTGCATCCCAGGCATGAAGCCCACTTGATCATGGTGGATAAGCTTTTTGATGTGCTGCTGGATTCGTTTTGCCAGTATTTTATTGAGGATTTTTGCATCGATGTTCATCAAGGATATTGGTCTAAAATTCTCTTTTTTGGTTGTGTCTCTGCCAGGCTTTGGTATCAGGATGATGCTGGCCTCATAAAATGAGTTAGGGAGGATTCCCTCTTTTTCTATTGATTGGAATAGCTTCAGAAGGAATGGTACCAGTTCCTCCTTGTACCTCTGGTAGAATTCAGCTGTGAATCCATCTGGTCCTGGGCTTTTTTTGGTTGGTAAGCTATTAATTATTGCCTCAAATTCAGAGCCTGTTATTGATCTATTCAGAGATTCAACTTCTTCCTGGTTTAGTCTTGCGAGGGTGTATGTGTTGCGGAATTTATCCATTTCTTCTAGATTTTCTAGTTTATTAGCGAGATTGCTTCTTTCCTTAAACGTCATGAATCAACATTTACTAGCTTCTAGTATGCAAATAAACTAGAAGCTAGTAAATGTTGATTCATGAGGTTTAAGGAAAGAAGCCATCTTGCTAACATAAAAGTGAAAGGTGAAGCAAGAAATGCTGATTAGAAACTGCAGCAAGTTATCCTGAAGATCTAGCTAAGATCATTGATAAAGGTGACTACACTGAACAACAGATTGTCAGTGTTGATGAAATAGCCTTCTATTGGAAGTAGATGCTATCTAGGACTTTCATTGGTAGATAGCAGAAGCCAATGCTTGTCTTCAAAGCTTCAAAGGACAAGCTGACTCTCTTGTTAGGGCCCAATGAAGCTGGTGACTTTAAGTTGAAGCAAAGCTCATTTACTATTCTGCAAAATCTGTGGCCCTTAATAATTATGCCAAATCTGTTCTGCCTGTGTTTTATAAATGGAATAGCAAAGTCTGTATAATAGTACATTTGTTTACAGCGTAGTTTGCTGAATATTTTAAGCCCACTGTTGAGACCTGCTGCTAAGAAAAAAAGTTCCTTTCAAAATATTACTGCTTATTGACAATGCACCTGGGTCACCCAGGAGCTCTGATAGAGATGTACAAGGAGGTTAATATTGTTTTCATGCCTGCTAATACAACATTCATTCTGCAGCTCATGGATCAAGGAGTCATTTCAAGTTTCAATTTCAGCAAACTATCGCAAGGACAAAAAACCAATCACCGCATGTTCTCACTCATAGGTGGGAATTGAACAATGAGAACACTTGGACACAGGAAGGGGAACATCACACACTGGGGCCTGTCGTGGGGTGGGGGGAAGGGGGAGGGATAGCATTAGGAGATATACCTAATGTAAATGAGGAGTTAATGGATGCAGCACACCAACATGGCCCATGTATACATATGTAACAAACCTGCACGTTGTGCACATGTACCCTAGAACTTAAAGCATAATAAAAAAATTTAAATACATTTTGTAAGCTTACAGCTGCCGTACATAATGACTCCTCTGATGAATCTGGGAAAAGGAGATGGAAAATCTTCTGGAAAGGATTTGCTATTCTAGATAACATCACGATCATTCACTGTTATGGGAGGAGGTCAAAATACCAACATTAACAGAAGTTTGGAAGAAGTTTATTTCAATCCTCATGGGTGACTTTAAGAGGCTCAGGACTTCAGTGAAGTAAGTAACTGCAGATGTGGTAGAAATAGCAAGAGAACTAGAATTAGAAGTGGAGCCTGAAGGTGTGACTAGATTGCTGCAATCTTATAAAACTTGAATCAAGGAGAGTTGCTTCTTATGGATGAGCCAAGAAAGTGGTTTCTTGAAATATAATTTACTTCTGATGAAAATGCTGTATATATTGTTGATATAACTACAAAAGTTTAGAATAGTACATAAACTTAGTTGATAAAGCAGTGGAAAGGTTTGAGAGAATTGACTCCAGTTTAGAAAGAAGTTCTACTGTGGGTAAAATGCTGTCAAATGACATCGCATGCTACAAAGAAATCTAGCATGAAAGGAAGAATCAACTGATGCAACAAACTTGTTTGTCTTATTTTAAGCAATTGCCAGCCAGGTGCAATGGCTCACACTTATAATCCCAGCATTTAGGGAGGCTGAGGTGGTAGTATCACTTGAGCCCAGGAATTCAAGACCAGCCTGGGCAACATAGCAAGGCCCCGTCTCTATGAAAAAAATTAAAAAGAATAGCCAGGCATGGTGGCACACACCTGTGGTCCCAGCTACTAGGGAGACTTAGTTGGGAGGATCTCGAGTCTAGGGGGTCAAGGCTTCAGTGAGCTATGATCGATCCACTGCACTCCAGCCTGGGTGACAGAGCAAGACTCTGTCTCAACAACAACAACAAAAGATTGCCATAGCTACCCCAGCCTTTAGCAACTGCCAACCCTGATCAGTCAGCAGCCATCAACATCAAAACAGGACCCTCCACCAGCAAAAAGACTGAAAATCACTGAAGGCTGAGATGATCATTAACATTTTTTAGCAATAAAATATTTTTAATTGTTATGCACACTTTTTAGATATAATTCAATGCACACTTAATATAGTGTGTAAAGTGTAAACGTAACTTTTATATGCACTGAGAAACCAAAAAATTTGTGACTCACTTTATTGCAATATTCACTTTATCAAGGTTCTCTGGAACCTCACCTGCAGTGTCTCTGAGGTATGTCTTATATAATATGTGTTATATATATTCTCTACGTGTATAATTTATTTTCTTCAGCTCTTCAGGTGAACTTTACCATGTTAGGGACAGAATTATATTCTTTTTATACAACTTGTACAATTTTCTTTTAGTTCTTCCCTCCAAACCCTGTTGTTTTTATAGAGCATTCTTTCATGTGGCCTTTTTAAAGTTTTATGTTGCTTGCTATTATAAATGCAAACTTTTGTATTCTGTGTTTGAGTTATCTCTTTCTGAAATTGTGTTATTACCAATATTCTTTCAAAAGATATTGTGGAGTTAATAGTATTAGGCACTGAAGTTTAATTTTAAATTTTTTTGCAGAATAAAAATAATAATTATATTTGTATAAAAGGATATGAGTGCATTGATAAGTGAATCTCAATGTGTTTTATATATGATCCATGTAAAAATTCTCAAATACAATACACTTGGAAATTCTTAATACCATAGTATTAGCTGAAAAATTATGTTTTTTAGGCCAAATATTGGATTGAAAATTCTGACCTAACCTAGTATTTATTTCCTCCAAATAGTGTCCCTAGTTTCAGATGAAATACAATTTTAATTTAAGAATGAAATATGAAAGCAAGCCATTTATACATTGACAAGTCCCATAAAGTACTATGGAATTTAATCAAGTCTAAGATAGTCTCAATTGTTAAGTTACACTGTTATTTTATAGTACACCAAGAAAGAAAATAATGCTGTCACTGAAGTAAAACACAGTTTCTTAACATTTAGAATTTTTATAACTACTAAAAGAACTTTTTTAGACTTAAATGCAGATTATTTTAATAATTTTAATCACTTGTGAATATTTTATGTATATACACACACAGACATACATTGGAAAATATACATTAAAAAATTGGTAAGGCATTCCTAAACCTTCTTCCCTTTCACTACCGGACTCTTCTAAATTACTTTGGAGTCTGAGTTTTCAACATTCACATCTCACACCTAAGCTTATTCTGTCAGTGTGCAATATATTTTAACAGAGAGATCCACCATTTTTCCAGTGATTTCATCTAAAGAGCTACACCCAATCTTTAAGTTTTGATGTTGCTATTTACTCCACCTTACTAGAACGTGTCAACAGAAGATTTTCCTGTCAAAAATCAGGATTTATATTTATATTCATTTTTCAAATGCTCCTTAAAAGGTTCTACTGAAATGTGATTAAGCATTGTCCAATCAAGCCACAGGAAATAATAACCAAATTCAGACATGCATAGTCCATGATAACAACATTACTACCTATGACTGCCTCTTGATGAACCTATATTGGAAAAAGTCATTAGGTGTAAGACATCCTTTATGCTAATATGATAGGATGTGAAAACAATAGGTGTCTTAGAATCAATAAATTATAGTATTAAAGAAAAATCACTGTTGAAGATAATTTTAAAAAACAATTTCAGCTCTAATTAATGGCATATGTATGTGAATACAGACACATTATTCTAGAAAATAAAATTTTAACAGACAAGTCATTTATGTAATTCCTAGATTTTTTTGTTACATAAATTTACTTGCATCTTTTAAGATGTTTTGGATATTTTAGGTATGTTCTATTGAAAAACTTTTCCATCAAGATTTGAATGATTATGGTTACAACGAAATATATGTTCAACACTTCTAATTTATTATTTCATGTGCTTTTATACATATGACTGAAAATAACCTGTCAAACTGATCATTTGTGAAGTATTGAAAAGTTCTCATTATGTTTCATGTGAACTAGTATTTCTCCTCTGACCATTAAAATGTGCTTTCTTGCCTTTCCAAATGATTGGATGTTAAAGATAAACAAATAAATGACAAGAGCAACTGAGTATTTCTTTATCTCCTCTCTGCTGTAGGTCCTGTAAGTAGTGTTTTGGTGAATAAATACGGCAGCCGGCCGGTGGTGATAGCAGGAGGCTTATTATGCTGTCTTGGAATGGTGTTGGCCTCCTTTAGTAGCAGCGTGGTACAGCTGTACCTCACTATGGGATTCATTACAGGTAAGCCATTTAGTCTTCAGCTTATTCTTAACTCTTCTGTTATTTTCAAAGCTCTATGAGAAGAATGAACAACAGAAAATTCTTATTTTCTTTGAATTTATTTTTTTATAAACAATGCAGTTTTAAAATATTTTCATCTAGTACATTGAAATTCAAGCTATATAATGGGCAAACATTTCATTTTTAAAAAAATAAAAAATTATCAGACAAGTTACATGTTATCATATAAATTTAAAAAGAAAACAGCTTTAGTTTGCTTTTTTTCCTTTTTTGCTTTTTTCTCTTCAGCCAATGGAGATGGTGTTGTTGGACACAGACTTTCTGATGTAAATAAATACCTTCGTTATTATAAAACTTATTTTCATGACTTATCTGCATTTGCAGTATCTGACTTTCCACTCATAATATGTTAAAACGATGCCAGAGAGATATTTTCTGGATGCACTGATTTAGCTTTAACAATAAAATTATTGTTACTTGTTCTGATTAGTGGTAGAGCTCATTAACCGTGTTCCTTCTTTTTCTTACTGAAATGATCCTGTTTAAAAGCTCAGTGAGCCACACTTTCTTCTAACACAAATATTAAAAATGACCTACTGTCACTTGATGATAGTTGTTTCTCATGCACATATCTATTGACTCAAAATGACCACAATATGTACACCCGGAAAGCACTATTTTTATTAGTCTAAATAAAAAATTGCATTACAAATTTATATTCAACGTATTAGGAAAAATTGGACTTCAATATATAAAGAGACTGAATCTTTTCTTTCTGCCCAGAGATAAAAAGGCAAACATATTTACACTCATGTAATCTTACACTCATGCATCATTTGATGAAAAACATGTATTGAAGCTTACAGTAATAGTGATGTTAAAATCTTTCTCTTTACAATCTATCCACATCTCTCTCCTTTTTTGATATAACAAAATGCATTTAATATTGTAAATGAAAACCGTCTTATATGTAAGCATTATCATAGTGAAGAGAGTGCCTTTTCTTTTGTGTAGAGAAATTGACTACTGCATTTGACTGTAGAAGTCGGGATGCGCCTACAAGTAGGGAAAAGATGATTTTGTTATTTCCTTCACTACAGATATCAATGGCATTATTGGTGTTTCAACTTAGAATTGTATTCCTTTGGCTCTTAAATACTTTGATGCCCCCAAATTCAATTATTAAGTCCATCTATGAGGGATTTACTTTAAATCATTATCAGCAAATACTTTGACTTTGGTTTCCAAAAGTAGACAGATCTAGCATTTAAACTTGATACATATGATCTGTGTGATCATGGGTACGTTAACCTCCTTATACTTTCGTTGTCTATAAAATTAGATAAATAATAGCTCTTTTTAAAGGAGTTATTAGAAAAATGTAAAAAATGAATACGTAGTACTTTAGAGTACCCAGAATTTTGATGATCATAAATAAATATTTGCAAATAATCATAATACCATTTATATAATATCTTACAGTTCTAAAACTTACTTTATTTTGGCAAAATCTTTTTGTGTTGTTAGGTGAAGTCAAGCTCAGGAAGTCTAAGTGTTTTGCCCAGTAATATAAAATAGGTACCTATTTGGAGTAGATCAGTTCTATTGATTTCAAGCCTATGTTTGTTTAACCATGCCAGAATGAGAAAGAGATGGCAACTATTTCCAAATGAAAATATGGATTAAGATTTGAAGGCAAAAGTTCCAGGCGACAGAATGGGGAAAATGATTGATATAAGATTAAAAAAAAAAAAACCTTAAGCTCTGAAACATAATACCTGGATTTTAATTTGGGTTCTTCTACTTACAAGCTACTTGACCATAGGCTGGTCAGTTTTGTTATTTATAAATCGGATTTAATTACACTCATTCTGCATATCTCACAGGTATGGCTGAGGTATAGCGTTAGAGAACATGCTGTCCTGTTACTCTCCAAAGCATGTTCTTGTTCCTTCTTGTCAGCTTTTAGGGGTCCTCTTACTTATAGAAAATGTCTGTATTAAAGGGTTGGAGTATTTGTACACAGACCTGTGTATTTCACAACTGGAATACTTAACCACCTTACAGAACTGTTTCAATCTAGGTAAATTAGTTAATATAGAAGAACTCTTACCTCTCTAGCCCCTAAAATAAATATAGAGTAATTCCTAGTTTAAGGGAAAACAAGAGATAGTTTATATAAGCCCAATTTTATATAAACCAATGTACTTTTTTTTTTTTTGAGACAGAATCTTGCTCTGTCGCCAGGCTGGAGTGCAGTGGCATGATCTCGGCTCACTGCAATCTCCGCCTCCTCAGTCCAAGCGATTCTCTTGCCTCAGCCTACCAAGTAGCTGGGATTACAGGCATGTGCCACCACACCCGGCTAATTTTTGTATTTTTAGTAGAGACGGGGTTTCACCATGTTGGCCAGGATGGTCTCGATCTCCTGACCTCATGATCCATCTGCCCTGGCCTCCCAAAGTGCTGGGATTACAGGCATGAACCACCACTCCCGGCCTAAATCAATGTACTTTTTAAAGGATCTTATTTATTACAATTGCTCAGTAGTGCCTTAGTGAGCTACAAGAGGTAATTTATTTTCCAAAGGTGATACTCAACACTGCCAAGGAACTCCCTAGACAGTGGGACTTTGGCTCATATAAACAATCAGTGTTAATCCCTGAATTAAAACTATGTTTCAAGCAAAAACCTCCTTTTTACTTAGCACACAAGTGCATCTATATACATTAAATGTGGACTGTGAGGGATGTACAGCATGAAATTTTTGTTATTTGCATAGTATTGAAACAAATGTTTGTGGGGAGACATAAGATTGTTACAAATTACGACCTTTTTAGTCTGTTTATAATTCTTCAATGCCGAAAGGAAAGTATTCATTTTTATATTGCCCTCTTGCTCACAAGGAAGAAATCTATTCTATATATGTGTATATAAGTATATGTCAAGAGGAAAGGATCTGAGGAATTAAATGATTTTAATTGAGAACTAATAATTTTGTCCTAGTTTCAACCTATTGTACGACTGTTGATATATCAGTAGAAATTCTCAATTTCATTTTTGTGCTTTAAAATTAAAGGAATTAAACTTGAAATGAAACTGTCGTTTCAAGTGTTCAGTTATGAAAACCTTATTGTTTTGTGCAATTACATTTATAATAATCAAAATGTACTATATGATATTGCGTTTTTAATTCTGCCTTTCCCACTTGAATGTACATTTTGAGGAGTAATTTCTTTTGTGAGTGCCATAATGTGTTTGTGTTTTCCCCCACTTTTGTTTTGTTCTTTTTAGGTTTAGGTTTAGCCTTCAACCTGCAACCCGCCTTAACCATAATTGGCAAATACTTCTATAGGAAGCGACCCATGGCAAATGGATTGGCCATGGCAGGAAGTCCTGTTTTCTTAAGTTCATTGGCTCCTTTCAATCAGTACCTTTTTAATACTTTTGGCTGGAAAGGAAGCTTCCTGATTTTGGGAAGTCTACTTTTGAATGCCTGTGTGGCTGGTTCCCTCATGAGACCCCTTGGACCCAATCAAACCACTTCTAAGTCTAAAAATAAGACTGGCAAAACAGAAGATGATTCAAGCCCAAAGAAAATCAAAACGAAGAAATCAACTTGGGAAAAAGTTAATAAGTATTTAGATTTCTCCCTTTTTAAGCATAGAGGATTTCTGATATATCTGTCTGGAAATGTCATTATGTTCCTAGGTTTTTTTGCCCCCATTATATTCTTGGCTCCATATGCTAAAGACCAAGGAATTGATGAGTACTCGGCAGCTTTTCTGCTATCTGTTATGGCTTTCGTTGATATGTTTGCTAGGCCTTCTGTAGGATTAATTGCAAACTCCAAATATATTCGACCTCGAATTCAGTACTTCTTCAGTTTTGCAATCATGTTCAATGGAGTGTGTCACCTCTTGTGCCCACTGGCACAGGACTACACAAGCCTGGTATTATATGCTGTATTTTTTGGCCTTGGATTTGGGAGTGTTAGCAGTGTTCTCTTTGAAACTCTCATGGACCTCGTGGGTGCACCAAGATTTTCCAGTGCCGTCGGACTTGTCACAATTGTGGAGTGTGGCCCAGTTCTTCTTGGCCCTCCTCTTGCAGGTAAGAACGTTTTTCATCAAGGAAAATGTAAAGCATAAAATTAATATCCATTAACGGAGACTTTATATACAGATGTTTAAATGTGTTTTATAATAATACTAATAGCCTGAAGGAATATGGGCAGGTTAATTTTAGGTTTTATTATAAACTTTAAAATTTCATAATTAGTCAATTTTAGAACTAAATTTGTTTCAGAACCTGGACCTGTGAACTTAAGAACTTATGTTAGACTGATAATTAGTAACATAATCTTCAGGATTTTTATCTACTTCAGTTGTTTTGGTCTCTTAAAAATATATCAGAAAAAAATGCTATTTTATCTTTATCATTGGTGAACAGATCTCTCGTCTGTTTATATTGAAATGAGCCAAAATTGTAAAATATTCTCTCAAAAGGTCAGAATCTATTTTTTAGTTGAGTACATTGGATATATTAATTTGAAATTTGTTACATGCTGAGAAAATACATTTATAATATCACTGATAAGAATATATTCATGTATCTATTCCATATAGAGAAAGACAGGGATGACCGAAAATTTATTCACAGTTTTTTTGAGGGCCACTCATGTTCCATGTTTATAAATTGGAAAGATTACCTTCAGATTTTAAGATCTGAAATATTTTCAAAGATGCCAATAAAAGTGTCTGTGCTAAATTATTCAGTAAAAAGATGCAGTACATGTTTAGAGCATGACCAAAGAATACCCTCACAAATTGAGAAGCTGGTCTAATACTTGAGAGAGAGAGAGAGAAATAGATAAAATGTACATTACAGAAGCATTAGATTTTTGTTGGAATTGCTTGTGGTTATTTTATAGTTTCCTTCTGAATTACAGTGGTGAATGCTTTTAGAAGTAAATTATGCCTTCTGAACTTATGGTTTAAAGACATGTATCAGAGCATTTTGAAGTTAAAACTTTGTTTAGTCTTAGACTTTAAATGTTATAAATATTACATTCTGTTTGTGCACCAGCCTTTGCCAGCAACCAATGTATATTGTTTTGGTTAATACCGGACTTAAGTATTCACTTAGACTCTTGGCCTGCTCTCTCATGGTCAGAGTCATTGCCAGGCTAAATGTAAATTTTTCCATTATTTAGTCAGTTTTTAAACTGTTTTCTACATGACATCAAGGAACCATTCTGAAAGTGTGAAAAGTTATGTTTAATTTGTTAATTTTAATGACATCATTGACCTTTTGTCTCTTCATTTTTTTTTCACTTGGTTAGGAATGTATCAGTCGGCTCTAAGACCTAGGTGGTGTGGTTGTTGTCTTTCTCTGTCCACCAGGGCTATCCTATGGTATCTAGCACAGGTGTTTTAGGTGGTATATCTCTCAATATAAATATACCATGACATCAAAACAATTGTCAAAAGAGAGTGAAAGCCAGTAGGTCTTGTTATTTATCAGGCAGTTGATTTTGTTACATAAGATAAGCACAATTGGTCCTTCTTTTCATACGGAATTAGTTTGATCAACTGAGTTTTAGAGCCTATTCTTATCCACACAATTCTTAGTGTAAACAGAGAAGTTACCATGCATGAGGGGATGAAAAAAGAATCAAGTCCAAATACATAGTGGGGATAGACTCTAAGAATTAAAATAAAGGAATCTTATTTGGCCACTCCCACCTGAGCAGATAATGTGCATTAATATTTTTAAAAAACAGTTTCAATATTTTTGAATGCTTATTGTGTTAACATTGCCAAACCATGTGCCACTGGCAGCAAATGGCAATAATTGATTTTAGACCTATTGTTGAAACTCTCAGACTGTAGCCATTATATATCCATTTTTTCATTCCATGTCTGCCATCTGCTACCCGTAATATTTCTTGACTTTTAGATTGGCTTCTTCTCTATAGTATTTGATTATCGCTAGAACTGCTGGCCCATAGTAGGCACTGAGTTAATATTTTTGAATGATTGAATATTATTGCTGTTACGTCTTACATAGTTGCAGCACAGCAGTGAAAAGTAGGGAGTGTGTGGTTTCTATTTCATATTTGTTTTTTTCAGACTGAACTTTCACTGCTCCTCTCAGAAAGAATTGAAGCTTTAGTTCTGGAAAGCATATCTGGTTTCTTGATGATGCTAAAAAATTCTTTTTTTTTTCTTATTAGAGGTATTAGGCTAATTATTATTTAATCCTTAAAATATTTCTTTTATTATTTTTTATTTTATTATTATTAGACTTTAAGTTTTAGGGTATATGTGCACAATGTGCAGGTTAGTTACATATGTATGCATGTGCCATGCTGGTGTGCTGTACCCATTAACTCGTCATTTAGCATTAGGTATATCTCCTAAAGCTATCCCTCCCCCTCCCCCCACCCCACAACAGTCCCCAGAGTGTGATGTTCCCCTTCCTGTGTCCATGTGTTCTCATTGTTCAATTCCCACCTATGAGTGAGAATATGCAGTGTTTGGTTTTTTGTTCTTGCGATAGTTTACTGAGAATGATGATTTCCAGTTTCATCCATGTCCCTACAGAGGACATGAACTCATCATTTTTTATGGCTGCATAGTATTCCATGGTGTATATGTGCCCCATTTTCTTAATCCAATCTATCATTGTTGGACATTTGGGTTGGTTCCAAGTCTTTGCTATTGTGAATAGTGCCGCAATAAAAAATTCTTAAAACATTTAGAAAGTATGCTGATGTGGCAGCCCAAAGTGGTATTAACTCTGATGGGCCATGGACCTAATGCTTTTATATTTAGAAGTATAATAATCATTGTAGAAATAGAAATATTTGACTCAAGTTAAGAAGGCAAATTAAAATTATGCCATTTTTGTTATGTTTATGACTATGTCATGCTTACTTAAATAAACCCATTATACCATCTACCTGATTAAAACAGAAAATTTTGTTTAAATAGGTAATATATTACAAGTAGCCAAATTTAATGTTGAGCCACTGACTAGATTCTAGGGAGAATGCTATGGATTCTGACTAAACAGACTGGTTTGAAAGTTGTATATCAGAATCACTTGGAATGCATATGCTAATTTATATAGATTTGTATACACTAAATTTTGCTGCTGTTAATAATTACGAAGAATTAGATGCCTGCATAAGCAAGAGACAAAACTAAATATAAGCTGACAAAATTTTAAAAGTCAATTAACCTTCATATTAAATGGCACCAGGCTAGATTTTAAATGGTCTCAATAATCAAGTGGAATAGTTTTTTTACTGATTAGTTTCACCTTAATAATTTAGACTCAGATAAAGTGAAAAACTAGGATTAGCTCAAATAGTGACATGGCACTTAAACAACAGGTTAGGTGAAGCCATTCTGCAGAGTAGTTAAGAATGAGTACAGACAGACCTCAGTTAAGAGTCTAGATTCTACCACTAACTAGCTACATAACCATGCCCAGATTACTTCACAGTACTCCTTGTAAGGATCAAGTGAGCTATTACAGATAAAATTCTTAGGCTAGTATGGGGCATAGAGAAAGCACTTAGTAAATATTAGACACTGTTAGGAACCATGTAAAAGCCTTTGGGTTTCTCCTAAAGAAAGTAATTTTTCTCTATTGAAGAGAAAAGGAAGCATGGAAAGGGTGAAGCAATCCTAACGTGTGCTGTAAATAGAGATATCTATATTCACATGTATAGATATAAAAATATACCTCACTCATGTATGTATTAATATATACACACAAAAAATGCCTAGTTTGTCTTGTTTGTATATTTTACTGAGAGAAATAATTTTTAGTAAATTTAATGTACTAGTAATATAATACTGTAAGTGTCTCTGCATACCTTTACTAAGCATATGTAGAAGTCATAATCTAGATTTTTTTATTTTTAAAGTCTTATTTGACATTAATTTAAATAAGAGGAATATACTTTGAAGAATAATTTATTTGAATTTTTATCATTATATGACTGTTTTATTATGCCAACTTAAAAGATGTTCTTTGTCTTCTAGGTAAATTGGTGGATTTAACTGGAGAATATAAATACATGTACATGTCCTGTGGGGCTATTGTGGTAGCAGCAAGCGTGTGGCTGCTCATTGGCAATGCTATCAACTATAGATTGCTTGCAAAGGAAAGGAAGGAGGAAAATGCAAGGCAGAAGACCAGAGAATCTGAACCCTTGAGCAAATCTAAACATTCGGAAGATGTTAACGTCAAAGTTTCAAATGCACAGAGTGTAACCTCAGAAAGAGAAACTAACATTTAACAAGAATCACATCTCTGATTTCAGTGTTTATGACTTTATCTAGGAGTTTGTTTTTCATTTTGTTTTTTTAAAGTATTAGAAAAGGTTTTAGCTGAAATGAGGAGTCACAATTAAGGATGGAGGTGATATTTTCCTCAATGGCAAATTTTAAATTAGTTTTTAAAAACTTACTTATTTGGGTAGTTAAATTTTGAGATTATGCATAGAAAGAATCCATGCTATAGGTTTATTTCCATACCTGACTCTGGGTGTGGTGGTTAAAATACTAATTTTAAAGTCTTCCAGTGACTTTCGGTCTTGGTTATATGGAGAATTCTGAATCCCAAACCCCTGGTTTAAGTAGGTAGAAGGAGGATGCCTAATCCTACAAAGTGACCCTTTATACATTTCATTTTTTATTTGATATTAAAGTATGAGATAGAGTTGAGAGACAATTAATTATCCCCTCTTACACACAAACACACATACTCCCACATACTTACCCACATGTACACAGAGTATCTGGAGAATAAAACCCAAATTCAAAAAAAAAAATGATAATTTATTTTTAAGGTAAAAATAATCCATGAAGATAAAAGAAACATATGTCTGCGTGCTACTTTACAATGTTGGTTTTAAAGATAAGCACATGGGTAAAAATGAGGGTGATCCTTATTCAAAAATAACATCTGACTACTATAAAAATATTTGCATATATAAGTTTGACAAAGAAAAGAAAATCAATGTTAAACCATTAAATCTGAGCACTGTTAGACTTGATTAATCCATGCACATGATTTTTTTTGAGTAGGGAGCATTAGTACCTGGTGCTAGAGAATAGAACCCTCAAATAATTTTTAGAATTCTTACCTAATATGTAAAAGTCTGCATGACTCTTAACAATGAGTCACATCCATTGATTTTACAGGGATTTTAGTTCGTAATCCAGAAAGTAATAATCAGGGATTTTATTTTAATCAGGCATCAATCCAGATTCACTGTTATACTGAAATATCAAAGTAAAATCCTAGTTGGCAGGATTGTAAGTAGACCGAATTCTAATTTTTCCCAACACATAGTGGTAATTGGAGGTTACTGTTATGAATACTCCATCTGACTACGACTAAGAGAGTGAGGGGTGGTTTTAATGAACCCTCTAAGCTCTCTCAGTTCCTTCCCTTCCACAAAATGCAAGAGCAAAAGCAAACTACAAACAGGCCTTGTGCTCAACCACTGGAAATGCCTCCTGGGATAAGAATGGCAGCACTTGAAAATTCTGCCCTCTACTGATGAGACTTCCTGCTGCCTTTGGACATAACTAAGCCAGGAAACTTTAAAAGCCTTCTAGAAATAGAGGCACTGTATGACTTGCAATCGTAGGTATAGTTTATAACCTGATAGCAAAAAACTTGAAATATTGCAGCCCAGTTTAATTCAGCACTTTCCCATTTTCATAACTATGTGAAAACATCTGGGAATTTGAATCACTCCTGAATACAGAGGCATATTCTTTTTAAACTATAAATACCATTTTGAGTGAGAAAGTACTTTTAAACAAGAAAGAAATTGTACATTATGACTAAAGTTATAAATACAATATTTATATCTATAAATCTGAAGTTTAACATGATTAATTTAAAAAGTATTTAGTGCTTGACAAAGTAGTGTCACTCTTAAGATGTCAAAGGGAATTAGCCATTTTTTTTATTGTAATAAAGGCAGGTGCTATTTTTTTCTGGTGAGATTGCACCTGGATACCAGGCTTTTGTAATAGTTAACATTAAACATTTGATTCATAAAGTTAATTCACTGCTTAAGCATGTGGCTCATATTTAGGAAGCTATATAAAATTCAGTTTTTCATTTAACATTTGCTCTTTTGCATATGAAGAGATATTTGTATTTTTCAAATGTTAAGTAAAACAAGATGTGCCAATATCATAGGTAAATAAATTAGGGAAAATGTGGGACTTTATGGCTGTTTTTAATTTAGTTTCACCCGATCTTGATTCTTGAATTAGCTATGTTTATATTTTTAGTTCTTTTTTATTCAACTCAGATTTGTCAAGAAATGTAACCTCTAAATTGTGTAGTACCTCTCCAATCATAAATTTTCAAAAAAAAATTCTACTTTCCAAAAAGTGTCTTGAATTCTCTGAAAAGGCACATTAAACTAATATGAACATCAGATACCAGGGGGAAATAAATGGCAAAGTAATAATCATGAGGTTTTAGGTCAAAGACTACATTATATATATTTTTTATTACCTTCTAGTAGAGACATCCTCCTGGGTGCATTTCAGTGGCCTTCTCCAGGGAGGAGGTTTATTTACTTACTGATGAGTTTCTCGTCACGTCAAAACCAGTTCACATTTGTCTGGCTGCTCTTTGGTTGTCTTCATTCGTTATTTATTTCTAACACTGTATTAAATTGTTAGAAAAGAAAGTAAAACTTGCACATTCAAAGCACATGATTTGTACAGTCACACCTGGCAGTAGCACTGCACAGTTACAAATATGCACACACGTTAACTGCTATGCATAAATATTGACAGTTAAACCAGAACACAATTGAAACAGTGACATAAATACCTACAGGATTCAGAATTGTTCCAGGGTAATATAAATTATTCTACTTGTTCACTCTCCCCACCCTCTTGAACTTGTTAGAAGATTTGCTGCTTTAGCAGAATCTTTCCAAGATTGAGAAAAGTGTATCAACCTAGGATTTTCATTACTATATAGTCACATAAATGGAGGAGGAGATATATTTGGCTTCTGCCTCTGCAACAATTAGTATGAACATATTTCTTTCTCTAGGGAATAATAGGTTTTAAACATTTGAGATATCATGAAGCAAAGTCAGGGTATACCACTACAATCCCCACTAATCTCTATTCCCACATTATGAAATTGTACAGAAGAAAGGGTGTCATTAAATCAAGGTATCCAGATAATTCATGGCTACTTTAACTATTTTTTCATTCGTGTTAACTGAGCCCCCCATATTTTTTACTACTTAACCTTAAATATGCCATCACTAATTTATGAATAGAACATTGTGTTTGCACTTTTCCTGACCTATCCTCACCCCCTTTCCTGATCCTTTTTGCATTCACCTAGCACACCTTAAGAGACAAAAAATCAGGTTTTAGTGTATTTCACATTGGAAGACATGATGTTTTCTCAGTATAAATCTACAGGACTCATAAACAATCACTTTTTTGGTGCCAAGTTTCAACCCTTTAGCTCATGGACTCATTGGCCTCAGCCTAATACTAAGAAACAAGTAAAATAATTAGATTTTCTATGTTTGAATGTGCACTTTAAAAAATCTAGATAATTTATACTCATTCTTTTCTGGCTGTACAACATGACAATCAAGAATATAGAAAAGAAGACTAAAAGATATATGATATAAATGTAAGTTTTTATGTAGATGACATAAATATGAAGAGATATTCTTGGTCAGTTGGTTGAAACATTTTTTATCTAAAACACCTTTAAAAAATCCCTTTCATATGTAGAATGTGGAAGGCTTTTAATAAAACAAAAATTATTATTTTTAGGCTTAATTTAATAGGGAGATTGGATGCATAGTGGAAAGGGAACTAATATTTATATGTTATGCATTTTGCTTATGTAATGCCTTTCAATATGAAAACCAAAACCATGGCAGAATTATTACTAGCTTGATATGACAGATGAGTGAAAACAAAAAACAAGCTCAGCAGACTACCCAAAGTTAAAAGGTAGTATGAACCAAAATTAAAACTCAGGTTTACGTAACCAGAAAGATCCCCGAGGTGTTCACTACCGTGCTGCCTCCCAATAGAGGCCAGAGAAGCAAAGGAAGATAAAATATAGGTACAAAAAAGATACATCCTATATAGTAAAACAATTAGGTTTAACTGTAACTTGTATTATGATTTATTTAGTGTTTATTAGAGAACTGCATTTGCTAGAACCTGAATATGTAATTTCTTTCTTTCTTTCTTTTTTTTTTTTTTTGAGACTGAGTCTCGTTCTTGTCGCCCAGGCTGGCGTGCAGTGGCACAATCTCGGCTTACTACAACCTCTGCCTCCCAGGTTCAAGCAATTCTCCTGCCTCAGCCTCCCGAGTAACTGGAATTACAGGCATGTGCCACCATGCCCGGCTAATTTTGTGGCTTTTTTTGTTTTGTTTTGTTTTGTTTTGTTTTAGTAGAGATGGGGTTTCTCCTTGTTGGTCAGGCTGGTCTTGAACTCTGACCTCAGGTGATTCACTCGCCTCTGCCTCCCAAAGTGCTGGGATTACAGGCGTGAGCCACTGCGCCCAGCCTTGAATATGTAATTTCTGATTGCCTGCTTTTCTCCCCAATGCAAATTATCTCAAATAATGATAATTATTACATATAGACATAATTACTTCAATATGACTCTTTTTCTCATAAAAATAATGACATATTTGAGTCAGGCATAATACATTTTTTCTGAGGTTGGAGTTAGCAGGAAAATGTTATCTTTTATGAATAAATAATTCCCAGATTGGTTGCTACATATCATGATTCAAAAAGTAAAATAATTACCTGGATGTGGTGATGTGCACCTGTAGTCCCAGCTACTCGGGAGGCTGAGACGAGAGGGTCATTTGAGCCCAGGAAGTTGAGGCTTCAGTGAGCTATAATGGCCCCACTTGCAGTCCAGCCTAGGCAATAGAGTGAGAATCTGTCTCTATTAAAAAAAAAATAAAATGTTCTTACTAGAAAACATTATATTTAGAATTTTAGTGATTATTCCATTTATAATATTATCCGTAGCTACCAAAAAAAAGATTATAAGATACAAATGATTTGGTTTACCCATACAGTTACATATTAATTTTCATCATTTAATACAACTTACCCTACACCGTAGCTTATTTTTCAAGTTTCTCTGAACATCTTTGTTGTCATTCACCTCTTTGTCTATTTGTTCTGTAGAGAAAACAAGTGTCATTGCTTTTGTCTTCTCCATCTAGACTTTTGCAGTCCTTAGACTATAGTTCTCCTTAGCTCTATTCAAATAGTGCACTTGCAAGGCGCTGCATTCTTCTCAAAGTCAGCCATGATGCACATATTTATAATTACATACACATATAATTGAATATGATTTTAGAGTCTTGAAAAACTGATCTTCTTTGGCACTATCCTGAATGTTTCTGATTTTCTTAAAGTGCCTGACAATATTGAGTAACAAAGCTTACCATCACCACATTGCACCATTATGTATTATTCTGTCTCCATCAATGCAGTGACATCACTGATACATCATACCAACAAGATTTCTAACCACAACCATTCAGAGCACTAATTAGCATCTATATTGAGAATATAAGATTAATATTACAAACTTGACTTTACTCATCTCTCTTTAAGATTTTGATTTCTGCACAACCATATGCAGAACTCATGTTTGAGAAGGCACTTAAAAGCTGAAAGGCCCAATTATCAGTAATTATAATGCTTGCATGATCAAAATTACAAATTATCTTTGTTGATACAATTAAAAATGAGTAATTTTCTGAGCTTATGTCACTTTTTTATAGTTCTGATTTTCTCTTCTTTCCTATCAGTTGTTTGTACACTGGAGATTTTAGCTCTTTACAGGGTGCTACAATCTGGTTTATTTTAGTCTTCTCTCCTCTACTGCTTTTTCTTCACTTTAATTCATTTATGTGCAAATCAGGGAAGAATTGCTGTAGTATTGAGAATGGTCATTTTAAAAGTCTCTACCTTAAGAGCAAAATTAATATTGCAAAATGAATTTTTGATTTTACAGAAGCATATGGGAATTTAGATCAAATTACATCTCCCATCCCAATCTCCTGCTTCTTCATCATCTCCTAAATGTTTTCCTTTCTATGTTTTTATAATATCTAGGTAAAACTTGTTTAGCATTTTTTATTTAATTATGGACATATTTAGTATGGACTTTTGTTTCTTTGGTATAGTTAGTTACACTTGTTTGCATGATCTACATGTTTTTCAGTCTCCATATATACTTGTTAATAAGGTGAGCAATATTCAGGAATATTTCAGTAGGCAATTAATGATCATAAATTTATTCACATTTCAGTAAATATTTTTCACATGATCAAACAGGATTTTTTGTTTCTTTTTAATTTAAATATGGCAAAATAAGCTAGAGAATCTCAGTGTGAAAACACTGATACTGAACATTCTATTAAAATAGAATAAGTTCGTGTAGGGACATGGATGAAATTAGAAATCATCATTCTCAGTAAACTATCGCAAGAACAAAAAACCAAACACCGCATATTCTCACTCATAGGTGGGAACTGAACAATGAGAACACATGGACACAGGAAGGGGAACATCACACTCTGGGGACTGTGGTGGGGTCGGGGGAGGGGGGAGGGATAGCATTGGGAGATATACCTAATGCTAGGTGACGAGTTAGTGGGTGCAGCGCACCAGCATGGCACATGTATACATATGTAACTAACCTGCACATTGTGCACATGTACCCTAAAACTTAAAGTATAATAATAATAAATAAAATAAAATAAAATAATAAAAATAAAAATAAAATAGAATAAGTTGATAAAAGCTCCTCTGTTCAGAAAAACAAAAGAATGGCATTTTATCTCACATAAATTTAGGATGAAATTTTAAAACATTCTTTTGACTAAGACTTTAATTCTTATATGCATCTAAAATAAATGTTTTGAGTTAGACTCAGTTTATATAGCTTCCTCGTTAGAGTACACATTTTTTTTCTCATCCTCCGAATCTCAAGAGTACATATTTCTGACAAGCTTTTCAATGGTACGATGGATTTTATTTTTCTATCATCAACTTTCTATATTTAACTAAAGCATTAGTATTTCTAGATTTAGTGAAATAGCAAATATGAATTAAAATATTTATTTCTAAACATTAGATCTAATTGTATTTTGATTTGTTTTGATATATTTATGTCTCAGAAGATATGTTTAATGAATTCATTTCATCCTCTCAACCCTCAGTTTTGATAGGTATCCACATTTTTACCATATAAAACTAGACTGGATTAAGGATTTTGCCTAAACCTATACCAATACTCTGAATAAATGCAGGGTTGGAGATAGAATTCAGGTCTTTTAACTTCTAACACACTTTTTTCTCCATTGCACTACAGAAGCCGTAAGGTCATAATGATGATCTTTGTAGAGTAAATAAAATATTTTCCTAGAAATATATATAACAACCCTACTTGATAGTTTATAGCCCAAATGAATATATTTTTCCAATCATGGTTTGCAAAATCATGTTTGCAAACTTACTTTGAAGACTATTTCCTGATTGCCACGGCAGATAATTCGTGGCAAATCAGAAATAATATTTAGTGAGATTAATTATTTTGCACAATATATGTTGTTATAGCAATATCAAAATCATTTAAAACATCAATATTGTATTAATAGAAAACATGTCAATATCTCATTAATTCCTTTTTTATTTTATGTTCCTTTTTATTTTAGAAGCAGTGTTCATTTTTTTCTGAAGTAGAACGCCAGAGCACAGAACACACAGTTCAAGTTTAAATTATTAAATTGTATGCAAGAAATTATTGCCATAGCATAGTCTTGAGGAGAACACCTCTACAGTATTTCTTGATCTAAGAACCTGAACATATGTTAATGAAATTATTAGAGTAAGTTCTATCTCAAAAATTTCTTATTTTATGAATGTTTTCTTCACCTAATAAACAATACTAAAATCCATAACAGCTGTCTGGCAACAGTGTAATTAGAGCTTCTTTTATGTTAGAGATTCCATCTACCTCTGCATCTTATCTAGCTAGATACAGTCTTTCTAAACTTTCTCCTTTATTCCCATGTAGAGAACAAACAAAAATCACACCTAAATTAAAGATCTGTGGTGAAGGGGAAGAGGGGTTGCTATTAGGAGTTTTCCCGGTAAAACTGTAAAAACAGTAATCTGCATTCAGTATTTGTTTGCCTAGTTCATCAAGATATTTACCCTAAAAACACATTTTAATAAAAATTTGGGTAAACTCATGTATCGCAGTAAAATCTTTTATGAATTGGGTGGGCCCTAAAAACATCTGTAGTACGTGATGTGTTTGGTTAGATTCAGCCAAACCGACACCCGTATGCTAAGACTGCATTGTCATTCTGACAGGAGGCAGGCCTCAGTAGTTGCAGTGAGTGCATTTACTAATATAAGGATCCTTCTTTGTAGTGACAACAAAAATGAGATTGTAACTTAATCAAATATGAGTCAGATATAGTAATTCCTGATATTGCAGATGAAAGAGCAGGGTCTTTTCAAGTGCTTGCTACAACTGACTAAATTTGAAGCTTTTTATGTAAAAGTTCTTCTCCCAGATATTTTAAACCAGTATGTTAATTATTTCCTAGAATGAATAATTCTCCTTTTTTGATAGATTTTTGAAATTGTTTTACTTACTACTTACATACTTTGAACAAATATGTTTTTCTAATCCCAGCATTAAATTGAAACAAATATTTAAAATAAGATTGTTGGAATAAAAGTTATAGATAGTCACTTGTTGCTAATAAAAGACATTCCTTGGCAACAGCCACATCCAGCTAACTTTTGCAAGAATTTTTTAAGGGATTAGATTTAGGGGTTAATGTTTAGAATTATTTTTAAAATATAAATTATATTTTAGGCTGTATTTTTGTGATTTTTAAGTGAAAAAAATAAAATGTAGTTGTCTTGTTTATTCTATAGATATCTTAATGACCACTGAACAAATGATCATATTGCCACATGGTCTATCAACTATGGTTACTATGATAGTGAAATAAAGAGGATAGTTTTGCTTGACACCTAAATGATCCAAACAGTTGTTTTTACATGACTTAAATCATGGCTGTATTATTTCATTTTTAAAGAAAATAAAGTATAAAATAATACATTTAAAATACCTGTCAAAGTTTTAAAATATAAGATAGAACCTTCTTTTTTTGCCTTCTTACACATGAATGTACTTAAAGTATTGTTATGTGATCTTGGGATACTTATTTATTTTTGAAATTTTTGTATATATAGCATTTCTGAACTTAGCAAATAATATGTGTAAAGGAATTAACCAAAAATGAAAGAACTGGCATTTTCATATGGATACATATTTTGCTTAAACTAAATAAAATAACTTAGATTTATTTAAATCAGGAATATTTTACGTTGTTGATCATTTTTAAAGTATATTTTGTTCAAATATTCCTAATTTGTTTTTCAGCACACTTGTTTAAGTTCTTGCCTTTCAGGTATACTACAGCGTTATATGAACATAATGTTTTAAAAAAATCTTGGTTGTAGTTTCTAATTTTCACTGCATAACAAATTTGAAACCAAATGTTGAATTTCTCTGTGAGGGTACTTATTTTGCCTACAGTTTCAAATATATTTTCAAATTCATCTCTTTCTTACTAGACTGTGAGCTCCTTGTGGACAAGGATGTTATTTTAGTTATAATGACAACTTTAATATCTAGCAAAGTGCCAGGCATAGAGTATTCCTTTATTGAAATGAATTGATAGATATTGATTATTAAAATGCTACTACAGTATTCTACGATGCAGGCTGAATGTATATTACAGTAATTCTCTGGCTAATTTTAAAAGTAAGACATAGAAAACAAAACACCTGTAGCATTTTCTTTATTTAAAATTGAAACTCTGTTTTGAATCCTTTTTATTTTGTCAAACATTCTATGCAAATATTGAAATATGCAACAGCTAAACTTTATGGTACATATTAATTAGTTTTATTTTCTTTTCAAAATCAGAAATGCTGTATTTAAGCTTCCTGGAAATGTCGACAATCATTTTAATGACCAAAGGTGCTACTTATTTTTCAACATTGACCTTGATCATAAGTGCTTCTATCTGCTGAGCTTTATTTATTGTTTTTGGACAGAAAGTTTGGTGGGAAGGTTGCAATAAAATCAGAATCTCTCTTGTCTGAATTATGCAGTTTAACCCTGTCCATGTTCCTCTGTACTCTATTCTTACTGTATTTTAGTTATTGTTTCTTACTTATCACTAATTTTTACTGCAGGTCTGTGCTGTTTCTTAGAAAGTACATGCATATATATTTCTATAATATGTAAGAAAAAACCTGTATTGCTTATTAAATTAAAATTAAAATAAAAAAATTCATGTTAAATTTTTGAAATGAAATCTATACTACATATTCTTAAGGGCCATTAAATGCTGTTACTCTATGCTAATCAAAACATAATTTTCCACACCAGACCAAATTAAGGGCATTTCTTTTGTCTGAATGGACATAATTGACAATGTCAATAGAAGTCAGACACGGCCAAAAATACAATGAATTCCTAAGGGCTCAAATGAATTTTTACTGTTGTTTTTCGTGAGTATACATTTTAATAGATTTATACAGAGTAAACAAACGGAGTTCAAAAAGAGAACATTACTGGCATCACAGAAGATCCCCTCAAACCCCTTCCCAGCCTATTCTTGTTCTCTGGACTTTTTGTAAAAATAGACCATTTTTTTTAGAGCAGGTTTATGTTTACAGCAAAATTGAAAGTCCAAGGATTTTCCATACACCCCTTGCCCCAACACATGCATAGCCTCCCTAATTATCAACATGACTCCCCACCCCGGCCCCTCGAGTGGTAAATTTGTCACAATTGATGAACCTGTATTGACACATTGTTACTCAAAGTTCATAGTTTTTACATTAGGGTTCACTTTTGGCATGGTGCAGTAGTTTCAGTGCACTGGAACTCTGTACGCAAAATAGTCATCCCAATCCCTTAAACCCTGGTAACCACTGATTACTATCTCCATAGTTTCGACTCTTTTCAACGTTATTTAGTTAGAATCATACTGAATGTAGTCCTTTCACCTGGCTTCTTTCACTTAGGAATATGCATTTAAGTCTCCTCCATGTATTTTCATGGCTTCAAAGCTTACTCTTTTCTAAAGTTGAGTAATATTCCATTGTCTAGATGTTCCAATCTAGATGTCCTACTTCAGTAGGACATCTCAGTTGTTTCCAGCTTTTGGCAATTACTAATAAAGCTGCTTATAAACATCCTTGTGCAGGTTTTGTTTGGACATAAGTTTTTAACTCCTTTGCATAAATACCAAGGAGTATGATTGCTGGATTGTATGGTGAGAGTATGTTTGGTTTTATAAAAAGCCATCAAGCTGTCTTTTGAAGTGGCTGTACCATTTTGCATTCCCACCAGCTTTGAATGAGACTTTCTGTTACACCCTCTCCAGCATTTGGTATCATCAGTGTTCTGGGTTTTGGCCATTCTAATACGTGTGTAGTATCTTATTGCTGTTTACTTCCCTACTGATATATGACGTAAAACATCTTTTCATATGTGAATTTGCCATCTGTATATATTCTGGGTTGAGGTGTTAGTCTAGAGTTTTGGTCAATTTATAAATTGGGTTGTTAGTTTTCTTACTGTTTTAAGAGTTCTTTGTATATTTTGGATAACAGTCTTTTATCAGATATGTCCTTTGCGAATATTTTCTTCCAGTGTGTGGCTTTTCTTCTTATTCTCTTGACAGTGTTTTTGGGGAGGCAGAATATTTTAATTCTAATGAAGTCCAGCTTGTCAATTCTTTCTTTCTTGGATTGTGCCCTTGGGTTGGCATCTAAAAAGCCATTGCCAAACCCTTAATCATCTCGATTTTCTCTTCTGTTATCTTCCAGGAGTTTTATATGTTTTTGTTTTTTACATTTAGATCTGTGATCCACTTTCAGTTAATTTTTGTGAAAGATTTAAGGTCTGTGTCTACTTTCATTTTTCTTTTTTGTTTTTACATGTGAGTGTTCAGTTGTTTCAGCACCATTTGTTGAAAAAATTTTCCTCCATAGCATTCTGTTGCCTCTATTGCTCCCATTGTCAAAGATCAGTTGACTATATTTATGTAGGTCTATTTCTGTACTCTCTATTCTGTTTCCTTGATCTGTTTGTTCATCCTTTTGCCAATACCACACTGTTTGCTTTACAGTGGCTTTATAGTGATTCTTGATGTCAGGTAGTGTTAGTCCTTCAACTTTATTCTTCTTCAATATTGTGTTGGCTATTCTGGGCTTTGCCTCTTCATTTAAACTTTAGAAATAGTTTATTTATATCCACAAAATAACTGGCTAGGATTTTGCATTGAGTTACAACATTCTCCTTTAGCTCAGCAAGTTCCTTAGTATCCACCTTCTGAAGCCTACTTCTGTCAGTTCAGCCATCTCAGCTCTAGCGCAGTTTTGTGCCTTTGCTGGAGAGGTGTTACAGTCATTTGAGGGAGAGAAGGCATTCTAGCTTTTTGAGTTTTCAATGTTTTTACATTGATTCTTTCTCATCTTTGTGGGCTTATCTACCTTGTATCTTTGTGATTGCTGACCTTTGAATGGAGTTTTGGTGGGATCTTTTTTGTTGATGTTGCTGTTGTTTTCTGTTTGTTCATTTGTTTTTTTAACAGGCAGGCCACTCTGCCTTAGAGCTGCTGCAATTTGCTGGGGGTTCGCTCCAGACCTCAGTCGACTTGCTTTCTCCCATACCTGGAGGTTTCTCCAGTGAAGGATGTGAGACAGCAAAGATGGCAGCCAGCTTCTTCCTCTGGAAGCTTTGTCCCAGGTGGGTAGTGACCCATTGCCAGCCTGCCCTACCTGTAGGAAGTGGGTTGGAGACCCACATTGGGTGGTCTCACACAATCAGGAGGAATGGGATCAGGGACCCAACTAAAGAAGCAGTCTGGCTGTGTTTTGGTAGAGCAGTTGTGTTACATTAGCGGTGGGAGGGTCCCTTCCTCATCTGGGCCACCTTTATTCTCCAAACCTGGCAGGCTGGAGTGGCTGAGTCAACTGAACCACAGAGATGGCAGCCACCCCTCTCCCCAGGAGCTCCATCTCAGGGAGAGATTGCTTTGTCCGTGGAACCCTTGCTGGAGTAGCCAAAGCCTCGCAGGCAGGTCCCACCCAGTGAGGAGGGATGAATCAGGGTCCCACTTAAAGAAGCAGTCTGGTCACAATCTGGCAAGGCAGCTGTGCTGCATTGTGGGGGATCCTTTCTCATCTGAGCCATCTGTATTCACAATCGGCAAGCTGGAGTGGCCAAGTCTACCAAACCACAGAGATGGCAGCCACCCCTCCCCCAGGGAACTTGGACCTGTCTCAGGCAGACTTCAACCCACTGCCATTGGCTGGCTGGGATCCAAGCCAGTGAGTCTTAACTTGTGAGGTACCATGGAAGTGGGGCCCACAGAACCAAGTTACCTGGCTCCTTGGATTCAGCCCCCTTCCTGGGGATATGTACAGATGGATTTCCCACTTTGCCAAGGATCCCAGGGCTGGACTATGTAAAACTCCTGGGTCTCTGAGAGTGCGTGAGCAGCTGCTCTGCCGAGACTCCACACACCTCTGTGTATCAGACCCAAGACCCTGGCGGTGTGGGCTCACTAGGGGATCTCCTGTTCCGTGGTTTGCAAAGATCTGTGGGAGAAGCATGGTTTCCCAGCAGGCTCACACAATCACTCACCACTTCCCTTGGCTGGGGTGGGGATTCCTTTGGCCCTGCCCACTGTTCTTAGTTATCTGTGGGTTGAGATGTTCTTCCAGTCAGTCCTAATGCAAGAACCTGGATATCTCATTTGAAGGTGCTGAATTCATTTGCCCCTTTTCATTCCTCTCCATGCATGCCACAGACGATCGTTGTTTCTAATCAGCCATCATGGATCCACCCCCCTGGCTGGGATTTTGATTGGGATTAAATTGAATCTGTAGATCAACTTGGAAAAAACTGATATCTTGATAATATTGTCTTCATATCAATGAGCATGGACTATATCTCCATTTAGTTATTCTTTGGTTGCTTTTATCAGATGTTTGTAGTTTTCCTTACGTAGATCTTGTATGTGGTTTGTTAGATTTATGCTTGAGTATTTAATTTGGGGGATTCTAATGTAAATGGTATTGTGTGTTTAATATCAAATGTCATTTGTTCATTGCTGGTATATAGGAAAGTGATGAACTTTGTATTTTGCTCTTATATTCTACAACCTTGCTATAATTGATTATTAGTTCCAGGAGTTTTTTGTCAATTAGTTCAGATTTTCTACATAAATGATTATGTCATGTGTGAACAAAGACAGTACTGGGCCTTATACTTTCTGTTTGGGGATATTATTAATTACTGATTTTATTAATTTAATCGGTACAGGCCTATTCATATTGTCTATTTGTTCTCATGTGAGTTTTGGCAGATTATATCTTTCAGAGAATTGGCCCATCTAGGTTATTAAATTTGTGAGCATAGAGATGTTCATCGTGTTGCTTTATTATCCTTTTAATGTCCATAGGAACTATACTGATGTCTTCTCTTTCATTCTAACATTGGTAATGTGTGTTTTCTCTCTCTATTTTTCTTACATGGCCTGACTAGAGACCTAACAATTTTACTGATCTTTTTAATGAGCCAGTTTCTGGTTTTATTAATTTTCTTCATTAATTTCCTGTTTTGAAATCCATTGATTTCTGCTCTTTTATTATTTTTTCTTTCACTTACTTGGATTTAATTTTCTCTTTTTTTTTTCTATTTTCTAAGGTTGGAATATTAGATGGATGATTTCACATGTTTTTTCTTTTCTTTTTTTTCTTTTCTAATATATAAATTTGTGTATGAATTTCCCTCTAAGCACTGCTTTAGCTATATTCCACAAATTTTGATTTTTTTTATGTTAGTATAGTTCAAAATATTTTAAAATTTGTCTTAAGGTTTCTTCTTCCATCTAGTTTTATTTAGAAGTGTGTGGTTTAATATCCAAATATTTAGGGATTTTCCAGCTATCTTTCTGTTATCAATTTCTAGTTTAATTCCATTGTGGCCTGAGAGCAGGCATTATATGATTTCTATTCCTTGACATTTGTTAAGATGTGTTTTATAACACGGAATGTGGTCTGTCTTGGTAAAGGTTCCATGTGACTTCGAGAAGAATGTATATTCTGTTATTGTTGGTTGAAGTAGTCTATAGATGCAGGTTATGTCCAGTTGATTGATAGTGTTGTTCAACTATGTCCTTATTGATTTTCTGCCTGCTGGATCTGTTCATTTTTAATAGAAGTGGGTTGATGTCTCCAACTATAAAAGTGGATTCATCTATTTCTCCAAATCGTTCTATCAGCTTGTGCCTTATGTATTTTGACAACCTGTTGTTAGGTGCATACATTAAAGATTGTTAGGTCTTATTAGAAAATTGATTCTTTAATCATTATGCAATGCCCCTCTTTTCACTTGACAACTTTCCTTCCTGTGAATTTTGCTCTGTCTGAAATTAATATAGCTCCCTCTGTTCCCTTGATTAGTGTTAGTATGGTATATCTTTCTCCATCTATTTACTTTTAATCTATATGCATCTTTATATTTAAAGTGGGTTTTTTTTTTTTTTTTTGTAGACGATATATAGTTGGGTCTTGTTTTTTGATCCAGTGTAACAGTCTCTTTTAATTGGTCCTTTTAAACCATTGACTTACTACTGATATATGTGGATTAATATCTACTCAATTTCTTACTATTTTCTATTTGCTGCCCTTGTTCTTTGTTCCTATGTTTGTCTTTCACTCTTTTTCTGCTTTTTGTGGTTTTAATTTAGCATTTTATTCTATTTTCTCCTCTTTCTAAGTATACCAGTTATTTACTTTTTTGAGTGGTTACCCTAGAATTTACAATACTCACTTACAACTAATTCAAGTGTACCTTCAAAAACACTGTGTCACTTCATGGGTAGTGTGAGTACCTTATAATGACAAAATCATCCTAATTATTCCATCCCTTGTATCATTACTGTTGTTCATTTCACTTATACATAAGCATGCATAAGAATATATACGTGCGGGAGGGCAGGGCCAAGATAGCCAACTAGAAGCAACTGCAGTCGAAGGCTCCCACGGAAAAGAATGAAAACAGCATGCAAATCCTGCACTGGTAACCAAGGTATCCAGGTTCTATCATCAGGACTGACTAGGTGGTTGATGTGACCCACAGAGGGAAAGGAAAAGCAGGGTGGTATGTCAGCCCACCTGAGAGCCACACAGGGCAAGGGGAGCCCCCACTCTTAGCCAAGGGAGGTGGTGAGTGATTGTGCTACCCAGACTGGGAAACCATGCTTTTTCCACAGATCTGTGCAACCCATGGATTAGGAGATCCCACTCGTGAGCCCATGCGACCAGGGCCTTGGGTCCCAACCACAGAGCTGTTTCATTCTCAGCAGCCATTCAGCTGGAGTCTGCCTAAGACTACCAAGTTCCCTGGGGGAGGGGCAGCCATCATCACTGTGGTTGCCTGCTGCCTAAGTCATCTGAGCTCCCTGAGAGAGGGGTGGTAGCCATCACTGCAGCTACCTGCTGCCTAAGAAAACTGAGCTCCCCAGGGGAGAGATGGCAGCCATCACTGTCACTGCCAGCTGCCTAAAATGCTGAACTCCCAGTGGGGAAGGGCAGCAGCCATTACTACAGCTCCAGGCCATCATTATTCCCCGCTGGTGCTGGGAAACTGGACGGCTTGGACCCAAGAGGTATTCCCCACAGCACAGCACACCTGCTGTGGCAGCTGGTGTCCAGACTGCCTCTTTAGGCCAGACCCTGACCCATCCCTCCTCAGTGGGCAGGGCCTCCCTGCAGGAACTTCAGCAACACCAGCCAGGGGCTTAGGAAGAGAACTCTGATCTCTCAGGACCTGAGCCCCTAGGGGAAAAGGTGGTTTGGTCTCCCAGACTTAGTCTTTCTCATTGCTAGCTCTGAGGAATCCGAGCAGCCCAAACAGTGGGTTTCTCCTCAGCACAGCACACCCCTTCCACCAAGGGACAGCCAGAGTGCTTCGTTAAGCAGGTCCCAGACCCCTGCTCCCTGACTGGTTGAGACCCCCCCTGCCAAACAGGGGTCACCAGACAACTTATACAGGAGCATTCCAACTGGCATCAGGTCAGTGCCCCTCGAGGACAGGGATCACAGAGGAAGGAGCAAGCACCCAACTTTGCTGTTCTCCAGCCTCCTTGGGTGACATCTCTAGGTGCAGGAGGAACCCAGGTGAATACGGCCTGAAGTGAACCCCCAGCAAACTGCAACAGCCCTACAGAAGAGGGGCCTGACTGGAAAAACAAACAAACAACAACAAAAAACTGAAAGCAACAATACAGCATCAACAAAAAAGTCCCAACAAAAACTCCTTCCAAAGGTCAGCAGCCTCAAAGATCAAAACTAAACAAATCATGAAGATGAGAAGCAACAAAAAAATGTTGAAAACTCAAAAGGCCAGAGTGTCTCTTCTCTAAATGATTGCAACACCTCTCCAGCAAGGGCAAAGAACTGGGCAGAGGCTGAGATGGATGAATTAACAGAAATAGACTTCAAAAGGTGGGTAATAACAAACTTCACTGAGCTAAAGGAGCATGTTCTAACCCAATGAAAAGAAACTAAAAACCATGATAAAAGGTTACAGGAGCTGCTAACTGGAACAACCAGTTTAGAGAGGAACATAAATGACCTGACTGAGCTGAAAAACACAGCACAAGAGCTTTGTGATGCAAACACAAGTATCAATAGCCAAAAATCAAGCTGAAGACAGAATATCAGAGCTTGAAGACTATCTTGCTGAAATGAGGCAAGCAGACAAGATTAGAGAAAAAAGAAATAAAAAGCGATGAACAAAACCTCCAAGAACTATGGGACTATGTGAAAAGACCAAAGCTATGACTAATTGGAGTACCTGAAAGAGATGGGAGAATGAAACCAAGTTGGAAAACAACTTCAGGATATCATCCTGGAGAACTTCCCCAACCTGTCAAGATAGGCCAACATTCAAATTCAGGAAACCCAGAGAACCCCAGTAAGATACTCCACAAGAAGATTAACCCTAAGACATATAATCATCAGATTCTTCAAGTTCAAAATGAAGGAAAAGATGTTAAGGGCAGCCAGAGAGAAAGGCCAGGCTGCCTACAAAGGGAAGCCCATTGGACTAACATTGGATCTCTCAGCAGAAACCCTACAAACCAAAAGAGAGTGGGGGCCAATATTCAACATTTTTAAAGAGAAGAATTTCCAACCCAAAATTTCCTATCTGCCCAAACTAAGCTTCGTAAGTGAAGGAGAAATAAAATCTTTTTCAGACAAGCAAATGCTGAGGGATTTCATCACCACCAGGCCTGCCTTGCAAGAGCTCCTGAAGGAAGCATTAAATGTAGAGAAAAAAGAAAAATGGTACCAGCCACTGCAAAAACACACTGAAATACAGAGACCAATGACTATGAAGAAAGTGCATCAACTAGTCTGCAAAATAACTCACTAGCATTATGATGACAGAATCAAATTCACACATAACAATATTAACCTTAAATGTGAATAGGCTAAATGCCCCAATTAAAAGACACAGACTGGCAAATTGGATAAAGAGTCAAGACCCATTGGTGTGCTGTATTTAAGAGACCCATCTCCTGTCAAAGATACACATAGGTTCAAAATAAAGGGATGGAGGAAAACTTACCAAGCAAATGGAAAGCAGAAAAAAGCAGGGGTTGCAATTCTAATTTCTGACAAAACAGACTTTAAAGCAACAAACATCAAAAAAGACGAAGAAAGGCAATACATAATGGTAAAGTGATCAATTCAATAAGAACAGCTAACAATCTTAAATACATATGCACCCAATACAAGAGCACCCACATTCATAAAGCAAGTTCTTAGGGGCCTACGAAGAGACTTAGATGCCCACACAATAATAGTGGAAGAATTTAACACCCCACTGTGAATATTAGACAGATCATTGAGACAGAAAATTAACAAGAATATTCAGGACTTGAACTCAGCTCTGGATCAAGTGGACCTGATAGATATCTAGAGAACTCTGCACATCAAAACTACAGCATATACATTCTTCTCAGTGCAACATGGCACTTACTGTAAAATTGATCACATGGGTGGAGTCAAAACACTCCTCAGCAAATGCAAAAGCACTGAAATCATAATAGTCTCTCAGATCATAGTGCAATAAAACTAGAACTCAAGATTAAGAAACTCACTCAAAACCACAAAACTACATGGCAATTGAACAATCTGCTCCTGAATGACTCCTGGGTAAATAATGAAATTAAGGCAGAAATCAAGAAGTTCTTTGAAATCAATGAGAACAAAAAGACAACATATCAGAATCTCTGGGTCCCAGCTAAAAGAGTGTTAACAGAGACATTTATAGCACTAAATTCCCACATCAGAAAGCTAGAAGATCTCAAACCAACACCCTAACATTACACCTAAAAGAACTAGAGAAACAAGAGCAAAGAAATCCAAAAGCTAGCAGGAGACAGTAATTACAATCAGAGCTGAACTGAAGGAGATAGAGACACATACAAAAATCCCTTCGAAAAATCAGTGAATCTAGGAGCTATTTTTTTCAAATATTAATAAAATAGATAGACTGCTAGCAAGGTTAATAAAGAAGAAAACAAAGAAGACTCAAATAGACACAATAAAAATGATAAAGGGAATACCACAACTGACCCCACAGAAATACAAACAACCATCAGAAAATACTATAAACACCTCTATGCAGGTAAACTAGAAAATCTAGAAGATATGGATAAATTCCTTGACACATACACCCTCCCAAGATTAAACCAAGAAGAAGCCGAATCCCTGAATAGACCAATAACAAATTCTGAAATTGAGGCAGTAATAAATAGCCTACCAACCAAAAAAAGCCCAGGACCAGATAGATTCTACCAGAGGTACAAAAAGGAGCTGGTACCATTTTTTCTGAAACCATCGCAAACAATTGAAAAGGAAAGACTCGTCTCTAACTAAATTTTGTGAGGCCAGCATCATCATGATAGCAAAACCTGGCAGAGATACTACAACAACAAGAAACTTCAGGCCAATATCCCTGATGAACATCGATGCAAAAATCCTTAATAAAATACTGGCAGCACATCAAAAATCCTTAATAATCTTAAATACTGGCAGCACATCAAAAATCCTTAATAAATCTAGCAGCACATCAAAACACTTATCCACCACAGTAAAGTTGGCTTCATCCTTGAGATGCAAGGCTGGCTCAACATACACAAATTAATAAACATATTTCATCATATAGACCTAAAGACAAAAACCACACTATTATCTCAATAGATGTGGAAAAGGCCTTTAATTAAATTTAACATCCCTTCATGTTAAAAACTCTCAATAAACTAGGTATTTTTGGAACATATTTCAAAATAATAAGAGATATTTATGACAGACCCATACCCAACATCATACTGAATGGGCCAAAGCTGGAATCATTCCCTTTGAAATCCAGCATAAGACAAGGATGCCCTCTCTCCCCACTCCTATTCAATGTAGTATTGAAATTCTGGCCAGGGCAATCAGGCAAGAGAAATAAATAAAGCATATTAAAATAGAGAGAGAGAAAGTCAAATTGTCTCTATATGCAGACGACATGAACCTATACCTAGAAAACCTCATCATCTTAGCCCCAAAACTCCTTAAGCTGATGAGCAACTTCAGCAAGGTCTCAGGATACAAAATCAATGTGCAAAAATCACAAGCATTCCTATACACCAACAACAGATAAGCAGAGAGCCAAGTCATGAATGAACTCTCATTCACAATTTCTACAAAGACAATAAAATACCTAGGAATACAGCTAACAAGCAATGTGAAGGACCTCTTGAAGGATAACTACAAACCACTGCTCAAGGAAATAATGGAGATCACAAACAAGCGGAAAAACATTCCATGTTTCTGGTTAGGAAGAATCAATAGCATGAAAATGGCCATATTGCCCAAAGTAATTTACAGATTCAATGCAATTCCTATTAAACTACCCTTGACATTCTTCACAGAATTAGAAAAAACTACTTTAAAATGTATACAGAGTCAAAAAAAGAGCCTGTATATCCAAGACAATCCTAAGCCGAAAAAACAAACAAACAAACAAACAAAAAAAAAAACAAAGCTGGAGGCATCACACTATCTGACTTCAAACTATACTACAAGACTGCAGTAACCAAACCAGAATGGTGCTGGTACCAAAACAGACACATAGACAAGTGGAACAGAATAGAGGTCTCAGAAAAAAGACTACACATCTACAACTATCTGATCTTCAACAAACTTGACAAAAAACCAGCAATGGAAAAATGATTCCCTATTTAATAAATGGTGCTGGGAAAACTAGCCATATACAGAAAATGGAAACTGGACCCCTTCTTCATAACTTATACAAAAATTAACTCAAGAATGATTAAAGACTTAAATGTAAAACCCAAATCTATAAAAACCCTTGAAGAAAATCTAGGCGATACCATTCAGGACATAGGTACAGGAAAAAATTTAATGACAAAAATATCAAAAGCAATGGCAACAAAAAGAAAAAATTGATAAATGGGATCTAATTAAACTAAAGAGCTTCTGTATAGCAAAATAAACTATCATCAGAGTGAACGGACAACCTGCGGAATGGGAGAAAAACTTTGCAATCTATCCATCTGACAAAGGTCTAAAATCCAGAATCCACAAGGAACTTAAACAAATTTGCAAGAAAAAAAACAACCGCATTAAAACGTGGGCAAAGGACATGAACAGACACTTCTCAAAAGAAGAGATTTATGTGGCCAACAAACATATGTAAAACCTCAACATCACTGATCATTGGAGAAATGCAAATCCAAGCCTCAATGAGATACCATCTCATACCAGTCAAAATTATGATTATTAAAGGGCCAAGAAATAACAGATGCTGACAAGGCTGTGGAGAAATAGAAATGCTTTTACACTGGTGGTGGGAAAGTAAATTAGTTCGACCATTGTGGAAGACATTTTGACGACTCCTCAAGGATCTAGAACAAGAAATACCATTTTACCCAGTAATCCCATTACTGGATATATACTCAAATGAATAGAAATTATTCTATTTTAAAGATACATGCACATATATGTTTATTTCAGCACTATTCATAACAGCAAAGACATGGAATCAACCCAAATGCCCATCAGTGATAGACTGGATAAAGAAAACTTGGTACACCATGGAATACTTTGTAGACATAAAAGGGAACAAGATTATGTTCTTTATAGGGACATGTCTGTAGCTAGGAGCCATTATCTTCAATAAGCTAACACAGGAACAGAAAACCAAACACTGCATGTTCTCATTCCTATGCAGGATCTGAACAGTGAGAACACATGAACACAGGCAGGGGAGCAACACACACTGGAGGCTGTTGGGTGGGTAGTGGGAAGGTGAGCGGAAGGTAAGTAGCTAATGCATGTGGGGCTTAATACCTAGGTGATGGATTGATGGGTGTAGCAAACCACCATGGCACACGTTTACCTGTGTAACAAACCTGCACATCCTGCATATGTATTCCAGAACTTAAAATAAAATTAAAAGAAAAAATATACATCTATCTATATATATACATGCATACATAATCAAATACATTGTTGCCATTATTATTTTGAACAAACTGTTATCTTTTAGGCAAATTAAGAATAAGAAAACTAGGCCGGGCGCGGTGGCTCACGCCTGTAATCCCAGCACTTTGGGAGGCCGAGGCGGGCGGATCACGAGGTCAGGAGATCCAGACCATCCTGGCTAACACGGTGAAACCCCGTCTCTACTAAAAATAGAAAAAATTAGCCGGGCGTGGTGGCGGGCGCCTGTAGTCCCAGCTACTCGGAGGTTGAGGCAGGAGAATGGCATGAACCCGGGAGGCGGAGCTTGCAGTGAGCCGAGATAGCGCCACTGCACGCCAGCCTGGGCGGAAGAGCGAGACTCCGTCTCAAAAAAAAAAGAATAAGAAAACTAAAAGTTTTTACATTTACCTTCACCTATTTCTTCTCAGATGTTCTTCCTTTCTTTCTGTAGATCCAAATTTCTGATCTATATAATTTTTCTTATCTTTAAAGAACTTCTTTTAACATTTCTTACAAGGGAGTTCTACTGGTAACAACTCCCCTCAATTTTTGTTTTTCTGAGAAACTCTATATTTCTCCTTAACATTTGAAAGTTAATTTCATAGGATACAGAATCAAAAATTAGTCAGTTTTTTTTCTCTCAACACATTAAATATTTCACTGTGTTGTCTTCTTGGTTACATGGTTTCTGAGACATTAGATTCAATTCTTATCTTTGCTTTTCTAATAAGTAAGGTGTTTTCCCCCTCTGGCCTCTTTCGGGATTTTTTTTTAATCTTTAATTTTCTGTTCTTTGAAAATTATATGCCTAGATGTAGCTTTTCTGATGTTTATCCTGCTTGGTGTCCTTTGAAATTCCTCCATCTGTGGTTTGGTGTCTGACATCAAATAGGAGAAATTTTTAGTGATTATTTTCAAATATTAGTTTCAAATATTGTTTCTGTTCCTTTCTCTCTTCTCCTCCTGGTATTCCCATTACACATATGTTATACCTTTTATAGTTGTCCCACAGTTCATTGATATTCTGGGGTATTCTCAGTCTCTGTCTCTGTCTCTCTCTCTGTCTCTCTCTTTTGGGGGGCTTTGCTTTTTAGTTTTTAAAGTTTCTATTGAGATATCCTCAAGCTCAGAGAATCTATTCTCAGTCATTTCTAACCTACTAAGAAGCCTGCCAAAGGCATTCTTCATTTCTGTTAAAGTGTTCTTGAGCTCTTACATTTCTTTTTGATTCTTTCTTAGAATTTTCATCACCCTGCTTACATTGCCCCCTCGATTCTTGCAGATTGTTACTTTATCCATTAAAGCCCATTACATATTAATAATAGTTGCTTTAAATTTGTAGTCCTATAATTCCAACATCCTTGCCTTATCTGAGTCTGGCTCTGATGCTTGCTGTTTCTTTGAAATGTGCTTTTTGTTTTGTTTCTTATCTTTTATTATGTCTTATAATTTTTTCCTGATATCCAGACATAAATAACTGGGTAAAATAAATGGATGTAAATAGGCCTTTAGTAATGTGGTGGTAAGGTGTGGGGGAGGGGAGCATTCTATAGTCCTCTACTTATGTTTCAGTCTTTAGTGAGCCTGTGTGTCTGCATTGTGAACTTCATCTGCTTCTCAATCTCCTTTCATCCCCTTCTGTGGAATAGGATGGCTAGAGCTGGATGGAGCTGGTTATTTCCCTTCTCTAGGGTCACTTAGACTTGGATACAACTCCAGAAGGTTAGGCTTTGGTTAACTAGTTTCTTCTTGTTAAGAATGGAATGCTCTGAGGTATTTCTAAATGGTTCATTTCCCCCTCACCCTGCCAGAAGCATGAGGTGTTTCTCTGATATTTACTGTGAAGACCTGGCAGAGCTCCGTGAGGCAAGTCTTATAAAAGTGTGTGGTAGCCTCTGATGGCTGGGTCCCCCTAGAGTACTTATCTCTCAGATTTGTCCTCATTGAGCCTCTAGCAATTCAAATACAATTCAGCTTTGCTACCTGGGCAGTGGTGTTACAGGACAGGGGTTCTGATCCAGACCTTAAGAAAGGGTTTTTGGATCTTACACGAGAAAGAATTTAGGATGAGTTCGCAGTGCAAAGTGAAAGTAAGTTTATTAAGAAAGTAAAGGAATAAATGAATGGCTATTTCATAGACAGAGTGGCCCCGAGGGCTGCTGGTTGCCCATGTTTATGGTTATTTCTTGATGATATGCTAAATAAGGGATGGATTACTTATGCCTCCCATTTTTAGACCATATAGGGTAACTTCCTGACATGGCCATGGCATTTGTAAACTGTCATGCAGCTGGTGGGAGTGCAGCAGTGAGGACGACCAGAGGTCACTCTTAAGGCCATTTTGCTTTTGGTGGGTTTTGGCCGGCTTCTCCACTGCAGACTGTTTTATTAGCAAGGTCATTATGACCTGTATTTTGTGCTGACCTTCTATCTTATTCTGTGACTTAGAATGCCTTAACTGTCTGGGAATTCAGCCCAGTAGGTTTCAACCTTATTTTACCCAGCTCCTATTTAAGATGGAGTTGCTCTGGTTTACACGCCTTTGACAGTGGTTCCTGCAGAGGTTATTACTCATGGTTTCTGCTTCCATAAATCGGATTATCTGTATTTACCTGTTGGTGTTTCCATTTGAGCAGGAGGGTAGCAACTTGCTCCCTGATCTTCACTCTTATGGAGCTAAGAAGAGTTGCTGCTTTTTGGTTTGTTCAGTTTTTTACTTGTGGTTAGAACAGAGAAGTGACTTCCAAGTTTTTAGATGCTGGGCTAGAAAGTAGATTCACCCCATCCTTTTTTAAAAATTGCTTCTAAATTGGATCTCACCTTCTAATCATTATTTTTAATGCAAGTATATTATTCAATGTTTTCATTTTTGTCCTGGACTTTTATCACACAGTTTATTTCAAGATAGTAATTAAAACTACACTTTTTGAATAATAAGAAAAGGTAACAGTTCTGAAATTTATCAACCTGAAAATTGTTGGTCATCATAAGGGGAAGACTTATGGGCTTGCATTTAAAGTACATATTAATGGAGCATTGATAATCAATCTGTGCCAGTCTCACCTATTAACCAAACTATCTTGATGCAGTTCTATTTTGGGTGATATTAATTATGTAACATTCTGTTAATAGATACAGAACATTTTACAATGTGGAAATTAGAGAAACTTTTGTGGGAAAATGATATATATGCAACAAAGAGAGCTTGAGAAATATTAAGTAACAGATTTACATTTGATTTGATACAAATTAATAGAATTATCTTAAAAATTGGATGGAAAATTAAATGTGAAACACTTAAAACTCTATTTCACTTATAATAAGCAATATATATTAGCCATTATTATCTATTATAAGATCCTACCTCTCAAATATAATTTTACCTCATGAAGCCATTAACCCATGTCAGTAAGTTAAAATTACATATGAAGTTCCCTAATATTCCATTTTTACTTCAATATAACTCATTGCTATCAAATAAAGGATTTCACAAGGAATGTAGTATTGCAAATAAGTAAGTTATGTATTATAATACTCTTAATTAAAACAAACTATCTAATCAACATATTTGAACCACTAACTTACTACTGCAGTCATTAGGAATGCATTTAGAAATACAAAACCAAATTGCAGTGGCCTATGCAAATTAGTTTTATCCCCCTCATGTAATGAGAAATGCAGAAATGGCTGCCTAAGAGCTGTTTCAAGTCTGAGTGATGCCATCAGAGACCAAGAGTCTTTCTGACTTTCTGCTTTGTCAGTTTTAGTACTGACAAATGGTTTTCACTGTGTTTATCACCTCATGACTGCTGCACCTTTCACCATCACTTCCACCAATCATTCCAGGTAGGATGTTTGGGAAAGTGCAAACGATGCAGTGCAGAGGGGCAAAGTGCTGTGCCAATTGAACGTGACCCTTCACTCATTAAATAAGGGGCCTTTTCTGAAGTCCATTTTGAGGAGCCCCCCACTGCCATCTCACTAGCCAGAACTGACTGGGTGACCATGTGACCACTCCTTAACCGTCCAGTGGTGATTCTTCCCTGAAGCTTCAGTAGACTCTGTCTTGCCTGAGCTCAAGGGCCTTTCATCTATTTCTAACAAGTTAGTAACAATAAGAGAAGGTCAGATAGGCTGGGCGTGATGGCTCATGCCTGTAATCCCAGCACTTTGGGAGGCCAAGGCGGGCAAATCACTTGAGGTCCAGAGTTCGAGACCAGCATGACCAACATGGTGAAACCCTGTCCCTACTAAAAATATAAAAATTAGCCAGATGTGGTTGTGGGTGCCTGTAATCCCAGCCACTTGGGAGGCTGAGGCAGGAGAATCACTTGAACTCAGGAGGCGGAGATTGCAGTGAGCTGAGATTGTGCCATTGCCCTCCAGCCTGGATGACAAGAGTGAAACTCTGTCTCAAAAAAACAAACAACAACAACAAAAAACTGAAAAACAAAAAACAAAAAGAAAAATAGAGAGAAGGTCAGATAAATATTAGGTGCCTGTCATGGTGTGGAACTTGACATAATAAGCTACAAATATTAGCTTAATATACACAAATGAATTTCACCTAATAGATAAAATTAGGTAAAAAAACATTATGTAATATAGCTTTCATCCACAAGGCTATTAAGTCAAAATAGAAAATATTTTTCTCATATATTTTCTCCTAGACAGAAAGGGAGAAAGAAAGTGTGTTTGTATGTTTGTGCAGGTGTTTTTAGGGACAGGGCCTGCTGGGCATGGGGGAGTTGCATCTTGTGTTCAGAGGTTTTCTGCACACCAATTTGGCCAAATTCACAAGTGGTAGTAGTAGGGTGGTATATATGACAAATGAATAAAAATATTAAAAGCACATAAACAGCTACATAAACCGTAAAACATATTACTTTATGCATTTGACAAATATATTTGAGTACTTATAATTGTAGAGATGTTCTAAATGCTAAGTTTACAGCAGTAAACAAAATAGTAAAACGTTTAGAACACATAATTTTCTAGTGGAGAAAACAATAAACAAAAAAATAAATCATTAAATATGTTAGATAATAAGTGCTAAGAAAGTAACAGTGCAGGGAAGGGGGATAAAGAGGTTACAATTTTAGATAGAATGGAAAATGCAAATTAGGTGATATTTGCATATAAAGATAAAGGAGGTGAAGAAACAAGCCATGAAGATTTCTGAAGAAGGAACATCCTGAGCAAAGAAAACACTAAGTGCAAAAGCTCTAAGTTAGGAGTATATCTGGCATGTTCAAGAAAGGGCAAAGTGTTCAGCAGTGTTCAGAGATAGAAAGGGAGAAAGCAGCAGATGAGATCTTAGAGGGAAATAGGGACCAATTTTAGAAACTTACTGATCAGATAAAGGACTTTGACTTGTACACTAAGAGAAAGTAGCATTGGTTACAATTATTTTTCATAAAGCTAGAAAACAAAAACAATACAAATGTCACAAATCAATCAACAGGGCTCTACCATCTCCATGTACATTGCCACACCCCACCTGTAGTCCCTGTTCTAATTCACATAGGTCTACAGTCTATTTTTTTATATCTAATCCCCTAGTTCTTTATATCCCATAAATATGCCATATCTAATCTTTCACTCAAATTTTCCTCATGACTATTTAACCTTCATGTTCTACCTAGATTCTTATCAAATTACCACCACTGTTCCAAATATTCAATGAATTTTTTGTTTTGTAAAGTAAAAAGATCAATATCAAGAGCATGGTATGAAAATTCCTCATTAGGTATCACTACTTAGCTTTCCAGACCTATTTCTTAATAAATCCTTTTATAATTTCTAAAATATAGACATATGTGTCTCCTTATTTTCATAAGTCTGCCCTTTTTTTGCCTCATGCTGTTTCATAAGCCTATAATGCTCTTTCCCATTTCTTGACCTGATGAACTCCTACTTACTAAGATTTGGTCCATGATTTTGAGTTATTGTTTTTTGCAATAAGATTTAAGATGGAAGCTTGACACTTAATTCTTCTAATAAATCTAATTGCACACATTCTAAATTTTGAATAAAATCATCATAGGCTCAGAAAGATAATCTACATTTGTATTTGAAATAGGGAAAATTACGTAAACACATCAGAAAACAAAATTTCTTCTTTATAAAGTGTAGAATGGCTATGTGCAAAATGCCTAGGGACTATTTGCTGTTTGCTCCTCATGAAATGTCCCCTGCTCCTCCTGCAAATTCCTATCTTATCATCCATTAACATAGAAATCAAGCTCAAGTATTTTCATCCTCTGTTAGCAAATAATCTTCCTCTTCTTGCTAATAATCTCCCTAGATTTTGTCCTTTGTCTAATCACTAAATTCTAAATTTACTATGCTACTCTGACCAAAGAGTTGCTTGTATTCGGCCCTCTAGTGGATGAGACGTGTAATTTTTATGGTAAGGTGCAGAGACCCAGTGGGGAAGTGCGTAATCAGAGCACTTAATTATAAGACACAGGGAGCAGCTCTTGCTTAATGTATCTTTATTTCCTTCAAAAATATACTATAACTTTCTTAACAGCAAGCATCATGCTTTCATCCTTAAAAAAATTATCAATAAAGTGCTGAGCATGCACTAGATGACTGTGCATCCATACTGATTATCTTTGAGAATTTACTGAAGTCTCAACTTAGGTTACAGTGTGGAATATTGACAGTAAAATTATATAGGATTATGCTTCATTTAACTAGTAATATGAATTAGATAAACATCTATAAAACATTAAAAAATCAACTCCAGGTGTAGTTTATAAGTACACACTCTTCCATTTCTGACAAAAAATGCACCCAAGTTAGATAAGTAAAAGAAATTTCTTCCTCAGAAGTGACTTGACGTGCCACTTGATTCAAGGATCTCAACTTAAGTCTTTAGGACTGAGTCTATTTCCATTGCTCAGTATCAATTTCCTCTATACAGGTTACATTCTAAGACTTCTTATAGTTTCAAAATGTTTGTCAATTGTTCCAGGCTTACATATATGATCATAGCTTCAAGTCTAGCAAAACAGAGAGCATTTTGTCCTAGTGGCTCCTCACAAGCCCCAGAATTCTGCTTCAATATAGTTGGCCAAATACTCATCATTCAACCAATCCCTGTGTCTAAGGAAGTTCCGGGCTTTCCTTGGCCAGGTTAAATCTCAAATGCAGAGATTTAGCCTGTGACAAAGACCCTCCTGAACCTTGTGATCTGAGTGTGGATGGAGGATATTTTCCTGAAGGAAATTTGAGATTTTATGCCAGAGAGGAAGAGCTGCTAGGTTGAGAGGCAAAATGGCTGCTATATATTGAAAAAAAAAATGACATTAAGTTACTACGTTTCTATTGATTATATTTCTTCATTTCCAATTTGCTTTAATTGAGATAACTTATGTCTCATAGATTCAAATTAAAAATATAATTGTCATTATCATCATATCAAGCTTCTTGACTTCTATGTGAAAGGCACTATATTAAAATTATGTTTGCTCATTACCCTAAGTTGAGATGAATATAATCATTTCCTATTTTAAAGAATAAATATAAAGAACAACTAAATAAATATAAAGCATAATTATATTCACTATCACCAAGTTAAACTTTTGTTATTATATTTTACTTTTCAAGTTAATTATAAGAAAATCTATTTAAAGCAGTTTTTCCCATTTTCCACTTCACAGAATTTTCCTTATAAATTTTGTTTACATAACTTTTATGTTAAAATTAAAAAGCCAATCTTAAGCTTGGTGTTGTTAATTTGATATAATATTAGCTTGAAGTTCTAGCAAATGAAAATTAAATTGAAAACTTGATTATATGATACTAATCATTTGAATACTATTTTAAGAAAAATATATGTCAAGTTGTATATTTATATTAGGAAAACAGTGTAATCACACATATTTCTCCAAAGTTCTATTATCTCACAGGTTTTTTATATAACATATTAGCTAAAGAATACTTTTTAAAAAACTAATATGAGAAAAAAGAAGTCCAAATATATCACTAATAAAAGCATAATAGATGCAGTCATCCTCACACTGACACACACACAGTCATGCACCACATGATGACATTTTGGTTAACAACGGATTGCATATATGATGGTGGTCCTATAAGATTATAATGGAACTGGTCTATATAGGAATACCACTTTTTAAAATCTTTCATGCCATATTTTTACTGTACCTTTTCTATGTTTAGATATGTTTAGATACACAAAAGCCATTGTGCTATAATTGCCTACAGTGTTCAATACAGTAACATTCTGTACAATTTTGTAGCCTAGGAGCAATAGGCTATCCGTATAGCCTAGATGTGTAGTAGGTTATACTATCAAGGTATGTGTAAGTACACTCTATGATGTTCATACAGTGACGAAGTTGCCTAATGACACATTTCTCAGAACATATTTCCATTGCTAAGTGACACATAACTGTATTATAATAAGCTGGGATTCTTAGCAATTGTATTGACCATTACAATTGTAAATGGTTGGGACTCAGTTCAATCCATCTTAAGCAAATACACAAACACATACACACACACACACACACACACACACACACGTATATATACAAGATATTAGCGTACTTCACAGAATTGAAGGAAGAATTTTAAGCCTCAGGGCATCTCTGGAATATTGAAACTTGGCACTCTCAGGATAGTCTGCTGTCTGTTATCTCTGCTTTTCTCTGTATGCAGGCTTATTCTTTCTGTCTGTGTGACAGGTAAATATATTCTGGGCCTATATTCCTGCAACTCTATATCCATAGAAGAAAGAGATATTCACCATCCTCTAAACATGCACGTGTACATAATAACTCCAACTCTAACACATACACATGTTCTAGTTAAAAAGCCAGGGAAGTGATTATTATTGTCCCTTCTTGTATTATTATGCCTACCCCTGGACCAATGCCTTGAAGCCAGTTTATAGATTTTGAATCTCTCAACTTGGGTCACATGTCACCCCTGGGGTCAGGGGCCAGGTTAGGTTATCAGAAATGAGGAGGAGATCTACTGGGTGAAGATGTTAAGTACCACAATAACCAAAGAAAAAGTTTGGTTAGAATAATTTGAACAATTACTCTAATTCTTTATTTATTTTTGCTTCCCTCTGGGTCAGAGATATAAAAACATTAGGTAAGTACATGCAAGCTCTGGAGTTAACAAGGGCAATATATGAGGGGAATGAGCATGGAGAGAGGTATATTGGAATCCTCAGAAGCCAATTAATTGGAAAAAGTTTTCAAAATTGTCAATCTATTCAAATATTTAGTTGCAATTCCAAATGACATTAAATGAGATTTTAATATTTTTATGCTTAGCAAAAGTGACCATGGGTTTATAAAGATTTAGAAAATTAGTGTAACACAACTTACTTTGTTCTATTGACAAAACCCAAACCCTGAAATTGATCCCAAAGTAATGCTTAGAAACGAAATGCTAAATGTCAGCAAATAAATAATAATTAACTTTCTACATATGTGCCATGCCATATCTAGGGAATATTTAGTAAGTCTTTAGAATATTTCTTGATGAACTCTAATTTCTAATTGAACTTGAGATAACATATTCAATCTCTTCTCTATTATCTTTATCACATTGTCACCTAGAGAGATAGAAAGCACAATATTAGCATTCCTGACATAGATGATTTTTGAATACTATCTTTTATTCAACAGAAGAGCATTCCTCACCCTTCCTTGTAAAATTTCTAATTTTACCAATTTGATTTAATTTTTACCTATTGAAGACAAAAACTAATGGAAGAATGTTAATGAGCCAATCTATCTCCAGAAACATTTAACAAAATTGTATGCATATGATTGTGTTTATTTACGCAGGAACATATATGGAAAGGAGACTCATGTCTTTTATCAGAATTTCCAAGGCATCTGTAAACTAAAATATGCTTAAAAACCATTTAAAATTGGGGAAACACAAAGTTATTGCTTATTTGAATAGAAATATGTCAGCAGCTGCCAGTCTGGAGGCGTTCCCACAGCTGTGCAGAACTCAGCGCAGCGCGCTGCTGTTCGCGGCTGTTGCCGCTGCTGCTCCCCGGGCTGGGGCTGTTGCCCGCTACAAATACGCCTCCAGTGTTCGCAGCTCTCATCTTGCAGTACAGCGCCTGCATGCACCCCAGCCTGAGGTCCAAGTGCAGGGACAGGAGCCACTGACTACCTCCATGCTGGCCGCAGCACACCCCCAGGAACAGAAGCAGATGCTGGGAGAACGCTTGTTCCCACTCATCCAAACAATGCATTCAAACCTGGCTGGGAAGATCACGGGAATGCTGCTGGAGATCCACAACTCTGAGCTGCTGCACATGTTAGAGTTCCCCGAGTCTCTCCATTCCAAGGTGGATGAAGCTGTAGCAGTTCTACAGGCTCATCATGCCAAGAAAGAAGCTGCCCAGAAAGTGGGCGCTGTTGCTGCTGCTACCTCTTAGACAAGGAAAAACCGATTCAAAAGCCAAATAACCCCTCATGGAGTTCAGCTCAAGGTTTGTAGACTTCCTAGCTTGTCCTGTGGACCTCAAAACCAAGAACTACAAATTGCAAATTTAATAGGTCATTTTGTATCAAAAGGTCGAATATGAAGCGCCTAGAATTTTTCAATTATACGAATATGTTCTTGGGGTTCTGCTGTGGCCCAGTGTGAACTTTTTTTTTTCTATTGTGGGTTTTGATTTGTCCCCCAAGAAATTGGTTTTATTTCATGTACCCAAGTATTACGTTTCTCAATAAAGAAAAAAAATCTCCATTAAAAAAAAAGAAATATGTCAGCAATTTTTACCCTTTGGTCCTAGTTCATTCCACTAGGGATCTGCTAAATACGTTGACTACTAATACAAAACGAACAATACTTAGAAATACATAGCTGGATCTTGTTACGAGCTGGACTCTGTTACATTCCATACATTACCTAATTTAATACTTGGCACCACCCTTTGAAATAGGTATTATCATGCCCATATTACAGTTGAGAATACTGCAGCTCAGAAACATGAAATACAAAAAAGTAAAATACTTTCTCAGGGTCATATAACAGCAAATGAAGAGAGCCAAAACTGGGATCAGTTTCTAGTTCTCAATCCCATCATGTTGCCAGGAATAGGGTAGACACTCAATAAACATGAATTGAACTTAATTAACATGTCGGCATGAGGAGTGCTTGATAGCAAGATAAGAATAACTTCTCATTAAATTGTCCTTCAAGTAAATAAACTATAATATTCTTTGTATCCCATCCCATCTCATAAATATTATTTTTCATATTTTAAATTTTTAAAAAATATTTATTATTTTATTTAAAGTCCTCTTAATGGGAACAAGAGACACTGGAGACTGCTTGAGTGGGGGAAGGTGAGATGGGTGTGTGGGCTGGAATGCCACCTACTGGGTATGCTCACCTACCTATGCTCACCTACCTTGGTGACGGAATCATTAATACACCAAACCTCAATAACACGCAATTTACCCATGTAACAAACCAGCACATATACCTTCTGAACCTAAAATAAAAGTAGAAAAAAAAAGTAATCTCAACATTATAATCAGTTGGAAAGAACATGTCTCCAGAATGGGGCAGAATTCCTTAAAAGTGCAAAGCTGTTGAACTATCACATCATTTCTTCTGGGCACTCTACTGCCATTAATGGTAGCATAAGGTCACATTAGCCTCTTAGATGTACATATCACATTGTTCATTAGAGGAAACCTAATTCATCTTCATGTTGGATTCTATTAAACCACATCTTCTTCATTTATACAGATGCTGCAGGTTTTGGGACACAATTATAGTATTTTACTTTTATTTCTATGACAAATATGAAATATTAAGTTCAATTTATTCCAATTGTAACCAATTAAAAACTTTAGGAAGCTGATTGCTACCTGATATTAGCATTCCTTCCTTTTTTAAAACAAAATGATTGAATTTACAGATTAATCCAAAGGAAATATAAATGTAACTTGAAAAGGGGGAAATTATTATCATTATCTTATCTTTCATCTTCTTATCTCTAATGATGAAATTGATAAGTGGTTATTTAAATAACACCTTTTCGTTTGCCCTCAGAGGAGAGAGAGTGATTGTATCTTTTTTACCTAGTAGAATTAGCCATAAAACACTTCTTCCTGCTAAGGACCTCCTCCCCTTCCAAAAAAAAAAAAAAATGTAGAAGAAGAAGAAGGGAACACACTGTGGGAGAAAATCCTTATTACTTTAAATCAACAGGATATAGGCAGGAGGTGGCTGAGGTGAGAGAGAGCAGTAGAGGAGGACATCACCTGTGACTATTTCCCTTTAATCCCTGCTGCACTCCCTGAGGCAGCACAGACAATTGGGAGTGATTAGACTTTGTCACATTTTAAAGCTATGTGAGAAATTAATTAAACTGTAGAGTTGCTGGAAAGCAACTAAAACAAAATGGAAGATTATTTTCTGTGTGTCCTGAGAAAGAAATGAAGTCACATCATTTAGAAAGCTAAAGGAGTTTCTCTGAAATCTGTCCTGTGCCTTGCAGTCATACGGTTGGGCACTGAAGCATGTCTTATGAAAATCATCAGTCTGGCTTGTTATAAGTAAAAATTTATAAAAGTCTGACTGGCAATATTCTAACCTAACTTAAATCACCAAAGTCTACTGCAGGCCATGATAGAAATAGAGATAACATCTGAATCTCTCATAGACCCAAGGGCTGTCCCAGCCTAAGACACAAGAAACACAGGTGGAAAAATAATCCATGGAATTAATTTGATAATTATACTTTAACCTGATGAATATGTGACAGCTGTCAAGAGGAAAGAGCCAAGAAGGAATAAAGTAGGGTAGGGGGACGTTGCTTATCAACTTTCGAGGTGCCTGGTTTTAAGCTTGGCTAGGGAAAATTATTATGGTTTTTGAAATGCACCCTGAAAAGATAAGATAGGATGTTGGAGAGACACAATCTCAGGGCATAGATAGTGAGGTATTGTCAGTATTTAAAATGAGAGATTTAAAATTCCCAAAGTTAGGGATAAATTTTATTAAACATCTCTTTAATCTTCTTAATATTGTGTCTTCTTAAGATTATCTGAAGAACTGTTTTAGAACTGATAAACGAAGAGGCATATGTTTAAGCCTTATTTTAGTTTGAAGATGAAGGTAGATCATCTTATTTAAAATTAAAATGAGAACAACTAACCACTGAGGTAGCCCTATAATATGATGTTTGTATTTGATATTAATATTTTATTTATTGTATGTATATATGTATTTTTTTTTTGAGACAAAGTGTTGCTCTGTTGCCCAGACTAGAATGTAACCTCCGCCTCCTGGGCTCAAGCCATTCTCCTGCCTCAGCCACCTGAGTAGCTGGGATTACACGTGTGCACCACTACATCCAGCTAATTTTTGTATTTTTAGTAGAGACAGTGTTTCACCATGTTGTCCAGGCTGGTCTTGAACTCCTGACCTCAGGTGATCCGCCTGCCTCATGCTCCAAAAGTGCTGGGATTACAGGTGTGAGCCACCACACTCAGCCTACAATTAGTATTTTTAATTTGTGTTTTATTAAAGCTGAATATTAGAGAGGAAAATTAAATATAGAATTACACATGTACAAAATAGGTAGCAAGTCCACATCCGTGACCTGTTGTGATCAGTTACAAATGGTCAGTGGTCTATTTAATAAAATTGCAGCTTTTACTCCTGTGTCTTTGGTAAGTGTTAAAAAGATGTAATGGCATATATCTCCTTATTTTTAGGTGAGATATATAAAAATATTTTCTTCTGAATGAAATAAATGCAACAGAGGGAAGTTACATGGCATGCCCAAATTTGCAAATCATGGAAGAGGGAGACTTTGAATACCTAGCTTCCTTCCAGTACATAAAATATCCTCGATTTCTCCACTTTTTTGCATATTAGAAAAGAATAACAGAGAAACAACATACTATCTAAGCCTAATTAATAATCCATAGTTGGTAGAAATTCACTATTTGATTTGCTGCCTAAAATAAAATATTTATGTTCTTTAATGACAAAGAAAATTAGTAGACAGAAATCAGGATGATCAAGAAGAAAAATATTGGGAAACTATGAGAAAGAATCCACAACAGGAAAATTTTTACATCAATTAAGTGTTTCGATCCAACAAGAGATATTTGTACAGACAGACCAGAAGAAATTTACCTGTAAGTTTTAGCTTTTAACATATTTTTAAGGACTCAAGCATTAATAAGTTAATATTGAATATTAATTTCCTGTGATAGTATCCAGGTAATCATTTTCAGAATAATCATCTACTTCTTTAAATAGTAAAACATCATTAAAGTGACAATTTTTAGAGCTTCCTCTGCTGTATAAAACTGGCAATTAAAAATTTGTTTTATCCTCCAAGTTTCTCCCCATATGCTACAGATTAAATATACATGATTTGGATTAAATATAGTAGTTGTGAAAAAAAACTCTATCTAATAAGTATATAAGAATTGTCTGAGGCCAGGCACGGTGGCTCATGCCTGTAATCCCAGCACTTTGGGAGGCTGAGGCAGGTGGATCACGAGGTCAGGAGATCGAGACCATCCTGGCTAACACAGTGAAACCCCATCTCTACCAAAAATACAAAAAAATTAGCCAGGTGCAGTGGCGGGCGCCTGTAGTCCCAGCTACTCGGGAGGCTGAGGCAGGAGAATGGTGTAAATCCTGGAGGCGGAGCTTGCAGCAAGCCGAGATCACACCACTGTACTTCAGCCTGGGTGACAGAGCAAGACTCCATCTCAAAAAAAAAAAAAAAAAAAGAATTGTCTGAGACATAATCATTAATAATAATGTTCTATTATTACATTTGTGCATGTATGGAAAGGACAAAAGAATTTTTTTGCTCTATCCTCCTATATTCAACAGATGGGGCCTGCAAATTAGACTGACAAAAGACAGATTAGCAGAAGGAAGAAGACAGAGTTTATTTATGCACACAACATGCATATGCATGAGAGAACTCAGTGATGAGTAACTTGAAGAAGTGGTTTGATTTGGGAGCTTATATACCATCTTAACAAAGAGTGACAAATTTCTGGAGAAGTGGCAAGACAAAAGAAAAGGAGTTTGGGCTTCTAGGGGCAGCAAATTGTGGGAAGAGAAATATGTGAGAGAAAATAATGGAAGATGCCACAATCTAAATGTCTGTGTGTCCCCAAATGTTATAAGTTGAAATCCTAACTCCCAAGACAGTGGTATCAGCAAGTATGGCTGTTGTGGAGGCGATTAGGTCTTAAGGGTACAGCCCTTATGAATGGGGGATTAGTGACCTTAGAAAGGAGGCACAGGGGAGCTCATTTGCACCCACTGCTATATGAATACACAGTGAAAAGACAGTGATCCTCCCACCCAGCCTCTAGAGTAGCTGGAAACACAGACACATGCTACCATACCTGACTAATTATATCTTCTGAGAGTAGTGCATGTGGAGAGGTAATAAACATGTTATCTAAAGTATGTGATACTGAAAGTAGCATACCATCAATGAATTCTTCTAAGTGGTTTATGTTTCTATAGAATTCAATTTATTTTCCTGCTAGCCCAAATCAGAAAATGTTGAAATGTTTTGTCTTCAGTGCCAATGTTGCCAAGTGAAGAAACAACCATGGGAATTACAATGAGTTAGATAGTCAGATACTGATACATTGGAAACTGAAAGAATTTGGAAGAGGGTAGATCTATTAACCTTCCAAATTTTTCTTGGACCCATGCATTAACTAACAGAAACAGAAAAACAAGTTGTAGACACAATTTAAAGTGACAAAATGCTTAAAATGTATTGAGTTTTGAATAGTTGCACATCATTTTAGTCACTAATTATGTCGCAGTAACCAACAAATCTCAAATCTTGGTGACTTATTTCCCATTCACATGACATATCAGTTGTAGGTCAGCTGTGGCTCTGCTCCACAAGTCTTTATTTCAGGATCCAGAAAAGAAGAGAGCCCCTTTTGAGGATATATTTTTCTTCTGGCAGAGCAATGGTTCGAACTATAAAATGGCTCTTTAAGTTCTGCTCAGAAGCAGCATATATCACTTCCCTTCACATTTCAATATTCAAAGCAAGTGATATGATCAATACTGATGTTAATGGAGTGAGGACTTTAAATCCTCTAAAGGATATCATTTTGAACAATAATACAATCTCTTGCATAAACACAAAATAATTTCCTATAACAAGTCAAAATTTCTTTGTTCCTAATTCCTACACGGTATAGTCTATTGTTTCTCCTTACAAATAGGTTCTAGAGTTCTTCTACTTCTGCTTCCACTGCCACCACCCTTATCCAGGGCACTTTTATTTCTTTTTCAACCATGATAACAGATTCCTAGCTGGTTTCTTCTCTTTATTCCTGGCCTCTACCTTCAATACACTCTCTAAAACAAGGGCCATCTCCTTTATATGTAAATAGATTCATGCTAGTGTTTAAAACCTTATCATCATTTTTCTTTCACTCATAACAAAACCTAAACTCTCCCCCATGGTGAACAAGGCCCTGCCTCACTGCTTTTGTTTTCCTCTCTTAGCTCCTCCTTTGCTTTTCCACTTTCTTCAGACACTCAACATAAAATGTTTTCCTTAAACTCTTCAAATGTCTCATCCCTTTCTTATATTTTGGTTTTAGTTTAAATGTCACCTTATCAGACAAGTCTTCCTCAACTACCCTATCTAAAGTGAAACCCCTCCCCAATGTCACCCCACTTCCTGTCATTTTCTATTTCAGCTAGTATTTACAGCATGAAGCACAATTTATAATTATTTCATGTGCTTGTCTTCTTGTTTTGTTTTCTCTCCCCTATGTAAGCTTCATATTGGAAAAGACCATAGCTATATTATTATTGTATCTAAGCCCTAAGTACTGTGTCTAGAATATACCATAGTAGTTATTTTAGAAACATGTGCTAGTTTAATTCATAAACAAAGTAAGTCTAGGATTTAGCACTGTCTTACAATAAATAAAAGTATTATACTTTCTCTGAATAGCATGGGACACGAGTGTATTAATAAATGATATACAGTACCAAATTTAGCATGTACTAAAAAAAATCTTTCTAGCTGAAGCCAATTTTGCACAATTACACTAGGAGAGAAGGTCTGCTAATGTTCTAAAGGACCACCCCGCAGCCTCTAGAATAGAATTCAACCAAAAGGAAGAAATAGATGGTTACACACATTATATTCTGCCCCTCTACATGTGACCCAGCAACCCTGAAGATGTGAAGTGATAAACCATGACCCTGAGGCTAAACAGATAATGAATAATCCGACAATGCAACTCAACCTGGAATAAATGTAGAAGGACCCCAGATACACAGCAACTATGTGAATCCTTTAATAGCTCAGAAGATCCAGAAGTCAGTTTGTCTGAGTCTGTTGAATTTTAGAGATGACTTACTGAAATCTCATCTATTTGCCTTTGTTATTGGATGATAGAAGCAAGCAGAATAGAGCAGAAAGTCTAGAAAGAGTACAAAAAGGTTAATAATAAATATCTATATTTATATACACCTTTATGAAAGAGAGACATATGCTTGCATGCTTTGTGTAGCCACTGCCTCATGGCCACCCAGCACACACATGGCCTCTTTACCACTGTGGTCTTACGTTGATGTCTGCTTCCTCTTGTCCTCTGTAACCATGGGGGTTTTAAAAAATATTTTCTTAAATTTTTCAGAAGACAGATGTGCATAAAGGGGGATGTTCTTTCTAACTCCAGGTCTCAGTAATCTTGCTCACATTGTTTACTATACATACCCCTCTTCTTCAATAAAATAAGCCAGATGGTCATGGTAAATAATAATAATAGTAATAAGGATAATACTTTATAGTACATATTTTTAAATTCTTTACTCTTTTATTCTCTCAACACCACTGTGAGATAAATATTGCATACTCAGTTATTTATTGAGTCCCTAATATGTGTCAGTCACTATTCTGAGGGGAATAGTGTTATCAGACATAGTTCCTGCCCTCAAGGAGTTAAGCTCCTATTAGGGAAGATAGAAACAGGACATTATGATAACATTTAAGCAGTTGGCATTTGTTCCTCCAGAAACTACGTTCCCCTGTTAAGAGATATTTGCTGTTCTTTGGGTGTTTGCTGTACAAAACCAGGGGGAAAGGGGAGGCATAAGAGGGATGCTTTTTTAAGCACAACAATGCTCAAAGACTGAACCCCAGGGCCACAGTTTTAACTTGGACACATAAATAACAGTAATAGCAGTAATAGGAGGTGGTATGGCAGAGATATAGATGAGAGATTATGGATTTTTCTGAGAAGGAGAAAAATATTGCAACTTTGTGGTGGTGCAGAAAGTTTTGTAGTGGAACAAAGAGAGATGGTGTGGAAAAGGGGGAATAGCAAAAGCTTGGTAATTGAGTCTGCATTGCACCAGTCCTTGAAAGATGTATTTTATCATGTGGAGTTGAAGGCAAAGTCATTCCAAATAGAAGAAACAGCATGAGCAAAGAACCCCAGAATCTTTAAATAATTGGATGTATATCTCCAAAAGAATGTTTTGTGGTTTGGCTGGAAAAAATAAATCAGTGGGTAAACCAGAGTAGAAGGAATTCGGTTTGGAAAGTTAAGTTGGAATTGATCATAAAAATTGTTTATGTGGTGTCCAGAGATTTTTGAATGACTTACTAATGGGATTGTGGACATGTGCTGCTTCAATTTTCCTTCTAGGAAGGATTTGGTGCCCAGCTCCTGGGAGTGCTATCAGTAATCTTCCCATTTTGTGGCAAAGGATGTACAACGAGTGCATCACCAAGGGCTCCATTTGTAGTACAATGCATTGCATCACCTGGCAGTAGCCATAATGTTGTAATGATCCTTACACAGCTCACCCAAGGTTCCAGCTTAGGGATGAAAGCTGGTGGAGCTGGAGTGCTATTCTCTAAAATGTTGTAAAGCACTGACTCAATACTATTGTGTCTCAAGTACTCATAATATGTAGGCCTTGCAATCAAGGGATATATGTAGAATTAGACCCTCTTACTATTATGCCCAGAGATCTACCTACAGGCTATATCTTTCTTATCCCTACAACTTTAGACTCTGTTTACTTAAAAGTCCTTGTTTTCTAGGAGAGGAATGCTTTCACCAATGAACAGAGTGACACTTTCACTGAAACTAAAGCTATGATAGCTGCATGGTCATATGGAGCATCATATGTGAGAAGACCAGCAAAGAAAATGCTTACTATGCTGGTGGGGGAAAATGAATTCTGATTATGATGAGGAGCTAGGTTCACAGCTACAAAACCAAAATAGGGAGTACATCTGGAACTTGGAGATTGACTGAAGCATTTCTTGGAGCTCCCATGCCTGATAAGACTGAATGGAAAATTGCATTTTCCATAGCTTGACAAAAGCAAAACAACCAAATGCTCAGACTCCTCAGGAATATAGTCTTGAATCATACCACCTAGCATATGGAAGTTTAATAGTGTATTTCTCAGTAATCAGTCATTGAAAAGAAAAAGGCATCCAAAGTCTCAGACTTCTCAGGGAATAACTCCATCATCTGACTGGACAAACACTTAATCAGCTACCATGCTGGTTGGACAAAGGTAAATGGGTGGTAGAGATTGGAGACAAGGAATATTGTTTATCACCTCAGGAAAAGCTGCAGGAGTGGGCACTGTGTTTTTCTCATTAACCTTAATTATTGACTCTTATTAAGAAAATGTGGCTAACTCATGAAGAGTTAATTGACATACTATAATTGATGTGGGTTACAAATAGATCTGGGTGATATATGGGTGGGTCGGATAAGATGCTTTTACTGGCCTGCAGCACATCCTCTCATTTCACTCCTAATTTTAGTTGCAGTGATGGTAGATAGTTCTCTGCATGCTGACAGTACCCCTTCTTGAATGTGAGTCAAGAATCTTGCTGCATTTCTGTCTCACAATTTTCACTGAAGAGGCAGAAGTCCAGTCAGCTCACAAGGGCAGGCATTGCCTGGCAGCGCAGGGCTGTTAATGCTTTAGGGGTTGCGATCTGATAAAAACCTCAGCCATCTTCCACGTGGATGCTGTTTGGAGGCCTTCTACATAGTTGTCAGAAGACATGGCTGAGTTGAAACCCTGTTGCCTACAAATGTGACCTCAATAATTCACCTTTCATTAGCTTTCCTGCTTTCTGTCACATTTTCTCTGTTTCTTCTCTTCAGCTTTCTGGAATGAACTCCCAAGTAAAATACCTGTACCTAAATTTGTGTCTCAGGTTCTGTTTATGGGATAATTCAAACTAAACAATTATGATGGTACTTTGGAAAACAAGGATACATATATATGAGAATTGCATATAACAACTAACTCATGTGTCTAGGAAGCCAAATAGGGCAAAGAATAACCAAGTACAGTAATTCAGAAGCAATAAAAAGAGTTTTACATTATATAAGTCGGACAGCCAGGAATAATGCTAGTGTTGGGGAAAAGTCCATCTGTCATTTGTGTTAAGATGCTTATTATTAGACATCTTGCATTGCTGTGCTCCATGTACCAAATTAAAATGAATTGAGCAAAACAATTATACGAGTCGCTCATCTCCTCAGTGTTTTCTTTAATACAGCATTTATTGCTTGTTTTTCTATATATAAAGTAATATATATTCCTAATAGAACATTTAGATATTACAAAAGTCTATAGAAATATTGCTTATAGGCCTGCCATCCAAGAGTTTTCATCAGTTAGTGTGATACAAGTTTAAAGCTGTAAAATAAATAAATGAACATGTGTATGTACAATTGAAATATATATATATTTCAATTCTGTTAATATAAATGTATGACTATATTTATGCTGTATGGATATAATGTGAAAAGTCTAAATTTCAGTCTCTGTGAATGTAAAGCTCAAATAAACTGGTCCTCTGCCTCTTCACTTACTCATTGTCCAAGGATAGCCCCAACCCCCTTCAACTGTCATAAGCATGATAATACTTCAGTCTGCAAAAATACTATAGTTTATTGACCTACTCTTAGACAATCGGGTTGTTTTAAATTTTGTTAATTATTATTATTTGAGCAAATCTATGATGGGACAAATAGGTTAAAAGTTGGAAAGACCTTTTCTTTTTTAACAATATTGCCAAGTCGCTTTTCTGAAAGACTGAACAAATCACTCTTCCACCAGTCGGCAGTGAATAAACCCTCAAACCCTCTCACCCTCTCCCATACTAGGTTTTGTTTTTATTTTGTTTTTTTTTAACAGTGATAGGCCTGGATCATCAGGGGAGCCAGGTCAAGAGGACCCTGCAGACAAGTAATTTGAATAGTGCATTGTAGCCTGAACAGGTACTGCATGGTAGAGAGTGAATATGAACAACAGTGAGAACTTCACAGGGTACCATCTACACTTGAACAAAATAATGGGGTCTACCTCTAATTAACAACTACTTGTCCATTTTTGCATGCATATTTTTGGTTTTACAACACAGAGATCTATTTTCAAATGTGACCCTTAGAGGCATGATATTTTAATAAGAACTGAAACTTTTAGCTTGAAAAAATATATAATCAGATCATCCTCAGTGCTGTTTAGCCCTCTGAGTCAAACTCAAGCCCTCCCTCATGAGTAATGCTGTCCTCATTATTTTTTTTTCTGCCAGATGGCTTGCTAATTTAAAGTCCCTGAAGTGATAGGTGTTTTATTATAGACAATCCACTTGGCTGGGAAAAGTAAGACTGCAGCCTTTCACACCTTCACTGATGAAGTTAATGAGTTCATATCAACTTTATGAAACTCATTTCACTTATTCAGACTTGCAGAATTGGATACAGGAGAATAAACATAGATTTCAAGTTCCAGGAATATTTTGATGAAGTTCATCCAGAAAAAGTTATGAAAATGCAAGAAAAAATATGATGTTATTTTCCATGAACACTACCAATGCCTCTAGTCAAGGCCTTTACTAATTTATGACAGTTTATTGTTAGAGATTATTAATTGGTTTTCTGCTTTTAATCTCTCACTTCTCTAAATCACACTTCATATGATGATCAGGATAAAATCCCTCCAAATGCCTCGAATATCATCCAACTAATGATTATTTGAGGTCTTTCTTGGCCCGTCATTCAAATTCATTCAAACCATCCATTCCTTGCTTACCTTGCTCATATTCTTCAGCACAATCCCTGCACTTCTCCCAAGACAAGTCCACTCAAAGTCCAGTTATGTTATTTCTGGTCAGTTCACCCTTTTGCTTCTATTTCTGGTCTTGGTTTATCTACTTCTGTTTTTATTATTTTTTTTAACTATCCAAAGCCTGGCTCAAGGGCCGCCTTTCCTATGAAATCTTCTTTGACTTCTTTTCTAAAGTTATTTATGCCTCTCATGAATTCTTGAAAAAATTGTTTTCTGTACCACTCATGGGCAACAATTTACATACTGTCTTTTATTGCAGTTAAATTTACATATCATCTCTGCAGATTACAAATTATGGAGATGTAGGAAACATGGCTTGGGCACTGTTAACATTCCTTAATTCATTTAGCAGAGAACTTTGCAAAAAGCAGATGAAAAATTAATATTTATTAATTTTAATTCTGTATACATTTTCTAGGTAATATTGATGAATATTAAATGACTCATAATAATAAGTACAATGAATCACTTACCAAAAAAATCCCAATAATTATTAAATAATGTACTTTCTTGTTGACACTGCTAAGATGCCTAAAATAGAGTTGTCTAATATAAACCTAACTCAGGCACATGGATAATTTTTAAATAAGAGCTGAAATATATACTTAGAATAATTGAGAACAAGATATAACACATAAATGTGAATAAGATACTATGAAATTAAAGTATCATACGTGATTGTGTAACTGCAGTTGTGGATAGAAAAGGTCATGATTAAGGAAATTACATAATTTTATTTTAGTAAAATAGTGTTTTTCCTTCTTTAGCTGACTACTTTGGAGAGATTCAGAGGTTTTTTTTTTGGAACTATTTGGAGTGTTTATATCTCTTCAAACGCACTTTGGGATAAATTCTAAATTCTAGTACTTTAAGTACTACTAATAAGTTTAAATACAAAAGTTTCTGCCTCTGTTTTCTACTTTTTTTTTTTTTTTTTGAGACGGAGTCTCGCTCTGTCGCCCAGGTTGGAGTGCAGTGGCGTGATCTGGGCTCACTGCAAGCGCCGCCTCCTGGGTTCACACCATTCTCCTGCCTCAGCCTCCCATGTAGGTGGGACTACAGGTGCCCACCACCACTGTTTTCTACATTATTTAAATCTTTATGCAAAAATTGTGAAAAATGTTAACTATGCATTTTTGCTGAAATATTAGGGTTCCTATAATTGAACCATTACTCTAAAAAACTTTGAAATATACTCCTTGATTATCAAAAATTAGAAAATTATGATGGTCAAATATTTATTTATCAACAAATACTTATTGGGTAACTGCTATGTACCAGAAAGTATTCAAGTGGCAAAGTATTTTAGATGTAAAAAGATAGCATTTCTGACCAGAGAAAGTATATATACTAATTAGGTAACACAGACCAAAAAATAGAAAAACATGACAAATAATTATATTTATGTATGTTACAATATGACAAGGACTTAAATAGAAATAAGGTGATTAGCAGTCTTGGAGTACAACTTACACAATTTCTATTTTAAGTCTTATTTCATGGATCTGAAGTACTAACCTAGATCAATTGTAGACTGGATAAAGAAGATGTGGCACATATATACCATGGAATACTACGCAGCCATAAAAAAGAACGAGATTATGTCCTTTGCAACAACATGTATGGAGCTGGAGGCCCTTATCCTATGTGAACCAACACAAGAACAGAAAACCAAATACCTCATGTTCTCACTTGTAAGTGGGAGCTAAACATTGAGAGTTTGGTGTACTCAGAGTTAAGTTCCCACTTATAAGTGAGAACATGCAGTATTTGGTTTTCTGTTCAAAGAAGAGAACAACAAAGAAGGTAACAAAGAAGGGAACAGACACCAGGGTCTACCTGAAGGTTGATGCAGGGAGAATTGTGAGGATTGAAAAAATGCCCATTAGGTACTATGTGTGTTACCTGGGTGGCAAAATAATGTGTAAATCAAATCCCCATGAGATGCAATTTACCTATATAACAAATCTGCAATTATACCTCCAAGCCTAAAATAAAAGTTAAAAAAAAAAACAAACTAAAAATGAATTTTAGTCTAATTTTCTTTGGGGAAATAAACCGAAACTTAGCTTACTATTCATGAAATTATCTTATTTTTTCTTTTCATAAAGAACATATATCATAATGAATTTCTATTAAACTACTGGCTTAAATCAGAAGTTTTTTATTTCTAAAGGTTGATTCAAATTTTAGGTTGTAAATTGATTTTAACTTGTGTTATTTACTACATGAAATTTTTTTGGCAATGTTTTAAGTGACTCTACTAAAACCTTTTTTTCCAAAGCAATATGAAGACCAAACTTGTAATAACACTTGGAAAAAAAAAATTTTTTTTCAATGAGTGACATGATTAGACTCAAATATAGGTCTAGCAGTTCCAAAATTACTATACATGTGTTTTAAAAAAATCTAGGAACACACAAACACACACACACATATACATGCACACAGATATATAGTTATTTTTGAAAGCAAATAAAATGAATTTACCTGTTTACTAAAAACCATCTGCTTGTTTTATGCTTTAGAGTCAAACTTGAAATGAGTGCACATGGATCTCATTTTCAACTGAAATGAGACATTTTCTATCCTTACTCTTGATGCTTGTCTTGTTAAGAATAAACTTGCTCACACATGGAAGAGTTGCAAACTGCAGAAAATTCTTCAGTATTTTCCTATGAATGGCAAGTTACTACCTTTCACAGAAATAGATAACTTGTCTTGGGACAGATTGGAAAATCTTATCTCGTACATAGGATTAGACAGTTCACAGCATTCTTCTTCTTTTCTCCAAGTCAAGTTCTCAGGCTGAGAAGATTCAAAGAAAGGATTGTTACTCTATTATACACTTATTGTGAAATGGGGTCATTGGGAAGATGCTGTTCAACTTTGTACTGTTTCGTTTAGGTAGTTTCAATTACAACTTACGATTTAGAAATATATTTCCTCATTATCAAGACCAAGAGGCAGTAAGAACACTTCAAGATTTCCTTTTGGAGTCATGATTTTTCAGAATATTTTGTTTGCTTTTAAATCTAATACTCTTATCATTTGAAGTCAAGGCATTTTCTGAAGAGCCTCATGGAGACTTGTTCATCTGGTTCATGAAGTCAAAAATATGTATTAAGCAGACTGGTTTTCTGCAGCCATTCTTCATCTTCAAACACTCAGCAAAATCTGTAATTTAGCTTTCAACTCACTCTACTAAGAATTCTTTCCCTGTTAAACCCTCAGATATCTGTATGCAGAAGGAGAGTTATGAGCTCTTTTCCAGGTTTTTACAAAGTTTCAAAGCATTCTCAAGTGAACAATCATTGTTTAATAAAGTTAAATAAAATGGTCATCCAGGATTCTCTTAAAAATTTCATTTCCGATAAGTTTTTGACACAGTATCTCTCTGAAAAAAGCAGTGTATGGTGACATTATTTTACAAGTGAAGTGAAACCTCTCATAAAGCCAACTGTTGAAGGTGCACCATCTATGCAGATACCAACCCAGTTCTCCAAGACAAATCTTTCGTTTACAAAATTCTTAAATATATCATGGCCTTTGCTTGTTTCCTGTAGTTCCTTATAGCAGAAAAAGTTTTCTTAAATCTCAATGTTATTTACAAACCTTACATATGCTACAGCATGACATTTTTTGGTGAAATCTGTTGACTCAGCAACCTGGACAGAGAAGTTGTTTTCAGTTCATTACATACAACCTTCTCAGCATGATGTGAAGCACCATCAATACGTCACCTTATTTACTACTGGAAAGTGGGATCATTTCATTTTATTATACTGCATCTTGTGGCATTTTCCTCGCTCCAATTTTACATGTTGGCATCATTAGTTTTCTTTTTCTGGGCAAGAAGTTTGCTGCTCAGTAAATTGCTTCTCAGGCTGTTCAAAACTGACTGTTTTGAATTTCCAATTGTTGTTTTAAAAAATCAAAGCTTTTACTTATAAAATGGCTGTGAGTTTGGTGGAGCCATTGGTGCATTTGAAAGTTGTTTTCCATAGGCCATGCACAACAGAATAGAAGATGTGAATTATCAACCCATATAAAACACATTGATAAGTAACCTTCCTTGCAAAAACAGGTGATCTTGTGTCCCTTGCTCCACTACTGCAGTGAAGTAACATATATAAGATTTTAGTTTCGCATCAATAACCACATTAAACTTTCCCAGAGGCACAGGCCTAGAATTTTCCTATCTCACCTCTCATCTTCAAAAATTGCCCTATTGGACTTCAAATATGTTTGTAAAACACAAATGCTAATTAAACATAAAATAAAAGGGTGTAACAAGTAACTAAACAAAAAAATTGCAAAAAATACAAAATCTTCACAACACAATTTACTTCTTTCACCATTGACATTTTATAACACTTGCCACAACCACAAAGCAATGGAAGAAGGATAGATAGGGGGTGAGTCAATCAACCAGCTGAATCATGGCAGCTTTTTAGTATAGAATTCCTTTTTTAGAATAGAAATGTCTATCAAGCCTCTACACTTGCAAACACTCTCTCCTGTTTGTGTACACTTTGGCTACAATCAAATATATTGATGTCATTTAGGTCTTGCAGTGTTGATAAACATGAGGAATGAAAGAAGACAAATTCTGTAAAAAAAAATTAAAATAAAAGTAAAACCCAAGTATTTCACACATTGCTTAGGAAAAAATGACAAAAGTGCTGGAGGGAAAATTCTCTATTATGCTAGCAAATATTTTTTGGTTCCCATATTTCCAATGTGATGGAATTGCGATGTGCAAACACCACTCTTGGAACTATATAGAAAAGCTAAACTGGAAGGCAAGGAAAGTAGATTCTGCTATTGGCTCTTCCACCATCTATATTTTGGTTCTTTCATTCATAAGTCAAGTCACCTACTTGACTTATGATATGGGAATTTTAAGTTCCAAGATTCCATAATTGTTATCCTTGGTCTCAAGAGGATGCATCAATGTATTAAAGAGGACAAATTTCTCCCTTAATCATACATTCAGACTTTTGAAAACATCCTACCTAATGCTACATTGGAAAATTCTACTTCATCTGCTTTGCTCCTTGTAAATGAGGAGGTATGATTTTCTGAACTGGGTATAGAGTATGAAGAAGTTAACCCTTTGAAGTTGCAGAGGGAAAAGGTTACAGGAAAAGTATCATGGAAAATTTGGAATAACTATGGTGATAAAATACTTGACATCACATCTTCGCACTATTGTTTTGCCTTAGGTTCCAGATTCTGCATTTTTACATCCTGGAAAAGATGTGGGAAAAATATTATTTGAAATATGCCTTGCACATGGCACTCAGCGTGTTTATCTAGGGCAGCGTGTGGCAGCTCAGTCCTCCTGCAATACCTCAAACTGCACAACTAAATAGTCAGCATCTGTTATACTCCCGCACACTTTATTGTTGATTGGAAGCCAAAAAAAAAAAAAAAAAAAGCTGTGGCTTCTTCTTCACACAACAGAAGGTAAACTATTGGCACTCAGATGCTAAATAATGCCATTATAAAGAATGTTATGTATGAAAGGTAGTTAAAAAATAAACTCATGTACCACTTAAAGAAGTTTGTTTTATAAGGTTAAGCTATGGTAAAAACAAATAACTGCTCGTTACTTTCAAGTCTCTCTCAAGTATATTAATCAAAAAAGTAGGGACCTCAGAATTAAAATTCATGTTGTACATTTACTTTTTGAGTACCAATTCACACAGATTTGCCCCTTAACAACACTGGATTATTTATATTCGTTGACATAAATGAAAGCTAGAATGTCACCTCATATAATCTCTCCAGCCCTAAAATTGTATCTAACATTAAAATTAAAATTTTAATGGTTGAACTTGGATGATACTTTGACAAGTTCATTAACAGTGACTACACAGAGGTCAAGTGATAATAAATGTAATGTCTTGTATGCTTTTATGTTAATATGCCTAATTGGTAGATGAAACCTCCACTCAAAGCCATAGTCTTACAATAAAATTAACCTCAATAATTGTCATAATATAAACCCAAGTATAAAAGAGTTAATAAAAGGATAAGTTTTGACCTTAGAAGAGACTAATAAAGTAGAAAAACTTCACTGTCAATCATGCTGGGTTTGAATCACAGCTCCATCTCTTGCATGCTGGACAAGTTATAGTTCTCTCATCCTCAATTTCCTCTATGTAGAAGGAATAATTAAATACCCCCCCCCCCATTGAGTATTTTGTAGAGTAAATCACATATGTGTCTAAAGCAGCTAGCATAGTCTCGTACAGACAGAGTGCTATGAAAGTCACCTTCATCTACTGCTCCAGATTGCTAAGCTCTCTAGAGTAGGTCAGTATCCCATTAACCATCATATTCTCATTGTGTAATGTTACATCTGGCATATAGTGGATTTTCTCTGGTTAAGTTGTTCAACTCACCTTTTGTTTTCTATCCTTCAGGTCCCATCAACATACTCTAAATATAAAAGCCCTATGTGCTTCTACGTCTTCTTCAATTATTTCCTCAAAGAAAGAAGTGAACAAACAAAATAACATATATTTAGAAAGAGGTTAACACTTAGTTCTCTAATCAGTGACATTCTAGAGAGAGTAACCTAGCAGTTGTCTCTAGTGACTTCTAGGTTCACTGTCATGAAAACCTAAATATAAGTACTAATATTCTGTTAATGCTTTACTGAGTATGCACAAGAGGAAAACACATTTCTCCTGCCTATGCAGCTTCAATAATTATTTCCTCTTAATGTCTCTTGATTACGTGGCATAGATATAAAATACAACATTTGGTTATAACTCTGCAAGGTGTATACTAAGAGTTGGTACCACGTCTGCCACCAGAAGCTGGATGTCAGTGAAAATGGCATCTAATTACAAAAGTTAAATGGTAGCCAGAATCCCCTTTCCTCTCTTTTCTGTATATGCCAGTTAGCTTACATTGTTTATGTGTAAGATTATTTTTTTTTTTTAAGTTTCTGGAGAGTTTTTTAACTTTCACACCTAGTGCTCCGGTTCAGCGCTACTGTGGTGGCTCCGAGGAATTTCACCTAATTATTACTGAGAGCAAAGCAGGAGGAGCATTCTCTCTTCACCCAATTTTTGGTCTTGTAATATTCAGGTCCTGTATTCAAGGGTGTTCAGCCTAGTGGACACATGTGATGAAATCCATTCCACACTCCATGAACCAACATGTGCCTGTCAAGGCTATGCCTGCCTAGCAGAAATACCTTGTCACAATTTCATGAAACAGCCTCCCGGGCTAGGATATCCCTGGTTTCTCTGTTCTTGACCCAGCACTTGAGTAAGGGCAGCTTTCAATGTACTTTAAATGGATTGCCTTTTAAATGATTGCAAACAATTCTTGTTGTCAAGTCGTTATTGTTATTCATACTAAAATCTTTTTTCTTCCCCATATCCTAATTTGTAGCAGTGCCATCTTAGGGATGCAGAATTTTTCTACTTTGGGATAAATTATCTGATTACGTACTTCTGACAAAAATTCCTCATGCAAACCCGCTTTAAAGTAAAATGGTTTCATAATTTTTGTTGGTACTGACATTAAAGGTATTAAATATATTTTAATGGTTCTCTGCAGTTTACCACCTTCTCTTCTTCCCAGTAAATTACATACAAAACTGGGAATATATTGCAAAAATAACAGAGGTGAGATATACATCTATGTATTAATAATCCTTCCTTCCTTCCTTTCCTTCCTTCCCTTCCCTTCTCTTCCCCTTCCTTCCTTCCCCTTCCGTTCCTTTCCCCTTCCTTCCTTCCTTCCTTTCCTTCCTTCTTTCCTTCCTTCCTTCTTTCCTTCCCTCCTTCCTTTCTTCTTTCTTTTGTTCCTTTTCAGCCATCCATCCATCCACCCATCCATCCACCCATTTATTCATCCATGTATATTCTTTGGCTTTCCAGTCTGGTTTCTTAACCACTATAATTCTGGACTACCTGAGTAAACTGTTCTTCATTATAAAAGAATTGTACAGGGGAAGCAATTGGGCAAACCAAGAATTCTCACGCAGATTGTGATTGAAACTCAGTGGGATAGAAAGACAGCACTTTGATTAGGAGCCCTTCATTGTATTTACCATTTCTACTGTCCTTTAAACTTTATCCTGGCCGGGCACGGTGGCTCACACCAGCACGATGGGAGGCCAAGGCAGGCGGATCACAAGGTCAAGAGATTGAGACCATCCTGGCCAACATAGTGAAACCCCATCTCTACTAAAAACACAAAAAATAGCTGGGCATGGTGGTGAGTGCCTGTAGTCCTAGTTACTCAGGAGGCTGAGGCAGGAGAATCACTTGAACCCGGGAGGCAGAGGTTGCAGTGAGCCGAGATCACACTACTGCACTCCAGCCTGGTGACAGAGTAAGACTCCGTCAAAACAAACAAACAAACAAACAAACAAAAACACCTTATCCTCCAACATAGATAATGAGAGTATTTTGTAAGATGCGAAGACCATATATGCTTGGGAAGCTTACGCCGAAATACAATTATATAACCTGGGTCATTAGTTTGTGATAAAAATAACATTGTACTTATTTTAAATTTGAAGCTATTTTACCAAATTCTCCTCTCTCCTCTAGTGAGAATACCTTTCTTTCCTTCAAAGGATGCCTTTCCTCAAGATAATTGAAAGCATCCTAAGGGCAACCTCATTCCACAAGTCTAGTTTTGGTCCCTAGCCTTTCCACTGGAGAGGGAAGTTTGATTTATCCCCGTGGCAATGGAGGACTCTAAAACAGCTACTGGAGGCTGAGTGCCAGTGGGATACTCTGTGGTTGCTAAGCCTAAGGTGGGCATCACTGCTGACTCCTAGAGATTCTACAGAGAAACCTCTTCTTCATTCGCTAGAAGACATTGTTACTATCAGTAAGGTTAAAGGGATTGCCTGCCTCCCCACTGAAGTTAGATGACTCACATTAGTTACTTGAATTTAATTTGTCTATATTTCATGTGGATAAAGATCACAGTGCCATAGCTCTTTAGAGACACATATCTCTCAATATGAACATAGTCTTTCTCTCTTTCTCACCCTCTCTTACATGATTTTTTCATGATGTTTCCTAAATATCCCCCTTGTTAAAATAAAATAAGTCAGGCATAGTGGCTCATGCCTGAAATCCCAGCACTTTGGGAGGCCAAGGCATAAAGAAAACTTGAGCCCAGAAGTTTAAGACCAACGTAGGCAATATAGGGAGACACTATCTCTATAAAAAATTTTTTAAAAGCAGGCATGTGACACACACTTATAGTCCCAGCAACTCAGAAGGCTGAAGTGGGAGGATCACTTGAGCGTGGGAGTTCCAGGCTGCAGTGAGTCAAGATTGTACCACTGCACTCCAGCCTGGGTGACAGAGCAAGACTTTGTCTCAAAAAATAAATAAAATGAGCCAAATCAAAGGGTCCTATTTTTTTTTTTCAGAGTAAAAATAAGAGGTCTTCCAAGATCTGTGCATCCACAATCAATCGTTTTGAGTGACCTCATGTCCTGCTACCTTGTTCCCTCTATAACCTTCTCACTTCTCTCTGAGGATGCCAAACACCACCCATTTCTAGGCATTCCCACCCATATTTCTCTCTCCTAGAAACATACTTCCACCAGATATCTACTGTGTCTCCTGTCTTCACCTCCTTACCTCCTTTAAGCCACAATTCAAATGTCAGCTTTTCAAAGAGGCCTGCTCAGATTACACCATTTGGATTACAACTCCCAATGCCCACCTGTAGTCTCAGGTGTCTTTCCCTTGCTTTATTTTTTAAATTTATGCATTGTTTTTAGTCTGTTCTCACACTGCTATAAATAACTACCTGAGACTGAGTAATTTATGAAGAAAAGAGGTTTAATTGACTCACACTTCTGCAGGCTGTACAGCAGCATGGTTGGGAGGCCTCAGGAAACTTAAACCATGGTGGAAGGCAAAGGTGAAGCAAGCACATCTTATCATGGCAGAGCAAGGAAGGAACTGCCACACACTGTTAAACTATCAGACCTTGTGAGGGCTCACTCACTGTCATGAGAACAGCATGGAGGATACTGCCCCTGTGATCCAATCACCTCCCACCAGGTCCCCCCACCCCCACCATCTGGGGATTGCAATTCCGGATGAGACTTGGGTGGGGACACAGAGCCAAACCAATATTATGCATGCTATTTCATTCCATAATTAACATGTCCTTATACAAATAAGATTTCACACTATGTTTTTAAAAATTTTAATAAACTTTACTTTTAAAAATAGTTTTAGATTTACAGAAACATTGAGAAGATAGTTCAGGGAGTTCCCATATACCTATACTCCATACAACCCCACACAGTTTTCCCTATCAATATCTTACATTAGTTTGGTGTGTTTGTTACAATTTATGAGGCAATATTAATATATTAGGATTAACTGAAGCATACATTTTATTTAGATTCCCTTAGTTTTTACTAATGTCATTTTCCTTATCCAGCATCCCATGAAAGATACCACATTATATTGAGTTATCCTGTTTCCTTTGGCTTCTCTTGGCTATGACGATTTCTCATACTTGCCTTGTTTTTGATGACCTTAACAATTTTGAGGAATATTGGTTAGGTATCTTGTAGAATGCCCTTCTATTGGAATTGCTCTGAAGTTTTTCTTATGATTAAACCAGGGTTATGGGTTTTGGGGAGGAGGCTGACAGAGTGCCATCTTCACCATATCATATCAAGGGTATATACTACCAACATGATGAATCACTGTTATTAATCTTGATCTCCTGACTGAGGTAGCATTTGTTGGTTTTCTCCACTGTAAAATTTCTCTTTTCCTTTTCCCTCTTTTTATACTGTACCCTTTGAAGGAAGTTACTAGGCACAGCTCCCCCTTGTGGAATAAAAAGCTATGATTCATCCTTGAGGGTGTTACATCTACATAAATTGTTTAAAATTCTTTTGTATCAGAAATATCTTTATTCTCTCATTTATTTATTTCTCCTCACATTTATTTATGTCAGTGACAACTCAAGGATGTTTATTTTATACTTTGGGTTGTAATCCAATAATACTTCATTGCTCAAAATGTTCTCATTTTGGCCACTAGAGCTCTTTCAGTTGGTTCCTATGTCCTTTTGGAAAATCCCCAACATTGTGGGGTTTTGTTTCATTTTGCTTTGTTCTGTTCGAGCTTATTGTCTGCACAAGATGATCCAAGCTCCTTGTTCCTTTTATTGGAGAATGGAATTAGACACCAAAACCTAGGCAGTTGTTGCTACTAGGGTATTGATGCTTCTAGGCCCTCTTAGCTAACAGAGTATGAAATATATTTATGTATACTGTATTAGTCAGGGTTCTTCAGAACCAACAGGATACATACACATACATACATATACACATGTATATACAAGGAGATTTATTATAGAAATTGGTTCACATAGTTATAGAGGCTAAGATGTGCCACAGTCTGCCATCTCTAAACTGGAGAACAAGGAAAGTGGGTAGTGTGATTCAGCCCAAAGACCTGAGAACTGGGGCCCACAGGTGTAAAATCTGATCAAAATCTGAAAGCTCAAGAACCAGCAACAACAATGTCAGAGTGCAGAAGAAGATGAAAGTCTCAGCTCAAAAAACCCTTCCCCTGGCTTTTTTGTCTATTCAGGTCCTCACCCAACTGGATGATGTTCACCTACAATAGTGAGGGTGACGTTCTGTACTCAGTCTATGATTCAAATGGTAATCTCTTCTAGAAACACTCACAGACACACTCAGAAATAACATTTTACCTGCTCTCTGGACATTCCTTAGTCCAGTCAAGCTGACACATAAAATTAACCAGCACATGTAACCCATGTACATCTTATCTATACATATTTCTATATGTAACCATTTGTATCTATATTGCTAAGAATGAGATCATAGTGATATTTCAAACTTTAATCCATTACCACATGAACCATACTAGTCTCCTCTCCTTGCATGTCTGAAAATTCCCATTCCAGCAATGAGAACTTGGTTTCAATCACGTGTTATCTGTTTACTTACTTTTCAGTATACATGCAGAGTGATTTCAAAATTGTTCATCTGTGCCATTATGGGAAAAAAAATTATTAACTCAAGTGTAGCACTGAAGTATAGCTCCTTTTGCCTTGAGTCTTACAGTCCACTCATTTCCAAAACCTTTCTTCCATTCAATTGAGTTAATATCTTTGTAGCACAATTAGATTATTTTGTCACATTCTGCATTCTATCCTGAGATCCTCTTACCTGCTAAATGATTTTTTAAATTTGCATATATTAACATTCATTCTTTGTCCTGGAAATCTCTATGAGTTTTGACAAATGCATAGTTATATATTTACAATTACAATATAATACAAAATAATTTTTCCACTATAGGAGATCACCTGTCCTTTCTTTAGCCCTACCCTTTTCTCCTCCAGCCCCAGGAAATCACTGATATTATGACAGTCTCTATAGTTTTGCCTTTACCAGAGTGTCATATAAATGGAATCATGCAGTATGTAGTCCTTTCAGATGGGCTTTTTTTTCCAGTTAACAATACATATTTAAGGTTCATTTATGTATTTTTGTGGCTTCATAGCTAATTTATTTTTATTGTCAAATAATATTCCAATACATGGCTGTACCATAGTTTATCCGTTCTCCTATTGCAGGCCATTTTGAGTGCTTCTAGATTTTGGTGATTATGAAAAAAAAACTTAAAATCATTCATGTCCATGTTTTTCTGTAGACTTAGGTTTTAAATCAGTTGCATAAATGTCTAGGAAAAAATTACTGGATATATAGTAAGATTTGTTTAACTTTGAAAGAGATTGTCAAAATGTCTTCCAAAGTAGCAGTATGATTTTTCTTTCCCACCAGCAATAAATGACAATTTCTGTCACTCGATATCTTGGCCAGTATGTTGTATCGTCAGTTTTTTGGAATTTAGCCATTCTAATAGGCGTGTACTGGCATGTCATTATTATTTTAATTTGCAATTCCCTAATGGAAAATGATGTTGAGTATTCTTTTATATCCTTATTTTCCATCTGTTTATCTTTTTTAATGCAGTGCCTCTGGATTTCTTCCCCATTTTTAAATTGGGTTGCTTGCTTTTTTATTTTTGAGTTTTAAGTGTTTGTATATTTCAGATACACATTCTTCATCAGATCTGTATTTTCCAAATATTTTTTTCTAGTCTTATCTTTTTGTTCTCTTAACAATGTCTTTCATAAAGCAAAATTTACTTTAATTAAATCTGTTTTTAGTTCTTTCACAAATTGTGCCTTTTGTGTTATTCTTAAAAATTGCCAAAACCAATGTCACTGAGATATTTTCTTGTTTTCTTCTAGAAGCTTTATAGTTTAACATTTAGGTCTGCAAGGTATTTTGAGCTAAATTTTGTGGAAAGTGTATAGTCTGTGTCTGGATGTCCCTCTCCCCTTTTTCATACAGACATTCAATTGTCTGAACATGCTATCTTTTCTTGGTTGAATTGCTTTTGCTCTTTCTTCAAATATCAGTTGAGCACATTCATTTTGGTATATTTCTGGGGTTTTATTCTCATTGATTTATCTATGGGCATTTATTTATTTATTTATTTATGACGGACTCTCCCTCTGTCACCCAGGCTGGAGTGCAGTGGCTTGAATTTGGCTCACTGCAACCTGCAACCTTTGCCTCCTGGGTTGAAGCAATTCTCCTGCCTCAGCCTCCCGAGTAGCTGGGACTACAGGCGTGTGCCACCACGCCCAGCTATGTGCCTATTTTTGGTTGTTGTTATTGATATCAATCTCTTTTGATTATTGTAGCTTTAGAGTAGGTCCTGAAATCAGCTAGTGTTAAGTCCCTCAGTATTAGGTTGGTTGTTCTAGGTCTTTTGATTTTCCATGTAAACTTTAGAATCAGTTCGTGAATATTTATAAATAGCCTGCTGGAATTTTTGTTGGGATTGCATTGACTCTATAGAAAACATTGGGAAGAACTGACATCCAACATTATTGAATCTGGTGGAATATTTATATAAAATATCCCTCCATTTATTAGATCTGCACTGATCTCTTTCATCGAAGTTTGGTAGTTTTCCACATGTAGCTTCTCTGTGTATTTGGTGCTGTTGTAAATGGTATTTTTAAATATTGAACTGATTTTTCTTGTCCTTTAACATGTTTTACTTTTGTTGAAATGTTTTATTGTTGAAAGACTTACATGATGTATTAGATAACAAGAACGGAGGTATATGGCCATTTGTGTGAGGTTTTATGTTATTTTGGCTAGGAGTTGTACTGTGTTCAATATTTGCTTTAGCCATATGTTCCAGAGACTTCACATTCTATGAGATTCTGTTTTTTTATTCTCTACTGTCTTTGGGCTTCCCTAAAAACTCATATGTAAATAAAGTCTGTGCCTTGCAGGTTTTTTAACTGTTCTCCACTATTACTCACTATTACTATATACACTAGTACCCTGTTGATGTGGTGGTAGCAAGTATGTTAAAGGAATCCTTCTATAATCTTATGATGGGATCTTAGTCCTTTACTAGACCTGTGTTCCTGGGCTGTGATCTACACCAGTATTTCCTAGTTTTGTTCTCCCCTTTCAGGTGAGACAGAATTGCTAGATGGGAATGAAGTTGGGTAAACACCGCTCCTGTTGGGTGTAATAAAGCTCTGAGAAGTCTTTTTCCCAGGATAGTAGGTCTTTGTTATAGAGAATGTCCCGGGCATTTTTTTTTTTTCATTTGATGAGTTTAATGCTCAATGGTAGCAACTTATTGTACAAGATGACTCCATTGCCACAAGAGAGATATGTCTGCCGATAGGGTCACATATTCAGATTGGCTGGATATGGCACTATCATCCCTGGGCAGAAGGCAAAAGCAGTTAAGCCATGAAGTCTTAATACACAAGCATCATGATGCTGCCCTAATGAGAAAAGTGCTCTTTCTATGAAAGATGATCTCTCTCCTCTTCCTTTATTAGTACAATAACAGAGAGTGCAAAGGGAAAACAACATCCTAAATATGGTAGAATCATGATCACGTGCAAGAGAGGCAAATGGACAAATAACATAGAACTCATATCAGAAAGACATTATCAGAAATGTGGGGAGCCACCTGGAAAGAAAAGGCAGTCCCCAGAAAAAAAAGCCATGAGAAGCAGCCATTTTGCAAAGCCTCAATAAAATATATCTATAAATATGTACATTGAAAGTGAGCTAAACAACTACATAAGCAGAAACCAAGTTTGGTCCAACCCTTCTAATGAAAGAAAAAAACCAGTTTCAGCAAAGACAATCATGAGACAAGAATTAATTATCTACCATGCATAGAAGGAGATTAGCAGACCAAGGGCAACACGCCCTTGTAACCACCACTCTGGGCATATTTCTGAGTGAATATTTTTTCCTCTCTGTGCCAGAATTCATTCTTGCTTCAAGATCTTTGCATCTGTAATTTCCTTCTGAGAATCTGTTTCCCCCAGATATCTGAGTCATTTGATCCCTCACTTCCTGTAATTCTCTGCTTGAAAGTCATATTCTTATAGAGGCTTTTGCTTATTAACTTTTATATAATATGTTGTTAATACCCCCAACACCAGCAGGCTGGCATTTCCTCCTTACCCTTTTAACTCCTTGTTATTGTGCGTATTTCTATGTTATGTTTATAAATATTTTCTGGTGGTTTTGGATTATTATCTGCTTCCTCCATTTGTATTAGAAACATGATGGTAGACTTTGCTTTGTTAGCTAATGTAACCCTGGTGCCTAGAATAATCCTTTGCACATAGTAGCATCACAATAAACATTTGTTGAATTAATTTCAAGAATATTATGGGTTATTAAGTTTTTCTTTAGCTATACTTCATCTTCTGTTTAACATTTAAATTGCTTTTTCTCTGTTTAAATTTCAATGGTTATATTACTCATTTTTAGCAGTTCTATTTTATTACTCTCCAAATATGCTGTGTCTTCTCTGAGTGTCTTGCTTCCTAACTTACCTTGGTTAATTAATTATCTTCTGTGATCTGACAACCTCCTGTGCAGATCTCTACTAAAGCACTAATCACACTGATTTATAGGTGCCTATAAGCCCTTAAGCTGCACCTTTGCAAAGACATCTGTATTTTGTCTTTCCATCATTAATGTCTTTATTCAACAGTCATCGAATGCCAGTCAGCTATGTCTTGTATGCAATATTAGGTGCTAAAGGAAAAAAAATGGAAAAAAAAGTTAATCATAGTCATTGCTCTCAATAATTGGTTGTCTAGAACAAGAATTTGGCAATAAGTAAAACTAAGAATAGTAGTAATAATAATTTTAATATTAGTGTAATACTAATAAGGAAGAAGGAAAGAATGCCTGTTACCCTTTAATGAGAACGACTATTTGCCATGTACTGTGCAAATCCTTTCCGTGCATTATTTTTGCTGACTGAATGGGAGAATGAATGAATGCTTCATCTACTTGAATTAACAATTATTATTGCATACTTCCATGGGGAAAGCTTTTACGGTCCTCATTAATGATGGTGTTTAGTTGATTTTGTAATCCCTCTGTACTACCAGAAAAACCTATTTGAAGAAGAGCATGGAACTGGGTAGTCTGTCTTTGGAGAAGAGACTTCAGAATCACCTCAATCATGGAATCCTTTGAGGCTCTCCTTTCATACATCTGTCCACTTCTTACTTCCTTCTAACATTTCTCTAGCCCAAGACCCTCCACTTTGGGCCACTATGCCTTATTTCTGGAATTTGTCTTTGTCTTTGTATGTAGTGGAGTATCATATCTATTCTCTTTTCATTTTACCATTTGCACTTTAAAACTTCTCAATATTCATGACTATTTCTCTAGCTCTGATATGCTGCTGCTGCAAATCCTTTCTTTCACCCTAGACATAAAGTCCAATCAGCTTACTACCCTTTTTTGGTTCCTCTTGCTAAACCTACACAGTAATGCAGGTTTTTCCAGGTTTTCAAATGCCATTCCTTACCAAGAAGTCTCAATATCAGACAAAGCACATTTTACTTGTGTCTAAAATGCCTCAAATAATAGACTATTGGAATTATCTTTCTAATGAGAATTGTGTAAGCCTGATTTGTGATTAACAACTGGTACAATTTACTCTGCTTCTCTCCTAGTATTCTAGAATCCTTTACCCATTTACAACTTCCAATATAATTATTTGTTCTCATTTTGACAAAAAATCAATTTTAAGAAATTTTCAGGCAAGTATCTGGAAATATATACACTGTTTTATCTTATTCTTGGGATAATATAGTAAGTATAGCATTTCAAATTTTATATTTAAGTGTATACAGTATCTTGATGTGTCCCTTTTTTCTACTTTGGAAAAAAAATGAAAAATCGACATTCTTCAAATTTAAATGTTATTCTTATTTTCTGTTTATCTCCCAAGTATCCTTAGTCAAGAGTTGTGGAAGCTTTATTCTGTCCTGTAACTCTCTTCTATATTCTTTCAAACTAGGAAACAAATCTACATCATGTTCAATGGGACTGCTTTCTACAACAAATCACTCTACTAGTTCAGTGAGTTTTCTCTTTAAGCATTTCCCACTAAGCTCTAGATTTTTAAATTAAAGATCCTAATTTGGTTTTCTAGTTCACTGTCTTACTGACTAAATATATTTGCGCAGCAAGTGCTTTTATCATAGCCTCTTGCTTAAGTCCGAAGCTTTTTTTCCTTTTTCCATAAAGGCCCGAATTTGCTGACTGCATTCCCCATGATTTGTTTTCATAAACAGGCTAACATATAAAGGTCAACAGTGAGAGTCTAACAACCTGAAATTGAGCACATGATTATCATTTAATGTGCCTCTTTTCCACTGATTCAGGGATGAAATAAACCAACCTTGGAGACAGGATAAAAATTATTTGATTTTACCATATGGAAAAAGTGAGTTTGCTAAGAAGTTTGAGGCCTGAATCCTTTTGCCCTTAGAATGAATTATAGATGGCCAGAGAATCTCCATTCCACCCCCAACCCCCACCATAGAGAAACGCAATAGTTACTTCCTATAAAAACAGGTATTTTAAAAGAAAAAAATTGCCCTGGTGCAGTGGCTCATGCCTGTAATCCCAGCACTCTGGGAGGCCGAGGTGGGCGGATCACTTGAGGCCAGGAGTTCGAGACCAGACTGGCCAACATAACAAAACTCCATCTTTACAAAAACTACAAAAAATAGCCGGGCTTTGTGGCGTGCGCCTATAATCCCAGCTACTCGAGAGGCTGAGGCAAGAGAATCACTTGAACCTGGGAGGCAGAGCTTGTAGTGAGCTGAGATTGCACCACTGCAGGACAGAGAAAGACTCCGTCTCAAAAATAAAAAACAAAAAACAAAACAAAAAAAGTACTTGAAAGAAAAAATTAAGGGTTGAGAAGAGATGCAAAATGCATCATCATTTGGTCTGCCTGTCTTTAGACTAGGAACATAGCATTGAAGTTAGTAAAGCAGACTGCCCTGTGCTGTTGTGTCATTTTGCTTGAATCGTGGTCCAGAAGGACCATTGCTCAGAATTAAGGGGCCATCCATTTTCAATGACTGTTGATTACTTTTGTTGGTCTGTTGAGAAATTCCAATTACAATGTCAGCTAACAGGTAAGCTTCAATTCACTGGGATCTCTCTTAAGGCCTGTCTGATGCTCTCAACAAGTCATTAAACAGATATCCCCTAGTATGATTTTAGGCCACTACTGCTCTCACACAGATTTAATTCAAACACATGGAACCTGAGAGTACAGGATCTGTGTCAATTGTCAATTGTCAAGGAACATTTATATTACTCAGTCTTGATAAAAACAGATATTCTAATGATCAATGGAAATGTAAACATTTATTACAGGGCATACAATGTTCAAAGCAGAGCTGATTTGGATTCTTCTCTAGTTAGGGTATTAAATATGGTTAATTATGGTTAAATTAAATGTAACTAATAGCAACAATAGCTAACATTGCAAAAGTACTATTCTAATAAACATTTTGGTATATTCACTTATTTAATCCTCATATTAATGTTTTGAGTAGTTACTGTTATCCCCGTTTTACTGATGAGGGCAGTGAAGTATAGAGAGAGTAGGTGTCCCCAAGTCTACATGATTAGAGGGTGGCAGAGGTAGGATTTGAAACCAGCTAGTCTAGTACTAGAATTATTGTTTGTAACAACACCACTAAGCTATTGACTGAGGAGTGATAGTGTCTATCCCAAAGAAGGCCAGTCAATAAATTTGTTCTCTTCCCATTTTCTTTTATCTTTCTGAACCCTCTAAAATGATGCCTTTGTTTCCTTTGTTTAATGAATTGACTCAATAAATATTTGCCGAGTGCCTCCAGTTTACCAAACACTTTTCTCCTGCCAGGGATGACGTGGTGACTAAAACAAATATATGAATATCACAGGAATAGACATCACTCCACAAGTGCCCATATTTTTATTTTCATGAGTGGCACTGGCACTCATGGAGTGATGTCTATTTCTGTCCTAATCATTTTACCCCCAGCCCAGACACTGCAGTCAGAGTAAAAGCTGAAAACCCAGCACATTATTTCAGTTCTGCAGCTCCATTTTCACATAAGTAAGATGAAGATAATGATAATGCTTGCCTCCTAGGGTTGTGAATCATTAATGAGTTAACTTATGCAAAGTACTTAGAACCATGCTTGACATGTAAAAGGGGCTCCCTTGCTCTATTGTTTATCCTCCCTGTCCCCCTCCTCTGTCCCATACCCTGAGTGCTATTCACATATGATTTCCTCAGTAATTATTTGTTGACTAGTTGGATCACAAAAAAGAGGAGCTACTCTTAGGACTGCTAAAGATAATACTATTCTTTGAAAGATCTTTCTCCTAGTCTAATTTGCTTTGATTTTTACTTCCTTTAACACATAATGCTGAGCCCAGTCCTTACATTTGCAAAGGTCTGCCTTTGGCCTTTATACAGTATTAGTAAAAAGTAAGCTTTCATCATTAGTCAACTAATGAATAAGAGTTCAGCCATTGCTGGACAGACTTGAACTCAGAAGGGAAAAAGGTTATTCTTTTTTTCATTGTAATGAAACTATTTATATGAAAATAGACCATTATGTCTTTGGTATGAAATCTGGGACTTTTGAATAGCTTCTTGAATTTTATTTCTTTTCTTTCTTTTAAATAAACCATTATCAGCCTTTTATTCATTACTCATTCTGTTTGAAAAAATAATATGTTTTTTTTCCTAATATCCAAGACAACCCAGTTTCAGGCTTGGTTTTTTGCTGTTAGCAAGACCACATTGCCCTTGCCAGAGAATTTGGTGGGACAGATTTAAAGTTGACTTAAATTAGTTAATTGTAAAAGTCCCCCAGAGTTGATGGAACTCAATATAAAAATTCTATTCAAATCTCCTCTAGGAATGTTCATTGCAAGGCAAGCTCTCAAGGGGTCCATCTGCATTTATATCCAGCAACAAGAAACAGAGCTTTGCTAACTGGTAAGTCTTCTATGACTGTGATGCTTTCACATTGGACTTGAAGCAAAATATGAATCAGCTGATAAATGTGAAAAATTTCAGTAAGGCATTTAAAATTGAGCAGAAAACAAATTTTCTGGCATATTATGCCACAAGCATATTCATTTAATCAAATATTTATTATACATCTTCTAGGCAACATTCCAGGCATTGTGCTAGGTGCTGACATAAAAGATGATGATCATATATCCTCTGCTTTAAAGGAGCTCTCAGAAAAGTAGGGGAAAGTAAATAGGCAAGTTGATTGTTTTACATTTTATTGAGGAAATGATAGCAACAGAGATATACACAAAATGCTGTGGAAGCACCTAATCAGCCTGGTGGTGAGAGACAGATGAGGAAAACTTATTGGAGGAAATAATGCCAAAGCTAAATATTATAGGATGATGAGGGTTAGCTAGACCAAAGGTGGAATAAAAGCATTCTAAGAATGAAAATAACATGAGCAAAGACATGGGAGTAAGAACTAGCATAGCATGTCTATGAATTTGCAAGTAGTTCTGTGTCACTTGAGTATAAACATAAGATGAAGTGGCATGAGGGGTTAAATTATGGTAACTTTTTGCTTTTCTGTCCTGTTAAGGAGACTTAGTTTTAGCCTCAGGCTATGTGGAGCTGTTGAGGTTTTAAACCTGAGAATGACCTGATCAAATTTGCATCTACGTAGATCATTCCATGAATTGTGTGGAGACTGCATTTGAGAGGCCCAAGATTGAATATAGGTGGGGCCAATACAAGGCTGTAGTTGCAGGAGATGGTAAGAGCTTGACATCAGGCTGTGTGGTAAAGCTGGAAGGGGAGAAATGTGAAAGTATTTAGGACCTAAAACAACAGGTCTGTTTGCATGTGCTTGTTTGGATTTGGGAGATGATAAATCAAGGCTGAATCCAAAATTTATCATTTTCATGGTTAAATAAATAAGAAAATTAATATTTTAAATGAATTTATTCTCAGATAAGTATGCTGAGCATATTCCTAAACAGTACCCTAGCAAAACAAAACAAAAAGAAAACAATGCAACACATATGTCATAATAAACAGAATACAATTGCAGAATAGTCTTTACTTTGGGCTCTAAAATAAGTGAAACCAGACAAACCAAATACTCACTTTATGAAAGAGTTTAAATGGCAGAAAAATCAATTTTGTACAAATATACATGAATGTATCCTTGGATAATTGAAATCAATACATGAATTAGATGAGTTCTCCCTGCCAATTGTCTTAATGAATGATGTCATGAAGCCAGACTATCTAGTCTTGGTTCTCTATTTCTGCTGCATTGACAAACCATAGAAAATTAAAGCAACATACATAATTTTGATCCGATTTCCTGATCATTGCAGAGACCTAGCTTAATGGCTTTTTACAATTACTACTGGAATTGTAAACCAAAAGTATCTGAGACAGATCTCAATCAATTTAGAAGTTTATTTTGCCAAGATTAAGGACATGCCATGACAGCCTTGGGAGGCCTTGAGAACATGTGCCCAAGGTGGTCGGGTTACAGCTAGGTTTTATATGTTTTAGGGAGACATAGGACATCAATCAATACATGTAAGATGTACATTGGTTCAGTCTGGAAAGGCAGGACAACTCGAAGCCAGATGGAGGGCTTCTAGGTCATAGGTAGATTCCAAGATTTTCTGACAGGCAATTGCCCAAAAGAGTTTATCAAGACTTAGAATCAACAGAAGGGAGTTCCTTGGTTAAGATAAGAGGTGGTGGAGACCAAGGTTTACATTTTGTAAATGAAGCCTCCAGGTAGCAGGCTTCAAAAATAATATATTGTCCTCAAGTCTCTTTTAATGTTAATGCTGGTCAGTTGTGCCTGAATTCCAAAGGGAGGAGGGCATAATGAGTTATGTCTGACCACCCATTTCCATTATGACCGAAACTTGTGTTTCACGTTCACTTTGGAATGCCCTTGGCTTAGAAGAGGGGTCCATACAGTTGGCTGACAGTGCTTAGAGTTTTATTTTTGGCTTACAGTGTTCACAGTTTTTGCTGATGCCCCAAGTCTAGCTAAATTAGATGTTGTTTTAGTTGGGTTGAGGATTCCAATTGTGTATTATTTTCTCCTAATGAAAGGAAACTTAATATCTTTTATTTTCAGTCCAGGTACAGTTGATATTTATTGCATCCATTCCTTATAAAAACACCAATAATACCTCTATTATACAGAAAAGTAAATGGAAGCCAGAGACACTATTAGAGTGAGAAGTGAAGAAAAGGAGATTTCACTCAGTCTCTTGTGAGTATACATGACCTTCTGACACTGCATCTAATAACCTTGCATGTTCTAATCCTTGGGCAGAGAGAACAAGAGACCAATGATCTCCAGTCAGTTTTCTTTTATTATAATTTATCACTCATCTTCCCCCCACCATCTTTTTTTCAAGTAAATATATTTGTTTAAATTAAGAGGAAAACAGTATAGGAACTAAAGTGTATTCAGTGCTTACCATGCACCTCATGCATGAGTTACAAAGACTTTTGAGTCATATGGATTTGAGTTTAATTACAGGTTGTCCTCTTTACTAGCTGTGTAGCTCCAGGCAATTACTTAAATTCTCTGACTCAAGCCTTCTCACCATAAAATCAAGTTTTGTAAAGACTTAATACAATATTCTAAAAAATACTGCATAAAATAGGTAGCTTCTAATATTACTTCTTTAAACCTTTTGCCTAGGTTATTTCACATATGTAAGTCTGTGAATCAATACAATAAGGTATTTAAACAAGATGAGACCAAGACATTAAATAAAATTGTCAACATTATCAGAATGAAGCAGAAGCAAAATTTAAATGTCAAATAAATTCTAAAAAAGTGTATTCTTTCTATTGTAACATTAGAATGCATTTATTATAAATAGCAGATCATATTTATAAAATGTTTACTTCAGCCAAATATTTTGTGTATATGTTTTTAATTTAATTCTAAAAACAGGCTTTTGAGGTAAGCAGGATTTTGTCCCTACTTTTCCCAAGGTCACACATTAAGAAAGTGTTGGATAACTCAATATTCTACACACACTATTAAATAGATATATGCTTTAAAACATATTTTTCTGCGATCAATCTATTTTGTCAAAATCACAGCTAAAAATTGTTGCACAAGTGTCTATGCCTATACAAACTTGGCCCAATTCAGAACATTAACTGCAAGCACCATAGCCTGGTTCCAATCTATTAAAGCAGAAAAATAAATTTATGGAAAGAATATTGAGTAATTCAGTTTCACTGAGAAGCCTAAAGCAATGGAAAGCCTTCGATATCCACAGTCAAACATGATGAAACCAGTTCAGTGAGGACCCTGCTGCCATACTGCCAAGCCCTGGACTGCACATCTGAGGCCCAGCCACCTCATGCACTGCACACCACCTCCAATGGCAGCACCCTTCTCTTATGTCCTGGAAAAAGTTTGCATTGCCTCTGAGGCTGCCAGTTGGCCTCCAGGTTGATTCTCCATGAGCTTCTGGCCAGCTTTGGAGGAAGCTGGCAAGGCAATTATCAGGCAATTTCAGATTCTATTGTTTGAGGTGGGCTCTGTCTACCTCCATCCTCAAACAAAGGAAAAGAATTGAGATTTTGAGAAGCAGTTCTTTCTCACAAAAGAGGCAAATATCTACCCCACTGCATAAGCAGCAATGATCAGGCAACCCAACTCTCACCTTAAATTTGTGCTCACCAGGCCATTTTGTAATATATTTGGCAGTACTTGGAGTTAAAAAAAGAAAAAAAAAAAAAGCTGAGTTAATAATGAATGAATGAAATCATTCTACAGTATGCATTTTAAAAATAATCGATCTTGTATACATTATGCTTTGTTTCTTTTTTACATACCCTGAGAATTTTGAAAAAATTTGTTACTCAATATCAACTAATCTTAAAATATTGATGAGTAATATGCATAAGGTAAATGTATTGTTAGTTAGCCAAATGACTCATGAGATTTTAAGAGTTTAATAACAAAAAGAGTTATTAAAAGTTGATCATCCTATTTCAACACCATCGTTTTTCAAATAAGCAGAAAAAGGCCAAGAAACATAAAGTGAATTTTCTTAAATGTGACAGAGACAAAACAAGGAGTTTATTTCTCTTTGTACGTAGATGCTTCTTTTAAAATTTTTAAAGTTTTAGATTCAGGAGGTACATGTATATATTGAGTAATGCTAATGTTTGGGCTTCTATCAAACCTGTCACCCAAATAGTGAACATAGGACCCAATAGGTAGTTTTTCAGCCCTTCCCCACTCTCTCTCTCTCTTTATTTTGGAGTAGCCAGTGAGTATAACAAAGTTTTTTGAATTCTAATTTTAAATAATGATCGTTGATTTTATTAGCTTGATAATAGCTTGATACGTATATATGTATATAAGATATTAAGATTGGTGAACCTTGCCTTAAATATTGCATTGAATCTACTAAGGGCATTGATAGTCATCCCTCATCCTCACTCAACTACTTCCATAACTGCAATAGTTTAGTTTACAGAGACACTGAAAATGGCTATTATGATTATTCCACAAATCTATGTCTTCAGTAGATTCTCAAGAAGCTTTATCCTTCCATTCAAAAGTCTTCAATTTTAGTGTATATCATTGGGTAGCTATGACAATTCTTCCTTTTTGTTTGCAGTCAGAATATTGAGAACATATTATTTGCACTCCAGCCTTAAGGTCTCTTCCTGCATTACCAAAATATATTGATTCAGCCATCTTCATATTCCAACAGTAATCTTGTCCACAGGCATGAAGAAGCTTAATGCCCTTGGGCCAACATTAGCTCAGTTTTGCTTTTGGTCCTATGTAATGTTACTACTCTTCTTTCTTAATTTCTGCATATTTTTCATTAAATTATTCACCAAAAACTGTGGGAATGTATAATGTGCTAGACTACAGAGAGCAAATATATGATGTGCATGTTGCCATTCCTACAACTAGGGCTCAAGATGGACATCGTTAATCAATCCTGTCATTTTGGGTAGTATGATTTTGATTCTTCTCAACAGTCTGTCCTGGGTAGATAGTACTTCAGAGTTAGATTGCAAGTTGAAAGGTATTTAAAACCTACTTAAGACCTACTTAAGACTTCTGTGCTAGGTATGGCAAATGACAAATGAAAAAATACCCTGACCACACAGAATAGTGAGAAAGACTGATCAATAAACCACTAGATACAGTATAGTACTTAACATGTTATTATAGATTTGATCATAAAAATGACAACACTTAAGAAAAGTAGGACTTGGGGAGGCAGATGTGAGGCTAACAAAGGCTCTTTTCAGATAGGGTAAAGCCTGAGTTTAGTTCAGAGGAATAAGTAGAAATTGACCAGGTAAATATGGAGGTGGGTGAAGGGCACTTTATGGAGGCAGATGTGAGGCTAACAAAGGCTCTTTTCAGATAGGGTAAAGCCTGAGTTTAGTTTAGAGGAATAAGTAGAAATTGACCAGGTGGGTGAAGGGCACTTTATGGAGGCAGAGGCAGTGAAGTGTGTAAAGCTAATTAGCCCTGAGAGACCCTGGCTTCTCTGGAGAATACCAGCACACTTCAGTGCAGCTGGGATCAGGTAGTTGTAAGGGATTTGTCAGAGTCAAGGCAATCCATCCTAAAGGAAATGGGAAGCCATTGATGGCTTTAAGATAAGAATTCCTAGTATGGAAAGGTCACTTTCCCAGATGTTTGGAGGACAGAGGAAGTTAAAGCAGGACACAGGGAAACCTACAGGAAGGCTTTTGTATTAATTGAGAGAAATGACGAGTGCAATGATCATACACAGGAGTTTTTAAAAACTTCGAATTGATAGAACTTCATGACTCATTAGCTATACTGAGAAATGGAAAATTAGAACTCTAAATGAGTTCTAAATATGTAACCTGTGGCCTTATTTATTTCCCTGAATTTCAGGATTTCTTGCACTGATTTCTTAGGCTCTAACTCCCATTACCATCATATCAATTGCTCTAAGCTCCTGGAGTTTCTGCAACCATTAAAACCTTAAGATTTAACATTCTCCTACTACTTTAAGAGTCTCCCCTGATCATGAAATTAATTTGGACCCAAGACTAATGAAACACATGACCTGGTTGTCTTTTTCCTAGGTAGCCTGGTTTTGCCACTAGTCTTGAATTTTCCTACAGTCACATTTTTTAAAAATTCAAGACTCAAATCTCTGTTCTTATTTTGGTATTGCAACTCCTAGTCTCTGACTTACACAGTATTTTTGTGAAGACCCCTTATTCTGTCCTCTCTTGAATTTTTATCTCATTTGGCTACCACCTCATCCTGTAGTCTTAGAAAAGAACACTTTTATTGAGAGGAACAACTTCTATTAAAAAAATGAAAAGTAACTGGTCTTTACAATGCTTTTTTAATAAGGCATAAGAATGAGACAAGAGATGCAAACAACTACCTAGAAAATTTGCAGGTACTATATTTTACTTTTATAAGTATAGTCTACAGATTCATAACGCTATTATAGGGAATAACGGAGAAGAGTTACCATTATCTCCTGGAGACAAGCACCTTGAGGGAAAAAGCTAAAACCTGTGGTTTCCATAGAGGTGAATTTATCTTCTTGTGTCAATTAGACGTTTCCTGAATTATTGACTGTAGGTGAAGATAGTTTATTTAAAACATGGTGGTGCATTTACTAGCTATTAGAAAGCAAATAACTCACTATAGGCCTTTCCAGCCAAGTCCCTCCTAATTCCTTCATTTTCAAGTCACTAGCACACTCTAGGCAGAAGCCAAGATGTCCTAGTGCTCTGAATGCAATAATTGGGTCAATTTTTGGAAACACTGAAGCAGTTTAAGAAGACTCCTTTTTGTTTGAGACCAGACTGGCCAACATGGTGAAACCCCGTCTCTACTAAAAAATACAAAAATTACCTGGGCATGGTGGTGGGCGCCTGTAATCCCACCTCCTCGGGACGCTGAGGCAGGAGAATTGCTTGAACCCAGGAGGCGGAGGTTGCAGTGAGCTGAAATCATGCCATTGCACTCCAACTTGGGCGACAAGAGCAAGACTCTATCTTAAAAAAAAAAAAAAGACTCCTTTTTTGAAAATAAAATCTAACATAAAGCTTAAGAGAAGCAAAAGCTTTGTTTCTACAGGAGTCTCTCACATGTCTGAAATGTGCTTGTCAGATTCACTCAATGTTAAGGAATTGGTTTGTTCTCATTACTGAGAATGAAAGGCACAGCAGACATCTGAATGAGCGGGATGAGGCAGATACGCCTAGAAGATAAAGATAAAGTAGAGGTTGGCTGGAAGGAGCTTGAGGAAGTAGGAAAGTATCAACACCGTCTCAGAGGAACAAACTGTTGCTTTGTAGTGTATCCAAATGATCCTCTAAATTATTTTTTGAGATGCATTGTTCTGTATCAAACAGATCACTGAGTCAACAGGGAAAAGCTGATTTTTCCCTTCGGAGTTCATTCATTAGCTGAGTGATCCTAAGTAGTAAGTTGAAAAATGTACATTTATTTTCAGATGGCAGTATTAAATATTTAGTAACTAAAAATTGGCTAGTCGATCTTTCAACTGCAAGTCAAGAGATACTAATGAATTTATTTTTCTTGGAAGTCATTACAAATATGACAAATTATTTTTATACCAGGATAATTGAAATATAAATTGCAATAGGAAAAAAATTACATAACTTTGTATTACACAATTGTTTTGACTTTTATGAATTACAATGATTATTTGTATGGCATAACCATTGAAATTGTTGATCTATGTGTACATTTGCATGCTGAAATATGTGAAGTAATATCTCTCTTCCTATCTGCTGCTTTTGATTTAATATGATGTTCAGGAATGCTATATGCTTATTTTTAAATGTAGGATGATTTGGCTTTTTTTTGGGGGGGGGGTGGGTAATATTACCATTAGCAAACAGCATAAGAATACTATATTTTGATATGGAGAATGTTTGTAAGTAGCAACGAAAATGCAATTAATACACTTGAACTAAGTAGAAAGCTTTCAAAGTCTTTACCTCTTGATTAGAATTAATCATGAGTTTTGGTTTCAAAAAATTTAAATATTTGTGACAAAAAATAAGGTTGTAAAAAAAATCTGTCAAGTCCTGCTATTTATAGTAAGATAAACAGAGGATATACTGAGGCAGAATCTTCTTTTTGAGATTAGTTGAGATTAACTGGAGGACATCCATCATGATTAATATCAATTGGCATTTAAAATAGTTACATTAATTGTACTCTTCTAAATCATCTACGTGTGTGTTATGTGACATATTAAAGATAAGCGGAAATTTGGAAATAATTCCTTGAACAGAAGTGTGAAATTTTTTTCCCAACTCAACCTGACGAACTCACCTGAGTGGAAAGTTATGTCTGCTGATCAATGAAAGTGATCTATTTTGTGGGTCACAAAGTTGAATAAAAAAGATGTCCCTTGAACTATAAGTCAGACTCAACAATATTTGTCACTTCATTCTTCCCTGAAAAATAGATATTGGAGAATAAACTTATTCAACTCTAGCTATTTTACAGAATAAAATCAGGTCTTAATGGTAAGTACATTTTACCTATAAAATATGTCTTAAAGTTAATTGCCCAAATTGGGTGATACTGCTAAAATATCCTTAATCACAGCCATAATTCATTATATATTTAATATAATAAATATTAAAAGACTGCTAGAAATTAATACAAAGGATAATTTATATTGTATTGGGTAGATAAACTTTGTTTTGTTTTCATACATGTAGAGCTAATATATGAATATAAAGTATCAATATTTTATTGTCTTATTGTTTGAAAGAGAGATACATGGTTTGCAAATATTCTGAATCCTGTATAATCTTTTTGAGTTTGGATAATAATAATTTGTTTTCCCTTTTGCCTTTCTGCTTTATCTTCCCTAACTATTCTCTCTCTTTTTTTTTTTTTTCCCAATTATACTTCAAGTTCTGGGATACATGTGCAGAATGTGCAGGTTTGTGACATAGGTATACACATGCCATGGTGGTTTCCTGCACCCATCAACTCATCATCTACATTAGGTATTTCTCCTAATGCTATCACTCCCCTAGCCCTCCACCACCCTGACAGGCCCCAGTGTGTGATGTTCCCCTCCCTGTGTTCATGTGTTCTCGTTTTTCAACTCCCACTTAGGAGTGAGAACATGCAATGTTTGGATTTCTGTTCCTGTGTTAGTTTGCTGAGAATGATGGTTTCCAGCTTCATCCATGTCCCTGCAAAAGACATGAACTCATCCTTTTTTATGGCTACATAGTATTCCACAGTGTATATGTGCCACAGTTTATCCAGTCTATCATTGATGGGCATTTGGGTTGGTTCCAAGTCTTTGCTATTGTTAGTAGTGCTGCAATAAACATACATGCGCATGTGTCTTTACAGTAAAATGATTTATAATCACTTGGATATATATCAAGTAATGGGATTGCTGAGTCAAATGGTATTTCTTGTTCTAGATCCTTGATGAATCGCCACACTGTCTTCCACCATGGTTGAATTAATTTACACTCCCACCAACAGTGTAAAAGCATTCCTATTTCTCCACATCCTCTCCAGCATCTGTTGTTTCCAGACTTTTTAATGATCGCCATTCTAACTGGCATGAGATGGTATCTCATTGTGGTTTTGATTTGCATTTCTCTAATCACCAGTGATGATGAGCTTTTTATCATATGTTTGTTGGCTGCATAAATGTCTTCTTTTGAGAAGTGCCTGTTGATATCCTTTGCCCACTTTTTGATGGGGCTGATTTTTTCATGTAAATTTGTTTAAGTTCCTCATAGATTCTGGATATTAGCCCTTTGTCAGATGGATAGATTGCAAAAATTTTCTCCCATTCTGTAGGTGGCCTGTTCACTCTGATGATAGTTTCTTTTGCTGTACTGAAGCTCTTTAGTTTAATTACATCTCATTTGTCAATTTTGGCTTTTGTTTCCATTGCTTTTGGTGTTTTGGTCATGAAGTCTTTGCCTATGCCTATGTCCTGAATGGTATTGCCTAGGTTTTCTTCTCGGGTTTTTATGGTTTTAAGTCTTACGTTTAAGTCTTTAGTCCACCTTGAGTTAATTTTTGTATAAGGTGTAAGGAAGAAGTCCAGTGTCAGTTTTCTGCATATGGCAAGCCAGTTTTTCCAACACCATTTATTAAGAAGGGAATCCTTTCCCCATTGCCTGTTTTTGTCAGGTTTTTCAAAGATCAGATGGTTGTAGATGTGTGGCATTATTTCTGAGGCCTCTGTTCTGTTCCATTGGTCTATATATCTGTTTTGGTACCAGCACCATGCTGTTTTGGTTACTGTAGCCTTGTAGCATAGTTTGAAGTCAGGTAGTGTGATGCCTCCACTTTGTTCTTTTTGCTTAGGATTGTCTTGGCTATATGGGCTGTTTTTTGATTCCATATGAAATTTAAAGTAGTTTGTTTTTTTTCTAATTCTGTGAAGAAAGTCAGGGGTAGCTTGATGAGGATTGCATTGAATCTATAAATTACTTTGGGCAGTATGTATATTGTCACAATATTGATTCTTCCTATCCATGAACATGGAATGTGTTTCCATTTGTTTGTGTCCTCTCTTATTTCCTTGAGCAGTGGTTTGTAATTCTCCTTGAAGAGGTCCTATACATCCCTTGTAAGTTGAATTCCTATGTATTTTATTCTCTTTCTAGCAATTATGAATGGGAGTTCACTCCTGATTTGGCTCTCTATTATTGGTGTATATGAATGCTTGTGATTTTTTCATATTGATTTTGTATCCTGAGACTTTGCTGAAGTTGCTTATCAGCTTAAGGAGGTTTGGGGCTGAGACAGTGGGGTTTTCTAATTATATAATCATGTCTTCTGCAAACAGAGACAATTTGACTTTCTCTATTCCTATTTGAATACCATTTCTTTCTCTTGCCTGATTGCCCTGGCCAGAACTTCCAATACTATGTTGCAAAGGAGTGGTGACAGAAGGCATCCTTTTCTCGTGCCAGTTTTCAAAGGGAATGCTTCCAGCTTTTGCCCATTCAGTACAATATTGGCTGTAAGTTTATCATAAATAGCTCTTATTATTTTGAGATATGTTCCATCCATGTATGTGTGTATGTGTCCAGGAATTTATCCATTTCTTCTAGATTTTCTAGTTTTTTTTTTTTTGCGTAGAGGTGTTTATAGTATTCTCTGGTGGTAGTTTGTATTTCTGTGGGATCAGTGGTGATATCCCCTTTATTGCTTTTTATTGTGTCTATTTGATTCTTCTCTCTTTCCTTCTTTATTAATCTGGACAGAGGTCTATTTATTTTGTTAATCTTTTCAAGAAACCTCTCGGTTTCTGAATTTGTTTGGTCTTGCTTATCTAGTTCTTTTAATTGTGAGGTTAGGGTGTCAATTTTAGATCTTTCCCACTTTCTCCTTTGGGCATTTGGTGCTATAAATTTCCCTCTAACACTGCTTTAGCTGTGTCCCAGAGATTCTGGTATGTTCTGTCTTTGTTATTATTAGTTTCAAAGGACTTTTTATTTCTGCCTTAATTTTTTTATTTACCCAGTAGTCATTCAGGAGCAGGTTGTTCAGTTTCCAAGTAGTTGTGTGGTTTTGAGTGAGTTTCTTAATCCTGAGTTCTAATTTGATTTCACTGTGGTCTGAGAGACTATTTGTTATGATTCCCATTCTTTTGCATTTACTGAGGAGTGTTTTACTTCCAATTAGGTAGTTAATTTTAGAATAAGTGCAATGTGGTGCTGAGAAGAATGTATAATCTGTTGATTTGGGGGGATAGTTCTATAGATGTCTATTAGGTCCACTTGGTCAAGAGCTGAGTTCAAGCCCTGAATATCCTTGTCAATTTTATGTCTTGTATATTGACAGTGGAGTGTTAAAGTCTCCCACTATTATTGTGTGGGAGTCTAAGTCGCAGCTTCAGCAGACTTAAACGTTCCTGCCTTCCGACTCTGAAGAGAGCAGCGGATCTCCCAGCACAGCGCTCAAGCTCTGCTAAAGGACAAACTGACTCGTCAAGTGGGTCCCTGACCCCCATGCCTCCTGACTGGGAGACACCTCCCAGCAGGAGTCGACAGACACCTCATACAGGAGAGCTCCAGCTAGCATCTAGCGGGTGCCCCTCTGGGATGAATCTTCCAAAGGAAGGAACAGGCAGCAATCTCTGCTGTTCTGCAGCCTACGCTGGTGATACCCAGGCAAACAGGGTCTGGAGTGGACCTTCAGCAAACTTGCAGCAGAGGGTCCTGATTGTTAGAAGGAAAACTAACAAACAGAAAGGAACAACATCAACATCAACAAAAAGGATGTCTGTACAAAGACCCCATCTGAAGGTCACCAACATCAAAGACCAAAGGTAGATAAATCCATGAAGATAAGGAAAAACCAGCACAAAAAGGCTGAAAATTCCCAAAACCAGAATGCCTCTTCTCCTCCAAAGAATCACAACTCCTCACCAGCAAGGGAACAAAACTGGATGGAGAATGAGTTTGACAATTGGATAGAAGTAGGCTTCAGGAGGGAGGTAATAACAAACTCCTCTGAGCTAAAGGAGCACGTTCTAACACAATGCAAGGAAGTTAAGAACCTTGAAAAAAGGTTAGACCAATTGCTAACTAGAATAACCAGTTTAGAGAAGAACATAAATGACCTGATGGAGCTGAAAAACCCAGCACAAGAACTTCGTGCATTATACACAAGTATCAATAGCTGAATCAATCAAGCAGAAGAAAGGATATCAGAGATCGATTATCAACTTAATAAAATAAAGCAAGATGACAAGATTAGAGAAAAAAGAATGAAAAGGAACGAATAAAGCCTCCAAGAAATACAAGATTATGTGAAAAGACCAAACCTACATTTGATTGGTGTACCTGAAAGTGACGGGGAGAATGGAACCAAGTTGGAAAACACTCTTCAGGATATTATGCAGGAGAACTTCTCCAACCTAGAAAGACAGGCCAACATTCAAATTCAGGAAATACAGAGAACACCACAAAGATACTCCTCAGGAAGAGCAACCTCAAGACACATAATCATCAGATTCACCAAGGTTGAAATGAAGGAAAAAATGTTAAGGGCAGCCAGAGAGAAAGGTGGGGTTACTCATAAAGGAAACCCCATCAGACTAACAGCAGATCTCTCTGCAGAAGCCCTACAAGCCAGAAGAGAGTGGGGGCCAATATCCAACATACTTAAAGAAAAGAATTTTCAACCCAGAATTTCATATCCAGCCAAACTAAGCTTCACAAGTGAAGGAGAAATAAAATCCTTTACAGACAAGCAAATGCTGAGAGATTTTGTCACCACCAGGCCTGCCTTACAAGAGCTCTTGAAGGAAGCACTAAATATGGAAAGGAAAAACCAGTAACAGCCACTGCAAATAAAACCCAAAATGTAAAGACCATCAAAACTATGAAGAAACTGCATAAACAAATGGGCAAAATAACCAGCTAACATCATAATGACAGAATCAAATTCACACATAACAATATTAACCTTAAATGTAAACGGACTAAATTGACCAAATTAAAAGACACAGACTGGCAAATTGGATAGAGTCAAGACCCACTGGTGTGCTGTATTCAGGAGACCCATCTCATGTGCAAAGACACATATAGGCTCAAAATAAAGGGATGGAGGAATATTTACCAAGCAAATGGAAAGCAAAAAAAAAAAAAAAAAAAAAAGCAGGGGTTGCAATCCTAGTCTCTGATAAAACAGACTATTCTTCCTTTTCTCCTTCCATCTTTATCCCGTTTTCTGTACAATGTCCCACTCTGGCTTCTCTTTCTATTTTCTTTCTAATCTTGCTCTGCACATGCTACCTTTGCAGAGCCAATTTGTTTCCCAGAATGGAAGGGACTGCTTATCTCTAGGAGAAGAACTTTGTCCCATGGAGCTGTTATGGTCAGATAAGCAGCCAGCTGCTGTTTGGACAGGGCAAGGTTGGCTGTTGTCCCTCCTGGACTAAACTAAGCAGCAGGAAAAGAGCCACCTTATGATGGATCAGATAGCCACAGACAAAGCTGATAGTAGGGAATGTTTGGGGTAGGATTTCAGAGACTCTAAACCTAAATATGTTTTGCCTGAGTTCGTCATTTTGTCACAGGTTTCTCTCTTTGGCTGCTAGTTAGCATATTCCTAGTGGATTTACAATGGCAGCTAACCAAGTGTTGTCTCATGAACCTGAATTTTGAAAAAATAAATCTTCTTCCACAGGTCCTCATGAAATATCCCTCTATTAGCAACAAGCATCCCATAGTGTCTTATTATTGTTCTTTGCTGAAAATGGCCCAGAATATGATTTATTTTCAACATTTCATAGTCCATAGAACTATTCAAAATGATATGTTAAATACTAGTGGTTCATTTTGTTTAGGTATGAAACAGGCATTATAATTAAGGATTTATTTGTGTAGCTTTTTGCCAACAAAGATGATGCTTTTGACCCTACAGCTGTGTGTAGTTGTGGCCAAATCTGCTAATCACTGACCATTGCTTGTCACAACACTGTTTGCATACATACAGCTTAGCTTGAAAACTGAGGCCAGTGACTCTTTTCTGGCTGCCTTTCATTAACATTCTTCCATTTTCCCCCCTTGGGTTAGGCCATTGCCAAATGTGGACAAAGCATGTGAAAAAGTACAGAATTGTTTTATGGCAGGCTTTTCTGAGACGAAACTACATTAGTATGCAAATTATTAAAATTATTTGGATAGATCAATAGTTCTCAAAATTTCATGTGCATGAGAATTACGTGGGGGACCTGTTACAGATTACTGAGCTCCACCCACAGAATTTCTGATTCAGATGGTGTGTAAACGGGCATCCAAGAAGTTTTCTTTGTAACATGTCCCCAGGTGATGCTAATGATGCTGGTCCAGGACAATACTCGGAGCATGCCTGAGGTTGACAAGTCAATTATTACAAATATGAATCAGCCCCCACAGGTATACCTCATGATCTGGTCTACTATATGTTTGATTGCAGCAATCATTAACACCCAGGATCTTACCACCACCCATCTCCCCTTCTGAATATCATTTTATAACTAGAGGATGAGCTTCAGGCTGTTTATGTAAGTTCATAACCTATTCTCATCTTCCCTTTCCATGGCATTTCTGGGATGTTTCACAGTGATTCATTTTCTCCACATAATGTGTTGTGTATGGCTTTTCTCTAAGAGGAGAACAGTTATGTCCTTTGAAGGTGGACTGGGCTATAGGAAATTGTTAGTGGCTCATCTTTTGAATGGTGAGCTGGGCACACAGACAGGTCTAATCAAAGTATTTGAGTAAATGGGAGCTTCATGTCTATTATCTCAGTTCTGCTCATTGTGAAGGTTAGGTGACATTAGAAATTCTGATTTTAAGTTTGGCTTGGAGCTTGAAGCCTCTGCTGTCTGGCTATAGACCAGTTGGTGAAAACAATGTATTGATTTGCTTAATTTTTTTTATCTTTCTGTCTAGTCTTTAAAAGGTCTAACAAAGTCACTGCCTTTACTTTGAAGATGTTGATGAGAATATTTGCAGCAGATGCGATCTGTCTGGGAATGTTGGTATTTGACAATTTTGAGTTGCACCCTAAGCCCTTGTCATTTTGTTACAATAATTAATTACTAGCTACATGTTATTTAGGGTATTGCCAGAAAACAAGGATAGATAAAAAGTATTCCTTGAAGAATATTTGGGGGGATAACTTTAAAGAACCAAAAGTAACTAGATTTTAAGTTCCTTGAAGGCAAAAACCATAGCATCCTTTCTTCTTAATCGTTATATCAACAAATTTTTTTTTTCTTTTTTTTCTTTTTTTTTTTTAGACGAAGTCTCTCACCCAGGCTGGAGCACAGTGGCGTGATCTCAGCTCACTGCAAGCTCCACCTCCCGGGTTCACGCCATTCTCCTGCCTCAGCCACCTGAGTAGCTGGGACTACAGGTGCCCGCCACCATACCAGCTAATTTTTTGTATTTTTAGTAGAGACGGGGTTTCACCATGTTAGCCAGGATGGTCTCGATCTCCTGACTTCATGATCTGCCCTCCTTGGCCTCCCAAGGCAGGATTACAGGCATGAGCCACCGCACCTGGCCTATATCAACAAATCTTAACTGCATTTTGCTCTCAATACTCAAACTTAACCCATGTATTTTAAAAAAATGCTATTCCCATTATCTTGAGAAAAAGATATTCTGAGAGACAATGTAGCTCAGCATTCCCAAAGTGTGATCCTTGGAAATTCAGTGTCTTAGAAATAGTTTTAATCATAACAAATTTTTGTAGAATTCAGAATAAATATAACCAATCTCCTCTTCACTTAATCATAATATTCATAAGCAAAATAAAGATCCTAGGAGGTCCTGAAGAAAAAAGATATAATAATATTTTTACCAGCTTTACTGAAGTAAAATTGACAAATAAAAATTGCATATATCCTTAAGGTGCCCAACATAATAATTTGATATACATATTCATTGTGAAGTGATTACCATACTAAAACTAATTAACACATCCATTGCCTTATATAGTTATTTTTTGTATGTGTGGCTAAACACTTAATATCTACTCTATTAGCAAATTTCCGGTATACAATATAATATTGTTTACTATAGTCACCATGTTGTATATTGTATCTCTAAAACTTATTTATGTTACAAATGAAAGTATACTCCCTTTAACCAATGTCTCTTCATTTCCTATGCCACCAATGACAATATTTTAAAATCAAAACCATATATTTAGAATTGTTTAACCTAAGATTCTGCAAATTTATTTAAGCAAACATTGATACAGCATTTTTGAAAACATGACCAGAGTGCAAACGTAAGCAAATATTATTGAACACCTCCAGTACAACCCCCACATACACACACACACACACACATACACACACACACTGATTGTCAAACTACTCATCCAGTTAAGTAGCATTATCCCCTCTTCGCAGATTATAACACTACAAAATAGAGATGTTAATCAATTAACCTATGGTTTTCCACACATGCGTTGTCTCTCCACTTATCAACGGAAATTGCAGCCCAGGGCTCAAAAACCTGAAAGGCAGCCAGAACTCTTGCTTAGGGGCATTTGCAACACATAGCCACAAGCATAGCAAAAGTTTATTTTAAAAAGAATGTGGTAATATTACATAAGCATTATTGAAATAATCATCACAAACATGAGTTTTTAACTTCATTCACTTATTTTACAGATGACAACTTATTTTTATTTCATCTTTCATAAGGGGTTCCCCCAAATCTTTGTAGTGTCTGGGGTCTCTGAAGTTCTTATTCTGTTTCTGCTGTTCCTCCTTCAAAATTCCACTTTCGAGTGTACATTCTTTTTTTTTTTGAGATGGAGTCTCACTCTATCACTCAGGCTGGAGTGCAGTGACGTGATCTCAGCTCACTGCAACCTCTGTCTCCTGAGTTCAGGTGATTCTCATGCCTCTGCCTCTCGAGTAGCTGGGATTACAGGCATGCACCACCACACCTGGCTAATTTTTGTATTTACAGAGACGGAGTTTCACCATGTTGGCCAGTCTGTTCTTGAACTCCTGACCTCATGTGATCTGCCCACCTCGGCCTCCCAAAGTGTTGGGGTTACAGGCGTGAGCCACCATGCCCAGCCCCAAGTGTACATTCTTAAACTACCAACTTCTACTCATCCATCTCACTTGCTCTAAGCATTACTTCAGAATTTCTTACTCTCTTTAGACATTCCATTTACCCATCACATAACACTTTCATTGTTTATCACTCCCCTACCTCAGTAGCTTCCAGTATCATAATCACTTCTTTGCAAATGCCCTCAATACCATTGCCCCTTTTTCACTCCAAATACTTGCCTGACAAAACTCGTCCTTGCTATGTCCAAGTTATATCTCTCAAATGGGCACTGAGATTAAACTTCTATCTCTATCCCTTGTTAAATCTCTATTCCCAATAGAACTATTCCATACCTACACTCGTTATGCTTCCATGTTCTTTTCTGGATCTTCACACTAAGTTGACATCCTCAGGTTTGTAATAAACAAGGATAAACAAAATGGCTTACCACCCTACTTTCATCCACGCTCAATGTTTTCTGTCTTTTCATCTTTAACAGCAGAAGAAAATTGTTTACTCTGAACAGAGACAAACCCAACTCTTAAGCCCCATATCTTAGTCTCTCATTTTCAAGGATTTTAATGGGGCTGTTTTTCCTTCTTGTGTTACATATATTTCTGTTACTCAAACAGATTATTTATCTCAGTGTACTTTATGATTCACTTTAAATCATGTCATTTTTATGTCTGGGCCTTTTCCCTATGAAATATTCCTTGTCAAAGTCCCAGATGATTTCCATGCTGCCATAGCCAATAGTTAACTTCTGCTGCTCTCAACTTCCCCTCAGCTTTCTTGATATCACAGTGTTCTAATTTTCTCCCTCACTGGCAGCTCCTTCTCAGGTTCCTTTGCTGTTTTTTCTTCTAACTTCTAAATATTTGAAGTGGTCCAGAGTTGAGACCTTGTCAGTTGCTGTTTCCTACCCATACTCTCTTCCTAGGTTTTTTTTTTTTTTTTTTTTTTTTTTTTTTTTTTTTTGAGACGGAGTCTCACTCTGTTGCCAGGCTGGAGTGCAGTGGCATGATCTCGGCTCGGCACGATCTGGGCTCACTGCAACTTCTGCCCCCTGCGTTCAAGCAATTCTCTTGCCTTAGCCTCCTGTGTAGCTAGGACTACAGGTGCACGCCACCATCAGTTTTTTGCTGATGGATTCAAAAGTTGTTTATTAAGCTACTAACTTCCAGAATTCTGAAGCAAAATATCTAACCACCTATTGAGAGCTCCATTTTTAAGTCTAATATTATCAAGCTCAAACTGGGACTTTACAGAACTGTTCCCTTCTCAGTTTCCTCTATTAAAGTTAATAACACAAATATCAATCATTTGCTTAGGCAGAGTTTTACCCTGATTCTTCCATTTTCCCTAGCATTGGCTCCATCCAATACCTTAGAAATTCCTATTAGTTTTACTTCAAAATAGTCTTTGAACTTGTCCTTATTTCTTCCATATCTACTGCTAACACCCAAACCAGACTGCTGTCTCTTCCCTGGACTATTGCAATTGCTTTCTTATTTTATCCTTCTAATTTCATTGTCACACATGCTTTATTTACATAGCATCAATCTAATCTTTTAACAACATGAATAATATTATGTCACCACCATACACAAACCTCACAATTACTTTTCAGGGTGAATCAATTAAAATTCAAATTATTTATCATGGTCTCCACTGAAAGACGTATATAATGTGGCCCTTAGCCACTCATATGATCTTATTGCGTATAATTCCACTTCTCACTAAGTATGCTATAGTCACATTAATCTTTTCTCAGGTTTTCAAGGAAGACAAATTCATTCCTTCTTTAGGCTCTTTGCACTGGCTGTCCTCTCTGACTGGAATGATAGTACGCTGTTCTCTGTATGACCAACTTCTCAGTTGATGTCTCAGCTAAATTGTGTGAATTTTTGTGTATGCCTCAACTGAAGGATAAGCTAGTCTCTAGTGTTATCTGATTTCATGTTGTGTTCTGTATAAAAGAAGAATTACAAAAGAATAGCCAGATAATGAAAGGTAAAATATAAAGTGCTTTCAAAACACAAATTGCATTATAGGTGCATAAAAATAATATACAGCAAAGAGTGTTGCTCTCTAATGGGAAGAGTCAATTGTATAAGGCCATTAAAAAGTAACTCAGACTCCATCATGTTAACGAAAGAGTAAAATTCCATTAGGCTAGGGCTAAGAGGTCTCTATTAATTAAACACTACAGTACTTTTCTGCATATATAGTTCATAGAAACTCATGTAAAAAACTTCCTTTGAAGTAAGACAATGTAGACTGATTTTTGGCATATAATAAATATGACTTCTACCTAATGAAATAACGGAGCTAGTTTATGATCATCAATAGATGCTAAAACATTAGGAGAAATGTTGATATGAAAGTTTTTAATAAAAGATTTATGCTAATAGATTTTAGCATTATTAGCCTAAATGTTCATATCAATGTTAACATTACCAAAAGAGGAATCACTTCACATTATGTACCTCCTGATATCATGGGGAAAAACAAATAGAAAAAAAAAGAAACGCACAAAATAACAAGAAGAATGGAATCACACCAAACTTCTAGATGTAGCTACCAGCTACCAGAAATATGTGGGGATAGAAGAACATGTGAAATTATACCACAAGCATATCTAGAGTGCAGGGAATTCTATAGCACAAACAACATACATTGTTATGGTTGGAAAAGTATTCAAGAGACATATCAAATTCTTTTTTAAAAGTATATCACCTAATGTGAGTACAATATAAATATGAAAAGAAGCCACTGGAAGATTTTAAGCATGGTAGTGACATGATTTGATTTCAGTTTGAAAAGATCACTAAGACTTCAATGTGAAGAATAGATTGTGAGTTGTAACCATGGAAGCCTGGAGAATGGTGATAAAGCCATTATAGTAGGTGAGGTTGAGAGATGATGGCAGCTTGGAGGTAAATATAAAAGGATAGAACAGGTGTATAATAGACAAGAGCCAAGTCTACTTGATAATGTGGAGTATGACAGAGGAACTTTAGACAAATTCTGTATTTGGGGCAGAAACAATGAAGCGTGTGGTGGAGACATCACTAAGATGTGGAACACCGGGGGAGGAGGCGGTTTAGGTGTAGAAAAAAACAATCTTTGGACTTTGTTGCTTTGAGATATTTACGAGCTATCTTAGTATAGCTGTCAAGAATGGAGGTGGCTATACAAGTATGTATCTCAGAAGAATAGTTGAAATTCAAGCTTGAATAGAGTTTGAATAATCCAGAAGACACCATATGTGTTTCTAGCCTTGGTTATAACTCTTTCAGAAACCTTCCTTTCTTCCATGTATCCAGCCACCATTGCAGAAAGAAACAGAGGAAAAAATAGGAGATCTGAGAAAAAGAGGATTTTATATAATAAAATTGACAAATTACCCAAAACATGTTTATATTTTTATTAGAAAAATATTAATAAATTGTTTCAAAACAATTTTATTTTTAGTTTCATTTCTTGTTTTTCAGCTAGTGGGAATTCATTAATAATATCAGTTGGCTTAGAAATGATGGAGATAATTTTTCTTTAAACATTGTTGCAAGACAACTTAATTCAGTTTGGCTATTTAGGTTATTTTTGATGAGCAGTAATGAACCCTTACAAATACAGGTGGCAGAAACTTTTAGTTTCCTCCCCCAAATTAAGTTACCTGATGGTTTTAAAGCAAGTCTTCTCAGAATGAATTTTGCCATGTACAAGCCTCTTATTACTACATATATATGTATGTATCTCCACACGCATATATATTTGTGTATGTATAGGCACATACATAGGTATGTATAGGTGTGTATACATACATATACTTAGGTATGTATATACCTATGCACATACATAGGTATGTGTAAGTGTGTATATATGTATGTGTATTTGTATATGTGATTACTTGCATGTTTATTTACATACATTTATATGCATACAGTTATAATTGTACAAACTGTTGTTGATCATAGGCTTTCAGACATTTTGTGTAAAGATTTCAATAGAAAACAATAATGCAATAATATTCTGACTGTAGGGCTTGCTAAACTTTGCAACAGAATACTTAGTTAAAAGATATTTCTAGACTTAAAAAGTTACCCTGAAGATATTAAGCTTCTGTATTCATTAGATTGTTATAACCCATTTATGAAAAATTAGGCTCATCTGTAAAATATTTCTGGCCATTTATCTTGAACATGACTCATTTTAAAAATTAAAATTTATTTCTAGCATTATTTGTACTAATTAACAAAATTTCTAGCACACATTTAAATATCAGTATTTGAAATTTGCCCATAGTTGCTTTTGGAATGTAGAAAGGTGATTATGATTATTTTCAAATGCTAGTTTAACCTCATTTGATGTGTGGATTCCTGATAAGGATACTTAAAAATGTTAAAAACTACCTAGAGAATAGATACAAGTTAACTTATGCACAAATATACTGCATTGTCAAACTCAAAGTATATTAAAGTAAATTATAGAAATAACATTCGTTCAAGTTACAATATCTAAGTGTGTAACTTGGTTACAGACTTTTTTGATACATATTATAAATGGCAGGCTAGATTTTCCTCTTTTATACTTATTCTTCCTAGTCGATGTGAAAGGTCTGATTATGTGAAGATAGACCACAAAATCAGGATCTCTTTTCCTTCTGATTTCATACTTCTTATTTTCCCTTCTCTCTAATCTTTTCATCAGGCTCCACCCAGAATGAACAAATTAGAATTGAAAAATGAACAATTCATTGAAGAATCTGAAGAATTCATACTCTGAGGGTATGAAAGAAAAGCTATACCACCTGTCATAACAGTCACAACTGATCACTGAAAACTGTATTCACATTTATAATTCCCACATGCATAATTCTTTGTGTTAGAGTGTGTTATGTAAGCACTTTTTAAGACTCCAGTGTTTTCTCCTTTGCTTCTTCCTGGTGAACATTTTGCTATCGACAGACACTGACTGCAATTTGAATAGGGTTCCTAAAATCAAAATTAGTTTTGATAATTTAATAGATGGACTCACAGAACCCACTGAAAGCTATTATACTCACAGTTATAGTTTATTTCAAGGAAATAATACAAATGAGAACCAGCCAAACTAATAGGCACAGAGTCTTGGAAGGTTCCAAAGGAAGCTTCCATTGTCATCAGGATGTTACCCTCTTGACGCCAATGTGTGACAATACACATGGAGGATTGCCAACAAGGGAAATTTGCCTGAGCTTCATTGTCCAGAATTTTTATTGTATTTTCATTATGTAGGCATAATTGATCGATTAATTTTCTACATGCTTTGACTCAGTCTCCAGCTCTCTGCACCCTCTTCCTGGAGTTCAGGCTGGTATGATGTGGTCCACGAGGGCCCACCTTGAGTTTCATGAGTATAAACTATCACTAGGTGTGGCCTGAGGGTCCCATCGTAAATAACAAAGACACTCATCACTGAAGAACTTCCAAGGATTTGGAGATTGCCTGCAAGGAGTCTGGGACAAGGCCACACCTCTCTTTGCTCAAGGCCAAATTCTTTACTATACAGTCTAGCACACAGCAAGCAAATCCTGCTATGCTCCCTTTTCCTGGAGTGCTCTTTCCATGGTTAGCTTTTTGTATTTATTCTGGATTAAAGTAAGTATTGTCTTATCACAGAAATCATCCTTGACTTTACTCTTAAAAGATAAGTTTTCTCTTTCTCAGCACCTTCCATGTATCCTTAAAAAAATTCCCGTATGAGATTGTTTTACAGGAATTACAGTTTGTTAACTACTTTAAAAGTGTTTCTTCTCTACTAGAATAGAATCCAGAGGACAAGAATCACATTTGTCTTTCTCACCTTTATCTTTAGAGTGTCTGACACATAGTAGGAGTGCAGAAATCTTTTTGAATAGATGACTTGATAGACTATTAATTCTGTGACAGCCGTCTAATATCTTTGAAATTAATTAATCTCTAGAATCCTGCTGGGACTCTGGCATATACAAGGCTCACAATTAGTGTGTATTTAATGACTGAAAATGAGTTAAAGGGCTTTCTATTTTCGATTCAGGCTTAGAGATATTAAAGGATTAAGATGTTACATTCTTTAGGAAGTATTTTATGGAGCTATTCATTGTACTGAATTTATATTTTTGACAAGCATATTCTTCTGATTTAAAATCTCAAATTTCCCATGTATTCAGATATGAACTTAATTACATTAAGCAGACACTGTGTATCGAAAAGAGCAGTGGATTTAGAATATGAGGATCTGGCCTTCTGTAGTACTTATTGGATATACAATTTTGCAAGTCACCTATACTCTCTGAATGTCAGTTTGTTTTTCATTTTTAAAATAGTAACAACAATGGTTATTTAGTATGAATGCAGAAAATTTATGAAAACAACTAGCTAATATTTGCTATATAGTAAATAGTTTGTAAAAGTTAAAAGAAAAACTCTTTCTTTCCCAACCCAACTAAGCTTCTTTCTATTTATCATGCCTTAATGAGCTTTATTGTTCTTGTTGCCTAAAGACAGTTCAAAGGTAAGGGCGCAATTGTAGTGTTAAAAGATGACTGCAGGTGCAACCGTGTCTGATGTGAGTACCAACACTCTTCCTCCGATGCTGAGAGGAGATTTTGCTCATTGATCAAAACACTTTTCCTAGCTTAGCCAAAGGCAAAGTATAGATTGGTATTGAAGCACATGGGCTCTAGTATTAGGCTATCTGGGTTCAAATTTGTGCTATGCAAATAACGCAGACCTTGAGGAGCCCATAGTAGTAGGTGTAAGCATCATCACTATCATCATAATCTTATATTTGTGGTAAAATTTGCCTTGGTTGAAATAATTTGTGAACCTCGGCAAGGATCTCAACGTCTTCACTAAGTTTTCTCATATAATAGTTCCTAATTTATGGGATTACATAAATCTGTAATATATATACAACATATTAAATGTATGTACGCCTATATACATACATTATATATATGTATTAGAACAATGTCTGTATGTGCTTCCCTTTATATTTCAGAGAACTTCTCAGAATTCCATTCAACTAAGCATTCTGGGCAGGCACATAATTTAAGATGAATTTGCCATTCCTCAACTACAAGTTTTAACCATGTTAACATACAGTTAAGCCCTTTCTTTTTAATGCACAAATGGAAAGAACCATGATGTTAGTGCCTTGCAAAAAAAGGTAGGCCACTTAGGAACTCATACACTCACAAACTTCATTCCCCACAGATGGGGCAGACATTCCTGGGATGTTGATGCCAGCAAATTTAGCCAATTATATTTTAGCCACCTATTAAACTCCTTGGAAACAAGATTTTATTTTAACTCAGTATGAAGATTATGCAAAATGGATCACAGATTTGAAGGAAATTATTCCTTCATGTACTATTCATGTACATGAAATAGTACATGAAGCTAAAGTCAGGGAAAGATAATATAGAAAGGACAAATTTGGTCTTCAGCCCCACAGTGTGTCTTTGAATAACAGGTTTTTTTAATGCACAAACACATGGTACTGAAACATTTGAGATGGGGAAGTCAAAACTGTCTTGAAGTGAAGATAATATTGTGAAACAAACTCACTGCAGGACTTCATGAGTTTAAAATTCTCAAATAATAACTTGTTGCAGCATGGAATGACTTAACAAAAAATTTCAGAGTTGAAGTATATAATTATTATTAAACAGTTCTGCACAGCAGCCTTTCACATATTACTAGACTATAGAGATATAGTCTTTGTTATATAAATTTGCAAAAATTGAATTGCTAGCAGGTCTGTCAACACATATTTATTAAAGGTGTCTTACGTGGCAAGCATTACTCTAGGAACTAGAAATAAATGGATACACAAACAGATGTGGATTTACTCATATAGTGGAAGGAGCAGACAGTAATTAATTGTGGAGTTAAGTTTAATGGGAATATACGGAACAAGGGAGAAGGAAACAAGAACAAGCCTTAACCTACCCACAGAGGATTTCCCAAGAGGATTATATTAAAGCAAATACCTTAAGTATGGGTGGATTTGGCTAGGATAAACAAAGGAGGGGGGGCACTTTAAATAGCAATGGCAGCATAGTCAAAAGCCCTGTGGCAGGCAAGACCATGCGCTGTCAAGGGAACTGAACAATGCCCAGTATGACCCGTGTAGTAAAAATCAGGTTATGAGAAGACAGGACGGTAAATTGTATAGGTAACAAAGTACACAGAGCTTTATAGCCCATGTTTCAGTTTTGAGTCTTCCTTGTATAAAAATGTTGTAAAATAGCTTATTACTTAAAAGCTAATACCAGGAATCCTAGTAGGCACAAAAATGTTCTTGTTTGAAATAAAAATGCAAAATAAAACTTTGGAAAGTTCTTGGGGTAGAAAGTAAGTCTCCCTGCTACTCCTAAGAGTTAAGTGTTATGGGGCCCATGCTTAAGAACAAGAGGAGCCTAACATTTGCAGGTCCCAGATCAAGAGTACAAATGGACACCTACATACCTTCTTATGTCTAAATATTTTAAATAGTAGAGTGGGGATGTCAACAAGATGTGGAATAGGACTTTCCAATGCTTATTCTGTTACAGAAACAACAATTCAAACAACTCTCTATGCACAAAAATAACTTCACAGGAACTAAAGAAACAAGGTGAGGGATTATAGCACCTGGGTGTTGCACAGAAATAAGAAAACATGCATTAAAGTGTGTAGGAAGGCATAGTTTTATATTATCCCTGTCACCCTTCCCCCCAACCCCACACAGCACAGTGTGGAGGTACATAACTTCCATGTGGGGAAAGGAGAGAGAAAATAAGCACTGGACCTTGCCTTGTATCCCAACACTGGTCCCGTTGCAGTAAAACCCAGCACTGGGAAGGCCCCCATGCCACAAACTGAGCCTTCAGTGCCATGATGAGTCCTTGGTCTGCTGGGCAAACTCAGTCTCTCACTGCCCCACCACCAAGTTGATCTCAGAAACCTCAAGCTATGAATTACTCCTGGCATCAGACCAATTCCCAAAGCCCTAGACATAAGACCAACACCCAGATACCCAGCCTCCTGGCTGGTCCCTGTAAATACAAAATGCAGGCCCATCCAGCACTTTGGCCAAACCCAGTGCCAGGTCAGCACCCGTGGCCTCAAATATCAGGCAGGTACTATAGACACAGGCTCAAGGCCTGCCAAGGGCCAGGCTGGTCTCTTCAGCCCCATCTTCCAGATCATTCTCTGTGACCCCACACTCCAGCAGACCCAAAATCTCAGCTTGCCCAAGTAGACCCTAGCACTGGACCAGCTGCCCCAGGCCCAGGCTCCAGGATCATTATTGTGTACCAGGTCCTAGGCCTGCCCATGATGTCCCAGGACCCAGGTCAGCCCTCCAGAACCTAGTCTCCATGCCAGCACCTGCACACACAACCTCTATGCCAGTGGACTCAGGCTCCAGTCTGGTTTCCATGGCTTCAGCCTTCAGGTTAGCCCCAGCGGCTCCAGGCATCAGGCCAGTGCCCATAATCCTAGGTTCCAGACCAGCCCTTGTATACCTAGGCTCTGTGTCAGCCCCAACACTAGGCTGTCCCCAAGCTCCAGACTAGTCTCAGGGTCCCAGGCTCCAGGGTGTAGACCTACTCCAGCAGACGCAGGGTCCAGACCCACCTCATTAGATCCTGGTGCCAGGGACCCCATGGACTGAGATTTCAAGTCCACCCCTGCAGACCCAGAATCCAGACTTGCCCCCACAGACTCAGAATCCTGCCTCTTTACCAGGTAAAACCTTGTGGACTCAGACTATAGGCCTATTCCAGAATAAACTAACAGAATAAGGGGCCCAGGAATAAATGCATTTATTATTAATTGATTTTTGAGAAAGGTGCCAAAACACAGAATGTGGAAAGGACAGTCTTTTCAATAAATGGGGTTGAGCAATTGAATATCTACAGGCAGAAGAATAAAATTAGACCCATATCTTACACTATACACAAAAGTCACTCAAAATGTTATAAAGATTTTAACATAAGCATAAAAACTATAAAACTATTATGTTGGTGCAAAAGTAATTGCAGGTTTTGCCATTAAATGTAATAGCATAAACTGAAACCCCTTTTGCACCAACCAATACTAGAGGAAAACAACAGGAAAAACCTCCACAACATTAGTCTGGGCAATAATTTTTTGGATATGAACCCCAAAAAACAGACAACAATAGCAAAAATAGACAAATAGAATTCCAACTAAAAAGCTTCTTCAAAGCCAAGGAAACAATCAACAACCAAGTTGAAACAAAAACAACATACAAAATGGGAGATTGGAAACCATACATCCGATAGGGGGTTAATAGCCAAAATATGTAAAGAAACAACCTGATTACAAAGTGGACAAAGGATTTGAATAGATATTTCTCAAGGAAGACACACTGATATGGTTTGGCTCTGTGTCCCCACATAAATCTCATCTCAAATTGTAATCTCCAAGTGTTGAGGGAGGGGTGTGGTGGGAGGTGATTGAATCATGGAGGCAGATTTCCCCTATGCTGTTCTCATAATAGTGAATGAGTTATCATGTGATCTGGTTGTGTGATAAGTATCTGGCACTTCCCCATTCTCCCTTTCTCCTGCTGCCATGTAAGACGTGCCTTGCTTCCCCTTCACCTTCTGCCATGATTATAAGTTTCTTGAGGCCTCCTCAGCCATCCAGAACTGTGAGTGAATTAAACCTCTTTTGTTCTAAATTACCCAGTCTCAGGTAGTATCTTTATAGAAGTGCGAAAATGGACTAATACACACACACAAATGGCCAAGAGATGTATATTTAAAAATGCATTTTCTAAAGGAAGACTGCTGACTCCTGGTGGGCACATCCCAGTGGGCCTGCAGATTTCTTACCACCTGGTGAGGGACTTGACCAGAGGAAGAGATTCATCTAAAGTGAATGGGTTTTTATGCCTGAGTCATATTCCACTATATATACCACAGTTTGTTTAGTCACTTGTTGATTGATGGGCATTTGGGCTGGTTTCATGATTTTTCATTTGTGAATTGTGCTGCTATAAACATGTGTGTGCAAGTATCTTTTTCACATAATGACTTCTGCTCTCCTGGGTAGATACTATTATTCTAAGTGAAGTAATTCAGGAATGGAAAAGCAAACATCGTATGTTCTCAATGATATGTGGGAGCTAAGCTCTAAGGACACAAAGGCATAAGAATGATAAAATGGACTTTGGGGAATTGGGGGGAAGAGTGGGAGTGAGGTGAGGGATAAAAGACTACAAATACGGTGCGGTGTATCCTGATTGGGTGATGGGTGAACCAAAATCTCACAAATCTCTACTAAAGAACTTACTCATGTAACCAAATACCACCTGTACCCCAATAACTTATGAAAAAAATAAAGTGAATGGCTAAGGGAGTAACTAGTGGGATATTTTTCTGTATAATAAAAGGAAAATTATTTGGAACTTTCAGTTAAATCTGGGAAGGAAAGGAATAAAAAGATATGAGAGGGTAAGATAAAAATGAAAACCAGAAAGATAGTAGAATTCTGGGATTAAATGAGGTCCTTGGACTTTACAACTCATTTTTTCATTAAAAAAATATATTGCAGAAGGTAGAGCGAGATGGCAGAATAGAAGCCTATACCATTTCTCCCCCTCCCCCTACAGGAACACCAGATTTTAACTACTATCTGCACACAGAAAGACAGCACCACAATTGCAGTACCAGGTTTTTACTTCATATCAGTGGAGGAGGCATTAAAAAGAGTGAGAGAGATAGTCTTGAATCACTGATGCCACCCCTCCTCCGTGCCCCCAGTAGCAGCCATGTGGCACCGAGAGTCTGCACACTTGGGGAAGGAGAGTGCAGAAACTGGGAGACTTTACATTGAACTCAGTGCTGCTGTGTCACAGCAGAAAGCAAAACAAATCAAAACCACAATGAGATACCATCTCAGACCAGTTAGAATAGCAATCATTAAAAAGTCAGGAAACAACAGGTGCTGGAGAGGATGTGAAGAAACAGGAACACTTTTACACAGTTGGTGGGACTGTAAACTAGTTCAACCATTGTGGAAGACAGTGTGGCGATTCCTCAAGGATCTAGAACTAGAAATACCATTTGACCCAGCCATCCTATTACTGGGCATATACCCAAAGGATTATAAATCATGCTGCTGTAAAGACATATGCAGATGTATGTTTATTGCGGCATTATTCACAATAGCAAAGACTTGGAACCAACCCAAATATCCATCAATTAAGAAAATGTGGATTTTCTGACTTTTCAGCTTGTGGTACCTGGAGAACGACTCTGAAATCAAGTAAACAAAGATAAAAACTGCTCACTGGCCCAATTTCAGTCAGAGCAATGTTGGCAAAGTGGAAGGGATGAATTTTAGATTATCATGTGAATGGCTAGCCATTTCAAAAAGAAATGATTATCATCAGCAAGTGAATATTTGAACATTTCTACAAAGGGTTGTCTGAGAAAATGTTGCTGACACTTGGGTTAAAGGAGGAGCCTTGGAAGTTAAGGGGTGGTTGAAAAGCTAGACATCTCAGAGAGCAATTTCCCTAGTGTTTACATTTCAAAGGGAAGTGAAACCTGGAGCCAGGCAGCCAGTCATTTATATTGCAATGGAATGCAAATTACTAGAGAAAGGTTTTACTCCCTCTCTCAAGAGAAGAGGGGCAGCATGTAACCTGCATAAACACCAGAATTTAATTTCAGGGTAGTTCTCCTGCAGAACAGACCCCTGTATGTGCAGGTCTGACTCGGACATTCATGTTTTCACCTGGGGAGCACCAGGCATTGGAAATTAATGTGGTGGTTATAAGTTATAATAACTCTGATCTCTGTCCCACAAACCTCCTGTTCACTTTCAGCATAAAAATGACAATGCTTTTTTATGATTTAATGATTTTATTAAATGATTATTTAGTGCTTATATTTCAGCATAAATACAAGCATTAAAAACTTATCAGTTGATTCTCCATGACTTTTGTCTTGCAATATATTGTCGCATGTCTGTGCTTGGAAAAGGTAGAGGACGTGGGTAACAGGCAGGCTGGCAACTTGAATTACCTTGCAATGATTAATGATGCAATAATTACTAACTTTTATTAAGCAAAACTACTTTGTGTTTCTTGACTCATTAATTCAATCAACAGAGCAGCCATGTGAAGTAGATGTATTTCATCCTTTTACTACTAAAGAAGCAGGCTCCTAAAAGTCACAAAATTTACCTGCTTGATGGAGTCAAGGATAAAGCCTGTGTCTGACTCTTAAGCTCTCTTAAGCAGCTCATTATATTGTCTCTCAGGTAAAAAGCCTGTATAAACAGAAGTTGGAATTTATAGAATTTGCACCAACTTCAGATACTGCTGTGATAGAGTTTGTTACAAATTAAGAGATTTATTCTTTTGTTGAAGTTCTAGAATATGCAAGTAAACTTAGCTGTCTAATAAAGAAGGAAGAAGACTCTCTTTACTGATGTCTCCATACCCCCTCCATCCCCTCCACTGAAAAAGTTGCTTCTCTACCTCATGCTCTAGATTTGTACCTAGCCATATGAAGGTACATTATTTATAGCCTTATGCATTATTTTTCTGTAACATTACCTGTGCCAGCTGTTGAAGACATTCTGCTCACAATGCTGCTTCAGAGGGTCATCTGGATGCCAGGTGCATAAATAGCTGGGTAATTGATTATGCCAGTATTAGTTCTATAGACTTTTATTCTCTGACTCTATATCACTCAATACTTGAAAAAAAGTATGTAATATATGTGTGTATATACGTTTGTAACTATATCTCTATCTTATATATAAGAAATGTACATGTGTATATATAGTCTAGTTTGCATATTTATCTGTTTAATCTTTAATACTACTTCTGTACTGCTCCTGGGTCCAGTGAGATGGACATCTCAGTTCCTCAAAGCACCCTGAAACTACTAGAACAGGTAAAACCTGGATATTAATTAAGTTTATCCCAAGGCCACACTCTTGATAGGCCAAAAAAAGTTACCATTAGCTCCACTGTCTTGCCATTCATTTTCCCACTTGAAATTATGCTCGGTAATATTGCTTGATAGAGTTTGGCAGATAAAGTTACATGATATGTATATCCCAATAACTCTATATGCATGTTATAATATATATTGAATAATAAGATTCCCCTCCCATTATTAAATCAATTCCATGTTGCTTCAAGTAATTTAAAGTTCCATAAAGTAGAGTTACCCAAGTGGAACTCTTCTATTTTTTTCTGCAATAGATAATCAAAATGCTAATAATGAAGCCCAAACAAAATAAGCCCAATATATAATAAGCCCCTCTACTGTGTTTTCCTAGAAAAGTTAACATCATCAAATCTTTCTTTTTTCTTCCTCCTCACATCGAAAATAACTGGAGAGGCCTTATCCTAGGAATATCCTTAGCTGTCTTCCCCTGGACCTGAAATAGCATGTTTAGATTCTTCAGGTTCTTTATTTAATTCATTATTTTCCAGACTGGATGTGGTCTATGTTTTTAAAGTTTGAAAATTTAGAAAGCAAAAATAAATCTCTAGGAACAAATATTGTTAATTAAGGGTGATACAATATGATAACATATCCCAAGCAAAACGTTCATGTAACCCTTTACCTATCGCAGTGGCAGCTCACATTTTTACTACTAGGAGACATAAGCCCAGAGATTAGTGTATCTGGAGAAAAGGGCTAACAGAGAAAGCAGGAAAGAAAAAACAAGAAAAATCTTGGTTTCAGGTTGGCTATCCTGAGAGTCTATCCATGCCAGTTCAGGTAACTATTTGCACACCAAAGTTTCGTGCTCCCCTTCAATGATGAAGAGCTGTTGCTGGGATGAAAAAAAAATGCTCAGCCAAGGACTATGTTTCCCAGTTCCTCCAGTATCCAACTTGGGTAACGTGATGAATATTTTGGATACAATATGGTCTGAAGTGGTGTATGCCTTTGCTTAGCTTGTCCTATAAAAGATTCCTGTACAATCCTCCACCCTCCCTCTTTCCTTATTCACTAGCTGAATGGAGAAGATTCTGAGGCTTGATAGTTGAGAAACGTCACAAGTAGAAGAAACACTGTGGAAAAACCATGAACGACCATATGGAAAGTCATCTACCCACTAGGAATGTCTCATTAAATTTTATTTGAATTACAATTCATCTAACATTCATCTCAAGACTACAGCTTGTGAATTTAGAAGTAATTTGGTAGAAATCATTCATCAAAAAGTTATTTTGTATTCTATTTCTATAGCCTAGTAATATAATCTACTTCTATAAAAACTGCCTCTTCTCTTAGAAAACAGCATCTGAAACCCTCCTAATGTCTTATAATATTTTGCATTTTACAAAGGCGGCTAATCTAATTCCTGTCTTTCCTGTGGCTCTGTTTGCCATCTTAGTGTCCTTTTATATTTTAAAGCTATTAATTTTAGTTTCCCTTTTTCCTCTCTCTTTTAGACACTACATATGGTTCTTTACAGGACAACAATATTCTCTCTCGTATAATCTGAGTACTCCACTTTTAATAGGATATCTTCAAGAAGACCACAGTCATGCATTGCTTAACAAAGGGGATAAGTTCTGAAAAAATGCCTTTTTAGGTGATTTCTTCATTGTGTGAACATCATAGAGTATATTTACACAACTTAGATGGTATAGCCTACTACACATCTAGACTATATGGTGCAGCCTACTGCTCCTAGGCTACAAACTTGTACAGCATGTTACTGTACTGAATACTGTAGGCAATTATAATACAATGACAAGCATTTGTGCATCTAAACATAGAAAAGGTATAGTAAAATATGGTATAAAAGATTAAAAATGGTATAACTGTATAGGACACTTACCATAAATAGGGCTTGCCGGCCTGGACCTTGTTCTGGGTGAGCCAGCGAGTGAGTGGTAAGTGAATATAAAGGCCAAGGATATTACTGTATACTACTGTAGACTTTATAAACACTGTACACTCAGGCTACACTAAATGAATTGTATTTATTTATTTGTTTTTATTTACGTTTATTCTTTGAGACAGCATCTTGCTATTGCCCTGCAGGAGTGCAATGACACAATTATGGCTCACTGTAGCCTCAACCTTCCAGGATCAAGTGATCCTTCCACCCCAGCCTACCAAGTAGCTGGGAACACAGGTGTGTCCCAGCACGCTTGGCTAATTTTTTATTTTTTTTTTGTAGAAATGAGGTCTTCCCATGTTGCGTAGGCTGGTCTTGAATTCTTGCACTCAAGCAATCCTCTCACCTTAGTCCCTCAAAGTGCTGGGATTACAGGCATGAGCCTCCCTCCGCACCTGGCTTTAAAAAGTTTTCTTTCTTCAGCTGGGTGCGGTGGCTCATGCCTGTAATCCCAGCACTTTGGGAGGCGGAGACGGGAGGATCATGATGTCTGGAGATCAAGACCATCCTGCTCAGCATGATGAAGCCCCGTGTCTCTACTAAAAAAATACAAAAATTAGCCAGGAGTGGCAGCGCGCGCCTGTAGTCCCAGAACCCGGGAGGTGCAGGCTGCAGTGAGCCAAGATCGCACCACTGCACTCCAGCCTGGCTGACAGAGCGAGACTCTATCTTAAAAAAAAAAAAAGTTTTCTTTCTTCAATAATAAATTAATTTTAGCTTACTGTAACTTTTTTACTTATAAATTTTATAAACTCTCCAGCAGTCCTCTTCCCCATTCTTCAAGTCTATTACATTAAAGAACAAAACAACAACTTGTTTCTTAAATTGATCTTGTTCTTAGGGCTAACACTTTTTCTGATCAGAGTTTCTTCTTTCTGTTTTCTCTTTTGAGAGCATGTCTTTGTTTTGCTTATGTATGTAGCAATATTTTGCCTGTATGGTTATATTTAGAAAGAAATATAATATTTGTGGCATCTGAGTCTGAAAAGAATTCAATTTTCAAAAATTATATTCTCAGAGTAATTCTCCCTTGAAGGTCAATTTCACATCCATGCTGGCCATGTGCTCCAACTCCCATGCTTCTGTGGGATCCACTTTCAGCGGGTCTCATCTTTCCTTTAGACTCTAGCTCCATATATTTGCCTGGCGTATTTTTTCTAGTTTTCTTGTTTAAAAAAATCTTACGTGACCTTGAAATTCACTGAAAAATGCCTGAATTATACATTCGCGAGCCTCTTTTATCAAAGCTCTCAATTTTTGTGGTTGTTAACAATACCTCTGTACATTTTCACATTTTCATCTTCATTCACTTTAAAATACTCGGCTATAACACATGTACACACACATACACACACACAAACATGTATGCAAAAAGTAAATTAATCAAACATATAATTTTAGATCAATGTTTTTCTAAATACGACACATGGGTTACCTGTGTTAAAATTACCCAGAATGCTTAGTTAAAATACAGGTTTCTGAGCCCCTCCCAAGACTGATTGAATCAGAATTTCAGGAGCCTCCAAAACTACAATTTTAAAAACAGATATTCCAATAATTTTTATGAATTCTATAATTAAGGAACTACTGCTTTTATGTATTTAGTTACTTTAATACTAAGGGAATTGTGTTTGTGGAAAGAAGTTTTTATTTTAATTTTTTCTCTGTGTATATAGAAACACCCTCTCTGTTGAATAAACATAAATTTATACAAGCAGACATATGAACATAACTTTTATGCTTTTGGTAGTTATTAAAATATGCTGTTTTAATCATGCATTCTAGCAATAAGCTTAGTGCATTAACATTCAGAGAGTAAATGACAGAAACATTTTTGTTCTGTACTCTAAAATTATTATCTTTGGTGTTTGAGAACAGATTCATTTAACAGCCGTTAAAGAGTGAGAAAATATACAGCTTTAACCTACATTGAGAGGTTAAAAATAGAAATTCCAGCAAATATATTTAAATATATGTATCACCAGAAACATATTTCAGGCAAATCCCTCCCTCTTTCCTTTAAAAATAATATGGGAGAAACTATTGCATGCAATTTGATGTTTTAGTTTTGATTTTTAAGGACCATTTACTTCCTTTTCTTTTCTACATGTCAAAAGTCAATTAATATTTATATGAATTTTGCAGTAAAGCTCTTCCTCCACATATATTTCTCTTTTCAATTATAATTTAGTGGTCTCACCTACATTCCGCATCTCTCTCTCTGAAAGGTGCAATGGTGCAGAGCAGTTACACAATAGGATAGGACAATGTATACACAAGTGAATTTCTCCCACTATACTGAGCATAATATGGACATTCAGTACTGGGATGGATCCCATCCAGAGAAGGTAGCTCCTCAAGGTTTTATGTGCTGAATTGTTCATATTCATATATGCCACCACTATCCACACATAAGATTGAGTACTAGGCAAGAAGGGCACTACCACAATCTTTCCATAGCAGGTTGGGTATGTTCATAGCAGGCTGGGAGAATAACAGGGATAAGATTTGTCTTTGTGTCCATAGAGACTCCAAATAGGCTACCCTAGTCTGCGCTGAGAAAACATTTTTTTCAGGAGTGTTCCCCAGCACTCAGTATTATTAGAGACACTGTGCTTGAAGGTGGGATTTTTAACATTAAGATGTTTGATATGCTGTTTAATATAATGCATATGCCTCAAAGGAACCTCAGCCCTTTTCTTTTGTAGGCTAACAGGTCATACTTCTGGATTTTATAAGCCATCACAGATGTGATCAACCAGTCCACTCACCATCTCTTCATCCTATCCAATTGATAATGCTACTTAAAATCCAAATCCACACTTGCATCTTCATAGCAAAACAGTTTATATTTTGGAGTATAGATATTTTTATTATTTTCCCAAGAAATTGATGGTGACAAAAAAAGGGGAGTCTTAAAAATCTAGGGAACCAGACCCAGGGGAAATTGTAGGCATGTTCTTTAGCATCAACACTCTGCTCTGGCCCTTTTCTGGACAGTATTTTTATTTGTTTGATTGTTTGTTTGCAAATAATGCAATTCTCCATTCTCTTTAATGTCAAACTGACCATCCTTCACAGAAGTCAAACCTTTCCTCTATTTCTTGAGGGGTACGGGATGAGCAAGAGAGGACAGGGTTTAGTGGAGTTGGTCTTAATTAAATGTGCACGGTATAGTACTAGAAAAACATGCTATTTTTTCTTATCACTATTACTTAGATAAGAACTTTTAATATTAAGCACAGAATCAGATATAACTTCTTATCTATGTAATTAAATGTGACATTAACATTTGAGATAAACATAAGGTCATTTTTTTTAGCTTTTTTTTAAAATGAAGAGATGGCTGATATAAAGATAAGCTTTATGGATATCAAGTAGGTCATAATAAAATTCTGGAATGGACAGAAAACTTAACATTTTCTGTTAGAAAATCTTTCTTTCATAGTGGAATCTACAGTTTTTTTCAATTCCTGGTTTTGTTGTTGCTTCTTGGCATTAGTAAATATTTCAGTCCAGTAAACTTTGCTATAATTACACAAACTCTATACAGTGAGGTTTGGGAAAGGTATGCAAAGACTTACTTCCAGTCAAAAGAAAGTCAACCACTGTGTGAAATGAGGATTAGAAACTAGATTTGCTGATATATTTGTACAGGGTATTTACTACCTAACAGGGCATGTTTTTATTTATCTTTTTATCTTTCAAAATATGAGGCATTTTCCACCATTAGTGGAAATTTTTTTTTTTTAAATCATTACATGAGAGGAAAATGTTATCAATGTGATAGTTAAAATATTTTAATGGCAAACGTAGATTTTAAAGGGTGATATCGATTTGCTTCACACAACTACATACAATTACAAATGTAGTTAACATTTTTTTACCTATTGCTCTGTAACAAATCACCCCCTAAATCTTAGTTGCTTTTATTTCTCACAGAAGGTGGGTTGGGCTGAGATCTCTCATATAGCTGCTGTAAGATGGTAGCTGCAGCAAGAGTCATCTTAAAACAACTAATGAGGTAATGAGGGTCTGGGTGCAGTGGCTCACGCCTGTAATCCTAGCACTTTGGGAGGCTGAGGCGGGTGGATCACTTGAGGTTAGGAGTTTGAGACCAGCCTGGCCAACATGGTAGAACTCCATCTCTACTAAAAATACAAAAATTAGCTAGGGTGGTGGCAGGTACCTGTAATCCCAGTTACTCGGGAGGCCAAGGCAGAAGAATCACTTCAATCCAGGAGGCAGAGGTTGCAGTGAGCCAAGATCGATTGCGCCACTGTACTCCAGCCTGGGCGACAAAGTGAGACTCTGTCTCAGAACAAAACAAAACAAACACAGAACACCAAGTTAGGGTGGATATTCATGATAGCTTCTTCATTCTCAAGACTGTTCCTCAACTGATACAGCTGAAACAGCTGGAAGTTAGCTGACTGTGTTTTGATTTACATGTGGCCTTCAACATGATAAGCTTAGACCTCTTCACAACATGGTATTCTCACTGTAGTAAAACTACTTACATAGTGGGTGACTTCCACAGAGCAAGTGATTCCATATACTCAGATGGAAGCCATGATTTCTTATTATCTGATGTTGGAAGTCACACTTCTTAATTCCTATCACGTTCTACTGATTAAGAGCTACTAAAAGCAGGTCATGGGAAGATTCAGTCCATGAGTGGGTATGTATCTTTGGAGAGTTAGTAAAGATGGTACTCAGCAGTAAGACCAAGAAATTTCAGTGAAAAGTCTCATATATTTCATATCCATTGATTACTGATTTTTAGAACAGGAAAAGACCTTAAGTATCCTGGAAAATATCTGATTTACCCTTGAAACTGACACTCAGATAAGCACTTGGTGTTTACAAAAATAAAAATCCAGTATCTTGTTATTTTTAGGCTATTAGGAAGTCACAATACTTTATGTTATTTTAAATAAAAACTGAGATGTAGGAAACATTAATACGTCTCATCTAAAACAAAATAGACAAGAACAAAATGTACAAAAATTTACTTCATTCAACTACAGAAATCTTCCAAAATGTGCATAAGATAAACAATGGCTTTTAACATGTGTATAGACAAGAACAAAATGTACAAAAATTTACTTCATACAACTACAGAAATCTTCCAAAACATGCATAAGATAAACAATGGCTTTTAAAATTTGTATTTAAAATGTAAAAAAAGATAGTATCTGAAAAAGGATAGATCAAAAAATAGGCTTGGTTTCTCATTATATTTCTTCTTTTTAATTTAAAAATTCAATTTCTCTATTTTAATTTTTAACAGGTAATTTTTAAGTGACTTCAAAATTAAAAAGGATATAAAGGTTTATAATGAAAAGTACATTGAAAATGATAAACACTGCTGACAGAAAGAAAAGGAGACTCAAATAAATGAATAGATATACCATGTTCATGGGTCAGAATACTGAATATTGCTAAGATGTCAATTTTCCCAAAGTGGATTTATAGATTCAATGCAATTCCAATCAAAATCTAGAAGGCTTTTTTTTCATGGAAGTTGACAAAATGATTTTAAAATTTATGGCAAAGCAAAGAGCCTAGAATAGCCCAAGATGCTTATATTTTATTTATTTTGTTCTTTAAAATGTTTTAAACAAAACAAAAACAAACATTTCAAGTATACAGCCTGATGTTATAAGATACATACATACATACAGTTGGCCTTTGATGTTTGCGCATTCTTCATCTGTGGAATTAACCAACTGTGGATTAAAAATATTTAAAAATAAAAATTACAAAAGCAATACAATGAAAAATACAAATGAAAGAATACAGTATCACAATTATTTATATTGTATAAGGTATAAGTAATCTAGAGATGATTTAAAGTATATGGAAGGATACGTGTAGGTTATATGCAAACACTATACCATTTCATATTAGGAACTTGAGTATCTAACTGTAAATTTTGATATTCACAAGACATCCTGGAACCAATCCTCTGTGGATAAATAGGAACAACTATATAGGAAAATGGTTACTGTTGTTCAACAAATTAATATATGCATCCTCTCAAATAGTTGCCTGTTTTATTCCCTTTGTGGCAGGAAAAGCTATATTCATTTATCAACAATCCTGAATGCAATACACTATTATTAACTATAGTCCTTATGTTGTACATTACATCTTTTGACTCTTTCATGTTTGCTACTTTGTATCTTTTGATCAACATCTCCCATTTCTTCCCCTTAATCTGTCCCTGATAACCCGTTTTACTTTTTATTTCTGTATATCTGACTTTTTTATTTTTAGATTCCACATGTAAGTAAGATCATCCAGTATTTTTCTGTTTCTGGCTTATTTTACTTAGTACAATGTCTTCTAAATCCATCAATGTTGTGGCAAATGGCAGAATCTGCTTCTTTTTTAAGGCTGAATATTCCATTTTAAATATACAAATATACATACATACATATATGCATGTATATATGTATATATTTATACATAAAAAGGGATTATATTCCATACATGTATAAAATATATATATGTATTTATAGATGTATATTTATACATATACATATATATGTGTGTATTTATATATAAATATATATTATATATAACATGTATTTTATATATAAATATGTATTATATATTTTATACTTTATATATTTTTATTTTGTATTTTATATATACTTATGTATTTATATATAAAATACATTATTACAATATATATTTATATATAATATACACATATATACATATATGTATAAATACATATATATGCATTTATACATATATGCATATATAATGCATACATATATGCATATGTATAAATTTATATATAAAATACATGTTATATATAATATAGATTTATATAGTTTATGTTATATATATGTATATTTATATATACACACAAATGTATATATGTATATACACAAATACAAATATTAAATAAGTATATATATTTATATATAAACAAACATTTATTTTTATAAATTGTTTCACAGTTTCTTTATTCACTTATCCATTGATGAATATCTTGGCTATTGTGAGTAATGTTGCAATGATTATGAGAGTGCAAACCTCTCCTAGAGCTGTTGATTTCATTTCCTTTGGGTAAATATTCAGGAAAGAGATTGCTGGATCATATGGTAGTTCTATTTTTAATTTTTGAGGAACCTCCATACTTTTGACAATAATGGTTGCGCCAATCTACATTTCCACCACCAATGCGCAAGGGCTCCATATTCTCTGCCCCCTCACTAACACTTGTCTCTGGTCTTTTTGATAATAGCTATCCTAACAGGTGTGAGGTGGTATCTCATGGAGGTTTTAATTTGTATTTTTCTGGTGATTAGTGATGTTGAGCACCTTTCATGTACCTGTTGGCCATTTTTATGTCATTTTTGGAGAAAAATCTATTCAAGTCCTTTGCCCATTGTTTAATTGGGTTACTTATTTTCATGTTTTCTTACTATTGTGTGAATTATTTATAAGTCTTGAATATTAACCTCTTATTTGATATGTGATTTGCAAATATTTTTTCTTAACTTGTAGGTTGGCCCTTTTCATTTTGTTGATTTTTTTTTTCTGTGAGAAGTTACCATTTGTTTTGCTCTGTTATTTCATTTACAGAATTGTGACATAAGTTTGTGTCAGGGTGACATACTTAACCATAAACTTAGTAAGAATGTTTTCATTTGAAATATTTTTATAATTTTGTCAGGTACAGATGATATAAGTATTTTAATTAAGCTAATGTTTCATAAGTAAAAAGCAAAATAGTAATAACCCATCTGGAATTTCCCCCAGATTACTCTAGGAAATATACATAATGAGAGAAAATATTCAAAACTATATATTAGCTCTTAGTTATTTCTGCTCTGTGAGTTCTTTAGCAAGAGACTTGTTATTACTATGAAGAAACTGAATATTTCATTGTTGTTGAATGTGTAGTGCATAAACAGAAACTAGGGTCTGTGGACATACTACTTTGATTTGACTGATAGTTTTGCAATGTGAGAACTCCCATCTGAAAACTCAGTGCACATGAAGAGAAAGAATGTTTTATTTCCTAACATAGCATTGAAATATGTCAAGCACATGAACTGAGACTTGCTCAGCTGATATGTGTTCTGAGAATAAAAGAAACATAAATTGCTAAGGCTCAGGAACATGCCCATTCTATGAATAGAGATTGACTTTGCTGCCAAGGGAAGCAAGTTGCTTGGGCTTTAGGTGACACATTCCCAATCTTTACTTTACCAAGAAAACGGCTTGGAAAGCAAACTACTTGAAATGTTTTCCCAAAGGTTTCCAATGAATATCAAACCCATCAAGCATCACATTTATTTCAGACACAAACTCTCTATGCCTCAGGAAACTCTCTCAGCTCTAATGTCGTTGGAAGCACCTGTCATCTTCCTTCACCTTACTGTCAGGCTATCCATGCCTTTAAGGTAGGTCACCTTTCTTTGAGATCCTGCTTCATTATGGGAAGCTCAAGTTTTTTTTCCTAAGCTACATTTGGAATTTGAGGGCTTTTTGCTTGTCCTTATATGCTCTGCCCAACATTTCCCATTATGTGGTCAAGTTGCTACTCTCATTTACATATTTATTCAACAAATCTTTCTCTATTATACTATACAAATATTATTTATTTAATATCATAAACTAATATTTTACTAAACCATTACTTTTTTAACTCCCACACTGAAGAATAGTGTTAAGGATAAACAAGTGAAGGATGTACACATGTCTTTTCCACTGAGTTACATTGGGAGAGAAAAATACCAGGAAGAAGGTGAAGGGGTTTCTGCATAAAAAGAATAAAATAAGGTCTAGAAATACTCTAAGAAACAGCTCCAGTGGAGGCTTTCTCATGACATATATAGAGACCATGCTTTTTCTATCCCAGACAATTTGAGCGTAACTCCTCTATGGAAAATAATGTTGTTTCCATTAAAAGGGGAAAAAAAAACCAGATTTCCTAATTTTTTTTCCAGATGTTCCCTACCTGACTTAGGAGAAAATGAGCTCCTTGGATTCAGTATGCAAGGTTGAGCACTGGCCAATACGTTTTTGTTTTATTATTCTGGAGACATTTCCTAAAGCCTCTCAAGGTTAATCAAGTATACCAGAGGCATCTATGGGGGTTGCAAAATCTAATTATTATTCCTTGTGGTTACCACACTAGTTTCCTCAACCCATTTTTAGAACTGCTTCGGAGACAATGAACAAGTTCCACAGCCATGTACATAGGAATAGAGTTATTTTCTGACTCTTACTGGATTTTGAAGGGCAAAATGAGGAGAGGAAGAAACTACTTTGGTTTCAATGACTGATCAGAGTTTTCCTTTATTCTAATTTAGGTTTTTGTTAATAATGCGAAAGAAAATGGTTTAATAAGCACATCATAAATAATAAGAAGCCCGGATGAAACAGGAATAATTTTGTTTTGAAGGAGTGAGATGGAAAGATAATCATTACCACCTTCTTTATCTTGAGAGCAGGCATAGAAATTCACCTTGATTCAAATAATCTTTCTTCAGTGAAGAATGGGTAGGGAGTCATCATTAAGTTTGTATTTATAGACAAAGCCGTATAGGAGATAATTTTATAATATAACCTTCTCTTCTCTGACCTAGTTAAAAAAATATAGGCCAATGAGGCTCTTGTAACAAAATAATTCTGAAGAAAGATAAGATAGGCTACGGACTTTGTCTTAAAAAGAGAGTCAAAGAATTTGATGGTGAGAAATGATTACTTAACAAGATGAGGCTGATGCTTCAGTCTCCACAGAATAATGTGTGTGCGTGTGTGTGTGTGTGTGTTTCTAATAATGGCTCAGAGCGAAGGGCACAATTCAAAACCAGCTTATGGCCGGGCGCGGTGGCTCACGCCTGTAATCCCAGCACTTTGGGAGGCCGAGGCGGGCGGATCACGAGATCAGGAGATCGAGACCATCCCGGCTAAAACGGTGAAACCCCGTCTCTACTAAAAATACAAAAAATTAGCCGGGCGTAGTGGCGGGCGCCTGTAGTCCCAGCTACTTGGGAGGCTGAGGCAGGAGAATGGCGTGAACCCGGGAGGCGGAGCTTGCAGTGAGCCGAGATCCCGCCACTGCACTCCAGCCTGGGCGACAGAGCGAGACTCCGTCTCAAAAACAAAACAAAACAAAAAAAACAAAAAAAACAAAAAAAAAAAAAACCAGCTTATAACTACATACCCCAAATAAGACTTGGGAAGGGACTTGGGCCCATAAAGTCACCTTGCTATAGTTGTTTAAACGAAAAATAGAATCACGTAATCATCTGAATCAATAGCAGCAACTGTGAGATCTGAGGTTACATTCTGAGGGAGACGTACCAAACTTTCTGTAGTTAACATGTAGCAGACATTGTTGGTTGGTTATCCCAAAGCCATTTCTGACTCCTCTATCCCTGCAGCCTTCCCATCTTATAAGCTGTAAAGTTAGGTCTCCTTCACTGCAGGCGGGGGCATATAATCTAATTCTGGACACTGATGTGTAAAAAGAAATCTAATAGGGAGAGTTCCTGAAAAAGATAGCTTCTAGATGAAATGGTAAGATACAAGAAGAGAGCTGGCTGTCTTTCCCTTGCCAATGCCTGCCTTCCCATACTTATGTGTGTACCTGATGCTCCTCTGGAGCTTAGAAAGTCATTATATTACTTGGAAAAGGGAGATGGTAACATGCACGTGGGTGAAAAAATCCATACTCTAAGGAAAATTCAGAACACAAAGAAAGCTCGTGACCTTTATTGAACCCACGACACAATTTTAAATGAAAATAAGTGTCCCTATGGTATAAGCAGTTGTTATTCGGATATTGACACTTATACTCAAAAGCATTTCTTACTGATAAAGTATGTGGGTGTTCAAGGCACTGAAAGATTATATATAAACATACAATTATTTCAACTTTGGGAAGTGGATAATATTTATTTCCTGCACCTTCTCAAAGCCCTTTCACACAAATAATTTTATTGGTTACTATATTAATCCTCAGAAGTAGACAGGGTTAGGGTTCTGATTACAGTCTTATAAGTGAAGAAACTGAATACAAAAGTAAAAAGACTTTGTCTAGAGCAACAAAACCTGTATATAGTAGAGACGAGATATGAACTAAGATCTTTGACTCCTTAACTAGGAGCCTCTTTTGGATCATACATCAAGTTAAAAGTAATAATACTAAAATGGTTTTGCATCAAAGGAACAAGATGACGAATGATGCTGATTTTGTCTTTTGTTTCAAACTAGGGACCAGCAATATTCCAAAGTAAACCTTTTTGAAACCTAGGCTTTCTCCTTTTTCTTCATAGAAGGGAATTTGTGCAATTACCCCCAAGAGAACTACCTTGCTACAACAACAATTTACATCCTGGCTGCATTAAATGTGTTTACTGTGGTTAGAAATCTAAAACTGAACAGTTAATAAAAGGAGCTAGAGAATGTTGTAGCTGAACCATTATAGCTCTAGTTTTCCTGTTTTTCTCAATTCAGACCCTGCCACAGAGTCGCACTCCCTTCTGGGATGCATGGTTTGCAAAGAAAAAGAGTAAAACATCCAGTTTTATAGCTACTCTGCTGAAATGCAGCAAATGTATAGTTTGTACCTCAGTCTAGTCATGTAAATCTTGAGATGCGTTAATCCGTCGTTATAGAAGTCTGTTTATCACTATACAGATGGAAGAATCAAGTATAGTGTTTCTTCAAATGTCTTTTGAAAATAATGAAAATTCAATTGTTCTTCTCTTACCCTGGTAATCCAGTTCATTTGGGATTATCCTTTTACAATGGAGAAAAGAGTATTAAATGTGAAATTCAAGCCACATCCTATTTATTGTAAATAAAGTTTTATTGGAACACAGCTATGCCTGTTTAGGTATTGTCTGTGGCTAATACTTTCCACTACATCAGGAGAATTGACTAGTTGCCACAGAAAACCAGTGACCTACAAAGCTTTTATTATGTGGACCTTTCAAGAAAAGGTTTTTTGACCCCTGTCTTAGGAAATAAGAAATAAGTGAGGGCTTTAAGCTAGAAAGCATTATAATAGGAATCATGATGTGGTGGACACCCAGTGTAGAATAATAGACATTGGAGACTCGAAAGGGTGGGAGGGTGGGATGAGGGTAGGGATGAGAAATTACTTGAAGGATTCAATGTATATTATTTAGGGGATGGATACACTTGAAGCCCAGATTTCACCACTATACAATATATCAATGTAACAAAACTGCACTTGTACCCATTAAATTTATACAAAAAATACACTCTAGAATCATATTAAAAAATCATTCCCTAGTCAGCTCAGTTTTTATTAGTTTTTTTTCACATGTATGTGTGTAGGTGTATATATTTTTGTTTTGCTGTACTGACACTCTCTCCAGGAAGACAGTGCCAATTAAATTGAACTAGAGGACACCCAGCTGGTGTCCACTGCAGAATTGCTTGGTTGGTGCATGGGGAGAAAACTCCACAGATTTGTTTTCAGAAATGTTGTGTTAAATGGTTTGTGAGAGTAGGAAAAACATTTTGGGTTTTTCTTATCTATAACAATTTTAAAAGGGGAATTTTACCTGGCACTGTATATTTTACTTCTGTTTTCTTTTCAGACATAGTTCCCTGGTCCTGGTAGATCTTAATATAAATATAGCAGTTGCTACCAATGACTAAATGGGTGACGCCATGGGATACATTTAAAATTCATCAAGAATTAGGGTTTGATGTGAGATGTTTCTGATTAAAACATGCATACACCATATGGCTTCCCACATAGTTTAGTTAGTTATCTATGTCATGACTTGGAATTGGTTGGCTTTCCAATCTTCTTTCTATCTGCTTTTGGAGAAACTAGAGAAAAACAGTATAATTGGAGAGTAAGTGAATTGCGGAGGTGGGCCAAACACAGCTTAATCATGTGTAATGTCTGCTAGAAAGTGAACTGGAATCATCACACCAATTTCACTTATAAAATTCAAACTGCAAGAGACTTTGCAACACTAATGATAGCCAGTTGCCTAATTAGCTCTGCAACACAGTCTTTTCAATTTATTAAAGCAGAATGAGTCATAAGTTGTGAACCTGGGGCAGCAGATAGCTTCCTGTTAAAACTCTGGGTAGGGTTTAACGATAGAAGTAGTCTAGTACATGAAAATTTCTTCTGCAAAAGAAAACATGGAAGGGATATCTGTAAATTTAATTATATTAAACAGATAAATACCTGTGTCTTTATCTAAAACAGGGAACTCAATAATAATGTGAGCATATTTTTAAATACACACTAAAATATTAAAAATAATCTGTGTGTATGAGAGAGAGAGAAAGAGAGAGAGAGATCTCTGTCGCCCAGGCTGGAATGCAGCAGCATGATCTTGGCTCACTGTAGCTTCCACCTCTCAGGCTTAGGCGATCCTCCCACCTCAGCCTCCCAAATAGTTGAAACCAAGGTGCTCACCACCACGCTCAGCTGATTTTTGTATTTTTAGTAGAGAAGGAGTTTTTCCATGTTGCACAGGCTGGTCTTGTACTCCTGACCTCAAGTGATCTCCCTGTCTCGGTCTCCGAAAGTGCTGGGGCTACAGGTGTGAGCCACTGTGCCTGGACACTTTTGCACCTGGTTTTGGTTTTAAAGGACTTTATTATTTATTTACTTATTTTAAATATTTTACCCAAATTCTTTATTAGATTTATTTTTTGCTTTGGGAAATGAAAAAAATATGAAATTTATTCTAACAAAGCAATTACTAAGATTTTTATCATCACTTTATCTGATTTTCTGTCTAGGTAATACTCAGTTTTAATTTGGAAGACAATCCAAATTATAAAAGACATGATTGTGTTGCTTATTTTAAACCTTAATATGCAGACATGTAGTTAATACCCACAGGGATCTGCCTTGAAGAGGTAGGTGGAAATAGGGCCAGAGTCATTTCTTCTACTTGTATTGGTATTTTGTTGTGCTCGGAAAATTTGAAACTATTCAGAAAAAAAAGGGAAAGAGGCTGAGAGGGGAAACCAATAGTATGTTAGGTGAATATGATAACCTTTACACCATGAAAACTTACCCAAATCCAGCAGTATGGATGGAGTGGAATTTTCAAGACTAGCTGTTCTTGAAATAGGTAACACCATAATATGGCATATCAAGGGTAAACTTTTAGAAATTTCTCAAAACTCTGGGCCACAAAGCCAGGTTACCCAGTTGTTTGAACATCAGCAGCATGAATACTGTGGTTGGCAGAGTCCAAAGAACTGTTTTCAGCCTAGAGTGGCTGTAAGTCTCATGCATATGTAGATGTTAAACATCATACAGACATTTCACTGTTCTTTGTGGCTGGAGAAACATGTGGGTCTTTAACTGAGTTGTTGACTCGGGAGTATAAAGTAAGATTGTATTTGCTTTTGTAGCCCATTAAAATGAATACTCTTGAAAATTAACAGGATTGCACAGCGGTTGCCAGTGGCGGGAGTCTGCTATCATTTTACCTAATTGTTCATTCATAGGTTCTGTAAGTTAAGACAACCTTAACTTATAGAAGAAAAATTTGTAAATGATTTTCTATATTTCACAACTATCTCAGCATCCCCATATATCTGATGATCAATAAAGGAACTCTAGCAAGACAAAGAACTCTCAAAGAATCAGCAGGTTATTCCTGGTTGCCTAGGAGAACAAGATATTCTTAACAGAAGTGGGTTATCCAGTGGTTTTCCAATTGAATGCATCATATCACCTTGATTCTTCTACCAGAAGGGCAGGTTTCCTTTTCAGAGAAACAAATAAATTACATGTTTCTCACTAGATTGATCCCATGGAAATCTACTTCATTATTATTAGAGAACTCACAGGAACAACTGGTTTTGGCATATATATATATATATATATATATATATATATATAATACTTTAAGTTCTGGGGTACATGTGCAGAATTGTGCAGTTTTGTTACACTGGTATATATTATTAAACATCAATGGAAGAGTAGAATTATACCAGAATTTCGAGTAACTATACTACTCAGGAATTATTCTAATAACCCTTCTGCTGTTTTAGAGATTCAGCTCTCAAAATGAAATTTTAAAATAAATAAAAACAACTCCCTAGATGAGGATTTGAATTAACTATTGAAAAACACAAGCCATGTTTACCTGGGTCATGCCATACCTGCTAAGACAGTGATTGGGCTGTGTTTGTTTAGAGAGGAAATAAACAAAAGAAACACTGGTTTTTCTTTTATTATACATTTTTTTAGATTTCTAGAAACGCATTACATGACATTTTTGAACTTTTCAACCTGTCTTTGTGGCAGGTTGCTCTGTGGGAAATTGCAAGCTTTGAACTTCTGCAGACTTCTTTGTCAGTTACTGGTTTTGCGGTCTGAGGATGATTACCAAATCACTACAGGCCTTGCTTTCTCCATCTCTGAAATGGGGATTAAGTACCTAAATTATGGACTGCTGTGAAGAATAATTGAGATAAATATGCAAAGCTCTTACAGCACAGTAGTTGTATAAAATTATGCAGTAATTTTACAAAATAACTTTGCTTTTGCATACATAATTTAGAAAATAGTTTATTAAACAACACTTACTTCCATTCCTTTGGCATTGTTGATTCTTTCTGTCACTGGTACCTCGGTAGAAATGTCCTCCATGCATAGATTAGTTTTGCAAAACACACACACACACACACACACACACACACACACACACAATGCTTTTTTAAAGGTTAGGTATATTTTATAAAGCACAAAAACAATTTTATTCCTGTTGATAAAAAATCTATTTCATGCCTGTCATTATGCCTTTTACCATCATCTTTGAACAGAATTTACCTTAAGTATATCTTTATTTTTTAGGTCAGTCCGCCTACACACATTTTCTATGCTTTCATACAGCGGCTTTCAAAGTTCCTTTATTTTTAGCAATCAAAACCCTGCCCCCCTTTTCAAGCAATCTATTACACAGAACCTCAAAATATAAAAATGATGTAAGTTGACCTTTTTTAAAGCTGAAATAATGAATCGACAATTTTCTTACTCACTTTTCTCTCTTCCCTGCCTGCCCACCTGTCCCCAGCAATCCCTGAGTCATTCTGGACAAACTGGGCACAGCAAAAGACAAGTGAAAACTACCATTTTCATCAACCCATTTTGTGCTCTTCAGCTACGGTGTGCTTTCATAGTAATACAAACTATACCCAACATAGTAACACCATGTTGAGAAAATAAAATCACTAAATATCACTTTTCTTATTAGTGCACTCAAAGTGTCTACATTATCTATCCATGTTCATCACTGGATGCAGCATGACTCCAGGCATCTTTCTGCGCTATTACTTGTCTGAATTGTTATCCTCGCCACCACATGTACAATTTTAACTTCCTTTGTTAATCTTTACCATATTCCTGTAAACCTGCTTCTCTAGTTTCTTATGGTCATTTTAAATATCAGTTCTACACTGTTCTGTAAAACTGCCGTATGTACAGACTTTCTGCCTTTTCGTGGCCATCATGTTGAATTTGATATGATACCGCTGACCACTAAAACTAATGAAAAACACCAAGTTAATTTTTCTAACAACTGTTGTTTCTGTGTGTTTTTGGTGTGCTTTAAATTTCACTGTGACAATCATCTGCAAATAACTCGAGACCCTCCTTTCTATCAGGCTAGGAATACAGCTCTCATATGAGAGAAAACCTGCTTCCATTCTTCTCCTGCCCATTCACCTTAAAACCATACACAGTCTAGGAACTTGCTGCCTACCAAGTAAGAGGAAAAGCATTAGCATTTATACAGTGTTTAAAATGAAAACAAGCACACATTGCCATCAATTTGCTGTATCATTTTTGATCACTAGAACGTCCTCCTTGGGAACCTTTAATTACAAATTCTGCATTTTGGAAAGTCATAAGGCATTGCTGGTACTTCCAGTAGTGACAAATATAAAGTTGATTCAAATGAACAAAATTTAGGTTTCTGTCTCTATACCTCATTAGCATTAGCAAGTTCCAGTCTCATAGCAACCCAGATCTGATGATGAACACCTGCCAGCCCAGATGGTTTGGGGAGAAAATTCCTAGCTAAATAGAATAAAGTTCTGTTGTTGGGCTGTCCAAGCTGTTATTTAACAGGGATGTTGCAAAAACTCTGAAAAGCTATTATTGTAGAATTTAAACAAAGAAACATCTCCAAAGTTGTCACTTGCAATTTCCATCACTTCTAATATCTAATGTCCCAACAATTTTAGTTTGTGCAAATAATATGGTTATTCTATCTTTAGACATACTACAAATGGTATTGGATGTCCACTGGCATGAACACAGCAGTAGAGCAAAATCAATAGCATCTGCACAATTATAAAACAAATGCTTGTATTTTCATATTTGCTTTTAAATAAATCCAGTCCTGTTCCTTCTTCTAATGAATTGGCTGATATACAAAAAACAAAATCTTCTGAATAAGATCTTAAGTAAATATTGAGTTGCTACTTCAGCCCACAGTATTTTCTCCCTCATTCAAACTCTTAGAACCTTACTGTTTATGCTGTTTTGTTGGAGGAGGAAAGCAGGTGCTAGGGGAGATATGGCTGGATGTGAAGTCAAGAGCACTGAGATATTGGTTACCCTTGCTCAGTGGCTCTTTTTATGACCTGATTGAACCCATTAAACTAAATTTTCCTGCCCGTAAAATAATTTTGTAGTAAAGACTACTTAGATTTTTTTTAGTGTCAAAATATACCATATATCACCATATATTTTTATATGTGCATAGATTCTTTACACAAAAATGAACTACTCAGGATGAAGACTGTACTGTACATCTCTAATTTGTGGTGCAGAGCTTTTTACACAACTGATGCCTAAGGACTATCAGTTCTACCATTGCTTTCACCTTCTTGGTGAAAATGATGAAGATCATGGACTTGGGTAGATAATTTTCTGTTTTCTAGCTCTGTGAGCTTGGGCAAATTACTTGAGAGTATTGAGTCTCTATTTCTTCATTTGTATTTACTTCATAGGGTTGATAAGAGTGTTAGAGAATTAGCACCTACAGTTTACATTTTGAAAACATGATTTCCTGTGCCTCCCTGCCCTGGGTTGGTACCACAGAACTTTGCAAAGAGTCAACACTGAGGTCAATTCATTGTAATAATTAAGAAAGCCAGAAGATCAAGGTTCAAATCTGGTTTTACCACTTAGTAGCTGTGTGACTTTGTGCAAGTTTGTTAATCCTTCTGTTTCTCAGTTTCACCACCTTCAATGGAGGCAATGGTAATATTCACTTCATAGGATTCATGAAAAATAAATGAATACTTATGAATTACTTAAAGAGTACTGGATACATACCAAGTACTACTTAAGTTTAGGTGTTAGTTTTAACTTTACAAATATTTATTAATCAGGTTTACAAGAAAAATGCTATTATTTTAATATGGATTTAAAACTTCTATACTTGATACTGATTATGTTCAAGATGAACATAATTATTCTCAAATTTGGTGGATTGTATAAGATGTACATTCTATAAAATAACAAATTAATACATGCTTTTTAAACAAATCATTATAATTTACCAATTTTAATTATATGCTAATATTGTAAAATAATGCAAATAAATTTCTCTTTTACTTTCTGCTTATGTGCTTATTTCTTTTTAATCTCTATATTGTGTATTTGTTCATAAACTAATCATAGTCTAACTTTTTAATACCATCAGACTCTGCCATATTTGTTCACTTTGATGATAAATGAAATTTATAAATATAGTCTCTATGTGCTTTTTAATTTGTTTAGCTCTCAGATTTTTACAAATTATCTCAGTTGAGGAGAGAGAAGTGAGCTGGTCTTTCAACACTACAGTCTTATAGCTAGAGGACTATGTCTTGTAATATTATTGAATGTATTTTTTCTCATACTTGGTATATGTCATTTTTTTTCCTGTAGGTTTCAAATAAAACAAAACCAAGCAAAAAACAAACTTCAGTAGACTAAGTGTTATAAATATTTTTTAGGGTGAAAAATCATAATTAACATGAAGTAGGGATATAAAAAGGAAATATTCAGTAATCAAAATCAGTATTCGATTGGTTCTTCTAAAGCAGAGTATTTCAGGTGAATTCCAGACTAGTAACTTTTTCCAGTAAAAGAACACCAAACAATGATTTTTCTGGTAAATATCTCACTGATAGCATTTACCCATATAAATATTGTGGAATATAAAGTTAGATGACAATGTAATTGATGTGTGAAGAGTCAATGAAAAACATGCTCTACCAGAGGCCTATTGGATCTACAATGAGAGCAGCTAAGGCATGTTTTTAATAGTAAACTATAAATATGCAAATGAGGCTAATGGGGAAGAGGTTTGCTTTAAAACTACAGTTGTGGTAATTTTTTTTCTTGAGGTAGAGTCTTGCTCCCAGGCTGGAGCACAGTAGCATGATCTCGGCTCACTGCAACCTCTGTCTCCCTGGTTCAAGCGATTCTCTTGCCTCAGCCTCCCCAGTAGCTGGGGTTACAGGCACATGCCACCATGCCCAGCTAATTTTTTGTTTGTTTTTTTTCGTATTTTTAGTAGAGAGGTGGTTTCGCCATGTTGGCCAGGCTGGTCTTGAACTCCTGACCTCAAGTGATCTGCTGGCTTTGGCCTCCCAAAGTGCTGGGATTACAGGCGTGAGCCCCTGGGCCCAGCCACAGTCGTGGTAATTCTTTAGTTGTAGCTACCTTTTACAAATAAATGGAGCAAATGTTTTCAAGCTTTTAATTTGCTTCATGTTTCAAATGTTAATGAGTTTTATGGTTCCACCTGTTGGTAAAAGTACTATCAGGCTGCTTTGTTGTTAATATTCCTCTTGTATCAGTCAAGGTTCTCCAGAAAAGCAGAATCAATAGGATGCAACAACAGGATGTATGTTTGTGTTTATATGTATTTTATGGAATTAGCTTATGAGACTGTGGGGGCTGGCAAGTCTGAAATTTGCAGGGCAGGCCTGCAGGCTAGGAATTCCAGTGGGAGCTGATGTTGCAGTCTTGAGTCTGAAAGCAGTCTAGAGGCAGAACTCCTTTCTCTTTGGGAGACCTCAGCCTTTTCTTGTGAAAGTTTTCAACTGATTCGACGAAGCCCATCCACATTATGGATGGTGATCTTTAAAGTCTACTGATTTACATGACGGTTGATCACATCTAAAAATACCTTCACAGCAACTTCTACACTGGTATTTGAGCTTAGCCTAGTCAAGTTGACACGTAAAATTGGCAATCCCACTTTTCCACCCACTTTTCTACATAGCACCATTCAGAGATCTTAATCCATAGATCTCTATGATTTCACTCTTGCTGTTTCTTCATTGCTCCTACAGTACTGACTTGCATATAGCCATTTTTTTCTTTTTCATAACCAATTATCTTCCTCTATCTTCATTTCATAGTTCATATTTTTTTCTGAAACTCTTTCTCACTTCTAATATCTTCTTCCTTTTAAGACCTCTCAGTTTCTGTTGGTACCTGTTTCTCTTCCTCTTATTTTTCTTTCCACTTCTGAATGCCACTCTCATCCATCTCTATTCGTATGAAGCTTTAACTGCCTCCTTTCTCCTTTCCCATATCGAAGATGCCTACAATTTGGCCAATTTCTTCAAGCTTCTTCCCTCTTATTCACTCAAAATTTCTCATTTAGTACAACTTCAAGCTAGTAAGTTTCCCTTCAAACCTGTGGGCTTAACACATTTCCGTGTTAGCTGAAGCACTTCACACCTTATTTCTTATTATTTGTCTCTGCTGCTGTATACAGGCACTAGCTCTTCATCTTGGTTAATGCCAACATTAGGGTCTCCTTCTCCCTATTTCCTCAGCCTCAGCTTCTCTGTGTTCCTGGCAGGGTCTTCCTTTTTCCTTGAAAGTTAATCTTACTATACTGATGTTATGATCAATTTACTCTAACTGGATTTCAGCACTCTGATTTGCTTCTTTTTTCTTTTTTCTCACTTTCCCATTTCCTCAATGTTAAAAACACAGCACTATTCTCTACTATGCTTATGATCAGGTGAAACCATATTTAGTTTTTTTCCTTTTCCCATTTTCTCTACAATTTAATAATGCTTTTTACCCAGACTTTCAAAAATATTTTTCATTTATGATATTCTGATCCTCAGCTCCCTGGGTATTCACTTTGCAATCTTCTCATGCTGGTCCATCCACGGTCCTGCTGCCAAATATGATTTTTTAAAGTGATGCATTAAATCATCTTACTCTTCTTCACTCGTTCTCAAATCTTTTGGAAGCACAATTTTTAAGAAATAAATTTTCTCTGGGCATAACCCCTGTTCATATCTTATCTATGAGTATTCTGATCAATGATTAATAACTGAAGGATTTCTATTCTTCCTATCTATAAGTTTACATTTTAAAAAAATTTTTCTTCACTGATGTAACTTCTTTTTCATCTAAATTATTTCATTCACACCCTTTTTAAGAACTCTCACATTTCCTTTGTCATTTTTTTACCCTGTTGAGGTTTTGAAGTTGGGCTTCTGTACCTATTTGGCCTAATTAGGAGTCATGCAAAAGAAAAGTATCAAGTATAAAAATTAAGAATCTGAAAATAGATATGCTATATAGTTTGGAGTTTTCATAAAAAAGTAGAAACAAATTGAGATGTAAAATCACATCACCTGTGTATTTCTACGATGTGTTCTCCAAAAATACATACATCATTAATGTTATCAAAAGCCACCATCATGTTTAATAAAGGAGCACTGAAAGTGTTATAAGTCCAGACAAGATGTCACCAATATTGTTCTACATTGTTCTTGAGATGCCAGATTGAATAATTAGACAACAAAAGGAAATAAAGCACCAGAAATGTTGATAAGACATTATTATTGCATATATGATTGTATGCTTAAAATACTTAAATTATTAAAAATTAAAAGATAATGTGGCTGAGTAAATATATGGAAATGAATAAGAAACAGGCCTCATTTACAATAGTAATCTCCACACTTTTCCCCCAACTCCCTCCAAAATGCTTGTAAATTTATTAATATAATAAAAAGAGGGGGGAAGAAGGGCATATAATATTCTTTACTAGCAATATCTGACATCTTTAAAATGACAATTTTACCTATGACTAGCTAAATGTTTCATGTTCCCAATAAAAAGATCAAACGGACATCTTGGAACTAGCTAGGCTAATTCTAGTTTATATAACTAGAAAATAAACAATAGCTAGGAAAACTCTAAAAAATAAATATGAATGAGAGGAATTATACTACTAGATAACAGATCTCTGAATTATAACAGAAAATAAAGAAATCAACTAAAATACTGTCATCTGAATGGTATCCCCCAAAATTCGTATGTGGAAACCTAATCTCAATAGCATTAAGGGAGGGGCATTTAGAAGAAAACTAGGCCATGAAGGCTCCACACTGCTGATGGGATTCATCCTGTTATAAAAGAGGTACTGAGGGAGCTTTGCCCAACCTGCAATGTGAAACACAGAGAAGATCCCATCTATGAGGAACAAGCCTTACCAGATGATATGGTTTGGCTGTGTCCCCACCCAAATCTCATCTTATAGTTCCCATAATCCCCACGTGTCCTGGGAGGGACCTGGTGGGAGGTAATTGAATCATGGGGGCTGCTTTCCCCACGTTATTCTCGTGGTAGTAAGTTCTCATGAGATCTGATGGTTTTATAAGGGTCTTCCCCCTTCACTTGGCTCTTCTCCTTACTGCTGCCATGTGAAGAAGGATGTGTTTGCTTCCCCTTCTGCCATAATTGTAAGTTTCCTGAGGCCTCCCCAGCCATGCTGAACTGTGAGTCAATTAAACCTCTTTTCTTTGTAAATAATCTAGTCTCAGGTATGTCTTGATTAGCAGCATGAAAATGGACGAATATACCAGACCCCAAACTTTCTGGACCTTGATCTCATATTTCTCAGCTTCCAGTACTGTGAGCAATAAATTTCTGCTGTTTATACATTATCCAGTCGAAGATATTTTGTTATAATAGCCTGAATGGACTAGGACAAATACATACAGTAATTTGAGAACATTTAAAATAAGTATCTCATTGGGATCAAGGATAGGTGTAAGGTAAATATTGGTATTTTTGGTGCTTATGGAGCTTATATAAGTGCAATAATAATTTTTTAAAAGGTGGAGTATTTTGGTTTATTTTAAATTTAAATTTGGGTTCTAATTTAAATTTTAATCAGAAATGTTACAAACAGAAAATGGAAGCCAATTGGTATTTCAATAAGCCAGAAATCTTCTATTGCAGCTTTTAAGGAAATATCCAACTACAGTAGTCCCAAGGAAAAAGGCTGAAAAATTAAGCCCAAGATACAGTCACAAGGGTGGCAAAACTGCAGAGGAGATGGACTGTCCAATCTCAATTACTTATAATGTCAAAGTCAGGACCCTGATAGGAAAATATAATTCTGAGGCCTAGGATAGACCCATATATGTGGATGAGTCTGAATTAACTGGGTGTCAAAAGTTGCCCTCTTTTTCTTTTGTAAGACAGAAAGTTCTTTATTCTTGGTACTAGCGACTTGACTTGTAACTTGTAAGGTAACACTTATCCTACCCTGGATCTTCCCCTGCTTTGTTAATTGGTTTGTATTGCTGTGATAGAATACCTAAGAATGAGTCATTATAAAAAAACATTTTTTTCTCCCACAGTTCCAGAGGCTGGGAAGTCCAAGATCAAGGTGCTGACACCTGGTATTTGGTAAGGGCATGATTTCTACTTCCAAGAGGATACTTTCAGTGCTGTATGCTCTGGAGGGGAGAAACACTATCCTCACATCAAAAAGAGCAGAATAGGGTGAACTCATTTCTGCAAGCCCATTTTATAGCAGCATTAATCTCTTCATGAGGACAGAGCTGGCATAAGCTAAACATCTCCTATTTAAATACCATCTCCCAACACTGTTGCATTGAGAATTTACAACACATGAATTTTTTGCAGGAGACACATTTAATTATACCATCTGCAAAGTTTCATTGACTTCATGACTTCTGGGTGATAATCAGTCAGGTATCAGCACCATCCTGGAAAAAATGCCTTAAAGCTGAATAAATTGCAATACTTGCTTAATACCAACTGTTAGAAACCAGTGGAACAGATTTTGGAATGGGTCTGCAAAAATTTGAAACTAGGAACAGAGCATATGACTGGTTGGTAAAAAATTGTTGACATGAGCAGCTCATCCATCACTTGCTGTTCAATGTTTTGGCAAGGCCATCTGACCAGTATCTGTTGTGATGGCTACCTGAAGGTTGGATGTGATGAGGGACTTTGCTGAATTTTGGATAAATGACAAAACATTTCTGATATAGTATTGAGGAAAAGGCAGAAGGTCAGGGAGGTATGAATGTTAGAATAGAATGATAATGTAAGGCCTGAAAATCCGCCACTTTACTGTATTTTCCGAGAGGGGCTAAAGTAAACCTCTTTCATTAAGGCATCAAAAAATGTACTGGAAAAAGATGACACTAGATTATTTAATAAACTTGTGGTGGTCTTTTTTTGTTAGCTGGAGTTGCTGGTAGGATTTGTTGCTGTGGAACTTAGCTCCCTAGTATCAATGGAATAAGGAAATTAAAAAAAGGTAGAGACAAAGTTGAGCACTTAAATGTGGGCGGCAAACTGGGTATAATTACCTTAATGGGCAAAAAGGCCAGAGGGGCAATCAGAAAACCTTGACCGTTACAAATCTTTGGTATTGACTAATCACATGGTGTTTCTTAAGAAAGATGGACCACTAACAAGGGTGGTATTGGGTAATTAAAACTCAAGAACTGTTGAACAAAATACTATGCAAGCTGCTACAATGAAAAAATGTGGTCCCTTGCTCAGATCATTTCAAATTAAATTCACAAACCCAGAGCCCATTGGTTGAAGAAGTCTGGAAGTCTTGAAGAAAGACCCTTCAACACCTCTAAAAATATATACAACAAAACTTTCCAATTCTTTCCCCATGGAAAATAACCTGTGGTTGTTTTCCAGGTGTGTTTGATCTAACATTAATACCTGAGAAACCAAAACACAATTATGGGCTTACCAAAGTAAGAAATTATGAAGGTCAGGTGAAAATAATTTGGGGAAGTCTATCTCTTAGCATATCTAAAAGTACCCATGGATATATTTTGTGATTACCCTGGAATGTATATTTAAAATTGATATACCTAGCAGCTGTCTGAATAATCACATTGGTTTCCTAATTAGAGAAATAAGAGACATTATAGTATGAAATAAAAATGGAAGTCTGAGAAACTTCTGGAACTATTCTGTCCCTGCCAAGATATAAATCAGAAGCAACAATGTCTTATGGGAATAAATGACAGGGATTTTATATTATTTAATCAACTGTTATAGTCCTTCCAAAAATGAGATAGAAAATAGTCTGTGAAAATTGACAACCATAAATTTGAACAATTGATAGATTCAATTTCAGCTGCCATGTTGGATTTTTACTTGAGCAGATCATTAAAGCCTCTGGCACTTTGTATGTGGTCATTGATCTGGCAAGTGTTATCTTCTTGTTCTCCATCCATAGGGAAAATAAAAAGCATTTTGCCTTTTCATGAGGAGATAGTTGCACTGAGTCCCTGTCCTTCCCTGGGGGACAGGCTAATTCTTTCTCTGTCCACTGGGATGTCAATTACCATAATTTTCCACACACATTGTACCGGTTCACTATCTTGATAGCAGCATACTATTTGAACCTGGTGAGAAGGAGAGACACGTATTCTAGATGCCTAAATAAAACGTATATGCCAGAAGGTGGAATTTCAGCCTGTAAAGATTCAAGGATCTGCTACCTCACTGAAGTTAGGGTTCAGTAGTCCAGATTTGGTTAGCCTATCCAAGGTAAAAGCAGATTATTTATACTTTGCTACTTCTTTTTTCCACTGCAAAAAAGGTGCAGCTCTCATTTGGTATATTTATATTTTTGAAGTAATCTATCTATCCATCCATCCATCCACATCTACCTATCTATATCTATCTATGTCTGTCCATCCATCCATCCAATGGTGCTGGCATCCTCAAAAGATAATGATCCTGCTTGGTCTTTAGCAAGACATGCTGAAATAATGGCTGATATATGATTCTGTAACTCTAAAAATAAAAAAAGTAGGTCTAAAAACTAAGGAATGAAAGTAGGATTACCCTCCTCCTCCTAAATTTCGGAGGCCCATTCGAGAGTTTTTTTGTTTTCTATCCTCATATAACCTTAGTCATAAAGTTATTCATCCAAATTCTTATGTCTTTTATCAAAGGCTTTTTTAACCAAAGAAACAGAGTCCCACTGATTTTGGTCATTCTCTCACTTATCCAGTAAACCAGTAGAAAAACAACAGAGTGATTTTAATGGCAGAGGTAATAGACTATTATCACTGTGAGAAACTTGAGTTGCTGCTACATAATGGGGACAAAGATATGTCTGCAATTCAGTGATAGTTTTAATATCTCTTTAAGCTCTTATACCCAGTGATAAGTTTTGCCAGACAATTGCCACAACCACAGCTCAACAAGGACAAAGCAACTACAGGCTCATGAGAAGTGACAGTCAGCATCACTCTATCAAGCCAGCAAAACAGACCAGTTGAAGTGTTGGCTGAGGTGAGTGTATTCTAGGATCAGTGTTAGAGGAGTAGTTGATGACTTACAGTTATGGCCTGGGGATCAGCTTCAGCAGTGAAGGCTGAACATTCTTGCTATAAGTATTTAATTGATTGAAGCTGGCTACTATTTTAAACTTATTGTGCACTTTGTGACTCATTGGGCTTGAATCTCCCCTCTTATGTTCTCACGAAAACACAGGCTTCATATTGCAATGTGGAATCTGGATATAATGAAGGGCATGGATAATCTGAGTGATGCAAGGTTTTGATTATATCAAACACGTACTATGCATCTATTCAGATCATCTCTTATTCACTTGTCCCTTCTTCAAGCTGTCAGTATAGCAATTAGATCTGTATGGACTCTGATTAACTTCACATAGTCACCACCTAATGCAGACAACTCTGCTCAAACTTTCTGCCTTTTGGCTCCATTTTGGAGCTTGTTTGTTGATGGTGCCATTGTGGAAACTCACTCACTGCTCAACTATGTGCAACTTGGAACTGCAGTGAATTAATTCCTCATGGGACAAAACGACAAATAGGAGGTGGAATCTGAATAACATACTTTTCCTTTCCCAGATGGAAGCCCTTAGACATATTTTATGTGGATTTTCAGGGAGATCCTAATCAAGAACCAACTGCACAACCAGGTTGATACTGCCTTATTTTATTGTCTTTCTCACCTTCCCTACTATACTCCTCAAATCCATTGCTGCTTTCTGGAATTTTACTCCCGGTGCAAAAGAAATAAGCCATCTGGCTTAGACTCTACTTTCTGAGAAATTAATGCTAAGAAAGATAGTAACAGATTTCATGGAAAAGTTAATACAAAACAGATCTTCAATATATGAAAAGATGCTCAACCTCAAACTAAAATAAGAAAGCTTTCATACAGATGAGATCAAGCATTCTGATCAGACATTAGTGGGTCAAAGTCAGCATATGGAGCTGACCTGAAACCGACCTAAAATCTAGGTTTTAAGGCTCTCTTAGTGCTGGGGCTCTGGATCAAAGGGCACCAGCTTCCTGAAGCATGTTATTCTTACGGTACACTAGAAGAGTGCAAAGGAATTGTGCCATACTTTTTAAGGCCTCAGCTCAGAAGCTGCACACTATAACTTCTGATCACATCTGATTAGTTCAAGCAAGTCATGTGTAGTGTGATGGATTCCCCACTAGGCTTAAGGGTGTTATGTCTGCTGCCTGAACCTTGAAGGCTGGGCAGTGAGCCAAGGCCATGTTGCCCAGCTAAGGAACAGGTATTCTTGAGAACCCAAACATCCCTGGGATGTCAAAAACTTACCAAAAAAAAAAAAAAAACAAACAAAAAACCAAAAAAAACCCAAACCAGTCTCAGTTGGCTATTGCTGCTTTAATGCTCCCCACCTCCCAGAGTTGCTGGTTTGCAACAACAAACATTTATTTTATCCTCATTGGTATGCAGATCAGCTGTGACTTGGTTAAAGTTGTCTGAATTTGGCAGAGACTCTGGTGGGCCAAAGTCAGCATATGGAGCGGACCTAAAACTGACCTACACAAACTCAGTAGGCAAAGAGGCAGAAAATTAGCTTACAAGCAGTTTAGAGATGGGAGGCAGTGCAGATCTCTAGAGCTGTCCTGCCACCATCCAAGAGTGCCCTGTATGTAAGTCTTAATAAGTTGACCTACTTGCCAAGGTGGACTCATCTAAGTCGTTCTTTGGTCCCTTAGTTCCTTTCCAGTTTGGGGATAGTGGGAGGTAACAGTCCCAAGTTTTTCTTGTAACAACATGGTCAAGACCAAAGTCAGTGGGGTGGTATAAAATATGGAACCACAAGGGCTTGGGAATTGGAATGAATATTTGCTAAATGACAATCCAACCCATAATAACTTCTATGAAATATGACTTAGCACTATCAACATAGATTCAGAAATTCCACATCCAGGATTTTATAGTATAGATATATGGCACAAGTAAGAAACCGTATGCCTGAATTTTAATCAATAGATGATTTGTAAAGTAAATCAAGTTACACCAATTCAACAGGCTCTATGCCGCCCATTAAAAATAATGAGGCAACATGAAACACACACTTGCAGAAGGACCACCAAGATATACAGTAAAGTGTAAACACAAAGTACAGAAGAGTCTGTATAGTTGCTATAATTGTGAGAAAAATATAAATATATTTGAATATATATACTATCTCTGAAAGGAGTTATTAGAATCTGACAACAGTAATTACTCCAGTGAGGAAAAATGAGCGGCTGGGGAAAGAAGCAAATGGGAGACTTTTTCTCTGTATGTTGTTTTATTACCTCGAACTTGTTGCAAGGCATATTTTTACTCACTTAAAAGTAAAGGTGCAAGATACAAGTTAGAAATCTAAAATTCTTCTCATTTGTCATTGGCTTGTAATTGTTAATAGTCCAGAATTTTCTGAGTGTCTGAACCTTTATCTTCCCCTCTCTCCCCTAGGTAAAGCTATGGTACTTTAGAAAAAGTCAACTCTGTGTAAACCACTGTATCAGGAAAATCTTCTGGTTGTGCCTCAAAATCTGCTTTATCCAACTTGTTCCTCCTTGCATTTACACACTTCTCTACTACTCAGTACTTATAAAAACTTTGCCTTGCTCTGTAAATTCCTGAAACTACTTTCATTGCTTTTTTAAACACTTCAAAATTACAGCAAACATTTTATTCTTAAAGATTTTGGCCATTTCATTACTGTTGAGTTTTAGAGAGCTCACCTAGTTTCAGACTCATACCATCTACTGATTCGTCTCTTTATCTTCCTTCTTTTTTGCTCTGCTCTTTCCCAAATTTGTGCAAAGGTCCCTACTACTCTCCTTCTGTTATGCAGAGAAAAGTCCCTCCAGTTCCATCCTTAAGCCTCAGGCAACAGACCTGGTCCCTGAAATTTAGGGGGCTCAGCTCTAGTCTCTCTGGCTACACCTCTTCTAAGATATCAAGGAATCAAGGAACCAAGGAGGTGGACTCACTTTGAGTCCAGGACTTTTCTTCTTCTGGACTATGTTCTGGGTACTTGAAATTCTAGAATTCTCTGTCTAAATTAACTTGAGCCAGGTTTAAGCACCTATGCCCCAGGGCTGACTGTGTTTATACCACTGTGGAAATCCAAATCCTCTGAAAATGAAGTTCAAGCTGGGTCTTCTAGGTTGTTATAAAGATATTTATCAAGGTAGGAGAATAGGACATGTCTTGTGTAATGGTTTGTTAGCTTGATTTATAACTTTAAATGTATGATTCTCTATTTGTACTCTGGCTCTGGGCCCTGAAATCTTTTGTCAAGGGCTAGTCAAAAACCATCAAAATCTATGCTTAATTGGGCAAAGTGTGGGCTCCCCTTCTATATGGGAGGGCTGATTACTTTTTTCCTGATGTCATATTTGAGAAGAATGATGCATTAAAATATTCCCTAAGGGCTGGGCGTGGTACCTAATGCCTGTAATCTCAGCACTTTGGGAGGCTGACGCAGGTGAATCACAAGGTCAGGAGTTTGAGACCAGCCTGGCCAACATGGTGAAACCCTGTCTCTACTAAAACACAAACAATTAGCTGGGCATGGTGGCAGGTGTTTGTAATCCCAGCTACTCAGGCAGGAGAATCACTTGAAACTGGAAGGTGGAGGATGCAGTGAGCTGAGATGGCACCACTGCACTCCAACCTGGGTAACAAGAGTGAAAGTCCATCTCAAACAAAACAAAACAAACAATAAACACTTTCTAAGAAGAGCCCTAGAGACCCATGTGGAGGTGGAAGGCCCGATGAATAGCTTGGAAAGAGAATGTGAATACATTTTCAAAGCCCTCACTCTCCAGCTCAAAGTACAATCCTCTTTTGATCACAAGTATAGTTAACACCATGTAGTTTTACCCAAGGGAGGTTTGGTTGATATACCAACAAGGTGTTAAACTTGTTTTCTTAAAACACTACTTATATCCCTGTGTTGCAGTGGAGAAAGGGGATAGTCTAACCAAAGTGGTTTATGAATTCTCATAGCCCTGCACCTCACTAGATAATATGATGCTCACTCTACGCTTCTTCCCCACTTTGAAGATTCTGAAGGATTCTCAGGAATGAAAAACTTTTTAGTTATGGAATTCAATGGTAAGTAAGTAAAAGGTAAGTGAACATTAGCTCTAGGGAAGTAACTAATTCTCCCTCTCAGTTCCCATTGATATGCCAGGCTAACCACACGGGAGAAATTAACAATCAAACAGAAGAAAAATACCAAAGAAATATAAAACAAGTATTTAGACCATTTGCCTTTGGGAGTCAAGGAATAAAGAACATATTCATTTGTTTTTTTGAGATTCAACTAAAGTTTCATAGCAAGAAAAGACAAGTGTCACCAAAAGTAAAACTGTGACTGAGATTACAGCCACCATAAAACTGACAAACCTGGAATAGTGGGTGTCTTTCAGGAATAAGGACTAAGACAGAATGCATAATGCAATGAGCCTTAAACCAGAAAGGGAGGGATCATGTGCCTTCAAAGAACATCAATAGCTGGGAAATCGATCACTAAGCCACACGTACTTGCAAAAACAGCAGAGACACAGACACAAACACTTATTGGGTGCAGAGCATGATGATGTATGAGCAACTGGCTTCTCATATATTAGAATGCACCTAGGTTTACTGAAGTGGGGAAATCCTCGAGAGGAATTTTGGACTTCATGCTCTCCTGAACATATGGTCATTCAAGCAATTAATTTGAATATTGTCTTAGTACATTCAGGCAGCCATAACAAAATACCATACACTGGGTGGCTTATAAACAACAGAATTTTGTTCCTCATAGTTATGGAGTCTGAAGTCTAAGAGCAAGGCACCAGCAGATTTGGTGTCTGGTGGGGGGACTCTTTCTGGTTCACAGATGGCACCTTATCGTTTTTGTCTTCACATGCTAGAAAGGACCAGCTCTGCGGTCTCTTGTACAAGGGCGTGAAAGCCCATTCATGGGGGCTCCATCATCATGACCTAATCACCTCCCAAAGATGCTGCCTTCTAATATCACTGTGAGGATTATAATTTTAAGAGATGCATTTTGGAAATCACAAACATTCAAACCACAGCAAATAGATAGATTCTCATATATGTCATAAGCTTATAAAGTGAATATAGAATGCGATCTGTTATTTCTCAAATTTTTTCCCTTGCAAGAAATATTTCAGACTTCATGTTACAACATCTGTAACACTCATGTTACAATATCTATAATTTCTTTTTAAGATGGGATCATGGTATGTTGCCCAGGCAGGTCCTGAACTCATGAGCTTAAATAGTCCTCCCATTTTAACCTCCCAAATAGCTGGGATTATAGGCATGCACCACTATACCTGGCAATATCAGTAATTTCTATAGTTTTTAATTCATTTTTGTTAAACCATTGAAGCCTTTTGTTAAAGTGCAAATGTTATCTAAGTTAGTGGTTGAAACTAAGATGGTTAAATGAATAATATAGACAGAAAGAGATAGCAAATTCTAATATAGTCAATTCGTTGCAAAACGAAGCTATAGTTATCTTAAGTAGGAAGTAGAAACAAGTTTTTAAAATCCATTATTGAACTGATAAACTGAAGGTAGAGTAATCAAATCTGAGAAATTCAGAGAAAGGATTTTGTCTTCTAGCCTAGTCTGTATCTTTTGTAGTAATACACTTGTCCGCAGAAGGATTTCTGCAATTGTATTATGGAGCAAATATACTGAGAGTAAAAACCAAAAAAGAAAGCCTCAGTTCATAAATGGGGTCATGGTGTGAGTTCCTAGATTCTGTGGAAAATGATTGGGAATGTCAGCTATTTAGGAGATTGAGGCACAAGAATCACTTGAACTCGGGAAGCGAAGATTGCAAGGAGCCGAGATCCTGCCACTGCACTCTAGCCATGGCAAGAAAGTGAGACTCTGTCTTGAAAAACAAAACAAAACAAAAACAAAAAACAAACAAAAAAACTGATTAAGAATGCAGCCCAGTGGTGGAGTGAGTACGTTAGATGGACTGAAAGATTAAAAGGAGGAAAATGTACAGAAAATCAATGGATAATACAATCTTTTCTTTTTGGCATCTTTGCCCAATCAGTGACCACAAAACAACTTTGTTTTCTCAGATAGCATGGAGGAAGAATATCTGCATATTTTGTGCCTACTTAATCACCAGAAAATACTGTTCATCCAAACAGTTCAGATTCTAGTCAAACTGGTAGCAACACTTTAAAAATATTGGCTGTAAGGGAAATAACAACTTATTTCACCAAAACCATCTTTATTTGATTAAATTGACTTTCTAAACAACTTCTGAGGTTTCAAACCTCTGAGACAGAAAAATATTAATGGGATCTTGGTCACTTTCACAACCTAGCTACACTTTGAAAAAGTAGAGCTTTTAAAAAATACTGGTGCCTGAGCTCCATTCTAGATCAAGTAAATGCAAATATTCAGGAAAAATTCTGAGCCTCGGTGTTAAAACAAGTCTCCCCAGGTGATTTGTAATGAGAAGCACTGACTTGAAGAGCGTTGTTGCCTGCATCCATTTTAACCTTAACATATCTGTATTTTCACGGGGATATATAGCTGATTTTTCAAGTTTCTGTTTCCCTGAGATCTGATGGGATTGTTTCAAGGTGTGATAGGTCATATTATTTTACCACAATTCTACCTTTACCATTGCTACATTCCCTTGCTATAGCTTCCCTGTTGGCACAGTATACTTTTCCACACTATTGATTTCAGATATGGCCATATGACTTAGTTTGATGGAATGCGGAAGTGATAAATTGTGCCAGTTTTGATCTAAGGCCTTAAGAGGCACGGCAGTGTCCACCAATACTCAGGGAGCTTACTCTCTCCATGCAAAGAGCAGCCCCAGGTAGGCATTGATCTTTCAGCCTGAATACAGGAATGAAGCTATATGGAGGAAAAATATAACCCCAAATCAGTAGTCCAGCCTGGTCCAGCTAAGTCAATCTGAGTCTGACTGATAGCTGCAAAACTGTAGCTCACCTACAATTCTATGAATCTGAAATAAGCTTAATTTCTTAAATTCTTTGAAATTTTGGAGTTTTATTTTTAATTCAGCATTATTACAGGGGAAAAATAACCAACACACAAGTATTTGTAAGTAATCTGCATCAAGCAATGTCTAATAATAGGTATTAAATAAGTATTTAAGTTAATTTGCTTTTATGGAAGGTTGCTTTACATTTACTAACAATAAAAAAAATGGAATCACCAGATTTCAAAGTGTTTAAATTTAGGTTCAATGATATTAAAAATAACTCAGTGACCATTAGAATTTAAGTGGATTAAACAGATTGTATCTCTATGGAATGTTAGTTATTCTGTTCATTTTTGAAAAGGATATTAGTGAATATGCTTAAAATTGCTTTTTCCAGTAGCCAAATGGATCAGGTTTTCATCCAGATGGTTTTATGGGAAGCATGTGTCTGCTCAGCTAATGCATGTTTATGAGGATCAAACTTTTGTACTGATTTGGAAATATTACTTGTACTACTGGGATATTGTTAAAATTTTTGGCTAAGATTAAGATAATTGATTTTATTATATAGAAATCTGTGTATTACATCACTGAGATATATTTTATCATAAATGCTTAAAATTATTCATAGCAATAAACAACACTTCCTGAGCAATAACTGAGTCAAGATGAAGAATTATGAGCAGAAATCTTTGAAAACTCATTTGAAATGCTAACCCTTTGTGATGCATAAGGAAGTTACAGAGAATTAAACAAGCAATCACAGAAACCTCTGAAAGAAAGAAAATCCTAGTTAGAAAGCAAGATGTCTTAATCCCAATTAAACTGTCTTTTTGAAGTTCTCCTTGCCTTGATAAAACATTGTTATTCACTTTATAAAGTGTTTTAGTTATATTTAATGTAACCCCTTTGTTTTCAAAGCTGTTTTCTTAACTTCTTCCTTACAATAAAGATAAATTATTTTTATACTGCTCTTTGATGATCCATCAGTGATTGCTGAGGGATTTATATATATAAAGTAGAGGTACTGAAGAAATGATCTTTACATTATGGGTAAAGCAAGATGTAATTATGTTGTCACTTATATTTTGAGACTTCTTAAAAGAATGCATTAGATAAATGCAGAGAAAACCTGTTTTTAAACTCTGAGACTGACATTCATTAGTGATGTTATTTACAGCAAAGGGAAAAATAACATTGCAGAATAATATATGAAATGCAATGCTCACACAAATTGCCCTCAGTGTCCAGTGTGAAAGTATTAATTTTACAGTATCTTGGGGACCAGGCTGATGCTCCACACATAATCCACAGTGTCACAAATGTCCTTAGTAAACCACACTCCCAGTTGAAAACCCATCACACCTAATATAGCAGAATGTCACTCAGTGCTCACTGGGTTGCCAAAAAGTGCTAGCAGGGTTACCACTATATCACCTACCTTCCCCTGAGATGGGAGAAAGTAGACAATTCAAATTAGGTGTAAAGGAAAGCAGGAAGTATATAGTACATTTTGATTCCAGTTATTTTGTTTGAATCTATGGGACATGTTGACTAAAATCTCATTCCATTCATTAATACGGTCCTGCTGTTGATAAATGTGAGACTTTTAAATCATATTAATTAGGATGCTAAGATTATCCTGCAGTCAATAAGTAGTGGTTTATGACTAAATGTTACATTGCAATCATTTACTCAAATTCCCATATTTTCTTTCACTTACATCCATGGATTGTATACAGATCTATGGCAAATATGTGCCCAGTTTAAATGCTCACAAATATTATAACACCAGGAAAAGAATCTGTCAGTAAGAAATATAGGTTTAATGAGAAAAAGTCCTAAGTCCAAAGGGGAAGGCAAAGTCTGTTCTGAACTTTAGGCAGCCCAGAGACAACAAGACACAAGGAAATACTACTGATAAGATGCACCTTCTTTTAAGAAAGTACAGCCAGACTTTTGTCCTTTTTGGGAGACGGAAACTCTTAAAACTTTTGAATCATGGGTTAGTTCAATGAAGAGACAATCTCAGAATTCCTGATGTAGTAAAGGTAAGATATGAGGCAAAAAAAAAAAAAAAAAAAAGTTGTAGCACCAAAGAAAGGTTTATGGAAACCAGTTGTGTTACTAAGAAATGAAAGAACCTCAGGCCGTAACTCACATCTAGTCAAAGACATTGCCAAAATTTAAAAGAAAAGTAGTAAGTAGAAGAAAGAGGTGCTTAAAGGAGAAAAGTGGACAAGTATAATACTATTTATAGAACATACATTACTTGCAGGGCACTTATATGTATGTTGCAAGGTAACTTTTAAAGTTTGAATTTCCATTTTTCAATGATGTAGTGCTTCATAGATATTGTTTCAAAAAGGGATATGGCAGCAGAAATGAGACAAAAAAAGCAGTTCACTTTTTTTTTTTTTTTTTTTTTTGCAGTGGAGAGGGCATGTTTAAAAGCCTAGACGCATAGGGTTACAGATATAATCTTGATATTGATAAAAGATATAGGATAAAATTGCTAAAGTGAGACAACTCTCCCTTCTACCTTCCTCCATCACACTACATCCCATCTCTCTAATACTGTGTCTAGGATAGGAAATAAAGTACGTAGAGGGTAAAAGATGAGATAGTAGATACTTTTTACTTCTAGGTAAATTGTTATACTCTCGGCACTATGGACTGTGCCTGGCAAGGCAGCAGCAATTCCATATAAATGTACGCAGATTAAGATGTGAAGAACTGGCATGGTGACTCGTGTCTGTAACCCCACCACTTCGGGAGGCCAAGGCAGGAGGATCACTTCAGCTCATGAGTTCAAGACCAGCCTGGGCAACAAAGTGAGACCCTGTCTCATAAAGAATATATTTAAAAAAGTTAGTCAGGCACAGTGGCACACACCTGTAGTACCAGCTACTTGGAAGCTGAGGTGAGAGGATCGTTTGAGCCCAGGAGTTCGAGGTTGCACTGAGCTATGTTGTATGACTGAACCACTACACTCTAGCCTGAGTAACAGACTGATGTCCTGTTTTTTTTGTTTGTTTGTTTTATAAAAATAAAAAAGAGCAGAAGGAACTTGTACTTCCTTCTTTATAGAGTTTTGGGTAGACAATCTATCTAAATTTATGTCTATATACCTAGATGTAGATATAATACAAAATGAATGCATGATGAGGTGATGGCTCATAATGTGGCCTTAGATGGTCCTAATATACCAGGAGTATCATGATTTACATTAATAGAATAAGTAGAATTAATAGTAAGAGCTACGCAATCTAAGAGTAGAAGAGACACCAAGGACAATTAAGGATCTGATGTTATGTTGGTGCAAAAGTAATTGTGGGGTTACTAATTACTATTAATAGCAAAAACCACAATTACTTTTGCACCAACCTAATAGAACTGTGGTCTATGAATTGATACAGTGTAAATCCCTGGAAAATTAAACAGGATCTTGGAAAAAGGCTAGATATAAACTAACTGAGATTATATACTATCATTTTAGTGGAATAAAGATGTTTGTATAAATTCACTTTTGTACACTGGAGTTTGTAACTGAAATTCATACTATGTATGTATCACCTGATTTAACTCTCTAATACAGCTACAAAGTGTCCATTTAACAGATGGAAAAAAATAGATTAGAAAGGAAGCTAATCATTTGAATTCACATAGTTAAGATGTGACAGACCCAGGATACAGAAAGATTTATCTTACCTAAAGTTAGCAATATTTTCTGTTGTTTTGTTTCTGTCCACTGTAAAATTATCTATATATCAAAAACGTACAAATGTAGGTTGATGTAATGCTTTCATTCTTCAAAGCACATGTTTTTATTCTTTGAAGAACCTGGGCATATATACACCATATCTATATACACATCATATACATATATATATATATATATATATATATATATATATATATATATACACACACACACCATATATATACTATATATATATCATACACATATACACCATATATATGCCATATTTATAATATATACATCTATATACCATATATATGTATAAAAATATGGTAGATATTAAAAATGAAATTCAATATATGATGTGAATTTAAGGAAGCCTAGCTTTCTAAACTGAAAATTTATGTAGTTTAATTTGGAGTATGAGTCTCATTTATAATATACATTTTATTAAAGCATGTTGATTCTTTCTAGACATAATTTTTAAATTAAAATGTTGTAGAAGAGTGAGTGGTTCAACTTTCAGTTCTCAGGTTGTTCATCCATAAAATAGAGATAGGGCTAGATAAATTCTAAGTTCTGTTTAGCACTACATTGTATGATTGTTAAATGAATAATTAAGAAAATTAATTAATGGATAAAGTGTAGTAAGACCATGCCACACTATGGTCTTTTGCGCAGTAAAGGAATTAGCCTAACTTCACAGGGTCTCAAAATACTATCTAAATGATATTCCAATAGAAACTAATATTTTGTGTGTTTTCGTTGGTTATATTACAAGTAGATGAACCAGACTCGTTTGGCAGAAAAAAACTGTGTGAAAGAAATATGCTACAGATTGCTCCATTTAAGTATATGGAAATGTTTCTTATCCCTTTTAACCATAGCTGATATTCCCATATATTAATATATTATCATTCATTCAACGAGTCCTGACACATTGACCGACTTTTAGGATGCATTCAGTCTTTTGCTATTACAAATAATGGCACAAAGATGAGCCTCACACAAATATCATTTTGTATTTTTGCCAATCATGTATTTTGAATATATTTCTATTAGTTAAGATTACTGGACTAAAGGCTTAAAAACATACTCTTTATATGTTGGTGTTTAGAAAAATTTGTAGTTGTGTTGTAATTGGTTCATTTACATCAATATGTTGTGAGTTGTATATCTGTTATTTTGTTACCTAATATGAAAAATAATAAAATAAGCCCTTTTTTATCCCTTTCCTCTCCCAAACTTCAAATTAAAAGTGATATAACTATACTCTCATTGAAAACCTACGTAGCTAGTCAGAAAACTTATTCCAGTTTCCAAATACTGTTCTCTGTCCACCCTCCCTCCCACCCCTCAAGGCTGTTATTTGTATAATACACAGTTAAAAAACAATAACAAACATTTCTATACCACTAAAGTGGAGTAATCTACAGCACATTTTATTAGGTAAAAATAGCAGGTGGTAAATATTGTTTCTAGTAGTCTACCTTCTGAGTAATGAAAGGGGATTTGAAATGCTTATCTGAAAAGAGATGGAATAGTAAACAAAAAATCATTAATAATTGACCCTTCAGTGTGAAAGGTGCAGAGTAAAAACAATGCCTCTGTGAATGTAAATTGTTTCAGAGTTTTCATTTTCAGTTTATGTAAATGCATTTTGTAACTTAGGAAGAAACAAAGTTAAACCAAAGTTGTGGGAAAATTCATAAAAAACCATACTGAATCAAAACATCTTATTGTTTATGAAGTTGATGGTATTTCAACAAAATAGAAAAACATTATTTCAAGTAATTCTAATACACAGAATTTTTTCAGTAGCTTTACTGATGTATAATTTACCTAAAATAATACTCACCCATTTTAAAATTAAATGTAGATTTTTATCATTTTTGGCATATGTACATAGTCATGTAACCCCACCACAGTGAATACATACACTATTGCCAACTCAAAAAATTCTCCTGAGTTTTTTACAAGCCTCAATTCTGTCACTGTGCCTTTCATATAATTTTATGTAAATATATTAATCAGTATGTTATCTTTTGTTTTCTTTTTTCATTTAGCATGATGTTTTAGTTTTATAAAGTTTAATTTTAATTTTTTTGGTCTAGCTTATGCTTTTTGCATCCTATCTATTGAATATTTATTTAAGGTATAATCAAGATTTTCTTCTATGCTTTATTTTAAAAATTGTATTATTCCAGTCCATACATTTAGGTATATGATCCATTTTTAATTTTTTTGTTTTTATATTGTTTGAGGTACAGATTGACGTTACTTTTTTTGACAGGTAGATTTAATTGTTTTGGCACTATTTACTGGATAGGCTATTTTTTCTCCATTTAAATACCTTGTCATCTTTGTTGAAAATTATTTGCCCTTGTATGTGTGATTCTATTTCTGGGCTCTATTTTGTTCCACTGATTTATATATCTATCATTATATGAATACCAAACTTTGATTTCTGGAACTTTAGAATATGTCTTGAAATATGGCAATGTTAATTCTCCAAATTTTTGCTCTTTTTCAAAATTGCTTTGGCTATTCTAGGTCCTTTGCATTTCCAGATAAATTTTAGAATAAAGTACTCAATTTCTATGAAAAGGCCTGCTGTGTTTTTACTGAGATTGTATTGAGTCTGTTAATCAATATTGGCACACTGGCCATATTGACAATATTAATTCTTCTTATTAATGAACATTTTATATAATTCCAACTGATTACATTGTTTTGATATATTAGTTTTCATTGTACAAATCTTGTACACCTTATATTAAATGTAATCTTACATGCTTTATATTTTCCACGGTATTGTACATGGTATTTATTTAAATGTTATTTCCCAATTTTTTGCAGCTAATATTTTGACTTTGTATCTTGTGACTTTGCTTAATTGACTCCTTAGTTCTAGTATGTATCTTATAGAATAATTTGAGCATTCTATGTAAGTGATTATGCTATCTGTGAATAAATAAAATTTTACTTATTTTCAAGTCTATAGACTATTTCTTTTTATTTTATTATTTCATTGGCTAAGTCTTCTCCTAAAATGCTGAATAGAAGTGGTGATCTTATTTTTTCTTAAATAGAAGGCATTCAATATTACAGCATTAAGTATAATATTAGCTGTAGGCTCTTTACAGAGGCCCTCTATTAGACTGAGCAAATACTCTTCTTTTTCTAGTTTGCTGATAGTTTATTATCACGGATGAGTCAGTCTTTTTTCTGTATCTAAGTGATTGTATAATTTTGTTTCTCTTTATCCTATTGTTCTGTTAAGCTACTTTGCATTCATTGGATTAGCCCCACTTGTTCCTGATGTATTACTGTTTTGTACATTGCTAGATTAAATTTGCTAATATTGTTGAAGAATGTTTACATATAGGATATGAAGTATGTTGGGCTTCTTGGTATTACACTACAGGTCTCTGGAGCTTCAGTATCTTATTCTGTTTTCATACTAGATATTTCAATGGGTCTATTAATTTCATGGATTCTTTTGCTCACTTCAATCTGCTTTTGAGTCAATCTAATAAATTTTTTATTTTAGATATTATAGTTTTCAGCTCTAGAATCTTTAGTTTTATATAATTTCCATTTTCTACATAAATTCTTTATTAATAAAATAATTTAATTTAAAGTATATTTATATTACATACTGTGAGCTCTTTGTTTAACAAATCCAATACATGGGGCCCATGTCTATTGACTGCCTTCTCCCTTACCCCACTCCCAAAGATGTATTACACTTTTGTTTTATTACATGTCCTATTTGAACACTGAACATTAGAATTATATAATACCTTTGGAATTAGTGTGTATATATACACAAACATATACACATATATACAAATATATTATATATATATATAATTTTTTTTCTATTAGAAAGTTAACTTGCCTGGAGCCACACATGGCAATCTGCAGCAGCTAATATCTCTGACAAATTTTTGGCTTTTTTGCTGCTATTTTTCTTACCTGGCCCCTGAAGTCTTCTTTCTGCCTATGTAGTTGAGAAATTGGTCAATTATTTAGGTAGAACTGTACTCTGAGGTTCATGTGACTGTATCCATGATCCCCTTATTTCCAGAGTCCCTTCACTAAATTTCCAGTTGTTCTTCCACCTCCAATTTCTGGTCTTTATCACCTCAAGACATCAAAGTTTCCACTATTTTTCAATTCAAATCTAATGATAATTGGGGTAGTATTCTCTGCAGTTTGGGGAAAAAGCTCAGTCCAGCATGCCGCCAATTCACAAATCTCACAGAGGCCAGCAACTTTGCTCCTCCTCACCCTCAGAAGCAAATTACCTTTGCTTGGGATGGGTCAGGAAGCTTTCCTATCCTTTCTCAAGTAGCTTAACATTGTTTCCTATAAAAAAGGAATTGTGAAGTAGGAGCGATTTTGTGCTTGTGTACCAATGAGGGTACCCTCTCATTAGTGCAGACTGTCTCTGATCCTTCTCTGAACCATCTGATGGAGGTCTATAGAAAATACCTGTAATTGTGGACTCCTCTCATGTCTAAGGTTCCCAAGGATTGTAAACTCATGCAGGCTCACACTCAAGAATCCATTGACATTTGTAGCTGTGTTCTTCCTTAACTACTCATATGATAACCAGCATTTCCTCCTAGTCTCTGGAAAAACTAATACTATTCCTGTGCTGCCTTTCCTCTGAATAGCTCATTAAACATTTGAATTTAGTTTACTTGGCTGCCTTGGGACTTCAGCTCTCTGATAGATTCCAAAAAAGTTATGGTTTTGTACATCATCTAGACTTTCCCTGTGTAATGAAAGCAATAACATTTTTTTCAAATCCTTAAGCAGAAGCAGAATTGATCATCTTTTTAAAAAACTTTACCAGATTTTCCATGTCAGCTGTGGAAGAAATTACCCAATTTCTTCAAATCACTAATGACAAAATTCTTGTCTGCCAAACACAGGATTTTGACCATAATCCTTACAATTAAGAGAAAGAGAAAGAAAGAGAAATATCATAAACTCTATTCGGTAGTCTTACTATTGGTAACAATATTGGTAATGCTATATTGAACCTAATACAGGAATATTGTATAATAAAGCAAATATGTCAATGCTGATAGTGGTAGGAGGCAGGTGAATTCCTAGGCAGGCAGAAAAGGCTCCTCAGTGAAACTCCTCACCTTCAAGCCAAGGACAATCTAAGGCCTGCAAACCAAGCTGCCAGTTCTGGATAGAATCAACAGACTGAAGTGAGGACTCTCACTCCCATTTGGTGCACTTCCACCCAATTGGTCCTTAGCTTTCACCTATTTTAGATATACCTACCTTTCTTTGATTGGCCATGGGCGGAGTCTTCATTTGTATAGAGTGAAATGTCACTCCAGTCCCTGATTGGCTGAGGGTCAGGTCTTCACTTCTGTCTCCAGTTTATTCTTTGCTCTACTGTGTCTCTTTCTGAGTGGTGCTTTTTCCAAAATGGCCTGCATACAAATCAGTACACTACTTCTTCCTCCCAGTTCATAAAAACCCTGAACTTAGCCCCACAGCTGGCAACCCTTTTTAGGGTCCCCTCTATTCTCACAGCTTTTTCTGTTGCTTAATAACTCCTACTCTGCCTTACTCACTCTCTGGTGTTTGAGTGCCTTATTCTTCTTGGTGGTGGGAAAAGAACTCAGAACTTGCCAAATTGTGGGAGTACAGGAACTGTAGCGCTCCAGCTTGCCAAACTGCTGGTGGTGGGAGTAAAAGGGCTGTTTCACTTCCTTGCGCTTGCTGGAGTCATCACTGGGAACCACTCCCTCTGAACATCAGAAGTAGGGAAGTCGCAACAATGCTACTAAGAACCAATACTTCTAACCTAAAAAAATAGATAAGGAAAAAAGAAAGAAATTAACTCAAAACGCCATAATGTAAAATTTGAATTAGAAGTAATAGCATGAAACTTTGATTTGTTATGCATTTACTAGCTATATGCACTGAAGAGTCCTGGAAACAATGTTAATACTGCAGCAATAAACACACTAATGCCCAAATTCTGATCTCTAAAGACATTTCTCAGGGCTCCATTGAAAATTGCTTGTTTCAAATGTGTTGTAACAAAAATGCTAAATTAGCCTGGAAAATTGTTTTCTGCCAGAAAGCAAGGAGGGTTTCAGACTGTTTGATTATGACCTGATTTGATGGTTTAAAATAGGATGATCTGAACATAAAAAAGAATGATAATTGAAATGCATGTACACATATCGAACACCTAAAAATACATGTTTGTAATATATATTTATAATAAAAAGATTAAAACTTTTTCATTGGAAGTTTCTAGAGCACAATTTAAACCACTAATGTGATGTCTTTTACTTTTCTTCTGTAATTTCCTTGAAATTCTATCATTGGGTACATACTCTTGTATTATAATTATATGTCTGCAAATGTATTTTCTTATTAAATTGTGAGGCTCTGCAGAAAGGCAGCATGACTTAGTTATTATTATATACCATTGCCTGTAGTAGTCCCTGATAGAATAAGCTCCCAAAGATATGATGATTAAAGCCAGTAGACAATTGATTGATAATAAGGCCACAATTCAATCATCATGGAAAGCAGTCTGATGATTCCTCAGAGCTAAAAACAGAACTACTATTTGACCCAGCAATCCCATTACCGGGTATATACTCAGAGGAATATAAACCATTCTACCATAAAGACACAGGCCCACTAATGTTCATTGTAACACCATTCACCATAGCAAAGAAATGGAATCAGCCTAAACGCCTATCAGTGACAGAGTGGATAAACAAAATGTGGTACAGATATACCATGGAATACTGCACAGCCATAAAAATGAAGGTGATCATGTCTTTTGTGGGAAGATGGATGAACTAGAGGCCAGTATCCTTAGCAAAGTAGTACATGAACAGAAAGCTGAATAATGCATAAGTGGGAGCTAAATGATGAGAACACATGGACACAAAGAAGGGAACAGACACCGGGACCTTCTTGAGAGTGGAAGGTGGAGGAAGGAGAGGATCAGAAAAAACAACTATTGGGTATTAGGCTTAGTATCTGGGTAATGAAATAATCTATACAACAAACTCCTATGACATGAGTTTACCTATATACCAAACCTGCATATGTACCCCTCAACCTAAAATAAAATTTAAAAAGAGGCCATAAAAGGCCCCAAAGTGTACACATCATTGCCCTTTACTAATTTGTGATTAGTAAAAAAATTTTGTTATGGTAATTTTGTGCCTCTGCTGTTTCTTCTCATGTGTAGAAAACAAATCATACAAAATGAAAAACTTGTAGACTCTTTTCAAGATGCCAGTAAAACTGCTCACATGGAAACATAATGCTCTAAGGGCCCCTGTGGTGCTAAGAAAAGATTCTCTCAGACTTCCATCTCAGAGCCTTGCTCCACTTTAGGTGTGTTCTGGCTCTACCTGGGGCACTGCAGCCTTCTATTGCTTTCTTTAGCACTCCACTTTGTTAATTTTTTTTTATTTCAATAGTTTTTGGGCACACAGGTGGTTTTTGGTTATGTGGATAAGTTGCTTAGTGGTGATTTCTGATATTTTACTGCACCTATCACCCGAGCAGTATACACCGTGATCAATATATGGTCTTTTATCCCTCACATTCCTCCCAACCTTCCCCATACCCCAAATTCCCAGAGTCCATTATATCATTCTTGTGCCTTGCATCCTCATAGTTTAGCTAAGTGAGAACATACAATATTTGGTTTTTCATTTCTGAGTTACTCCACTTAGAATAATGGCCTCTAGTTCCATCCAAGTTGCTGCAAAAGACATTATTTCATTGCTTTTTATGGCTTAGAATTCCATGGTATACATGGTACATGGTATACATAGTACCACGTTTTATTTGTCTGCTCATTTGCTGATGGGCACTTGGTTCCACATCCTTGCAATTGCAAATTGTGCTGTTAAAAACATGCGTGTGCATGTCTCTTTTTCACTTAATGATTTCTTTTCCTTTGGGTAGATACACAGTAGTGCCACTCCACTTTCTTTATCTCCACATTGGTTCCCAAGAACTCTGCTGCATAAGCTCTGCCATTGCCCCTGGTCTCCCAAACTGAATTATCATATCCTCATGTCTTGCCAAGTTCATTTTATTCACTTCTCCTCCAGACCTTTGCTCTCTACCAGATCTTCCATTCTATTATATGTACAACACCTCTTTGCAAATATAAAATTATTTCAAGTAGCAATATTTTCTTGAAGTATTGGAATCCACGTTTTCAGGAACCACATGGGTCCCAACCACCAGGAGAGTAATGAAGACTGCATTTTTAACTCTCCTTTTCACAGCAAACTGTCTGCATTTTAAAGCAACAAACCACTTTCTCTAGCACTCCACTTGACCCTAGAGAGTGTCTTACTTTTCCTGGGTGCCTATTAAGAGACTGTGAGAAAGTTTCCATCACTCCCTCCTGAGAGCAGAGGGTGTTTTACTTCAAATGTGGGGAAAACTTGTCTAGGCCCCAGTGTCTGCCCTATAGCCCTATATGCCTTTCTCTTGAACATATTGATTTTGGCCCAACTTCTCATGACTTTTGGAACATGTATTAAAAGTTGAACCCAAAGAGTGGTCCTGAGATAAACCTAAGAAAGTTGAATAGTTCTGAATTCTATAGTGAGTGGACTTGTGTAACATAAATGGATAGAAATTGTTCCATTTACTGAGCCCTCACTCGAAGTGGAATACATTTCTCAAGGATCGTGCACTTAGAAGTTAAGAGCAAAGGCTCATGTTGATTTGTTTGAGTTCATTGTAGATACTGGATATTATTCCTTTATCAGATGTATAAATTGTGAAGATTTTTTTCCAACTCTGTGGGTTGTCTGTTTACGCTTCTGACTGTTCATTTTGCTGTGCAAAACTCTTCAGTTTAATTAAGTCCCAGCAATTTATCTTTGTTTTTATTGCATTTGCTTTCGGGTTCTTGGTCATGAAATCCTTGCCTAACCCAATGTCTTTTCCAACGTTATCTTCTAGAATTTTTATAGTTTCAGGTCTTAGATTTAAGTCCTTAATCCATCTTGAGTTGATTTTTGTAAGAGGTAAGGGATGAGGATCCAGTTTCATTCTCCTACAGGTGGCTAGCCAATTATCCCAGCACCATTTGTTGAAAAGGGTGTTCTTTCCCCACTTTATGTTTTTGTTTGCTTTGTCAAAGATCAGTTGGCTGTAAGTACTTGGGTTTACTTCTGGGTTCTCTATTCTGTTACATTGGTCTACATGCCTATTTTTGTACCAATACCATGCTGCTTTGGTGACTATAACCTTATAGTATAGTTTGCAACCAGGTAATGTGATGTCTCCAGATTTGTTTTTTGCTTAGTCTTGCTTTGGCTATGTGGGCTCTTTTTTGTTTCATATAAGTTTTATAATTGTTATTTCTAATTCTGTGAAGAATGATGGTAGTATTTTGATGGGAATTGCATTGAATTTGTAGATTGCTTTTGGGAATGTAGTCATTTTCACAATATTGATTCTACCCACCTATGAGAGTGGGATGTGTTTCCATTTGTTTGTATTGTCTATGATTTCTTTCAGCAGTATTTCATAGTTTTCCTTGTAGAAGTCTTTCACCTTCTTGGTTAGGTATATTCCTAAGTGTTTTTTTGTTTGTTTTGCAGCTATTGTAAAAGAGGTTCAGTTCCTGATTTGATTTTCAACTTGGTTGCTGTTGATATATAGAAGAGCTACTGATTTAAACTCAAATCAACAAGAAAAAAACATACAATCTCATCAAAAAGTGGTCTAAGGATGTGAATAGACAATTCTCAAAAGCAGATATATGAATGGCCAACAAACATATGAATAAATGCTCAACATCACTAATAATCAGGAAAATGCACATCGAAACCACAATGCTATATCACCTTATTCCTGCAAGAACGGTCATAATCCAAAAATAAAATAATAGATGTCAGCTTGGCTGTGGTGAACAGGGAACACTTCTACAATGCTGGTGGGAATGTAAACTAGTACAAACATTACGGAAAACAGTGTGGAGATTCCTTAAAGAACTAAAAGTAGGTGACCACTTAATCCAGCAATCCCACTACTGGGTATCTACCCAGAGGAAAAGAAGTCATACAAAAAAGATACTTGCACACACATGTTAATAGCAGCACAATTCACAATTGCAAATATGTGGAAGTAACCCAAATGCCAATTAATCAACAAATGGATAAAGAAGCTGTGGGGGGTGTGTGTGTGTGTGTGTGTGTGTGTGTGTGTGTATGTATATGTGTGTGTATATATATGATGGAATACTACTAAGCTATAAAAAGGAATAAGTTAATGGCATTCACAGCAACCCGGATGAGATTGGAATGGAAAACCAAACATCATATGTTTTCACTCATAAGTGGGAACTAAGCTATGAGGATAAAAAGGCATAAGAATGATACAATGGACTTTGGAGACTCAGGGGGAAAGGGTAGGGAGGGGTTGAGAGATAAAAGACTACAAAGAGCATGCAGTCCATACTGCCTGGGTTATGGCTGCACCAATATCTTAGAAATCACCACTAAAGAACTTACTCATGTAACCAAACACCACCTGTTTCCCAATAACCTATGGGGGGAAAAAAAACCTTAAAAAAAAAAAAAAAAGAACAAAGGCTCAGATTAGAAAAAATTCTTGCTTTTAATACAGCTCTGTCATTTGTTAACTTTGTGATTATTAGCAAGTTATTATAACCTTACTGAGTCTCAGTTTCCTCATCCATAAATGTGGAGAGTGGGACCAAATAAAATATGTAAAGTGCTTTACCCAAGGTCTGATCCGTGGTAAATATCCAATAAATATGTATGTATATTTTAGTTAAATTTTAAATGAGAGTAAAAAAACTGGATTTATTTATCTAAATAAACTTCTTAGACAGCAAGGATAAGACTCATAAGACTGGTTCTTATCTTGTGTTTCACAAGTATAATAGTGCAAAGAATAAGTAAAGTGAAACCTAAAAAAGATCCAATCCTAAACTAGTACTTTACAATTGGATAGTGTATGACTTATTAAACTTACTAATACTTAGATCTCCTCACATGGCACAAAGAATGTAGTATCTTTCATAATTCAGAACTCATTTATTTTCTTGTTATTTTTGCATATGATCCACTATGAGAATGAAGAACTTGTTAAGTGAAGGCTGTGGAGTCAGCTTCACAGCATTCTGTCTGTGTAGATGCCAATGACTTCACAACTACGATGTTATTTTGAGCAGTGAAACAATTTATTAAAAATGAAGAAAAACATAAATGACTCCTGTAAAGAAATTAAATTAATCTTAGGTACTAGAACACAGATGTTCTGTGTGCCATACCTATGCAACCATGTCATTAAATCCAAATCTCTAATTAACAGACTCCTGTTTCTTGTTCAAATTTGAAATGATTCATTAAAACCATTTAGAAGCAAGTATAACTCATGAAGAAAAAAATGTTCTTGACCTTTTCTCCACTTTAATTTTTTTCTACTTTGTTATTATTTTTAAAAATTGACTAGCTTACTGACTCAATGATTCAGAATTGAGACGTATCTGACACTTCAAAGCCTGTCTCTCTTACTCATTAGCTTCACATCCTGTACCAACAAAAAATTGTGCAATAAAATCAGAAAAACTAAATAATATTAAGTCATGAAAATGGTTGCCAAAACTTGGGAAAAGTAGTGTAATTAATTTTTGGAGAAAAGAAGATGAACTAAGTTTAGACTTACACTGTTGCTCAGCTTCTACTTATAAAGAAACATTAACATTTTAATTTAATTAAGCAAATATTGTTGAACATCTATCTAATAGAGAAGTAACTATTTCAGTAGACAGAAAAAAAGGCTTCAAATAAGATAGAATTTATTCAAATTCTAATTCTGAAACTAACTTTGTAACTTTGGTAGTTAGCTTCTCTGAATTCCCTTTTGCTTACCCATGATAATAATAGTATTAAGACCAACATCAAGGACCAAGATAGCTGAACAGAACCCTCTAGCAATCATCCCATCTGCAGGAATGCCAAATTGAACAACTATCCACACAAGAAAGCATCTTCATAAGAACCAAAAATCAGGTGAGTGATCACATTACCTGGTTTTAATATCATATCAAGGAGAGAGACATTGAAAAAAGTAAGAAAGACAGTCTTGTATCACCTATACTACTGCATCTCAAGGCAGCTTTGTGCCATGGAAGGGCAGGGCGGTGGGGAGAGAAACTCTGTGCTTGGGGAAGGGGAAGTAAAGCGATTGTGAGGTTTTGCATTGGAACTCAGGGGTGCCGCTTCACAGCAGAAAATAATACAAGGCAGAATTCAGCTAGTGACCAGAGGAAGCATGTAAGACCAGCCCTAGCCAGAGAAGAACTGCCCATCCCAGCATTCAGAACCTGAGTTCTGGCTAGCCCCGTCACCTAAGGCTAAAGTGCTCTGGGGTTCTAAATAATCTTGAAAGGCAGTCTAGGCCACAAGGAAAGCAATTCCTGGGCAACTCCTAGTGCTCAGCTAGGCTTGGACCCAGTGGGCTTGGGGTGTATGTGATCCAGTGAGACACCATCTGGAGTAGCCAAGGGAGTCAGTTTATGACCCCATCCCAACCCTAGGCAATGAAGCTTGCAGTTCTGAGGGAGACCCTAGGCAATGAAGCTTGCAGTTCCTCTGCTTGAGAGAAGCAGAGGGAACAGTAAAGGGGATTTTGCCTTGGAACTTGGATACCAGCTCAACCACACCAAAATAAAGTACCAGGCAGAGTCCTGAATCTCCCATTTCAGACCCTAGCTACTGGATGACATTTCTAGACCCACCCTGGGTCAGAAAGGAACATATTGCCTTGAAGGGAAGGACCCACATCTGGTAGGCTTCAACACCTGCTGACTAAAGAGCCATGGGCCTTGAATAAACATCCGTGGTAGCCAGGCAGGAGTCACCACAGGCCTTGGGTGAGATCCAGTACTGTGCTGGCTTCAGGTGTGACCAAGCACATTGCCAGCTGTGTTGGCCATGGGGAGAGAGTTCTTCTACTTGAGAAAAGGAGCAAGAAGAGTAAAAAGGACTTTGTCTTGCAACTTGGATACCATCTGAGCCACAGTAAAATAAAGCATCACACAGACTCCTAAAATCCCTGATTGCAGGCCTTAGCTCCTGGATGGCATTTCTAGACCTGCCCTGGGCCAGAAAGGAACCTGTTATTATGAAAGGAGAGATGCAGGATTCATCGCCTGCTGATCAAAGACTGTTTCAGCCTTGAATAAACATCAGTTGTAGCCACACAACAGTCACCACTGGCCTGGGTTGGTAGTGGCTGTGGGGAAAGACTTCTGCTTGAGGTAAGGAGAGAGAAGAGTAAAAAAGACTTTGTCTTGCAACTTGGGTACCAGCTCAACCACAGTAAATTAAATCACCAAGTAGTTTCCTAAAATTCCTGATTACAGCTACTAGTTCCTAGATGGCATTTCTAGATGTACTCCAGTCCAGAAAGGAAACCAATAACCTGAAAGGAAAGACATGGGCCTGGCTAGATTCACCATCTGCTGACTAAAGAACTCTTAAGCATTGAATAACCATCAGCAGTAGCTACGTAATAGTTGTTACAGGCCTTGGGCAAGAACCAGTACTGTGCTGGCATTGGGTGTGACCAGAACATTCCCAGTGGTGGTAGTCATAGGAGTGCTTGTGCCACTCTTTTCCCAACTCCAGGCAGCTCAGCATGGAGAAAGAGATGCTGTTTATTTGGGGGAAAGTAAGGGAAGGGAACAAGAGTCTCTGATAGACAATTGGGGAATTATCCTAGATTTCACCCGAGACTACAAAGGCAGCACACCTATGAGTCTGCAAGAGTCACTCAGTTATGGAGCTTGGGGTGTCACCTAATGCAGATACAGCTACAGTTCCCAAAGACTTAGATTACAACACTCAATTCCCTTTGAATACTTGGAAAGTCTTCTCAAGAAAGACGGGTACACAGAAGCCTTGACTGCAAAGATTAAAATAAATACCTAACTCTTTTATGACAAGACACTGATGCACATCCACAAGCTCGAGACCACTCAGGAAAATATGACCTCACCAAATGAGCTAAATAAGGTACCAGTGACCAATCCTGGAGTGACAGAGATATGTGACTTTTCACACAGAATATTTAAAATAGCTGCTTTGAGGAAGATCAGAAAAAATTAACAGAGAAGGAATTCAGAATCCTGTCAGATGGATTTAACAACGAGATTGAAATAATTTTAAAACTCAAGCAGAAATTTTGAAGCTAAAACATTTGATTGACAAAATGAAAAATGTATTAGAGTCTCTAGACAGCAGAAATGATCAAGCAGAAAGAATAGTGAGCTCGAAGATAGGATATTTGAAAATACACAGTCAGAGGAGATAAAATAAAAAAGAATTACAAAATGAAGCATGCCTACAAGATCTAGAAAACAGCCTCAAAAGGACAAATCTAAGAGTTATTGGCCTTAACTAGGAGATAGAGACAAAGATTTGGTTAGAAAGTTTATTCAAAGCAATAAATAACAAAACTGTAAAAACTTAGAGAACAATATCTATATTTAAGTACAAGAAAGTTATGACACAACCAGCATATTTGACCCAAATAAGACTACCTCAAGATGTTTAATAATCAAACTCCCAAAGTTCAAAATAAACAAAGTTTCATACAAGTAGAAAGAGGAAAGAAACAACACATAAAGAATCTCCAATGCATCCAGCAGCAGACTTCTCAGCGGAAACTTTATCAGAAGAGAGTGGCATGACATATTTAAAGTGTTGAAAAAAAAACCTTTTATCATAGGATATTATACCCATTAAAAATATCCTTCAAACATAAAGAAAGACTTTCCCAGGCATATAAAAGCTGATGAATTTTGTCAACATCAGATCTGTCCTAAAAGAAATTCTAAAGAAACTTCTTCAATCATAAAGAAAAGGACTTTAATGAGCAATAAGAAATTATCTCAAGGTAAAAAACCCACTGGTAATAGTAAGAACACAGAATATTATAACACTGTAATTGTGGTGTGTAAACTACTTGCATCTTGAGTAGAAAGACTAAAAAATAAACCTAACAAAAATAGTGACAAAAATTTTCAGGACATAGACATATAATCAGATAGAAATAGAAACAACAAAAAGTTAAAAAGCAGGAAAGATGAGCTTAAAGTGGAGTTTTTATTGGTTTTCTTTGCTTGTTTGTTAGTTTCTTTATTTGTTTTTGGAATCAGAGTTTAGCTATCAGTTTAAAATAATGAATTATATGATGTTATTTGCAGTCCTCATCGTAAGCTGAAATAAAAAACCTATAATGAATTCACACACACAAAAAAGCAAGAAACTAAAACATCCCACCAGAGAATATTTCTTTCACAAAAGGGAAGACAGGAAGAAAGAAAGAAAGAAATGAAGGAAGGAAAGAAAGAAGAAAAGGCCATGCAAAAAGCAGAAAACAGATAACAAAATTGCAATAGTGAGTTTTTACTTATCAATAATAACGTTGAATGTAAATGGACTAAACTCTCCAATCAAAATACATAGGGTGGCTGACTGGGTTAAACAATGAAACACAAGACCCAACTATCTGTTGCCTACAAGAACCATACTTCACCTATAAAGACAAAAATACACTGAAAATAAGAAATGGAAAAAGATTTTCTGTGGTAATAGAAACCAAAAAAGAACAAGAGAAGCTATAATTTCGTAAAATGAAATAGATTTGAAGACAAAAACCATAAGAAAAGACAAAAAGCATTATTGTGTAAGGATAAAGGGGTCAATTCATCAAGACTATATAAGAATTGTAAATATATATGCACTCAACACTGGAGCACTCAGATATATAAGGCAAGTATTATTAAAGCTAAAAGAGAGACCCCAAAGCTATAATAGCTGGAGACTTCAATACCCCATTTTCAGCATTGGACAGACCGTCTAGAGATAAAATCAACAAAGAAACATCAAACTTAAACTGCACTATAGACCAAATGGAAAAAACAGATATTTACAGGACATTTTATTCAATGACACAGCACAACACACACTTTTCTCCTCAGCACAAGGATGGTTCCTAATAATAGACTTAGGACACAAAACAAATCTTAAAAACTTAAAAAATAAAATCATTTCAAATATCTTCTGTGATCACAATGGAATAAAACTAGAAATCAAAAACAAGAGGAACTTGGAAACTATACAACACATGGAAATCAAATCATATGCTCCAAAATGACCAGTAGGTCAGTAAAGAAATTTTTAAAAATTAAAAATTTATTTAATCAAACAAAAATGGAAACAACATTTCAAAACTCATGGGATAGAGCAATATTAAGAGGAAAGTTCATAGCAATAATTGCCTACATTGAAAAAGTAGGAAACTTTAAGTAAACAACTTAATATCACATCTTAAAGAAGTAGAAAAGCAAGAGCAAACCAAACCCAAAGTTAGTAGAATGAAAAAAATAAAGATCAGAGCAGAAATAAATTAAATTGAAACAAGAAATACAAAAGGTCAATAAAATCAAAAGTTTTCTTAAAAGATAAGCAAAGTTGACAAGCCTTTAGTCAGACCAAAAAAAGAGAGAGAAGATTCAAATAAATAAAATCAGAGAGGAAAAAGGATACATTAAAATTGATACAGCAGAAATTTGAAGGATCATTAGAGATTGTTATGAGCAACTATATGGCCATAAACTGGAAAAGCTAATCAGAAATGGATGAATTTCTAGACACATGCAACCTACCAGATTGAACTATAAAGAAACTGAAAGCCTAAATAGACCAATACAAGTAACAAGATTGAATGAGATTGAAGCCATAATAAAAATTCTCTCAGCAAAGACAAGCCTGATACCTGATGGCTTTACTTCTGAATTTTGCAAAAAAATTAAAGAAGAATCAATACCAATTCTATTCAAACTATTCTGAAAAATAGAGGGAGTACTTCTAAACTCATTCTATCAGGCCAGTATTACCCTGATGCCAAAACCAGACAAAGACACATTCAAAAAGAAAACTACAGGCCAATATCTCTGATAAACATTAATGAAAAAATTCTTCAACAAAATATTAGCAAACTGAATTCAACTGTACATTAAAGTCATTCGTCATGATCAAGTGGGACTCAGTGCAGGGATGCAAGGATGGTTTAACATACGCAAATCAGTGAATGTGATACAATGTATCAACAGAATGAAGTACATAAACCATATAATCACTTCAATTGATGCTGAAAAAGCATTTGATAAAATTCAACATCCCTTCATGATAAAAATCCTCAAAAACTTGGGTATAGAAGGCACACACCCCAACATATTATGCCATACCATATATGGCAGACACACATTTAGTATCAAACTGAATGAGGAAAAACTGAAAACTGAAAAACTGAAAGACTTTCCTCTAAAATCTAGAACACGATAAGAATGTCCACTTATACCACTGTTATCCAACATAGTATGAGAAGTCCTAGCTAGAGCAATTAGGCAAGAGAAATAAATAAAAGGCCCATAAATTGGAAAGGAAGAAGTTAAATTTTCCTTGAATATATATATATATATATATATACACACACACACACACATACACACACACATATATATACATATATACACACATATATACATATATACACACATATATACACACATATATATACACACATATATACACACATATATATACACACATATATATACACACACACATACACACATATATATACACACATATATACATATAAAAAACCTTATATTTGAAAAAAACTAAACTCCACCAAAAAACTATTAGAACCAATAAATTTAGTCAAGTTGCAGAATACAAAATCAACATATAAGAATCAGCAGCATTTCTATATGCCAACAATGAACAATGTGAAATAGAAATCAATAAAGTAATCTTTTGTTGTTGTTGTTGTTGTTGTTGCTGTGGAGATGGAGTTTTGCTCTTGCTGCCCAGACTGGAGTGCAATGGTGGGATCTCAGCTCACCACAACCTCTGCCTCCCAGGTTCAAGCAATTCTCCTGCCTCAGCCTCCCAAGTAGCTGAAATTACAGGCATGTGCCATCATGGTCGGCTAATTTTGTATTTTTAGTAGAGACGGGGTTTCTCCATGTTGGTCAGGCTGGTCTCAAACTCCTGACATCAGGTGATTTGCCCACCTTGGCCTCCCAAAGTGCTGGGATTACAAGCATGAGCCACTGTGCCTGGTCTAAAGTAATCTTATTTACAATACAATAGCTACAAATAAAATAAAACACCTAGGAATGAACTTAAGCAAAGAAGTGAATTATCTCTACAATGAAAACTATAAAATATTGATGTAAAGAATTGAAAAAGACATTAAAGGAAAGACAGTCCATGTTCATGGATTGGAAGAATCAATATTGTTAAACTGTTCATACTACCCAAAGCAATCTACAGTCAACACAATCCTTATCAAGATACTAATGTCATTCTTCAGGAAAAAATAATTCTTCTTATAGAAAAAATAATTCTAAAATTTATATGGAACCTCAAAAGATCCAGCATACCCAAAAACACCCTGGGCAAAATGACCAAAACTCGAGGAATCACATTATCTGACTGCAAATTATACAACACAAAATGGCATGGTACTGGCATAACATCAGACACGTAGACCAATGGAACAGAAGAGCCAGCCCAGAAAGAAATCCACACAGCTACAGTGAACTTATTTTGACCAAAGCTGCCAAGAACATGCATTGGGGAAAGGACAGTCTTGTCAATAAGTAGTAATGGGAGAACTGTATATTCATATGCAGAAGAATGAAACTACATCCCTATCTCTTGTAATACACAAAAATCAAATCAAAATGAATTAAAGGCTGAAATCTAAGACCTCAACTCATGAGACTACTACAAAAAAAAAACTGGGAAAAGTCTCCAGGACATTGGTCTGGTTAAGCATTTCTTGAGTAATATCCCACAAGCACAGGAAACCAAATCAAAAATGAACAAGTGAGATAACATCAAGTTAAAAACCTTCTGCACAGCAAAGAAAAACAATCAACAAGTGAAATGACAACCCATAGAATGGGAGAAAATTTTTACAAAGTACCCATGTGACAAGGGATTAATTACCAGAGTATGTAAGGAGGTCAAACAGCTCAGTAGGATAAAATTTAATAACCGGATTAAAAATGAGTAAAAGATTTGAGTAAACATTTCTCAAAAGAAGACAGACAAATGTAAAACATGCATATAAAAAATACTCAACATCATTGATCATTAGAGAACCGAAAATCAAAACTACAATAAGGTATCATTTCACTCCAGTTGAAATGGCTTTTACCTAAAAGACAAGCAATCACAAATGTTGGCAAGGATGTGTAGAAAGAAAACCTTCATACATTTTTGGTAGGAAGGTAAATTAGTACAGCCACCATGCAGAACAGTATGGAGGTTTCTCAGAAAACTAAAAATAGGATTACCATATCATCCAGCAATTTCACTGCTAGGTAGGTACCCAAAAGAAAGGAAATAAGTATATCAAACAGATATCTGCACTCCCATGTTTATTGTAGCATTATTATCAATAGCCAATATTTGAAACAGATGAATGAGTAAAGAAAATATGGTACATATACACAATGGAGTACTGTTTAGCCAGTAAAAAGAATGAGATCTTGTCATTTGCAACAACATGGATGGAACTGGAGGACGTTATGTTAAGTGAAACAAGCCAGGAATAGAAAGACAAACTTCACATGTTCTTACTCATCCATGGGAGCTAAACATTAAAATAATTGAACTTATGGAAGAAGAGAATACAATGATGCTTATCAGAGGTTGGAAGGGCAGTGGTGGGTGTGATGGTTAATGGGTACAAAAATATGGTTAGATAGAATGAATAAGAGCCAATATTTGACAGCACAACAGAGTGATGACAGTCTTTAAAATTTATTGTACATTTAAAAATAACCAGAAAAGTATAACTAAAATGTTTGTAACAAAAAGAAAGAATAAATGCTAGAGATGATAAATATCCCATTTACTCTTATGTGATTATTACACATTGGTGCCTTATCAAAATATTGTGTACCCCATAAATATACATAAACACTATGTCCCCATAAATTTTTTTAAAAATAGGGCAAACTATTTAGAACAGAACAAATGCCATCTTTAAAGCACTGAAAGAAAAAAATGATTATCAACCTAGAATTCTCTATATTATATAGACATACTTAATATGTGAAGGAAAAATGGAAAATTTTTAGATTAAAAAAATGTTAAGCAATCTTATCATCAATAGAACTATACAGGAAAGGTTAGAGAAATTTAGACTGAAGGAAAAATGATACCAGAGAGAAAGTTACATCTACAGAAACCAATAAAAAGCAGCACAAATAGAAAATATGTGGTTAAATATAAAATGAATTTTTCTTCTTTCTTAACAAAGAAACCTCTTAAATAAAAATAATATGTTGTGGCTTTTATAAGATATGTAGAAATAAAATGTGTGACAAAATTAGCTCAAAATGTGGGAACAGTGTAAATGGAAGAATACCATTTTAGTTTCTTACATTATACAAGAAGTACATAATAATTCTTGGTTCACTGTTATAAGACACATACTATAAATTCCTAGGTTAACTACTAACATAATAAACAGTTACAAATAAATGTTAATAAATGAAATAAAATATATTTGTTTAAGCTCAGTTAATACAAAAGAACTTAAACAGGAGAAAAACAAAACAAAACAGCCAGTCTAACAAGTAACTCATATGGGATAAATGAAAAGTAAATAGCAATTTTTTATCTTTAAACCTAACTATAGAAATAAGGCACAACTCTTTGTGACACCTGTATCTGAGATAAGGACTAGACTCAACCACAAAGAGTTTGTTCTAATCTCCTTACAAAAAGCCATTTGAAGTACAATGACATTAAAATTTATTCATAATGCCTCTGATATCAGCCTGGTGATTGTCATTTTTACCAAAATACCACACTTCATCGCCTGGTGTCTGGTTTCTGAAAAGGTAAAATACCTGTCTACAAAATGGATTCCTGAAGGTCGACTTCTAGGCTCCAATCCAGAATAAATAAATAAGAGAGATTTTATCAAACTATAGTTTCAGTTCCTTTCCAGTATTCTGAGGCTTATAAAAGATTTCTTATAGGCCAGGTGTGTGGTGGTTCACCCCTGTAATCCCAACACTTTGTGAGGCCGAGGTGGGTGGATTGCTTGATCCTAGAAGTTCAAGGTCAGCCTAGGTAACATGGTGAAACTGCATCTCTACAAAAAATACAATAATTAGCCAGGCATGGTGGCACATGTCTATTGTCTCAGCTACTCCAGAGGCTGAGGTGAGAGGATTACTTGAGCCCAGGAAATAGAGGCTGCAGTGAGCCGTGACCACACCACTACACTCCAACCTGGCTGGGCAACAGAGCGAGACCCTGTCTCAAAAAACAAACAAGCAAACAAAAACAACAAAGTTTTTTAATACCAAGAGTTAAAAATATCTGGATATAAAAGTAAGCCTTTGGGCTATATAACATAGATAGGCTAAACTCCACCACTGTCATGAATTTTCAGACTTTCTAAGACCCACCTCACATGTAAGCTTAGAACACTGGAGACAGTGGTGGTGTGTTCAAGTGGAAAAATGAAACAAGATGCTATGCAAGGAAAGGGCCAAATGCCTGGCTACATTCCTGGGATTCTTTTTGATATTTTCCTTTTGGAGTAGGTGATATCTCTTGCTGCACTGATAGGGACTTTGGCATATGTTTAAGGCCTCATCACTATTTTTGAATATACTGAAGCTAAGAAGCTGCTACCCCTGTAATGTGCAGTGACTGGAACATAAAAATTACCATTGGGAAATCTCACTGTCTTAGAGAGTGGCCCAAGTTATTACATGCTTGATTTTTCGTTGTTGGTCCTTTTTTTCTTTGCTTTGATCCAATTTAAAAAATTATGTATTTCTGAACATGAAGAGTAAGACTTTTACTGAGGCCTGAGATTTCCAAATTCGCTTATTCTTGACTACTCCTGTGTTTCCTTTCCTCAGCCCTTGACTCTGATTCCTTGTCCTTCTAAGATTGTCATCTGCTCTTTTGGTCTAGTCCAATTTGGAAACCAATTAGGATTATATTTTCTAACTTTCCTCCTGGTTTTTATATTTACATGATACCATGATACCAGGAAAATGATTTTCATCTTCTCTGAAATTTTTTTATTTTTCTTAGAAATCTAAGAGTGGTGTTGAATAATAATTTTAGGATTGGAAAGAACACAACTAAGTGGGAATACAGCTATTAAATAAAAATTTAAATGGAAATTTAAGTAGGAGCTCTTACAAGGAAAAAGGACTGGGTAGATTTGGTACCTACAATGAAATAGAATCTAGTTGAAAAGGCATGTCAGTGTTGGAACTCAAATCTCCAGGGAGTTTCTGATTATTATAAGCACATTTCCATAATAATTATTATATACAATTTGGGTAAAATAACATGTGAGGAGGCAGCGGGGTGAAAAATAAAATTTTCCTTGAAGTTTCTCTGTTTAGTTGTTTTGGTTTCAAAAGACTCAGGGGGAATTCTTAGATACAGACAAACTATCTTTGTGGAAAACAGAGGGCACAAATCAGTCTCCAACAGATTGTTTAGCAAGATGATTTTTCTCTGACTGTGAAGAAAGAGAGGAGAGAAGAGAAGACAGCAGGAGGGAAGGGGAAAGAAAGGAAAGGAGGGGTGGAGGGACAGAGAGGGAAGGGAGGAAGACTGAGGTGTATCTGGGAGTTCTGCAAGTAATTGTTCTTGTTTCCTGCTGACCAGTTATAGTGGCATAGGAACGGCAAGACCCAAGAGAGAGAGAATTGTGTAATATTTCAGGTCAGATGGGATTCTCAAGTCCAATATTTGGCATAAAGTAGCAATATAGTCATTTTCAAGTTTTGTTTACTACATAGAAACAGCAATAGAATCAGTGAAACTGAAGGAGTGTAGAAAAATAGATGGATATTTCGGCGACAGCAGCCTATGTGAAAGGCAAACCAAGCACTAGATGCCTCCCGCCACTGAACTCTCACTCAAGCGTTTGTATGGGATTAAATACGAGGACTGTGGCAACACCATGTAAACTAACCACGGAGATCGATGATGTTAAATGCATTGTCATGCTGGCTCATGAGGACTGGAGGCAGGTATTCAAAACAAACAAAAAAAAGGGAAATAAAATTATTTTAATAAAAGTAAAAACATTGTGTTACATCTTAGTTTGTGAATAGACATTTCTGTTAATGGCACTAAAAGTTAACAAGTGTTTTGTATATGGTGTTGTGCTAAGAACTTTGCACACAGTATCTGGTTTAATCTTCACAATAATTTTTTCCTATGAATTCCAGATCATTATTTTAAATTGTATCATCCACAAGGAAATTTCCAAAAATTGTACCCAAACATTTTAACCTCCATGAGAAACCCAAGGCTTAGAAGCTTGGTTCTATCAGTCAGCCAAGTTGGTTTTTCTCTTTGTACACACTAATTGTTATTGTTATAACTATGTTATACCTCCCCCCTCAGCTGTATAGGCATGAACAAAAACTGAGTGGTTTCTTTCTGAGCAAGAAAAGCAGCATATAAAGCTGATGTAATTCTTCAGGAAGAGAATTGCTTGCTAAGAAGGGTTAATATAGAAGAAAGACCTAGAACATATGGTGTTCACTGCATTAGTTCATGTTGTATCTCTTTGTTTCTTCAACCCAAATTGCTCTATGCATGAGAGTGAATGCTTAAGACTTTATGTTTTAAAACATGCTCTTGGGGACACTATTTCTACAGAATGTTAATAGGCATAACTAAAACGGTTTGTAGGTCAGCATAAGTGAAGGAAACTGAGTGTAACAAGGTTAAAATCTGTGTGTGCAAGAATGGAGAGGCGGCAGGTAAGTTCTTTTTTCAGAATTCACAAACCCTTTAATAACTGCAGAAACTCTCAGATGTTCTAATGAATATTTCAGTGTAAATCTCCTAGGATGGTTATAATTTGGAATGTTTCTTCAACTTAGTTAGGCAGGGGTTTCAAAAATACCGAAAACATTTATTTGTTTACATATGTTTATGTGCATATGCATTTACATATGTATTATTTGATTGATTTGCTAGGTATGCAACTTTTGTGATAAGATGTATATTATAAAACACTGGTCTATAAGAAAGATATTACTAACTAGCTTAAAATCTATGAATCAGTCTTCCAGTCCCCTATGGGGCCATTACTGGAGATGCTGAACCTTTTTACTTTGTCAGTTATCTTTGTTGTGGGCACAGGAAGACCATGCTGCAAGACCTGCTTCCTTGGGTAAGTGGTACTTACATCGCAACGTAATCTTATCTTTGAGTCTTTGGCAATGATTTGAACTTTTAACAATAATGCACAGGCAATCACTCTGCTGACTGATACCTGGAAATTTCACAGCTTGGTATTTTTACATTTTTGACTTTATTTAGGCAAGTCAGCTGATTATTCTTCAGCTTAATTTGCCCTTCTGTAAATGAAAATCTGAGCTAGAATAACCTTAATATCTCTTTTAAATATATAATTCTCATATTTTACCCCAAAGTTTAGAAAGATTTTAAACTCTACCAGATCAACAGCCTGTTTAGTAGCCTCAGGATGTTATTATCAACAAATTAGCCTCCATGGTAAATTTCTCCAAGTATTTCAGAAAAGCTTGTTTGTACTTCTTTGCAGCTAATTAAAAATATGAAAATATAATAAAGAGAACAGCTGGCATGGTGCCCAAATCCCCCCATTCAATTAACCCCAAATCCTTTTTATGAAGTAATACATGAAAAATTTAAAATGCCATTATTTTTAAAATACATACATTTTTTCTCTTGGTTTAGAAATGCAGAATTACTACTTCTCTTCCCCACTCCCTCCTCTTTCAATCCTCATTCTCCAGAGAATGGCAGACGTCTTGCATTAGACCTGTGACCGTTGCCACATGATATTTTCCTGAGGTCATGTTTTTCTCTCTGTGCACATATTTACTAATTTATGAAAGCATATTTCTTGAAAAGAATATCTAAAAGGGAACATAGGGATGTGGATCAATAGGAACCATGACTTTAAAAAGAGACTAGTGGGAAACCACAGAAAATGTCAATATAAAAACTCTTATCAGCTCTATACAAAGCTGTTTAAGAAGTAAGCTTTGCCTTGGGGTGCTCTAAACCAGTTATTCATTAACTGACAGGAAATGCCTGACCCAAGGGATATTATTATTTCGAACTTCATCTTTTTCTTTTCTTCCCAAAGTCTACAACATCTCTATTTCACTGAATGCTTCTAATAAAATCCTTTTTTTGGCAACTACACATTTTCTAGAAAATGATAAATTGTGTGCAGAAGGAAAAATAGAATTTGTTTTAAATGTTGTCTGAAGGTTACAATCTTGTTAGAAGTCCATGAATTTGAAAAATGTTAACTATGCGATGTATGACAGCTCCTGCATTCTGCAGCAATTGACATCACGTTAGCTAGTGCCATTCTCTGCAAATATTTTTGTTCAGAAATTCCAAATTTTTATTTACCTAACACATAATTATTGTTCCTAAAATATTACATAATTTTTGGTTCATAATTTTATTAGTTTTCATTAAAGACCAATTGATGACTGAGAAGGTATAAACTGATGAAATGTAATACTCAATTTTATGCACGTTTTTCTTTTCTTTTGCTAAAAGTTGTGTCTTACATCTCCTGAATACCATCTATCATCTCTGTATTTAATATTTGGTTCACCAGAATACAAATGGTAGTATTTTGAAACTGGTCTCTAACCTGAAAATGTTTTAGGATCATCCAGTGTTTTGTATAAGAAAAGTCTAAAGCAATAGCTATAGCTGATAAAACTGTCCTGAATAACTCTGCTGTGCATTTAACTCCTGAGCTTTGTTCCCATAATTCCAACCTTGAGCAGTGGACTTTGGGATGAATTATTAATAAAAGAAAGTACATGTGCACTCTAAATTGTAATGGCAAATGATCTTCAGTGTTTCTTGTTACATGGTAAAATGAAATCCAGGGTAAATAACTTTTAAGTAGTATGTGCTATATTTCACAACTGCTTAGGACATTATGTTGTCAGGAGAGTGGCAGGTATCTTATGTAACAATTAGTGCCTGCCTGTATAACACCTGTTATGTATGTGTAAGTGCTCTTCTGCTTTTCTCTTTGGAGTATTTTAAAGATTCCCTGGTACTGCTTGGGTGACATCAGGAAGGTTAGCAATGTTTAGATTCTGGCTAAACGGTAAACAAGAATACTTAGCAATATCCAAAAGGAAAAATAAGATACATTTAAGATTTTATGAAAAAATATCAACTGTCTTCATAGGTCTCATTTATGGGTTAGAAGAAGAAATGAGACATGGTCACAGTTTTTCCAAAGATTTCATTCGCAAATTATCAGTACTCTAAAAATAGTTCAAAACAGAGAAGCAAATTGTCCCTCATTGTGTACTTATTTGCTATTCTCAGGTTTTGGACTAAGTAGACTGGCTTGTCTTCTGTGATTCATATATTTTTGAAAGATTTATCTCTAAAATGTTTATCAGTGTAAGTGAATTACAAGAAAATATTTTAATATCAATAATGAGGTCTAAGCACACCGAATACTTAACATTCCAATTAAGTTTATGTGAAGTAGTGAGGTAATAGGAGACCATATGACACCATGCCTTCTTTGGAGGCAGAAGGATGAAATATATAGTCAAGGGAATTTATAACAATACGAGAAATGTCATGAAGAAATAGGAGCATAGGAAAGAATAACTTGTAGCCATGTAGTAATTAGATGCAATGGATCTATGCAGACTAATATTTATTATATATGGAATAGAATGATCAACAGCAATCTAAGAGACTATATATAACCAACATTTGAAAATCTACAGCTGATTTAAATGTTTCATTAAAAAATTTCTATAAAGCTGTAGATTAACACAAACAGAAAAGGCAATTACTGCAATTACTGTTTGTATGTTTCTAGCCAATGACTTTTATAGGCTCCTGACAAATCAGATTTCCAAGGGGTACCCTAAGTTGTATTAATACAATTTTTTTTTTTTGCAAAATATCTTTAACATGAAAGAGTTCAGGAAAAGTGGCAGAAGAATTACTAGTTTTTCAATCATATTATGCAAATTGAAAAACCCATTCATTGTTGCATTCAGGCCTCTCTGACATTAGTAGGCTCTGCAATTGGAGAATGAAATATTTACATTTTTCAATTCAAACACTCTAGAGTGCCAGAATGTCTGCATTCATAATCTTAATGAGTAAAATAAATTTTGGTATTAAATTTGTTTAAAATATATCTGAGAAATGAGAAAACAGGATTATCTTATCCATCCTTTCATTAATATTTTAATTCAATGTTTTATATATATTCTACAAATAGACAATTTTTAAAAAATTAAACACAATCTTAGGCACGGGGGATGCAGAAATGATTAAGACTCAGGGATGCTTAGTTTGTAATTGAGAGGATTGTTGGTAAGCATTCAATTGCAATTCAAGTGCAGTGTGGTTTGATAAAGGTACAATGTACTTTGGTTTAGCCTAGAGAATAACTCCTTTGAATTGTCCTGTAGTTTATTCTGCAGTTTACTCAGGTGGGGATGTCCACTAGGCAAGGCATACATCCAAGGAGAATGATTTGGGAGTCATAAGCATCCTTTAGGGCTCACTTCCTACCCTGCCTCTTTCTCCGCCAGTGCCTTCTAAGACTTCTTCACCTAGAATTTAATTGTATCCTTGTCCTCTCACAATGCTTCCCATCAGAAGTATTGCTAATTTCCCAGTCACCTGCTGAGGATTGTATTCAAGGTGCAACTTAATAGCACAACAGCTAATCTACATCTTCATTTACTTTTTCTTTTCTTTGGTTGAAAAAGGAAGGTAATTTCTGGAGTCCCTGACACCTGCCAGATCCTTTTTGTTACCAAGTGATTGATGGAGTTCTCCCTGGCTGACTACCCCAGGACAGAATGCCAGAAGAATTCTGACTCCTTTGGCTTGGGCAGGTAATAGGCTTCTGGGCACAGGCCACCAAACGTATTGTGACTACAGTATGTAAAAGGCTAAAGATGTTCTCACAATGAATCTGCCATACTTCATATGACAAGGATTCATATATGTGTGCCTTTTGTTCTGTTCATATTCTGCAAGAACTGCCTCCTAACTGACATTTTATTTTACCAGGCCCCATTCTTAAGAGTGGTTGTAGCTTCCATCCTCAAATTTCAAACCAGATCACCACAGTTCCATTAGCAGTCTTATTTTGGGCAAAAACACAAAAATGGTAAGCTACCATAAAATAAAATTGTAATTCTATTTTTTTATTCAATTTCGTGACCACCATATTGGAGCAAAATGGTTGTGAGGTCCTCAAGGGAAAGCATCATTTGTATATTTATGTTGGCCAGGTAGCCATTATTCCTGGTTGGGTATTATATTTATAGATCTCTCTCAAGCCTCATAAGCTTTAGCAGCACCAGACTATGAATTTACAGTTTATGGCCCTCTAGAAGGATTGACAGGCAACATGGACCATATACAGATGTCCTGTTTTACATAACCAGGCATATCAGAGACAGCTGTAACCATCAGTATCTGTCACAAATTCTAATGTGCATCTAACAATGACTAAAGCTGCAGAGCTTATTTGCTGTCTTTTACTGTGTATTTCATGTGTCAACATTTGATGTGTTTCATCTGTAACACAGAATGGAATTTTGTGCTACTTTGATTTTCCTGGGTCTTTTTTTTTATAATGCAGAATGTCTCAAAGAGTGACATTCACACTTGACTCATTATTTTTTTGTTTATGAAAATATCAGAAAGATGATACCTAGGATAATTCTCAGTATCAGTGTATGTAAACAATAGCAGTAAGAAAACAAAGGCACTTCCTTAAATCTTTTTCACTTAAATAGTGAGTATGATATTGTATTGGGGGAATAAAGTTATACTTGGGATTTTTAGATGTTTAATTTCTCAACAGATATTGTTTACATCAATAGTTCCTGAGGCAAGAGATATACATCATAATTAATGTCTATCAAATTATTATTGTATGGGAATCTGCAAATAATTTGATTTTAAGAAGGGCTCTTCATTCTGACCTAAGTGAAATATGTACTCCTATCCTTATAGGTAATGGATGGAGGGAAAATATTGAATAATTATTTTTGTATTCTAGAAAAATCTTCTATTGAAAAATATCAAGTTTAAATAATAATCTTATCCTGCCTCTCCTATTTCAAGCAACTATTTCAATGTCATTACCAAACAACAATCTTATGCCTGGAACTGTAAAAATACACATTATATTATTTATGTTTTACAACTCTATGAGGCAAGTTTTATTTTCTTCTCTTAAAGAGGAGAAAACAGACTTAGAGCACTGTACTTTGGAAAACAGGACCACAGCCCTATTATGTGACAGAACATACATTAAGCCATGTAGGATTTAATACTTCTGCTGTACACAAGCCAACAAAAGGCAAAAATCACCTTCAAAACAATGCTGAAGAGACAAGGATCAGCAATTGTAAATAATTATATTAAATGAGAAGTTCATTTCTCAATGATGGGTCAACTTCTCTTAGCTGCTAATAATATTTTTTGAAATATTTATTTGCTCTTTTTATGGAATGTCTGGGGTAGGTGAAACAAACAACCTTTTTAATTTTAGATGGGTAGATTCTAAACAGCAAATTAGATGTTTAATACAGTTGTTCTATGATTAAAGTTCTTATGGGAGACCTTCCTACCAAAAGAATTCATTCAGTAGGCAAGAAACCGCTACACAATCTTGGGTGACTCTTAGAATATTCTTCAGTTATGATGACCAAGAACAATTAATGGCCTAGAGGATTCTGGAATGTATGTATGTATGTATGCATTTTTGAGATGGAGTCTCACTCTGTTACCCAGGCTGGAGTGCAGTGGCGCGATCTTGGCTCACTGCAAGCTCTGCCTCCCGGGTTCATGCCATTCTCCTGCCTTACCTTCCTGAGTAGCTGGGACTACAGGTGCCCGCCATCATGCCTGGCTATTTTTTTATATTTTTAGTAGAGATGGGGTTTCACCATGTTAGCCAGGATGGTCTAGATCTCCTGACCTCGTAATCCACATGCCATGCCCTTGCAAAGTGTTGGGATTACAGGCATGAGCAACTGCGCCAGACCTCTGGAATTTATTTTTCTTTTATTTCTTGGGTTATCACTACATGAGCTGCAGATACAGAAGACTTGCAAAGACTTCTGCCATAGCTAATATGTTTTTTATGGCTTTTACTCATTTGCATGACTGATATACTCATATACTTATGTGTAAAAATGGCATTCTATTGAAAATTTCTAGGGAGTTGCCTAAATGCAAAACATATTTTGAAAGGAGAAAAATGACATCTATATTTTTATAAAGGGTAACTAATCACAAAGTAAGATTGACTTTTTAAATACACCTTTTTGTCTTGGAGTAGTTTTAGATTTACAGAAATGTTGCAGAGATAGTACACAGAGTACCTATGTACTCCTACACCCAGTTTCATTATTAAAAGTTGACATCAGTATTGCACATTTGTCACTACTCTGAAGTGATATTAATACGTCATTGTTAACTGAAGTCCATGCTGTATTCAGATTTTCTTAGTTTTTACCTAATGCCCTTGTTAGGTTTCAGGATCCCATCTAGTATACCACATTACATTTAGCTTTCGTATTTCCTTAGACTCTTGACTGTGACAGCTTCTCAGGTTCTCATTCTTTTTGAAGACCTCAGCAGTGGAGGAGTACTGAATAGGTATTTAGACTGGGTTTCTGGGTTATTGTGAGGAAGACCACAAAGACGAATTGACATCATACATTACATCAAGGGTATATTCTGTCAACATGATTTATCACTGTTGTTGACTTTAATCACCTGGCTGAAGTAACTTGTCAGGTCTTTCTACTGTAAAGTTCTTCTCTCTCTTTCCATACTTTTCCAAATCTAGACTAAAATCACGTTTAAATTGTAACAAATTTGATGTTTAGAGTTTGTCTGTAGCAATACAATTTATGTAGTTTTCTTTACCAGGGACCCTTTAAATTGATTACTAAACAATATTAACTTAAAAGGTCAGCACTTTTCCCCATCATTTTGGTTGAAACTATCCAAGTGCTTCAATACAACACACAGTAGTTACTGAAAAGTATTAATTTATTTCTTCTGTCCCTCTGAAAATATTTATATACAGAAAAAATAGGTATCGTTCTACCAAATGGATCCACTCTTTGAATACAAGGGATTAAAACAGTGAAGAAATGTATGTTTCCTCATTATGTGTTATCCCAGAAATGGCATTATCATCAAGATGTTCTGCCCTCTTGAAGCTGATAATGCCTGCTTTTTATTTTTCATGTTTTGCTTACAAAAAATTAAAGCAAAAATAATAGGAGAGACTATAACTAGAACAGATAATATTATTAAAAATATAAAACATAAAGTGGGCATGATGGTTCATGCCTGTAATCCTAGCACTTTGAGAGGCCAGGGCAGGAGGATTGCTTGAGGCCAGGAGTTCCAGATCAGCCTGGACAACATAGCAAGATCCCGTCTCTAAGAAAAATTTAAGAATTAGTGTAGTATGGTGGCACACATTTGTAGTCTTAGCTACTGAAGTGGCTGAAGCAGGAAAATTGTTTGAGCCTGGGAGGTCAAGGCTGCAGTGAGCTGTGATTGTGCAACTCACTGCACTCCAGTCTGGGTGACAGAGTGAGGCTCTGTCTCTAAAAGAAAAAAGATGTATAAGAGGATGAAGATGACTTTGAATATGAATAAGAAATCCATTGTTATAAAAAGTGTTATATCAGGGAAAGGGAATTTTCAGCCAGCAAAAAGCAAATTCCAGTGCCCCATACTGTTTCATATGTTATTGAAAAGACTGAGGCAGATCCCATACTTGTCCTTCTTTGATACCTAGAATAACAACTAATTTCCCTCCTTGCATTTTAGTGAAATACATATATTACTCTGCAAATGGTAAATGCTTACTTTGCTATGCTCCTTTTTAGAAAAATATTGAGTATTTTGCTGCCTACTTGGCAGTCTATGATAATGGCCTAATAAGATATAATACATAGTATGTGAATTCAAACCAAAGGCAAAGAAGTTGAAAACTTTGAAAAAAATGTAGACAAAAGTATAACTAGAATAACCAATATAGAGAAGCACTTAAAGGAGCTGATGGAGCTGAAAACCAAGGCTCGAGAACTACGTGAAGAACGCAGAAGCCTCAGGAGCCGATGTGATCAACTGGAAGAAAGGGTATCAGTGATGGAAGATGAAATGAATGAAATGAAGCGAGAAGGGAAGTTTAGAGAAAAAAGAATAAAAAGAAAGGAGCAAAGCCTCCAAGAAATACGGGACTATGTGAAAAGACCAAATCTGCGTCTGATTGGTGTACCTGAAAGTGACGGGGAGAATGCAACCAAGTTGGAAAACACACTGCAGGATATTATCCAGCAGAACTTCCCCAATCTAGCAAGGCAGGCCAACATTCAGATTCAGGAAATACAGAGAATGCCACAAAGATACTCCTCGAGAAGAGCAACTCCAAGACACATAATTGTCAGATTAACCAAAGTTGAAATGAAGGAAAAAATGTTAAGGGCAACAAGAGAGACAGGTCGGGTTACCCACAAAGGGAAGCCCATCAGACTAACAGCAGATCTCTCGGCAGAAACTCTACAAGCCAGAAGAGAGTGGGGGCCAATATTCAACATTCTTAAAGAAAAGAATTTTCAACCCAGAATTTCATATCCAGCCAAACTAAGCTTCATAAGTGAAGGAGAAATAAAATACTTTACAGACAAGCAAATGCTGAGAGGTTTTGTCACCACCAGACCTGCCCTAAAAGAGCTCCTGAAGGAAGCACTAAACATGGAAAGGAACAACCGGTACCAGCCACTGCAAAATCATGCCAAAATGTAAAGACCATTGAGACTAGGAAGAAACTGCATCAACTAATGAGCAGAATAACCAGCTAACATCATAATGATAGGATCAAATTCACACATAACAATATTAACTTTAAATGTAAATGGACTAAATGCTCCAATTAAAAGACACAGACCGGCAAATTGGATAAAGACTCAAGACCCATCAGTGTGCTGTATTCAGGAAACCCATCTCATGTGCAGAGACACACATAGGCTCAAAATAAAAGGATGGAGGAAGATCTACCAAGCCAATGGAAAACAAAAAAAGGCAGGGGTTGCAATCCTAGTCTCTGATAAAACAGACTTTAACCAACAAAGATCAAAAGAGACAAAGAAGCCCATTACATAATGGTAAAGTAATCAATTCAACAAGAACTAACTATCCTAAATATATATGCACCCAATACAGGAGCACCCAGATTCATAAAGCAAGTCCTGAGTGACCTACAAAGAGACTTAGACTCCCACACAATAATAATGGGAGACTTTGACACCCCACTGTCAACATTAGACAGATCTATGAGACAGAAAGTTAACAAGGATACCCAGGAATAGAACTCAGCTCTGCAACAAGCGGACCTAATAGACATCTACAGAACTCTCCACCCCAAATCAACAGAATATACATTTTTTTCAGCACCACACCACACCTATTCCAAAATTGACCACATAGTTGGAAGTAAAGCTCTCCTCAGCAAAGGTAAAAGAACAGAAATTATAACAACCTGTCTCTCAGACCACAGTGCAATCAAACTAGAACTCAGGATTAAGAAACTCACCCAAAACCACTCAACTACATAGAAACTGAAAAACCTGCTCCTGAATGACTACTGGGTACATAACGAAATGAAAGCAGAAATAAAGATGTTCTTTGAAACCAACGAGAACAAAGAGACAACATACCAGAATCTCTGGGACACATTCAAAGCAGTGTGTAGAGGGAAATTTATAGCACTAAATGTCCACAAGAGAAAGCAGGAAAGATCTAAAATTGACACCCTAACATCACAATTAAAAGAACTAGAAAAGCAAGAGCAAACACATTCAAAAGCTAGCAGAAGGCAAGAAATAACTAAAATCAGTGCAGAACTGAAGGAAATAGAGACCAAAAAAAAACCCTTAAAAAAATTAATGAATCCAGGAGCTGGTTTTTGAAAGGATCAACAAAATTGATAGACTGCTAGCAAGACTAATAAAGAAGAAAAGAGACAAGAATCAAATAGACGCAATAAAAAATGATAAAGGGGATATCACCACCGATCCCACAGAAATACAAACTACCATCAGAGAATACTACAAACACCTCTATGCAAATAAACTAGAAAATCTAGAAGAAATGGATAAATTCCTCGACACATACACTCTCCCAAGACTAAACCAGGAAGAAGTTGAGTCTCTGAATAGACCAATAACAGGCTCTGAAATTGTGGCAATAATCAATAGCTTACCAACCAAAAAAAGTTCAGGACCAGATGGATTCACAGCCAAATTCTACCAGAGGTACAAGGAGGAACTGGTACCATTCCTTCTGAAACTATTCCAATCAATAGAAAAAGAGGGAATCCGGGCTCTAAACCAAAAGAACAAAGCTGGAGGCATCACGCTAGCTGACTTCAAACTATACTACAAGGCTACAGTAACCAAAACAGCATGGTACTGGTACCAAAACAGACATATAGATCAATGGAACAGAACAGAGCCCTCAGAAATAACGCTGCATATCTACAACTATCTGATCTTGGACAAACCTGACAAAAACAAGCAATGGGGAAAGGATTCCCTATTTAATAAATGGTGCTGGAAAACTGGCTAGCCATATGGAGAAAGCTGAAACTGGATCCCTTCCTTACACCTTATACAAAAATTAATTCAAGATGGATTAAAGACTTAAACGTTAGACCTAAAACCATAAAAACCCTAGAAGAAAACCTAGGCGTTACCATTCAAGACATAGGCATGGGCAAGGACTTCATGTATAAAACAGCAAAAGCAATGGCAACAAAAGCCAAAATTGACAAATGGGATCTAATTAAACTAAAGAGCTTCTGCACAGCAAAGGAAATTACCATCAGAGTGAACAGGCAACCTACAGAATGGGAGAAAATTTTCCCAACCTACTCATCTGACAAAGGGCTAATATCCAGAATCTACAATGAACTCAAACAAATTTACAAGAAAAAAACAAACAACCCCATCAAAAAGTGGGCAAAGGACATGAACAGACACTTCTCAAAGGGAGACATTTATGCAGCCAAAAAACACATGAAAAAATGCTCACCATCACTGGCCATCAGAGAAATGCAAATCAAAACCACAATGAGATACCATCTCACACCAGTTAGAATGGCAATCATTAAAAAGTCAGGAAACAACAGGTGCTGGAGAGGATGTGGAGAAATAGGAACACTTTTACCCTGTTGGTGGGACTGTAAACTAGTTTAACCATTGTGGAAAACAGTGTGGCGATTCCTCAGGGATCTAGAACTAGAAATACCATTTGACCCAGCCATCCCTTTACTGGGTATATGCCCAAAGGACTATAAATCATGCTGTTATAAAGACACATGCACATGTATGTTTATTGCAGCACTATTCACAATAGAAAAAACTTGGAATCAATCCAAATGTCCAACAATGATAGACTGGATTAAGAAAATGTGGCACATATACACCATGGAATACTATGTAGCCATAAAAAAATGATGAGTTCATGTCCTTTGTAGGGACATGGATGAAATTGGAAATCATCATTCTCAGTAACCTATCGCAAGGACAAAAAACCAAACACCGCATGTTCTCACTCACAGATGGGAATTGAACAAGGAGAACACATGGACATAGGAAGGAGAACATCACACTCTGGGGCCTGTTGTGGGGTCGGGGGAGGGGGGAGGGATAGCATTACAGATATACCTAATGCTAAATGACGAGTTAATGGGTGCAGCACACCAGCATGGCACATGTATACATATGTAACTAACCTGCACATTGTTCACATGTACCCTAAAACTTAAAGTATAATAATAATAAAAAATAAATAAAGAAAGAAAAAGAGGGAATCCTCCCTAACTCATTTTATGAGGCCAGCATCATCCTGATACCAAAGCCAGGCAGAGACACAACCAAAAAAGAGAATTTTAGACCAATATCCTTGATGAACATTGATGCAAAAATCCTCAATAAAATACTGGCAAACCGAATCCAGCAGCACATCAAAAAGCTTATCCACCATGATCAAGTGGGCTTCATCCCTGGGATGCAAGGCTGGTTCAATATACGCAAATCAATAAATGTAATCCAGCATATAAACAGAACCAAAGACAAAAACCACATGATTATCTCAATAGATGCAGAAAAGGCCTTTGACAAAGTTCAACAACCTTCATGCTAAAAACTCTCAATAAATTAGGTATTGATGGGACATATCTCAAAATAATAAGAGCTATCTATGACAAACTCACAGCCAATATCATACTGAATGGGCAAAAACTGGAAGCATTCCCTTTGAAAACTGGCACAAGACAGGGATGCCCTCTCTCACCACTCCTATTCAACATAGTGTTGGAAGTTCTGACCAGGGCATTTAGGCAGGAGAAGGAAATAAAGGGTATTCAGTTAGGAAAAGAGGAAATCAAATTGTCCCTGTTTGTAGATGACATGTTTGTATATCTAGAAAACCCCACCGTCTCAGCCCAAAATCTCCTTAAGCTGATAAGCAACTTCAGCAAAGTCTCAGGATACAAAATTGATGTACAAAAATCACAAGCATTCTTATACATCAATAACAGATAAAGAGAGAGCCAAATCATGAGTGAACTCCCATTCACAATTGCTTCAAGGAGAATAAAATACCTAGGAATCCAACTTACAAGGGATGTGAAGGACCTCTTCAAGGAGAACTACAAACCACTGCTCAATGAAATAAAAGAGGATACAAACAAATGGAAGAACATTCCATGCTCATGGTTATGAAGAATCAATATCGTGAAAATGGCCATACTGCCCAAGGTAATTTATAGATTCAATGCCATTCCCATCAAGTTACCAATGACTTTCTTCACAGAATTGGAAAAAACTACTTTAAAGTTCATATGGAACCAAAAAAGAGCCTGCATTGCCAAGTCAATCCTAAGCCAAAAGAACAAAGCTGGAGGCATCATGCTAGCTGACTTCAAACTATAGTACAAGGCTACAGTCACCAAAACAGCATGGTACTGGTACCAAAACAGACATATAGATCAATGGCACAGAACAGAGCCCTCAGAAATAACGCCGCATATCTACAACTATCTGATCTTTGACAAACCTGAGAAAAACAAGTAATGGGGAAAGGATTCCCTATTTAATAAATGGTGCTGGGAAAACTGGCTAGCCATATGTAGAAAGCTGAAACTGGATCCCTTCCTTACACCTTATACAAAAATTAAGTCAAGATGGATTAAAGACTTAAACGTTAGACCTAAAACCATAAAAACCCTAGAAGAAAACCTAGGCATTACCATTTAGGACATAGGCATGGGCAAGGACTTCATGTGTAAAACACCAAAAGCAATGGCAACAAAAGCCAAAATTGACAAATGGGATCTAATTAAACTAAAGAGCTTCTGCACAACAAAAGAAACTACCATCAGAGTGAACAGGCAACCTACAGAATGGGAGAAAATTTTTGTAACCTACTCATCTGACAAAAGGCTAATATCCAGAATCTACAATGAACTCAAACAAATATACAAGAAAAAAACAACCCCATCAAAAAGTGGGCGAAGGACATGAACAGACACTTCTCAAAAGAAGGCATTTATGCAGCCAAAAAACACTTGAAAAAATGCTCACCATCACTGGCCATCAGAGAAATGCAAATCAAAACCACAATGAGATACCATCTCACACCAGTTAGAATGGCAATCATTAAAAAGTCAGGAAACAACAGGTGCTGGAGAGGATGTGGAGAAATAGGAACACTTTTACACTGTTGGTGGGACTGTAAACTAGTTCAACCATTGTGGAAAACAGTGTGGCGATTCCTCAGGGATCTAGAACTAGAAATACCATTTGACCCAGCCATCCCTTTACTGGGTATATACCCAAAGGACTATAAATCATGCTGTTATAAAGACACATGCACACCTATGTTTATTGTGGCACTATTCACAATAGCAAAGACTTGGAACCAACCCAAATGTCCAACAGTGATAGACTGGATTAAGAAAATGTGGCATGTATACACCATGGAATACTATGTAGCCATAAAAAATGATGTATTCATGTCCTTTGTAGGGACATGGATGAAATTGGAAATCATCATTCTCAGTAACCTATCGCAAGGACAAAAAACCAAACACCGCATGTTCTCACTCATAGGTGGGAATTGAACAATGAGAATACACGGACACAGGAATGGGAACATCACACTCTGGGGACTGTTGTGCCATGGGGGAAGGGGGGAGGGATAGCATTAGGACATATACCTAATGCTAAATGACTAGTTAATGGGTGCAGCACATCAGCATGGCACATGTATACATACGTAACTAACCTGCACAATGTGCACCTGTACCCTAAAACTTAAAGTATAATAATAATAATAAATAAAATAAAATAATAATACATAGTATGTGACAAGTGTCAGAGATGAAGTAATTTGTAATTTGAAAGAGTGGAAATTCCACTTACAAGCCGTATGCAATTTTATTCTCTAACCATATTACAGCATCAGACATACCCTTTAGACAATCATTGCCGTGTCAACTAGGCAAAAGTTTACATGTATATTTTCTTTTATATTATTTCTGTGTGTGCTTATTTATACTTCTAAGTTTTGTCTAATATTGATTGTCTGTTACAAAGTGCTAGAATTGCTACAGTTACACCAAGCAGATTTAGGCAATGTACTCAGAATAAGCCAAAACTATATGCTGAAGATCATAGTGACAAACACCCCTCATGTGTACTGAGTGTTTACTGTATAACTGGCTACATTCATTTAACACTTTCGATTTTCCTTGAGGCAGTAAATTATTATTCCTACTTTATAGATGAGAAAGCCAAACCAATTGTTTGGGCTCAAATTCCAGCTCTGTCTCTTATTTTACAAGCTTCGAAGCAGCAGTTGGTTTCTAGATACTGCCTTCACCTATTATGTGCTTATATTGCTTTGCAATGTCAAAAAAATAAAGCCAGTGTGGCGATTCCTCAGGGATCTAGAACTAGAAATACCATTTGACCCAGCCATCCCATTACTGGGTATATACCCAAATGACTATAAATCATGCTGCTATAAAGACACATGCGCACGTATGTTTATTGCAGCATTATTCACAATAGCAAAGACTTGGAACCAACCCAAATGTCCAACAATGATAGACTGGATTAAGAAAATGTGGCACATATACACCATGGAATACTATGCAGCCATAAAAAATGATGAGTTCATGTCCTTTGTAGGGACATGGATGAAATTGGAAACCATCATTCTCAGTAAACTATCGCAAGAACAAAAAACCAAACACCGCATATTCTCACTCATAGGTGGGAACTGAACAATGAGATCACATGGACACAGGAAGGGGAATATCACACTCTGGGGACTGTGGTCGGGTGGGGGGAGGGGGGAGGGATAGCATTGGGAGATATACCTAATGGTAGATGACGAGTTAGTGGGTGCAGTGCACCAGCATGGCACATGTATACATATGTAACTAACCTGCACAATGTGCACATGTACCCTAAAACTTAAAGTATAATAAAAAAAATAATTAAAAAAAAATAAAGTCAAAAGAAATTAAGAAATAATAACTAAGAAAGGAATTTTGGAGTCAATGATTATTATTTGTGCTCTCTTGTTGCTACTGACCCGAAATGTGAAAATCACCAGCAGAAATACCCTTGCATCAAAGAAATAAAATGAATAGGCAAACTCTACAGTGATAGAAGTTGATATAAATGTGAAATTACCTCTGAAGATTATGTTTAATTTTTATTGTACATTTCATTAATTGTATATATGTGGTATATTTGTCCTGTGTATTCCACTTAATTCAAAATAGAGAAAATTCTACCCTCTAAGATCTTTCAATTTGAAATTAGAATTTAAATCAGAACTCAAAAAGTCAATATTGTCATTCAATGTCATTACTTTTTTGCATTAAAAACAATAATTCAATCTATTTCTCTAAATATTTTGAAATGGTAATCTAAAATCCCTGCATACAGGGATTCTATGCACGTGATTCTCTCCTGCCCTTTAAGCCTGCACATGGGCTTCTAAGTCAACTATGCAACAAATGAAGTTTTCTTGAAGCTATTTTTAAATTATAAATTTCTTCAGTAAATAACCACAGAACAAAGGTGAAAAGCTTCATGACATTAGTCTAGGCAATGATATTTCATATGTGAATCTGTAAGCACAGGCAACAAAAGCAAAAATAGACAAATGCGATTACATCAAACTAAAAAGCTTTTGCACACCAAGAAAACAAACATCAGGTTGAAGAGACAAATTGTGTAATGAGAGAAAGTATTTGCTAACCACACATCTGATAAAGGGTTAATATTCCAAATATATAAGGGACTCAAACAATTCAGTAGTAAGAAACCAAATGACCTTATGTAAAAATGAGCAAAGACTCTGAATGGACACTTCTCAAATGAATACATACAAATGACTATCAGGCATATGAAAAAAATGTTCACAGTCACATATTTTCAGAAAAAGGCAAATTAAAACTACAATAAAGTATCACTTTACACTTGTTAGATTGGCCATTATCAAAAGGATGAATGATAATAAGTGTTGAAGAGGATGTGGAGAAAAAGAACCTCTTGTGCATTGTTGTTGGGAATGTAAATTAGTAGAGGAGTTGGAAAACAGTATGGAGGTTCCTCAAAAAAATAAAAGTATCAAGAACTACCATTTGATCCAGCAATCCTACTAACTGGGTATATATATATTAAAAAATGAAATCAATATATGAAGAGTTTCTGCACTCCTGTGCTCATCCCAGCATTGTTCACAATAGCCAAGATATGGAATCCACCTATGTGCCCATCAACAAATAGATAAAATATAAATAAATATATATATACACACACATATACACACACACACAAACACACAATGGTATACTATACAAACTTAAAAAAGAAATAAATCCTGTTATTTGTAACAACATAGATGAACCTGGAGGACATTATGTTAACCGAAATAAAAAAGTCACAGAAAGACAAATACCATGTGATTTCAATGATATGTGGGATCTGTAAAAGTAGAACAAGTAGAATGGTGGTTACGAGAATCTGGGGATAGGGCAAGAGTTGGAGAGATATTGATCAGAAAGTACAAATTTTCAGTTAGATAAAAAGAACAAGTTCAAGAGTTCTATTGTACAACTTGGTGACTGTATTTAACAACAATGTGTTAGAAAATTACTAAGTGAATAAATGTAAGTTTTCTCACCTCAAAATATAAGTATGTGAGGTAAGACATATGTTAATTAGCCTGATTTAGCCATTCAACAATGTATACATATTTCAAAACATGTCATGCATAATATATAAAATTTTTATTTGTCAACTTAAAAAATTAATTAATTAAAAAAAGATTTGGTCTGGCAAAGGAAATAAATCCCAGATTATGAATATATGGCCTATCCAGAGAACAAGTAACTATGTTGTGTGTCTGGAAGTAAAATGGTGAACATCTAGAAAGATGAGTTAGACAGAAGCCACCTTGATAATATCCAAATAAAATATTTTATTAAAATTCTAAACATTTAAAAATTATTTTAGAAATCTCAGAATACTTTTTAACAGATGCTGATTGTACTATCGTAATGACTACAGATTTCTGAGAAACAAGCAACCAACCAGACTTCTTGGTTTAATTCCAAGTTCTAAGATAACATCCTTTTTCCTGTTAGAATAAAGAAGGTGGACTTCCTCCTTAGGTCAGCCAAGACATGAATCTGATTCTCTTTTCAGAGATCTTGAGTATCAATCCAAGGCACTCTCTTCCTATATGAAACTGTCATATGGAACCAAAAAGGAGCCTGCATAGCCAGGACAATGCTAAGCAAAAAGAACAAAGATGGAGGCATCACACTACCTGACTTCAAACTATACTACAAGGCTACAGTAACAAAAACAGCATGGTAATGGTACCAAAACAGATATAAAGACTAATGGAACAGAACAGAGGCCTCAGAAATAACACCACACATCTACAACCACCTCATCTTTGACAAATTTGACAAAAACAAGAAATTGGGAAATGATTCCCTATTTAATAAATGGTGTTGAGAAAACTGGCTAGCCATATGCAGAAAGCTGAAACTGGATCCCTTCCCTGCACCTTATACAAAAATTAATTCAAGATGGATTAAAGACTTAAACATAAGACCTAAGACCTAAAACCATTAAAACCCTAGAAGAAAACCTAGGTGATAACATTCAGGACACAGGCATGGGTAAAGACTTCATGATCAAAACACCAAAAGCAATGGCAACAAAATCCAAAATAGACAAATGGCATCTAATTAAACTAAAGGCTCTGCACAGCAAAAGAAACTATCATCAGAGTGAACAAGCCACCCACAGAATGGGAGAAAATTTTTGCAATCTATCCATCTGACAAAGGGCTAATAACCAGAATCTATGAAGAACGTAAACAAATTTACAAGAAAAAAAAAAACATCCCCATCAAAAAGTGGGCAAAGCGTATGAACAGACACTTCTCGAAAGAAGACATTTATGTAGCCAATAAACATGAAAAAAAGCTCATCATCACTGGCCATCAGAGAAATGCAAATCAAAACCACAATGAGATACCATCTCATGGCAGTTAGAATGGCGATCATTAAAGTCACGAAACAACAGATGCTGGAGGGGATGTGGAGAAATAGGAATGCTTTTACACTGTTGGTGGGAGTGTAAATTAGTTCAACCATTGTGGAAGTTAGTGTGGCAAATCTTCAAGGATCTAGAACTAGAAATACGATTTGACCCAGCAATCCCATTACTGAGTATATACCCAAAGGATTATAAATCATGCTACTGTAAAGACACATGCACACAATATGTTTATTGCGGCACTGTTCACAACAGCAAAGACTTGGAACCAACCAAAATGCCCATCAGTGATGGAATGGATAAAGAAAACGTGGCACATATACACCATGGAATACTATGCAGCCATAAAAATAGTTGAGTTCATGTCCTTTGCAGGGACATGGATGGAGCTGGAAACCATCATTCTCAGCAAACTAACACAAGAACAGAAAACCAAATACCGCATGTTGGCACTCATAAGTAGGAGTTGAATAATGAGAACACATGGACACAGGGAGGGGAACATCACACACCAGGACCTGTTGGGGAGCCGGGGGCTAGGAAGGGGTAGCATTAGGAGGAATATCTAATACAGATGATGGGTTGATGGGTGCAGCAGACCACCATGTCACATGTATACCTATGTAACAAACCTGCACATTCTGCACATGTACCCCAGAACTTAAAGTATAATAATAAAAAAAAAGAAACTGTATTTCTACAGGCATCTTTGCATGAAATGCACACATGCATAAATCTTTCCCATTTAAAGAAAATAAGTTCTTGACTCCCTTTACTAATCCAGATGCTATTTCTTGTTCCTTTTCATAACAACTTCTTAAGGAGTAATCTAAAATGTTTTTTGTCAATTTTTCACTGTCTACTCACTTTCCAACCCATTCCATTTTAATCTTTATCACTCCACTCTAAGTGTAAAAGCACCAATGTTCTTTTTGTCACTGAATAAAAAGACATTTCTTAAGGCATTATCTTATGTGACCTTTCAGCATAATTTTACCTAACCTCTTTCTCCCTGAAGCAATCCATTTCTGTTAAACATTCTCCTGGTTTCCATCTGTTCTCCTTTCTATCTTTACTACCTTCCTTTAGATGCTGATGTTGCCCAGGATTCTTTGAGTCAGGTTTTTCTGCTCCTACACACTCTTCTGTCACAACCCCATTCATTCCCAAGGCTTCATTTACCATCTACATACCAACGATTTCTATATTACTATGTCTAGTCCAAACCCCTTTCTGAGCTTGAGATTTCCATTTCTAACTGCTTATTTGACATCTTATGTATCAAAAGCATCTGAAAATCAGCCCCATCTAATTGTTTAAACTTGAAATCTATAAATCATGCTTTACTCTGTAGTTTCTTAATCCCCATTTCTAATAAAAACTAAAATCTGGTTTAAAAATATTCCTAGTAATTTATTGTGAATTTTGGGGCCTATAATTTATTTTTTGTTTATATTTTATTGTGGTAATATACAGATAACCTAAAATTAGCCTTTTAAACAATTTTTAAATGCAGTAAAACAGCATTAAGTACATTTACATGATTACAAAACCACCACCACTATCCAACTCCA